>NC_000002.12:221239618-221864618 GCF_000001405.40 Homo sapiens
CCGCCTGGTTTAAGCAGAAAAAGAATTTATTGAAGGTTATTAGGTGTTCACAAAGTCTACCTGAAGCCAGATAACCAGGTTTCTGTGCTGTGCAGGAGAACCTTTGCTGGAAGTTTTGGCTACAAGAGCCAATACAACGTGATTAGAAAAACCTCATCACATTTTGGAGCTTCTTCAGAGAAAGCACTGTTGCAACCTCCTTAGGGCCCCTGCGTGGCATGAGTGGATACTGTGTCGGATTAGACAACAAAAGCTCTGCCACCTCTGTTCCCTAAAAATCAGATAATTTCTTTCAGAAGATGATTCCTGCACACACAACACCTCACTGTGCTCACTTCTGAACTGAGGTCCTGCCTGGATCATTGTATGGCCGAAGGTGACATCACGTTACACACCTGGACCCTGTGTGGGATGTAAAACTCTCATTAGTACATGCAGGACATAGTCTTCATAACACAAGAATGTCTCCAAACTTGAAAAGACAGACAAAAAGGTTCTGGGCAACCATGGCACATGGCAAATGTCCACTCTTCAAATGCCACAATAAATACAATTGGTTCAATCCCTAGTTAGTGACAATCAATGCTAAGGAGTTATAAGTAAATCACATTATAAATTATAAATTGCTTTATAAAGCAAGTTTCATAGTGGGAAATTCAGGCCTGCATTTAACCGAGACGAGACTGTGGTAATCAGATGGCCCAGAGCAATGGTATCTCATGGGATACCACGTGGGTTCTACAGTGAGTGATTTTCCATAGAGTTATCATGGAATAATGATGATGATAATGCTGATGGTGATAATAATGATAACTAACGTTTACTAAATGTTTCCTATCTCCTGAGCACAGTGCTGAGTGTTTTAAATAAATGAACAACTCATTTTATGTAACAAACACATTAGGTTGGCATCATAATTTTCCCTTTTCACTGATGAGGAAACCAGGGCTTAAAGAAGTCAAGGAATTTACCAAGAGGTAGGTGGAGCTGGAATTTGTACAAAGGCAAATCTAAAGAGCACCGGAATTCTGTAGCTCAAAAGCCTGAAAGTTCACTCCCAGCTCTATCACTAACATAAAATTTTGTCCTCCGAGTCTTGGTTTCTTTCTGTGGAAAATGAGAATTGAAACTCCTATCCTCCCTCTTCTACATGGCTATTTTGAACATCAAATATGCTAAGTAAACTCCAAGTTGTTATTAATATGTAAGGTGTTTTTATAACCAGTCATTCAGAAATGCTTTCCCAGATCTTGGTTACTATTATTTAATATTGTGTTATAAGCATTTGCTTGTTTGTTCTCTAGTTTCCATATCCCCTCCTTCAGGTAACAATTTCTCTTTGGAGGAATCTCATTCTACCCATTTCCTGCCATAGAGTATGGATGGAACTCTTCTCCCCCTCAGCTTGGGGAACATTTCCTAATTGGCTTCAGTCAGTATTCATGTCTGATTCCACTGACCTCAGTGATTGGCTCAGAGGGGAGCATGCCATCCAATGAGAACTAACATGATTACACAAGACGTTTGCAGGTTTCTGGAAATGAAGGTGTCTGCCCACTTTTACAAAAGCTACCAGAAGAGATCTTTCTCTTTCTTTAAGTAGCATAAAATGAAACTTCAAGGTGTGGAGCGTTTTGTTTTCATGAGAAGAGAGCTGGAGCTGGCAGGCAGCCACCCTGTAGAGCCTAAGGAAAGGACCAGTCAAAGGACAGCAGGACGTAGAGGGGAAAATTGGGACCCAGGCAATATCACCTGAGTCATGAATCCAGCATAGCTTGAATGCATATCTTCCACTGGACATTTTGGTTACATGGACCAGTACATTTCTTTGTTGTCTTGGCTAGCTTAAATTAGATTTTATGTAACTTTTACAACATAGTATTGCATAGGCTTTTCAAAATAGTATTTTGTTCTATCAAAAAATAGCAATTATCCTTCAACCCCTGTTTACATTTTCCCATTTGAAAGATCCCATTTAAGTAAATATCTAAACAACTCAACGGTAACAATTACCTAAATAGTGATCAAGATCCTTCACAATCTTATGATTCCATGTATAAACAATGCATTTCCCATCTTCTTCTACTACATTCAAATCAAAATAGTGAAGCTGGAAGGAATCATTTAGCCCGAATCCCTCATTATACAAATAGAGAAGCTAAGATTCATAGTGAAGTGACTTGCCTGAACTCAGCTAATTATTTCCAAAGCTAGGGCTAGAATCCAGGTATTCTGATCTTTTTTTTCCTTTATATTTCTGGCTTATTAATTCATAACAAAGAGACTGCTGGATCCTCTTTAAGTTGCCTTCAGATTAGAGCCAATGGCATAAACTTTTGAATCCCTTCGGTATTAAGAAATATCTATCCTTTGAAGATGAATTCAATTTTGGGGAGCAATCAAAAGTCATTTAGAGCCAAGTTCAGTAAAGAAGGTAGGTAATCATACCAAGTAATTCAAGTATTGGTCCAAAAATGGTGTAACATTGAAGTAATGAGGCTGATTTTTTTTTCCTTGTAGCTTATAAACCAGCTTTTATGTCATTATATTAAAATGGAAATTCCTTTGACATTCAAAATTCATTTTGGAGTGATATTATTCACAATTTGATTCTGTCATGTTTCTTGGATTTTAAGGGAGCCCTATTAATATTACTAGTTAAGATAACAGCAACAATATGGAATTTTTCTTGCTTAAGTAGATATAACTGAGAAAGAAAGCAAATAATGCAATTTAATTTAACTGTAATTTGTTTGATGCTTATATACCAAGCACTGAAGCAGACCTTGATATAAAGAAAAGAAATACATGACACTGAATATTTAGTCTTAATTTCCTATTTTAATGATGAGAAGTTGAGACTCAGAAAGGTTCAGTAAACTTACTCATAGATGGGAACTGAACAATGAGAACACTTGGACACAGGAAGAGGAACATAACATACTGGGGCCTGTTGTGTGGTGGGGGAGAGGGGAGGGATAGCATTAGGAGATATACCCAATGTAAATGACGAGTTAATGGGTGCAGCACACCAACATGGCACATGTATACATATGTAACAAACCTGCACATTGTGCACGTCTACCCTAGAACTTAAAGTATAATAAAAAAAAAAAAAAAAAAAAAAAAGATTCTTGATTCCCAGGCCAGCAATCTTGGTAAAGAACCAACCTATATTAACATTCCACCCCTGATATAATTAAATTAAAAATAAAAGCAGTCTTTAGCCAACATAAATAGTGGATTGGCCCCCAAAATTAACAATGCACACTTACAAGCATGACCCAGAATGTATAAAGTTATAGTTCTATTTAATTTCAGAAAACAAAATAGAAATGTTAATATAGAACGTGGAAGAGGGGAGAAATGATATTACCTGGAAATCATGAAGATAATGGAAATTAGAAAATCTACAAAAAGGAATATGGAAACTTGAAAAGTTGAGTGGAAGAAAAGATCACTGTTATTTATTAGTTGGGCAAAGCAATGAAGGAGAAGACTGTATAAACAGGGTACCAAGAAAGCGAGAAAGGTTTTCCAAAAAGCTCTGGGGAAAAAATAGCCAGTAATTCTGAGCCCTTATTTATGACTTCACATTCACTATGCAATTTAGATATTCATTTGGTTTCATAATAGGTTTCCACTATAAAATCTCTGAGGGTGGTCTTCCAGGCACCAGTTGTACAATGATAACTCCTCCTATTGTAAAACTTTTCTGGATCCTGCCAGAGACCCAGTGCCTTAGGCTTGTGAGACTGGTTTCCTAGGGAGCAGCCCTGCTGTAGATTGAGGAATTGGCATCCTATCCTGGCATAAGCATACCTGTGGGGTTGATATTCATGTTCAGTTGAATAGTAGACCTGGGTGTCCAGACCTAGGGACAGAAGTGAGCTTTGTTAAAGTGCTTTTAACAAAGCAGGGCATGTTAAATTCTCCCAAATCATTGTGGACAAAACTATCTTAAGCTAAAATTGTAATCTTAGTGTACAATGACAAGCTTAGGTTGCTTCTCTTGGCGTTGGACATTTTACAAGAAAGGTAGAAATGAGTACTCCAGAAAAGAGAAGGAAAGGGTGGCTTCCACGTATATGGAATATGGAAATGTACACGGTAGGTGATATTAACAAACACACCCCTATGATACATCAAGGATGACCAATGTTTGATGGTCAGAGAGCTGTGTATTCCCCCTTACTTTTCTTTTTACCTTCCTCCCAGTATATGTAAGAAAACTCACAAATGTGCAGTGACCGGAAAAACCACATGAACTATTAAATAAGCCAGACCCTTCATGCATATCTTATGGGAGGAAGCGATGAGATTAAAGATATGCAAGATTGATATTCAGTAGTTGTGCACAAGTGTGGATCTACTGAGACAAAGAGGTGATTAGCTATTTTAACACTACCCCTGGGTATGTGCATACTGTGAACAGTTCCCTAAAGTGATTCTGATATGCTCCTTTACCTTAGGAGAGACTCCTAGAAGACAGGACTCTGACTTAGTACAGAAATAAAATAGTCAATAGGTAGTGTGGCACCTATTGTTGCAGCATGATATTTAAAGTCAGCCATGTTGGGAGGCAGGAGGATCACTTGAGGCCAGGAGTTGGAGAGCAGCCTGGCCAACATGGTAAAACCCCGTCTCTACTAAAAATACAAAAATTAGCCAGGCTTGGTGGTGGGCACCTGTAATCTCAGCTACTCAGGAGGCCAAGGCAGGAGAATCACTTGAACCTGGGAGGTGGAGGTTGCAGTGAGCCAAGACTGGGCCACTGTACTCCAAACTGGGTGACAAACCGAGACTCCGTCTTAAAAAAAAAAAAAAAAAAAGAAAAGAAAAGTTAAATTCAGGTACGTTGGTTTTAAAATATAAACTAGACACTATGAATTTGGGGTAATAATCACTGCGAAACTCAGTTTTCTCATCTGTCAAATGGTTATAATAATTCATATAACAGAGGATTTTGTGACTATTAAATGAGACTGTATGTAAAAGGACCAAAATACGACTATTTAATAAATGTTAAAGAAAAAAAATTATTCTTGGCCGGGCGCGGTGGCTCACGCCTGTAATCCCAGCACTTTGGGAGGCCGAGGAGGGTGGATCACGAGGTCAGGAGATCAAGACCATCCTGGCTAACATGGTGAAACCCTATCTCTACTAAAAATACAAAAAAATTAGCCGGGCGTAGTGGTGGGCGCCTGTAGTCCCAGCTACTCGCGAGGCTAAGGCAGGAGAATGGCGTGAACCCGGGAGGCAGAGCTTGCAGTGAACTGAGATCTCGCGACTGCACTCCAGCCTGGGCAACAGAGAGAGACTCCGTCTTAAAAAAAAGAAAAAAAGAAAAAAAATTATTAACCTCCGTAATGATTTAAAAAACTTACAGCGTCAATAGGAATTTTTGGAGGTGTAGATACCAGAGTTGGGATAAAATTGAGTTCTCATCGTAAGAATACAATTTTCCCATTTACACATTTAACTATCAATATCTAAAAATTCCATCAGACAGGTTTTGTTTCTCATGTGTATCATGCTTAGAATAACAAAGCTTAAAATGTCTCAATTACTTCCTTTATTTAAGTGTGAGAAACGGGGGAGTAGGAATGCAGGGTGGAGTTATGTAAAGTCATCTTCCACTGACTCAATTAAAAGTATCCTTGCATAACAACAACAGCAAATTTATAACACTTTGCAGGTACATGAGCATCTTTTGTGTCAAAGTCTACCTCTGAGGTATCTGTAAAGTCTTCCTCCTGCTTTTAGCGATAGTCTAGAACAAGGATTGAAATCAAATAATACCATTAGTTTAATTCATATACTTAAAATGTACTAATTATATTATTTTGTTCAGATAAACAAACCTTCCTCTCTAAGAAAAATGGTTACGGGATTTTCAGACACATGGGAGTAAATTTAACCTCAGTTGTCTTTTAAAATGTAATCTGAGAAAACAATATAACACAACTTTTATTTACCTTTAAACGTAATTTTCTTAGTTTCTCTGCCACCATAAAAGATTTTCAATACCAATCTCTATCTTATACAATGTGTGTCTAAGAAAAGAAAAACTGATAATTACCAATTCTGTTTTATGAGGTTATACCATAAAGCCAAATGGGACAAGAAGAATATGTTAACATAACTTTGGGCCAGTGCAGTAGCTCATGCCTGTAATCCCAGCACTTTAGGGGGCCGAGGCTGGAGGATCGCCTGAGCCCAGAAATTCAAGACCAGCCTGAGCAACATAGGGAAACCCTGTCTCTCCAAAAAATACAAAAATTAGGTAGGTGTGGTGGGGCATGCCTGTAGCCTCAGCTACTCCAAAGGCTGAGGTGGGAGGATTGCTTGAGGCTGGGAGGTTGAGACTACATGAGCCATGAACATGCCACTGCTCTCCAGCCTGGGCAACAGAGCAAGACCCTGTCTCAATTTTTTTTTTTTTAAATCTATAAACACATTTATTTTTTAAAAATCCACAAACATACCTTTGGAGGTTGTATCAGTCAAGATCCCCTTAGGAAGACAGAAACTACTTTAGGTGCTCCAAACACAGGGAATTCAATACAAACAATTTATAATACAGATGATTAAAAAATGTGTTTTTGTTGTTTTTGTTTTTTGAGACATAGTCTTGCTCTGTCACCCAGACTGGAGTGCAGTGGCGTGATTTCAGCTCATTTCAACCTCTGCCTCCCGAATTTTTTAAGCGATTCTCCTATCTTAGCCTCCTGAGTAGCTGGGACTACAGGTGCATGCCACCATGCCTGGGTAATCTTTGAATTTTTTTTTTTTTTTAGTAGAGACGGGGTTTCACCGTGTTAGCCAGGATAGTCTTACAGGTATTACAGGCGTGAGCCACCAAGCAATGGAGAGATTAGCAATAGCAGACAGCCAATACCAGCCCTAGGGCAAAAAGTACAATGACAAAAGGTGGTTTTACTGGACCCCAGGATTAGGTACCACACAGCCGGGGCAGGGAGGATGGTGAGTTGTCTGGTAGGATCTGAGAAGCATGAGGTGAGGAAAGTCTTGGAAATGGGGCTAGAGAGGTGATGTGGCCACCCCCAGACACTCAGTCGGGGCAGGAGGGAGAAGTTATAATACCCTCATGTTTCCTTTTTCCCACCCTTCACTCCACAACCAGTGGTGCTTCTCTTGACCAGACCTACTCAGAAGCCAGTGGTCCATAAAGAATAGAAAATGTAGGCTGGGAGTAGTGGATCACGCCTGTAATCCCAGTGCATTGGGAGGCTGAGGGACATGGATTGCTTAAGATCAGGAGTTCAAGGCCAGCCTGGGCAACATGGCAAAACCCCATCTCTACGAAAAATACACAAATTAGCCAAGTGTGGTGGCGTGTGCCTATAGTCCTAGCTAGTTGGGAGGCTGATGTGGGAGGACAACTTGAGCCCAGGAGGTGAAGGTTGCAGTGAGCTATGATCGTGCCACTGCATTTCAGCCTGGGTGACAGAGCCAGACCCTGTCTCAAAAAAGAAAAACAAACAAACAAACAAACAAAAAAGAGTTTTTTGTAATACACAACAAAGCAGAAGGAATAGATCAGACAGTGAACAAGTGTGTAACTGAAATTATGAACATGCAAAAACTCTCAATATAATATGTGTAATTAATCTAGCAATATATTTTAAAACATCATAATCAAGTCACTTGATTAAGGAGTGCTACAGTTATTCCACATCAAAAAACCAGTAAATTTAATTTAAAAACAGTAACAGTAAAAAATCTATACATGCAGAAAAGTCATTTGATAAAATTCCTGACAAACTAAGAATAAAAAGGAATGTTCTTAACCCAATGAAGAGCACCAGCTAAGCCTAGAACAAGCATAATAAATTATTAATGATGTAATTTTCAAAGATTTCCCATTCAATCTGGAATGTTATAAAGATGTCCTCTATTTCCCATTTATTCAGCATTATAAAACAGACTCTAATCACTTTTTTAAGAAAATAAATAAGCATATGATTTTAAAAGGAAGAAGTGTTATAATTTACAGATGTCTTACATTTTTTACAGAAAAACCTAGAGATTCTACAGATAAACCATTAAAACGGGTTAGAAAGTTCAGCGCATTTACATAATATAGATAAAGATAAAAATTTAATAGCTCTCTTATACACTAGCAATAACTGACTGAAAAACAGAACTGTCAAAAGAGAAATTCATAATAGCCATGAAAATGTAAAATATCTAGAAGTTAGTTATCAAAATTATACAAGTATTTTAGGCAGAGAATTTTAAAAGTTGCCGTAAAATGAGACCTCAGTAAATGTTTGTGTATTCCATTTTCATGGAAGGAAAAATTCAATAAGTTGTCAATTCCCCACCAAAAACAATGCAACTCAAAAAAAACATAATGAATATGATTCTTCATCAGATTAACAAAGAGATTCTAAAATTTACATGAAGATAGACATGAACAAGAACACACAAGACTATTTAGAAGAAGATGGGGAAAACTTGTCCTATAAGATACCAATGCTTACTATGCTTTAGTAATTAAAACTACACAGTACTGGCACAGCGATAGTCAAATATGTAAGTGGGACAAAATAGATGGTCCCCAAATAAGTAGTAAATGCTATTATATATAATAGGGAAGAAATTACTAAATTGGGAAAATGAAATGGACTAGTCAATAAATGTTGTTAGGACAACTGGCTTTCCATATGGAAGGAAATATAATTATATACCGACTTCACACCATGCATGAAATTAAACTCCAGATGGATTAAAAAACAAACAATGAAAAAGAAGAATTTAAGTTATTAAAAGAAACTGCAGAATAATATACAAAATTTTTACAGCTTGAGCATACTGGATTTCCCTAGCTCACTTCACTTAGGTATCTGCTGAAATGCCCAACTCCTTGGTCAAGTTTTCATGAAGAATTTATCTGTGGCTATGCACCCCTGTCATCTGATTTCATCTCATTGTATTCTATAAATTATATTTAAATGCTTATGCAGTGCTTACTATGTGCTAGGCAGTTTATATACTATATATACTTTGTGTGTGTGTGTGTGTGTGTGTGTGTGTATATATATATATATACATATACATATAGTCATTTAATTCTTCCAAATTATTGAAAACATTTCATATCTAGTCAAGTGTGTTAGTCTGTTCTTATGCTGCTAATAAAGACATATCCAAAACTGGGTAATTTATAAAGAAAAAGAGGTTTAATTGACTCACAATTCCATGTAGCTGAGGAGGTATCATAATCATGATGGAAGGCAAGGAGGAGCAAGGCACATCTTACATGGTGGCTGGCAAGAAAGAGCATGTGCAGGGGAACTCCCCTTTATAAAACCATCAGATCTCCTGAGACTTATTCACTATCACAAGAACAGCTTGGGAAAGACCTGCCTCCGTGGTTCAATTACCTCCCACCAAATCCTTCCCACAATAAATGGGAATTATAGGAGCTACAATTCAAGATGAGATTTGGGTAGGAACACAGCCAAACAATATCATTGACATTATTAAGATTTCTACTTTATAAGTGAGGAAACTGAGGCACAGAGCAGATAATGAGTAACTGCCCTCAGCTATTAAGTGGCAGAGCCAGGATGCAAACCCAGGCGATCCAGCTGCAAATGCTGTGCCCTTAATTTTGTTGCTATGTTGTCCTTTCTGTTTTATTTTTTCTCTATAGTAGTTATCAATACCTGAGATTAAGTTTGCAATGAGTATGGTTATCTGTATCTTGCCTAAATTTGCAATGAGTATGGTTATCTGCATCTTGCCTATCTTTCCCATTACGTTTTAACCACTATAATCTTAAGTGCCTGGAAGAATGCCTGTAGCATAACAGATGTTCAAAAACTATTTTTGAATGAATCGTGTAAAAAAAGAGAAAGAGATTTCTTAAAGAAATTATCAAAACTAGAAACCATACAGTAAAATGTGATAAACTTGACTCCATCAAAATATAAAATTTCATTATTAGAAACTATAGCATGAATAAAGTTAAAAAGTAAGCAAAAAAATGAAAGAAGGTATTTGCAATGCAGGTGATTAGAAATCAGGAAATATATGAAGCGTTTCTACAAATCAATAAGAAAAAAACCGTTTAATAGAAGAATGGAAGAAAACAAACTATGAATACACAACTCACAGGAGAGGTGGAAAAGAGTCAATAAACATGAAAATTTGCTTGACCTCTCTAGTAATTAGGGAATTGAAAATAAAAACAGTAACCAGATAATATTCCCCACATTAGAACACTAAAAAAACTTAAATAACTGAGAATATCAAATTAGAATGTGGAGACGGGGGAAGTTGCAAAACTGCTGATGGAAGTACAATTGCTTCAAACATGTTAAAGAATAATTTAGGAATATCTAGTAAAGTTGAAGATGTGTATACCTTATGACCCAAAATTTCTATTTCTTGGTGCATACTCACCAATACAAATACAGAAAGACATAGGTGTAACTGAAATTTACTGTACATTTTTTGTATAGTTAAAAATTTTAGAAAAAGAAAACTAAAGGTCTCTCAGTAGATGAACAAATAAATAAGAATATGGACAGTCCATAGGAATACTGTACAACAGTTAAAATGAAAAAGTAAGCACATGGATGAGTATGTGCCTAACGAACTGATCCATAAATGACAGCCATCAGCTCAAGATAAAATACAAAGACAACTACTGGAGGACTCTGGAGATTTATCGAAAGCGAGGAGACTTAAGAGGAGTCAAAACTTGAAGAAGATGATGAGCATAAAATGAGGCCCCTGTGTTTTGGAGGCTGTGTCCTGAAAGCAGTCAGTCATGGTGGCAACTGCCGTGGTGTGGGCAGCTAAATTTCTGGATGAAGCAAGCATGAAAGGAGCTGCCAGAGAGCAAGAAGGACCCCAGCAATGAAAGAGCAACAGAAGAGGAACCCCTGACCATGCATAAACTCATCCTACTTCTGGCTGATCCCTGAACCAAGCAGGCACCGGACAAACTGAACATACTAGGAACCAAGGTTTATACACTGTTGGTGGAAGTGTAAATTCAGCCATTGTGGAAAGCTGTGTGGTGATTCCTCAAAGAACAAAGATAGAATTACCATTCAACCTAGCAATCCTATTATTGGGTATATACCCCAAGGAATATAAATTGTCCCATCATAAAAACACATGCACATGTATGTTCATTGCAGCACTATTCACAATAGCAAAAACATGGAATCCACCTGTTTCCAGGTTGATGGACTCAACCATGCCCATCAATAGTAGACTGGATAAAGAAAATGCAATACATATACACCATGGAATAGTATGCAGTCATTAAAAAGAACAAGATCATGTCCTTTGCAGCAACATGGATGGAGATGGTGAACATTATCTTAAGCAAACTAACACAGGAACAAAAAACCAAATACCTCATGTTTTCACTTATACGTGAGAGCTGAATAATGAAAACACATAGACACTATGAGGGAAACAACAGATGCTAGGGCCTACTTGAGGGTGGAGGACAGGAGAGAGAGGATCAGAAAAAAATATCTATTGGGTACTATGCGTAGAACCCAGGTGATGAAATTATCGTACACCAAACCACCGTGATACAAGTTTACCTATATAAAAAACCTGCACATGTACCCCTGATCCTAAAATAAAAGTTAAAAGAAAAATGAGAGAAAAAATCCTTAACTGAGCTGAGGCATGATATCTGAAAATGTGTGTCTATCCAAATTTATTCTCTCCTAAAAAGAGACACCAATACTTTGGGTAGAACAATGTAATTGAATTGAGTTAACACAACACATTTTCAAGGTCCTGGATAATATCCCAAAATAAGATTTTTAAAAAGCCAAGAAAATGTGAACTATTCTCAAGGAAAAAGATAAGTAATAGATGCCAACACCAAGATGATCCAGATTCTGAAACTATCAGACAAAGTCTTTAATGCAATACCTATAATGATGGTCAGTAAGGTAAAGACAAATAAACTTAAAATGAACAAAAATACAGTAAAATTTCAGCAAAGAAATAGAACATATGAAAAAGTCCTAAAATAGATCCAGTGTTAATCGTATTAACTTTATTACATATAAAATACAACTTTTTAATATATTTTAATAATATTTACTAAATGGTCCTATAGAAAAATGATTAATCTATTAATCAACTTGAAATAGATTAATGAAAAGCATGCAACTTGAATACAGAAGAAAAAAAGAAAAATAATAAAGGGTTTCAGAGAATCGTGAAACAAATTCAGAAAGCTTAATATGCAGGTAAACAGAGTCACAGTAGGAGAAGAGACAATGATACAGAGAAAATAACTTGGGAAATTTTTTAAAAATTAAAGGTATATCTACCATATGATCCTTGGCATTTTCTCAAGAGAAAATGAAAACATGTCAACACAATGACATGTGCATGAATGTTCATAACAGCTAAGTTCAAGGTGGTCAAAAACTGCAAACAGCCCAGTGTCCATTAACAGGTGAGTGGATACACAAAATGCGGTCATCCATGCATTGGAATACCACTCCTCAATAAAAAGGGAAAACATACTGAAACATACAATATCAATGAATCTCATAATCAGTTTGATTAAGGGAGGAAGGTAGACACAAGGAAATGCATATAATATGATATAATATATATAGAATTCAAACTAATATATAGTGACCAACAGCAATTCAGTAGTTGCCTTGAGTGAGGGGCAAAAGGGAAAGGAATGAGGAATGTTTTGGATGTGATGGAATGTTTTATAATTTGATTTTGCTGGTGGATTTATGAATGTGTACAACGTATTCAATTGTACACTTTAAATAGAGATCATTTGCATACGTTAGTGCTAAATAAAATTGGTAGGAAAAATAAAATGGATGTATGAGATATACATATGTGAATATATTCAGTAAATATAGAATCTAGTTCTTAATATTAAATAAAAAGCTACTTATAGAAGTTGATCCATAGCTACAGTATGATACCACTTGTATACAGTTGTAAGGTGCACAAAAATACCATGACATATATATCATATATTTTATATATAATAATACATAGTATATGTCATATATTATATGTAACTATGTGTTATATATGGGTTACGGATAAATTTTTATTTGTTCAGCAAATATGTGAGAACCTATTCTACTAAGGTTACCAAAGATAAAGCAGTGGTCAAAATCTCTGCCCTCCAGAAGCTTCTGTGCTAGTACATTGAAAGTTTACATAATAAACTTAATGATAGTGGCTGTTTCTGTGGAGGGAGGGAAGAAAGGAGAGAGAGCTAAGACTGGGAAAAGCTACATAAGGGATGTGAACTTTAAAATAATAATTCTTATTCTGAAGCATTTTCAAAAAGGTCAATATTTGTGCATTTCAAGTGGTGAAAACATGAGTATGTTATATTTGGTCCTTTGCAATGTTCTATATTTGTTTTAACATACAGTCAAATGTGATGAAAATGTGGTAAATCTAACAACCTGAGGAATTAAATTATGGATCTAGATTTAGCATTGATTGACAGATAAATAAAACTAAATACACACCTTCATTCAAGCTTCATTATTTCCTTGACTTTTATAGAGAAGGAAAAGCTACATAATCTGAGAAATAGTAGAGAAAATGTGTCTTCTGTTATTTGAAAAGGGCATAAATGTGGGTGAGGGGAATTTTTGAAGAACAGATGCCAAAATATTAAGAAGTTATTTCTGTCTATTGCAATTCAGGGAATTTTCTTAGTTTGTTTTTGCTACTATAAGGAAATATACCTGAGACTGGGTGATTTAGAATAAACAGATATTTATTGTCTCCCAGTTCTGGTGACTGGGAAGTTCAAGATCAAAAGGCCAGTCTCTGGCAAGGGCCTCCTTGTTGCATCATCTCATGGCAGAAGGCAGAAAGTCAAGAGAGGGCAAGAGAGAGGCTGAACTTGACCTTTTATAACAGGACTTATCACCTCTTAAAGGTCCCACCTCTTAGTACTGTTACCATGGCAATTAAATTTCAACAAATGTTTTAGAAAAGACAAACATTTAAATCTGAGCAGGGATTCTAATTTTCTTTTTTATTAATTTGTTTCTGTGTATTTTCTAATTCTTTAAGTTGTGTGAACATCTATTTCTTAAAAGAAAAAAATGTTTATAGTACTAATAATATTAGTTTAAGAATATTGTGATTAGCTACTACCTGAAGAGTCTTATTATATTTATATATTGTGTATAAATAATCATAGCCATCTAATTACTATAAAAACACAAAAGCTGGCATCAAACAATAGAAGGCAAATAAATAATCATTGTAGATCCAAAATATATACAAGTGTGAGAAATTTTTATTATACATATGTATACATATATAGACCATTTTTGTACCTATGTTCTTCAGATATTTACACTAAATAACTGGCTAGAGAATCTTTGGTTCAAAGAGTTGCCAAATCTTTACTATTTACACATTTCCAAAATGGGCATCATTATGCACAAATCATTTTGCTTTGTTTGTATTATCTAGTTTAGATTTTTCAAGGAGAATCACTAGGTTAAAAGATACAACTTTTTTTAAATGTATCTATCTATTTGGACATTTTCTTTATTGCCAAATTCTCTTTCCAGACTAAGGTACCAATTTACACTGTTATGAGTAGTGTATGAAGCTGCCCACTTATATGCCTTGGATAACTGAGCATATTTTCAAGCTTTTTTTACTTTGATAAGAGAACCAGGATCTCTTGCTCTGAAATGATTCGGGTTAAGGTTGTGCCATAGTCAGCCCAAGCCAATTACTTCCCTAGATTTCTCCAGTTCAGAGCCAGTCACTCTGCGTGCTCCTGCATCACTTCATCTAACTGAGATCAGGTTACACTGGGGAGCTTCAAGGTCACTGGAGTTCAGCCTTTGGAGTATGTGCAGATGCAGGGAGGGGCATTTCCACTTCAGGTCCTCAGTGGCTTATATTGCCTTAAGGCTTGCCCGTCACACTGTGGTATTGAGAGCAGTTGAGAGAGAGACGTCAGCACCTCTCCTACTTACCCCTCCCACTGTCTTCCTGAGCTATTGCTCAGTGTTATATGTGGGATCCTCAAAACCAAGGGGTCAGAATTCTCTTTTTACCCTAGCAATGGTTAAAACTATAAATGTCTTTACTGTTTAATTCCTTTTCTACCTGGGTTAGAAACACTACATCCTCTTTCCCATGCCCTGCCTTTCTTATTTCTAGCCTCTTTCACTAATAGAAAATACAGATAGTCTTCATTTAGATGCTGGAATGTGTTTCTAGAGTTGGGAACATCTACTGATCAATATGGGGGAAAGTCCTTCACAGCAGAGTGCCTATTACATTTCCAACAACATTTAGTACTTATTGATATGCAATTAACGTAGAATTAAGGGTTTGTTAAGTCATGTCTTCTATCTTCCTCTCATCTAAAAAAAACTGCTCTAATAGTGGATTTTGATTGAAACAAGGCAGTGGTTCTTAATGGAGGTACTATTGCCACCAGAGAACCATTTAGATATGTAGAGGGATGACTTAGAATCATAATGATGGAATGACACTACTGACATGTATGGAGGTATGCACCAGGGTTGCTAGGTGGGCAACAGTGAACAGGAGAGTCTCAAATAAGTAATAGTCTGCTTGCAATTAACTGGGCTTGGATGCTCACTCTCCTTGATATATAGACACAGAGTATTATTTGCATGTTCCTAACACACAATGAATATTTCAGAAATGGAATTGATGAGGTGAAAGGAAAATCGGACTTTGTTTTACTTAGAATATTAGTAAGTGTTGTTCACCATTTAAGAACACCACAGCACTCATGTTAACACCAAAGCAACCCACTGTCAGCATTCCCATGGATCCATGCATAGGCACAAGCATCTGTCAGATTCTGTTTTCTATCGTGATTGTGACCTAGCAGATATCTATTGAAATATAAAAATTGAACATATGTATATATACGATTTTTATTATAAAATACATATCCTTTATTTCTTTATAATATTATACTTAGAGTATTATATTGATTTATGAAATTATATATATGGAAAATGGCTTATAGATTTTATTTCAGGATAATCTCAGGGACATCACAAAATATTATAAAAGAACATCTTTGGGTGAGATAAGGCTAAAAACCCTTTGTCTAGAGAATAATCCTTAGCCGCCCAACCAGCTCCTCAGCCTAATGAGTAGTTAAGTGTGCACCTTGACCTCCAGCTGGGTTCTTGAACTGGAAAAATAATCCAACATTTGTTCATCCTTTGGAAAACGAACTATTTGCCAAGAATCAGAAAACCATCACCAGAAAAAGGATAGTAATAGTGTATTCTCTCTTTTCTCTCTCTAGCTCCCTCTCTCTCTCTCTGTATCACTGTCCCCTCCACACTCACCCCGCCCCCACACATGCATCCCTCTCTCTGGCAAACAAAGAAACTGCAAACAAAGGAATAACTTGGCAAGTGCTGCTCTGTTTGAGAAAAACGAAGAGAGAGTTGCCCAGGCTAACTGAGTTCTCTCCACACCAACCAATCTTTTTGTTTTTCTCTCTCCATAAGATGTCTTTACGCTTTTCCACATTGGCTTAACCTCTACTTGTTGTCTGTGATTTTGCCCAAGTCCTGCGCTCACTATAAAGCCCTTCTTGGAAAGCAGGAGCCATGGACAATTATGCTCCTTTGAACTTCTCAGTTCCTTTGAACTCGTCTCTCCCTCTCCCCTTAGAGCTTATCTTCTCAGCTCGATTCTAAGCTGTTTAAAGCAAGGAATGTGTTTATGTTCCGTTATAGCTTTTAAAATGTCTACCACGTAGTGGCATTTAGGAATTATTTGCTTTGTATTGTATTTTGAAGTCAACTAGTGTGATGCCTCCAGCTTTGTTCTTTTTGCTCAATATAGCTTTGGCTATTCCAGGTCTTTTGTGGTACCATACAAATTTTAGGATTTTTGAACATATATTTCCATGAAGAATGTCATTGGTATTTTGATAGGGATGGTATTAAATCTGTAGATTGTTTTTGGGTAGTATGGACATTTTAATGATTTAATTCTTTCAATCCATGAACACAGAAAACCTTTTCACTGATTTATGTCTTCTTTAATTTCTTTCATCAATGTTTTATGGTTTTTGTTGTAGAGACCTTTTATCTCCTTGGTAAAGTTTATTCCTAATTTTTTTGTAGCTATTGTAAATAAGACTTTTAAAATTTCTTTTTCAGAGAGTTTCCTCTTGATGTGTAAAAACATTTCTAAGTTTTGTATGCTGATTTGGTATCCTGAAACTTTATTGAGTTTATTATCTTGATCAAAAGAATAAAGCTGAAGGCATCACACTTCCTGACTTCAAAATATACTACAAAGCTATAGTAACCAAAACAGTATGATGCTGGCATAAAAACAGACACGTAGACTAAAGGATCAATAGAAAGCCCATAAATAAACTCATGCATCTACATCCAAATCATTTTTGACAAAGGTGCCAAGAATACACAATGAAGAAAGGACAGTCTCTTTAATAAATGGTTGTGAGCCAGTTAGAATGGTGATCATTAAAAAGTCAGGAAACAACAGGTGCTGGAGAGGATGTGGAGAAATAGGAACACTTTGACACTGTTGGTGGGACTGTAAACTAGTTCAACCATTGTGGAAGTCAGTGTAGCAATTCTTCAAGGATCTTGAACTAGAAATACCATTTGACCCAGCCATCCCATTAGTGGGTATATACCCAAAGGATTATAAATCATGCTGCTATAAAGACACATGTACACGTATGTTTATTGTGGCACTATTCACAATAGCAAAGACTTGGAACCAACCCAAATGTCCATCAATGATAGACTGGATTAAGAAAATGTGGCTCATATACACCATGGAATACCATGAAGCCATAAAAAAGGATGAGTTCATGTCCTCTGTAGGGACATGGATGAAGCTGGAAACCATCATTCTCAGCAAACTATCGCAAGGACAGAAAACCAAACACCACATGTTCTTATTCATAACTGGGAATTGAACAATGAGAATACTTGGACACAGGAAGGGGAACATCACACACCGGGGCCTATTGTGGGGTGGGGGAGGGGGGAGGGATAGCATTAGGAGATATACCTAATGTAAATGAGGAGTTAATGGGTGGAGCACACCAACATGGCACATATATACATATGTAACAAACCTGCACATTGTGCACATGTACCCTAAAACTTAAAGTATAATTAAAAATATAAATAAATGGTTGTGAGAAAACTGGACATCATATGCAGAAGAATGAAATTAGACCCTTGTCTCACACCATATACAAAAGTTAACTTAGAATGGATTAAAGACTTAAATTTAAGAGCCAAAACTATAAACTTCTAGAATAAAACCTGTGAATATGGGCAACAACTTTGTGGATAAGACCTTAAAATCATAGGCAACAAAAGTGAAAATAAACAAAGAGAATTACATCAAACTGAAAAAAAAAAAGTATGCACAGCAAAAAAAAAAAAAAAATCAGTAGAGTGAAGAGACAACCTACAGAATGAGAGAAAATACATACATACATACATACCTCATAAAATACAAATTGCATACATCAGATAAGGGGCTATTATCCAAAATATACAAAGAACCAAAACTACTCTATAACAAGGAAACAAATAACTCTATTAAAAAATAGGCAGAGAACTTGAAGAGACAGTTCTCAAAAGACATACAAATGGCCAACAGATATATGAAAAAGTGATCAACATTTCTAAGCATCAGAGAAATGAAAATAAAAATCATAATGAGATATCATTTTACCACTGTTAGAATGGCTATTATCAAAATGATGAAAGATAACAAGTAAAGATGTGGCTAAAAGGAAACCCGTATACACTGTTATTATTAGTGTAAATTAGTTACAGCCATTTTGTAAAACAGTATGAAGATTCCTCAATAAAACTAAAAATAATCCCAGCTACTCCAGAGGCTGAGACAGGAGAATCGCTTGAACCCAGGAGGCAGATGTTGCGGTGAGCTGAGATGGTGCCATTGCACTCCAGCCTGGGCAACAAGAGCAAAACTCAGTCTCAAAAAAAAAGAATTATTACGTAATCCAGCAATGCCACTACTAGTTGTATACCCAAATGAATTGATATCAGTATGTTGAAAAGATATCTACTCTCCCATGTTCATTTCAGTCCTATTTACAATATCCAAGACATGGAAACAACCTAAGTATCCAACAATGGATGATTAGATTTTAAAATATTGTGTGTGTGTGTGTGTGTGTGTGTGTGTGTGTGTGTGTCTGTGTATAGATAGATACATAGAGAGAGAGAGATAGATAGACAGATAGATAGATAGAGAGTATTCAGCCATTAAAAACAAAAACAGGAAATTCTTTCATTTGCAACAACATGGATGAACCAAGAGGAGACTATGTTAAGTGAAATAGTGTCACAGAGAGACAGGGACAAAGAGACAAATAATGTATGATCTCAGTCATACTTGATATCTGGAAGAGTTGACCTTATACAAGTAGAGAATAGAATGGTGGTTACTAGAGTCTGAGTGAGGTGTGGGGGAGGGTGACTGGGGAAAGAAGAGCTGTTGGTTTGTGAGTACAAAGTTACAATTGGGAGAAATAAGTTTTGAAGATCTTTTTGCACATTAGAGGGAATATAGTGATTAATAACATACTGTATATTTTAAAATAGCTAAAAGAAAGGATTCTAAATGTTCTCACCACAAAGAAATGATAAATGTTTGAGATGCCAAATATGTTAATTATCCTGATTTGATTATTAAAAAAGTGTATCTGCATTGAAATGCATTGTACCCCATAAGTATATACAATTATTTGTCAATTAAAAATAAATTCTTAAAAAGTTATCTGCTGATAAAGAAGTTGCAGTTCTAACATTTACCCCAATCAACACTTTTCTTATAAACAGATTCCCAATTCCTATTCCCAGATATGCCTAGCAGTGTTTCTGATATCTGTTACTCTTAGGAGCACTGACCAGCTTCAGAGAAGGCAACTGCCTCTGTGGACCCAGGGAAGGAACAAGGGACTTGGAATGATTAAGAGCGGTAAGCTGTATGTTTCACACTGAGACAGAACATCAACACACAGCATCCCTAGGTTCTGAAATAGCCCTCACATACTCAGGTGTCTATAGGGCGATAATATATTCCAATTTGTCTGGAACTGTCCCGGTTTTTCTCTTTTGTCTCAACGTGATTAGTTACAAAGACTTTCATGCTCAACATTGTCAGGTGTGGACATGACACATTGCTCCTGATGGAGGGGCTCCAGGCAGGCACCCCACATGGGTGAGGCTGGCAGGTGAGGGCTGTGGAGCTCTGGAGAGAGCATGGCAGGTCCAAAGAGGTTCCTGTCTATGACTGCTACATGCAATTGTTGGGCCCGATGTTGTGAGATCTTTTTATGTTTTCAGAGAAGTCAAAAATTACACTTTCAAGTGTTGGGAACTAATTCTGTTAAAAGACTATTGTTTTGATTAAAAAAATTAAAAACTGTGAGGATCAGCTTTGGCTTAAAGGTGCTGGTTTAAAACTGTTCAGTAGAAAAATGAGATGACTATACTTGACAATAATTGATTGTATTATTTTGAAATAGCTAGAAGACTTGGAATGTTCCCAACACAAAAAAAAAATGATAAATGTTTGAGGTGGTGAATATCCCAATTACCTAGCTTTGATCATTACACATTGTACGCTTTTATGAAAATGTCATATGCACCCCACAAATGTATACAATGATTAAATCCATATAAATTAAAAATAAATTTCAAAAATACCTTTTAAAAAGGTATTCTCTGTAAGGGACTACCTGGATCCTGGTCCTTCTACCCCTGAAGATGTCTCTCTATGAGCTTGGTTCATTTTATTAAGGAAAAAATTTAGGATTAGGGGTGGGTAAGAGGGTCTAAATCTTGGCTTTATTACTCACTAGCAGTGTAACCTCAGAAAAACAGTCACAAACTTATGCTGTCTCATCTATAAAATAATAAACATGGGCTAGATGCCACCTAGATGCCTCTAAGCTCTAAGAGTCTGTAATTCTTTCATTCTGACCTTAACTCTTGCTTTTGTTTTGTCTAACACATTCATCATCCACGCTGAGAATCCTAAAAGGGTGTTAGTTATATTTTCTGTTCCTTAAAAATGAAATTTGTTCTCCTATTCATTTCTCAGGTGTCTGGCTCCTAATAGATGTACTACTAATACTGATTACCAATAATTTTAGTACTGAGTAGTACTAAAATATCACCCTAAAGCAGAATATATAACTCTATTAATTTTTAACCCAATAATTGAATGTCCTTCCCTTTGTATGTATTATTACTATTATTACAAATTACACATAGGCGAAAATTTGAAGAAAACATAACAACTTTTTACTGGATTTGTGTTAGCTAGTGAGATTATGGACTTTTCTTTCTACTTATCTGTTTTTCTAGTTTTTGGATTTTTTTTAATGTGATTACATTGCTTTAATAGTAAAATTATTAAAATACTATTTTTAATAATAAAAATAATATATAAATGATCATCACAGATAAGTAAATAGAAAAAGTACCATAAAGGACATGCAGCAAACTACAAATTCTAGTTACCTTGTTTGAGAGAAATGAGATTTAGGAGGGAGATATGAGCATGATAATTTAGTTCCCTACATACTTTTGTATTATTTGAAATTTTTATACAGAACATTTATTCATGCATTATTTATGAACTTAAAATGAATTAATCAAATTTTAAAATGAATTATTTACCTTGCGTTTAGAGGAACTGAGTCTTTCTTGATTGTAGATTGCTTTGTCAGTTTCCTGCCAAACAGAACCTTATGTGTCGGCCCCAGTTTCTACATCCTATGAAAGACAGGCTGGGGAGGGTATGTGACTTGTCCAAGTAGTAAAGAATGTTGGAAACTGTGTCTGGGCTAAAATCCGGTACTTGCCTAAACTGAGTCTGCAGCATTTTTATTTGGCTTTTTAAAACATCTTTCTGAATTAGCATGCATTTGTGTTTTTAAAATCTTTGATTCCTTTCTGTCCTGAAGTCTACAAATCTTCCTCTAATGTGACTGTAAGAGATAAGGGGAAAACATCAATTTCCTAACACTTTTGTTTAGAAAAGAACATACATGATTAAATAGATAATTATTATTATTTTTCCTTTTGGGGGGAAGGTACAGGGAATATAGATAACAGTTGGATTATTCTTTGAATATACATCATAATTTACTTCCTTACATAAATTCAACAGATCCATGTCTGTGTGAAGCAAAATACATAGGAAGTTTGTTGCTTGCCATTTGTCTCTCTTCAAGTCCAAAAGAGCCTAGCTGGAATTGCTCCTCCCAAAAGCAAACAGCGTTTTTTTTTTTCCGAAGCAGTCTGTTTCTTGCACAAATCTTTCCAAAAAGAGTCATCTATTGTTTCTTCCCTTGAAAGTTACAAAAGCATCTTTCTTAACCGCCATATTTTTACCTTCAATGTAGAGCCAAAGATAAATCTTATTTGGAATATAATTTTTTCTTTGAAGACTATGCACTGCATTTAGTCTGGGGAACTTGGACACTACCACGACTAAATCATAACTAGAAAGATTTGAAGAGTAGCAAAGATTTCTGGTTTTTTTTTCCTTAAAACAATAATCATGCTTGCATTTCTTTAACTTTCATCCTCAACATCAGGGCTTTTGGATCTTCAGTTTCTGTGAAACCTGTTGCTCCTCTGTCTACAAATGCAGTTTGGGCTTTGGCTTTTGCCTAGGTGAAACTACTGATAAATATGTATCTAGTATTTGTTCATGGGAAGTTTCAATCTGCCCCTTGATTTATTTCCCTTGAAAACATCCTTCATCCTTCCCCTTATGCAATCAGCCTTCACTAACACAATCCCACCTGGGCCTCCCAGAGACGTGGGACCCACATGTTTGACGGGTGAAGGCCTCTCCTGCCAATTTCCTGTGGCTACTTCTCTCCTTCCTCTCATTGTTCCTTTCTTCTCTTCCTTGTTCCTCCTCCTCCAGCTTCTACATCGAATCATCTCCAACGCTGCCTTCTTTTCTCATGTACTTTCATGGGACTGCTTCATTATCTGGAACTGAATTCTCTGCCTGCTCTGTTTAAACTTGTTTTGAGTCTGGGACAGGTGAGGATGCCTCCAGCTCCTTATCCTCTTCTTCTTGTCTCCAGCCCCAGGGCAAATGCTTCTCTTCTTTGCAAAGGTTGCACCATCCCCTCTGCCCACAATTGCTACCTTTGTGTTCAGAATCCAAGCACCTGAAACATCAGAGCAGGCTGCATGCCATGCTAATTTTGCCTGTGTGGATTAAGACATTATAATGATCCTGCGGCCGTGCCCTGTGACCTCCACAGCCAAGGTTCTGCTCTGAAGCCATGGTCCAGTGGCATCAGAATAGCCCTACTTAAGAATAGGACACCAAAGGCATTTATAAACCCCCTTTCTGGACTCTACAATCTCTGATTCACATCTGAATTCTTCAGGGAGGAACACATAGCTATCCCTTAAATGTATACACAAAGCACGCTGATAATTAGAGTTTTCACTCTGTAATTTCAGTATAGGCTAGCGTCAGCTCATTTTGGATCCAATTGTTAAATTTGAAGGAATTTTATGAATCAGTTCATATAATGTTGGTAGCTTGAAATTGGCCATGGGGGGAGTGTTTACACTATTGAAGTTGGCAATTCCACTAACTAAGCCATTTTTTTTTTTTTTCTCCTGGAGAGACAATTATTAAACATTTACCAGTAGGCCAACGGCAGGGCTCTGATGAAAACTTGAGTGAAAAAAGAAACAAAGCAAAACAAAAATCACATAAAATGTGACAATTCAACTTTGTGAACATTTTCTGAGTCTTCTATCCAAACATCTTCAGGGACCTTACGAGACCCTGCTCTTTGGATGGGTTTTTCTTGATTTCTCTTTCTTCCTAATATCTGGTCTCTTCTGCTTCTAACATTTTAGCAAGAACAAGCACACAACCAAAAATAAAGTTACTAGCGATAGGTATGGAATATTGCCTTCTTTTTTCCATAGTTTATTTTCTATTTTGCTTCTTCATCTTAGGGCTTCCATTACAGACAGTGGCTGAGGTTGACTGGGCTGCCATAGTGTATCAGGAAAAATGATGTCATTGTCTGTAACTTGCCTATGACCCTGATTCTGCAGCTTGTCACCTCTCCCTTCAGATCTTCCAGTGTCTAGATGACAGATCTTTTCCCTGGCCATTTTCCAGAATTTCCACAGAAGCCTCTTCATTGCAATTTCATCACTCATACAGGTCATTTTGGGAGGCCTGGATTGAGCGAGAAATAATTCAAGGTGCTTTGACACCAAGAGATCGTGTCCTCAAAGAACCTTAATCAGTGGCACAACCAGGACTAGAACCCAGGTCTCCTGAAACCTGAACCTAGTATTCTCACTGACATACAGGCCTGCTTATTTTAATGCTGACATACCTGTAATTCATTCTGCTTTAGTTTTCTTAAACTTAAACCAGGTGGTGATTAAAACCTTACTCAAAAACTTCACACAAGAGAAAAGGAAATGAGAATTTATTGGTTCACACCTGGACAGTCTTGATTCAAATTCTGAAGTAGCATTATCACAAATCTTTCTCTCCATCCCAAAATCTGCTTTCTTTCCTCCGCGTGTCCCTTCCTTTCTAACCAGGCTCCTCCTGTGTGATGGTAAACCTAGGAGCATCCAGCTCACATCCTACAGGTTGAGAAAGTCCAATAAAAACAAGCAAAAGGCTCTGGAAGGGTCTGCTTAGTCTGAAATATTAGGGTGCTGCAATCAAAGGCTGGAAAAGAAATAATGAACCGGCAAACACAACAGATGTCTGATAGAGCCCCTAATGGGGAAGAAAGAAAAGTTACATCTGCCATTTACACTGTCTGTGATTGTGCATGGAGATGGCACTCAACGTGAGGAGTCCCACCATGTCTTCCAGCTTCCTGGAGCATGGGAAGCCAGACTGATAATTTCAGAGGTGACTCAATCAGCATAGTGAAAGCATTAATGTTGGCAGACAGAAAACTCATATTCTCCCAGTTTCCTTGTGTCAGAGAAATCAAAAACAAATGGTAGCTTTCTTAACTCTTGACATTTTAGTTGAAAAATATTTCCTTCCAACTATCCTTTCTTTTCTTTTAATATCCCATTACCTCATTTTTTAACAATAATTTTGGTGGGAATGGACAAAACACCTGAGAGTGGCTCTAGGCCGACAGGATGATGAAAGAAATGACACTGTGGGTCTCTCCTATTCCTAATTTCCATAACTTTTAAGAGCACAGGCTGCTGACACAAAATGATACAAGTAGGAAAGTTGCTTGGAGCACAAAAGTTCAATGCAACCAAAGACCTGATAGACTACCCCTGGCTCAGCCTGTCCCAAATCAGTATGTTTTCCATAATGTGATCTTTCATTTGGCTTCTTTTCTCAGTACTGAACTGCTTTCTCCTGTGTAATTTAAGCATCAAATATGTATCATGACCCACCCTGAAGCACTGTCTCCTTGGATGACAAAATAATTTAAAAATAAATTGCATTGTAAAGAAAAAATATTGTTAAATAATGGGGTACCCTTGAATAATAGGATACCAAAATGTGGTGTGTACATGTGGAAATGTTATGTCTTACTCAACGTGTGTAGAGCACTAGTTTTCCTGAAAAGACTCCAGAATACACTAAATCAGGAACTCTGAGGGTGAAACCCAACACTGTGTGTTTTAACAAGACCTCTAGCTGATGCAAGCTAAGGTTCCAGACCCACTGGGTTTTATTTTTAACTTTCCTAAGCTTCAATGTCATTGTCTATAACATGTGAGTAGCACCTAATTTTCAGGGTTTTCATAAAGATTAAATTTGACCAAAATCATTATTGTTATTATTAATATTAATAACAAAATAAGAATGCATGTGAACATTTTTTAGATATACATGTGATGGCATAAAATGCAATATCTTTCCTTTTTCCATAAAAGAGGCAGTTGCAGGAATTCAACATTGAGTGACAGCATATAATAATCAAATGCTCAATGAAAGATGGCCATAAAGTTATCAGTCCAGTCCCTACTCCCTTGGCAACTGTACCTGCTACTACTACTCTTACTAAATTCATTTACTAAATTTACATTTTAACAGAGTTAGGTAAAGTAAAATCTTATATTTTAGTTCCAGAAATACTTTTCCCAGAACAAGATAGAGCTTGAATTAAGTACAGCATTATTCTGCTCAGAGGAAGGATAATGAACAAAAATATTTCATGAATACCTTTTCCCAAATAGACATAATCACATTTCCATTCACTCTTAGGATTCTTTGAATCTAGGAATTAGTTTCCAATTATCTGTTACCTCCCAATAGAATCCTATAAAATAGATGAAATTCTTCTTGCCACGATTAACTTTCATTTCATCTCAAAATGTAATGGAGAAACTTTCATTCTAAATTCTTGCTAAATTTATTTTGAGATTTATAGCCCGGGATAAAAGGAATGTGAGAGCCATGGCTCCAGAACGGGGATTGGATCCACATTAGGTTCCAATTAGACACCTGAAAATTCATCTTTCAGAGATGAAGCATCCTCAGACACCAGCTATTCAGGAGGGAAACCCATTCTTATTTCCCCCCCCCTCAGGAAAGAAATAGAATTTTTAGTTGCTTAGTGATTTGTGAACTCCTGAAAAATTGTAGTGACACCTGAAGAGGACTCAGCTCAGTTCAAGTGACCTCAGCACAAGGAGCAATGAATTGGGATTTATGCTTTCCTATTCCTTTCATCTCAGACAATTGTGTTTACCTGAAGTACCAAATACCAAACAGTGGAAGCAGAGGGCAGAGCAATGGTTTTCCAGTCAGCTGAGATTCCAGTTTAGCAGGCATAGGGACCTAGTCATCTGCATTTTACCAAGCACCCTCTCTTCCCTAGTGGTTCTAACCCAGGTCTGCACATCTCATTTTCAGAAACACTGCTAGAAGGAAAAGACAACAGACTTTTGAATTAGAAAAACCAGAATTGGAAGTTCAGCTCTGCCATTTGCTAACTGGTAGATTTGGATGGCTTGCTTAGTATCTGAGGTTGTTTCCAGGTCTATAAAATAGAATTAGCAATAACAATGACTTTAGTTGTTGTTCTGACAAACATATGAGATAATACATGCCATGTGCCTAGCATATATAATATGTACTCAATAAATACTTGTCTCATTTCAAGAGGCTTTTAGGAATATAAGTTATAGGAAGTGATGTCAGGAAGACATGAACACACACACACACACACATACCACCTTTCTGTGATTTTTCCAAATTTATAATAAAAATAGATATTCATAACATACTGCTGCTTACTCTTACTCTTTTACTATTTGTACTATTGTCTTGCATTATTGTGTAATGTTTAAACAATAATGTGTTTATGTGTCTGTGGGCACTGTGAGTCTTTTCTACACAACCAGCTTGCAAACTTTCAGGTAGCAAGGGCCGTTTGTTGCATTGTCAGAAATATCTGACACACAGTGACAGTTTCCATCACAGCACTATGCATGTCAAAGATGTTCAATAAGTATATACTCAGTCAATGCATTTGTTGCAATGAATAATGCCAAATTGTTCGAGAATTGGGCAACACTCCTGTCAACTCCAACTGGATCAAATAATCTTGCCTTAGTTGAAGCGTGGTCTCAGGTGAATTTAAAGATTTTACAATGCTTCTTATTTTTGAAAACAGAATAAGAAGAATGATAAAGAATTAATAATGCCTTGTGTTTCATATAGTTCTTAACATTTTCAACTGTCCTTCAGAACTATCTTATGTTCACCATCTAAAGGATCAGTTACCTGGTAAGTTGATGAAATCATAATATTATAAAATGTTGGGGTGTTCGTTTTAAAAATCCTTGGATTGATACAAGCAACCCCTGAAACAGGGAAACATACCCTGACATATTCCAAAGAAATCAAGCAAAGGGAAATGTATATATTTTTTAACTGCAGTGGTATTGCCTTTTTTGTGGGTTATAAAAAAAGCAAATAAACATTGCAAATTATCTGCAGCAGCAACTTCATCCTGATTCTCTGCAATCTGGGCTGCATGTACACCCCATCATCGTTATGCTGTATCCTTAACACAGAAATAGCCAAAAGCCCTTTCGGCGTCTCTGTTCAGACCTCTAAGACCGTTCTACCCGCCTGGGTCAGAAGTTGAAATATATAAACAATCTTTCTGTGCTTGAACTTGAGAGAAAAATCAGTCATCTGTACATGATCTGTGTTAGAGTAAAATGTAATTTTTCCCTCTGACAATGTGTTTATGGTTGTTAACTTATCTTGATTGCCAAGAGAAATCTGTTTTGTGTGGCAGGCTTTTCTGACTTAAAATGTCAGATGCCACCCCTACCCCCCACCCCATATCCAGCCACCCTTTCAACTAATTCACAAATTGACTTGACTCTCAGCTAGGTTAAAAAAATAATTTCCTGAAAATTAAAAGTCTGGCACAATACTGTACTAAAAGTCCATTTATCTTGTCTATTTTTATAAAGCTTCATTGCAGCATCTGGCAAAATGCCCACTTCTAGTAACAAAGGTCCCCAAGGACATTTGGCAAGAGCGACTTTTCTTCTAAGACCCTGAAAATGATCCTGGACTTCCTAACGTATGATTTTAAAAGCTTGCAATTAGGATTTGTAAGAGGATCCTGTGTATGATTTGTTAAAGGTGAAGATTGAGTGAAAATGCTGTGGAGATAAAGTGACTAAAATACTTTGGATGTGTCTTTGTCATCTCTGTTAGGAGTGCCACCTCTTCGTTGATCACATAAGTCAGGGACTGAATGAAAGCTCAGGATTTTGATATTATTATGAAAGATAATGGCTAAAGATTATCTAGACGAGGCAGCACAATGATTCACTCTTGTTTAATCAACTACAACTTCTACTAAGCGCTCAATATAAACCAGACTAATCTTTCCACCTTCCTGCAGGAAACTGCAATGGCACCTGTTTATTCAGCTCCCCTGGTATTGAGTAAATCCTTCCTTTTCTTCCCTCCTTCTCCCACCAATCAGTTGAGGGAAACGTTTTCAGCATTTCCAATCTAAGACTGATTGGGCTTTCCTGTTGATGTCAAGTTGAAGCATTCCATTGGGAAAGCAACCTCAAGACTGCTGACTTTTTTGTGGCCCTGAGCTAACCAAATGATTGCAGCAAATGCACCCCTCTTTCAGGCTATGAAAGACAAATGGCTTGTGAATTGCTTGTTTGGAATGTTTCGTGAAGAAATGACCATTTGTGTTGAAGAAACTGCAGACGTATTTCACCCAATTTGATACAAGGTTTCCTCTTTTTTTGACAATAGCTCCACTTACCAGATTCTTCTTTAAGCAAGATTTAGTCTAATGCAAAGCCACTTTGTCAGTTCGGTGACACCCGAATCAATAGCCATTTTGCCTCAATGATTTACCCTCAATGTCATTTCATTAACGAATTCTTACACTGAAACCATTGATACCAAATTCCAAAGAGATTGCAGAATGAGGTTTTTCCTTTTTTTCTTTTAATTACATTTGGAATATTGAAAGTGTGTTTCCTTTATTAAATTAAGTACTTTAGAAGAGTTTGAAACTCTTCTGAGGCATGACCAAAGACACAATTCCATCTGTTTTGTTTTTCTTATTTATGACATAGATGATTTTATTTTAAACAGTGCATGCGTTTCACGTTAATTCTTCTTCATATCTGTCAGAGCACATCATCTGTGATGTGTGCATAGTTAACTGGAGCATTTTGTGAGAAGATTTAGGCGGAAAGTAAAAGCAGCTTTGAAAAAATCAGCTAAAATTGGAAACCAAATGCTTATGGGGTTGCTGGATGTCTGTTCTGTACTGAGCAACAATTTTAAGGATAACTTATTGATACCTGAAACATGTTGGAAGTTGTTCTCACCCAATTAGTGAATGTTAAGCCCTTTCTCCTGGACAGGTGTTGAATGTCCCAATGACTGCATGCAATCTCGTGTTAGTATTTTGTGGCTGGGATAGAAGCCAGGGACAGAGGAGCTATGTAAATGCAGTCCTCCTCCGGGTACGCTCTTTGGTTTCCCCTCATTAGAACTGAGTTGTACCAGTGCAGAAGCTTCCACCTCTGAAGGCTTTGGTCTGCCCTGTTCACCATGTTCCTTAAACTGGGACACTCACACAACTATCTCCACCGCCACAGACGGTGGAGTGGAGTCCTAGTGTCTACTCTATCCATAGGGTATTTCTTCCTAGAACATCAGTTTTGCTCTATGGTAAGAAATTTAAAATAAATTTTATACCAAAGCAAGCATAATATATCATGGAGTAAAATGTTTAATTCCCAAGATTTCAATAACAGAGGCTTTAAGGAAACCTCACCATAGTTGTAGGCAATTTGGACTACCCCTGAGGACACATACTGACTCTTCCTCCCCCTGCTAGGTTGGGAAAGGTTCAGGAAGTTCTGTTGAATGCTCTAAATAATCTTTCAGAACAGCATATTCTATTATATTTTCAGGCATTGAGCTCTTGAAAACTAACAGTAGTGAGATCGGCATCACCAAGATGCCACATAGCTGAATTGCATATTCGGTTATTTTGGTTATAACCCCAGGAATTTCTAGCCATTAAATTTCTTTCATGTAGTTCTGAAGCCTCCACCCCAATAAAAAGCAATCTTGTGGAAACTGTTTCCAACCATTATGGGTTCAAGTTCACATGAGATGTATCTGCAGGTTATAATATTTACTCAATACACGTCTTACCAAACACAAATTATATATCTTAGAAATAGTTTGGGGTTAGTTTTATAATCTTGTGCCTGGTAAAATTCACCAACCTCAAACTTTTTTTAAAAATATGATTACAGAATTAGAGGATATTTTTATTTATTGCATTTGGAAATTGAAAGTACTTTTTCTTTATTAAAATAAGTACTTTAGACCAGTTTGAAACACTTCTGAGTCATGACCAAAGACACAATTCCATTTAATTTGTTCGCGTAAGGTATGTGTGCAGATTTATTACTTATTTAGTACTCATTTATAGATTTAGTATTTATTTAATATTCATTTATAGATTTAGTATTTATTTAGTATTCACCTTATAATACACAAATGATGGATCCTGGGAACAGTCTATGGTCAGTTTCATGATGTTTTATCCACTAAAGTTCACAAGCATTTTGAAAAAACAAACAAACAGCAAAAAAAAACAAACTTGGTTCCCAGTTACTCATTACATCATGACTCAATACGGCAATATATGCTTCAAGAATGTTCATGTCCCTTCTCTTTCAATGCAATTATTCTTTTTCCATTTCTACTTCCAAAATGAGATGCTCATGGGACTAAAAAGCTCAACTGCTTTTCGTGGTCAGGCAGGACACACAAAAGAATAAAGCTGCTGGCTAAGATATTAGGCATTACACTAGTTATGTTTTGATCAATCATATTATTTCCCTAGTTACATAAACTTTCTGCAGGCCAAATCAAACACACACTCTAGCCAAATTTACCCTGTCAGCCTCCAGCATGCAGCTTCCACCTGGAATACCTTCCTCTTTCCTCTTAATGGTGGTTCCCTCTTCTTTCTAATGCTGCCTTCAAAATCCACTACCTTCGCATCACAATTACTTGTACCAGTACCTGTCCTAGTGTCCAAGGCAGGCTCCCACCCAAGGCTGGGTAAACAGTAACTGGCAGGAGTGTCAGCTGACCTAACAGGAGACACAACTACTCCGAAACAAGCCATGTATGGCATTCTTCTGTGTGACTCTGCCTACCTAGTTTACTCCCCCTGACACCTGAATCATGACTGCAATTATCATGTGGAATTCTTTGAGTACAAGTATCTTCCATATCAAGTCTTGGAGGTCTTCTTCATCTCAGGTCACAAAAATAATAAAAAGCTTCATTGAGAATAAAAACCCACATGATAGGCATGCACTGCAATCAGTTTAGTAATTGGTAACTGGAAGAATAGTCATCGGTATCTATCAAACAAATCATAAATGAAAAACATATCTACTTCAGGTATCTACCTCTCATTTATTCCCACCCGCTGCCCCACTCCCCCAGCCCCTGCCATGCACACACAGAATTGCTGGGACCTTTAGCTGCATAGTTAAAGGAAATGATTTGTTCTTAGTCTTCTTTTTTGTGGCCCTTTGACATTTTTTGCGTGTCTTTCACCATCTTCCTTGGGATTCCTAAATTAGAGACTTCAAATCAAATTGCAGATAATTCTTTGTCTTTCTGCTTAACGATTCTTTAAAATTCATACCTTCAGGACAACATTCAAACTTCAGGCACTCTGACAAGGCGACCAATAGGCTATAAACAAGGCAGGCTCCGGACCATAGCCAGAAAGCTTGCTGAGCAGAACACTGGCTGACCCTGCTTAGGTTAGAGCACTTGTGCAGTGCACAAACTGCCCAACCACACATGCCAGCCCTGTACCTTGGATTTTACTTTAACTGTTTTATAGTTTCTTTTACATTTCATATTTATTTTTCTTTGATGTGTTTTACCTTCTTTTTGATTTATAATATTTAATTGATTTCATATCAAAACACTATGGCTTGAGGTAACTAGCAACACAATGAGGAAAGTAGACTTGCTCCCTGACAATACATGAAAGTAAGGGTCTGTTAGAACACATAATGAGTTGGGCTGAATGTAGAGGAAGTCAACTTTAAGGTACTGAAATGACCCAGTGCACAATGCTATGCTTTCCCTTGATTCCTGAACAACAGTGTGATTAGTCATAAGGGGCCTGGTCTTAAGGGCCTGTGGCATCCCAGAATCAGACTGGAAGCTCTGTAGTGGCAGGGACAAAGGTTCTGTCCTCTTCTTTGGCTGCTGACCTTTCCAGGCTTTGGTGGAAAGGGCAACCCAAACTATTGGCAGAGGATAGGTGTGGAGGATTCATCAGCTTGACGCTCCCTCCCCATATTCCAAAATATGCACAGAAGTTTGTGTCTGTTTTGCATTCATTGTTTTCCCTCATATGTCTGTGATGTATTTTATTCAAAGAAACATAAATTCAAAAACCTAGAAAGTTAATATATAGTCTTTACCTTAAAATACAAAAAAGTATTATTTTTTCTCTAAAGAGAAAGTGAATTTCCTTATTCCACAATTTTATGCATCTCATCTATCCAATTTTTTTATGTCCCCGTCATCTCAGTTTGACTTTTCAAGATATTCTTATGCCTTACAATACCCTAAACAGTATCACATCTCATTAAGGAGATGGAAGCCTTTTGCCAACACAGCATTTTCATCTGTTCCCAACATGAGTAGGTCATGTACACCACTGTTGCGTCAAAGCCTTTCAAGGTAATAAATTAATTGAATTAATGTTTTGTGGTGAATGAAGAACAGCAGAAGCCTCACTGCCACGGTTGCTCCTTTCAAGTAAATACTTAAATTTCCTGGGCATGGAAAGGAATTCCCCATAAACTAGACAAATGATCCATCTCTGTGTGATACATCTATTTTTATTATACCTGCAGGTAGACATTAATGTACCCATTCTTTTTACCCTAAAGCAGAAACATTAATGAACAATATGAAGTTATAGCTCTCAAAATGGGGTGATTTCTTACCTGAATGACTGTCACAATCTATGCCAAGTTGAGGAAAGAGTAGAAGGAAACAGAGAAGTGGCACAGACAGATTCCAGAAAGCTCTTTTGAAAGCCCTGATTTCTTTTGCTCCCAGAAATCTTCTGACCTAAACTCTCTGGCTTTTGGTTTAACACAGTAAAATAATTGCTGTAAATTCTTTTCTTCCTTTAAAGAAAACTTGAGAACTATCCTGAATTTTCCACTTCGTTTATAGCTGAGCTATTGTAATTTCAGCAGGATTTTGACACTTAGAAAAAAGTGGAGAAATCATCACAACATGAAATAATGAACACTTTTTAATAAAAAGAAAAAGCAGTGTGGCTCTGACAAGGATACGTCTAGTCTGACCAGGGTGATATCCTTGTGGGAGTTCTGGTCAACCAAAGGAAGCCAGCGATATAATCAATCTTAAGTTTTAGCAGGGTCTTTGATTCTGCCCCACACAACACACACATCAATTAAGTGGAAAAACAAGGTCTGAACTACTCAGTCATGAGGTGAGTGGAAAACCAGCTGGAAAGTCAGACCTAAAGAGAGGTTATCAATGGATCAGTGTCAACCTAGGGACACACAACAAATGGTGCCACAGTTCCTCCAGGGTCAGCTCTGAATCTGAGGTGGTTTAACATTTCTATCAGTGACCTAGAGGATTCAACAGAGAGAAGGTTCTTATTAAGCTCTGAAGGGCAAAGGGGGAAGGCCAGATTCCTGGGACTAGGGCAATAAAATCCAAAGCAATAGAGTAAATTGCCAAACCAATCAGCTGCAACTAAAGTAAGGTTTAATGGGGATAACAGTGTCATACTGAAGAACAGATTTTGCCTGATGGAGACAGGGAAAAGTTAAGTATATGTAACTCTGGCAGTAAAAGACATTTAGGATTTCTGCCACAGATTCAGTTATAGTCCAAGCCCTTTTCTTGTCTATTGATGCATGCCATAGACTTCGATTTCCGAAATCTTTGGGAAAAGAAGGTAAAAGATTGTGAGGAGACCAGTATCAGGTTGCTTTGTATTTTTTTTTAAGATTTGTGTTGTTCTTGATTATCTAAAACCAAAAAGTCTCATCTCAAAGAAAAAGAATTAGCTGCACTCCAAAGGTCTAATACGCATTTTGTACAATATTTGTAAAACATTTATTTGCTATACTCAACTTCCACATATGTGCGCGCACACACACACACACACACACACACACACACACACAAACTCACACCACTTTAATGTACCACACGAAGCCCTCTGCCAATAACTTGCTCCTGAAAAAGGCCATGCCCAATAGTCAATTCCCCGGACTACAGGAAGAGAGTCAATCAAGAAAACAAAAAAGGCCTGAAACAATTAAAAAAAAAAAAAAGTATACAGCCTGGGCAACATAGCAAGACACTGTCTCTACAAAATAAAAAAATTAGCTAGGTGTGGTGGCACATGCCTGTGGTCCCAGCTACTCAGGAGGCTGAGGTGGGAGGATCACTTGAGCCCAGGAGGCTGAGGCTGTTGTGAGCTGAGACTGAGCCACTGCACTCCAAGTTGGGTGACAGAGCAAGATCCTGTCTCAAAAACAAACAAACAAAAACCGAAATAAGTACAACATAAAGACACAAAAAGTAAAAACCATAACATCAAATCTTCCCTCTAGTATTGAACTACTTGGGAAAACTGAGAAAAATTTATCTTGGAGCCATAAAAATAGAGAGTTAAATATAAAAAAGCTAAAGGTTTCCAGATTATCCACATAGAACAAAGCCTACAGGAAGATTTAATGTCAAAGCTGAGAAAATGCTTGTAAAGAAATATTATAATTACTTGTTCTTTAACTTCACTAAGGATGTAGTGATGGGAGGAGGAATGGGCCTCAACTCTGAAATGGAAAGATACAAATAACATCTTCTAAAATGTGGATGGATGGATAGATAGATAGACAGATAGACTCTAATGTACAGTGAGTTAGGCACTTGCCTTAGGCACATATTTAAAAAGGCACCAAAAATCTCAGTAATCAAGATAAATAGTGTTTTAGTACAATATCTTTAAAAAATCAAAATTAATGCAAAAATTCCGTAATAAATGACATATAAACATTTCACATAAAGACAGGATCAGGATTACTGACATTTCTCTTTTACCTCAGGCTCCAATATGGCTTGGCAACAATATGGCTGAGCTAACTGCTCAAGTTACTACCCACAGGAGTTTGAAAAATCTGTAAACAACATAGATTTTCATCCAAGTATTTGACTACTGTGAGGTATTCTTCCAAAGAGGCAGATTATTTAAAGCAAAGGCATATTATTAGTTTCCTAGATAGACTTTGAGGTTGCCTTTATCTTTTCCAGGAAATTTAGCTAAATGTCATGCCTACTAATTAAAATGTTCCTAAGACAAGGATGACAAAACATGGATCATCATATGTTCTTCTAATTTACTGCTGAACACACAAAAAAGAAAGAAAATGCTATCTCTATTCCAAAATTACCTTTTATAGCAAAGTCTTATTCTTTTCTTTTTTTTTTTTCACTTAATGTTCAGGTCCATATTTTTGTTCGTATTATTTAATCTCATAAATGCCAGCTTCTTCACGTTATTACCAAGAAGGGGAGGTGAGTTTCTTTACAGGTTTCTGTTCTATTATTCCTTCCTGCAATGCTATAAATAAGTGAATATTCCCTGGAATCACTCTTGTCAAAAGTAGTAAGTAAAGCAAGATCTCAGACAAATACGAAAATCATGTCTTCCATGAAATATGATAGTATTGCTGTAGATATCTGTCTCTTAGACTTCTGATAATTCATAAAACATCAAACGATCCACCTTTGATATGAAATCTGAAGCAATTCCAGCATGTAAACTTGTTTAACTGCCATGAATTGAAGAGTTTTAATGGGGCTTTTACAAGTGTTAATAAATTTCAGTTTCAACCCAGTTTCTCTCTCTCTCTCTTTCTCTCTCTCTCTCTCTCACTCTCTCTTCCTTTCTCTCTCTCTTTCAATTTAGGCTTTAACCTTCACATTAAACATATTTTTTCATGATAAGAATCACTTATACTTTCTTGATTCAAACATTCTTTGGCAGTGGAATAATTACATATCCTGTTTCTTTTATTCCTTTTTTCTTTGACTATTAAGTAATCCTTGGTGGCAATAAAAACATCATACTGTGGATGACACAAAAATGAGAACAGTGAGATATATTTCAATGTACTTGAAAGTAAATGATTGTTCAAATATGCTTCATAGAATTTTCATGAACGTAGAAGATATTCAATTATAAGTGGCCAAGAAAAATATTGAACCCATAATTAGGGAGGAATAGCTAAAGCACAGTTTTTCCATTATATAGCTTTTTTATACATCCATGCATGCATTTACCCTAGAAAGTTTTCACACAAATAAATATCTATGCTTGTGCCTATATACTGTTGAAATAGATAGGTCTGGGAAGGGTGTGATTAATTATAAAGACATTTGCTTATTCGTGATGTCAAATCAAGTCATTCTGGCACAGAGATTTTATTTATTTGAGTTTTGCAGGGTGAGTGTGCTAAATCATCAGGGCTGACCAGAAGAACCACTTAAATTCTCAGGATAATATACAACCATTATTTCTCATGGACGTATGAAATAAAATCTAAAGTCAACTTAAGTCTGAATGTATTATCTTTTCCAGAATTCAAATTTAGGTGGAACCTAAGACATCTTGATTCAAATTGGGAGTGGGCCGAAGGAGTGACCAAAGTGTCTGTAATTCTCATTCTTATCCTATCATCTGGGTTTCAAGTTCAAAAGAATTGAATTAAAATCCTTCCTTCCTCTTGTGGTCTAGAAAATTGCCTTTTCCATTCTCAAGAACTCCCAGATGACAATATAGTATATCTCTTTTCTTAGTAACAGAAAATCCAAAGGCTTTATGGAACAAAGGTTTGGGGGAACAAATAATATGAATACACAAGTACAGACTGGAAGGAGAGGAAACTAACGAGATCATTATTAGTGAATGATAGGCCATGTCTGGTCCCTTGAGTTGAATTAATGGTGGTCTGGTTTCTAGATAAAGGAGGTGATGGTCCTTATCAATGCTGTTATTCTCTAACCACTCCTGAAAAAAATGGTCTTCATTCAGTCCACAGCAATTAACCAAAAAGGACTCTGAGGGCAGTAATTAGCCACGACACATATAAGGGTCAGTTAAATAAATGACGGCTGATAAGCCTGGAGAGAAGATATAGTTACAGTGTTCAAATACCTGCATGACTATCACAAGGAAGAAAGAACAGATCTGTTCTGTGTGATTCTACAAATGGTCAACTGAATCTCATCACTAAATTAACTTTCAAGCTTCTTTCCATTTCTAGGATCCTAAGACTATTTCTGGAATTTTATGACTGTAATTAATCAGATCTTTTGTCTTCAAACCAGGGAATAATTAATCTCTTTAGACATGCAAGAATCTCTTTTGCTTTAAAGGTCCTCATCTTTTGCTTAGGTGGAGGAAAACTCTGGGCTGCTCTTTAAGGAAGATCAGAGTACACTGACGTTTGGTATTTGAGGTAAGAGCCACCACACACACACACACACACACACAAAACCCTCATAAATAGAGGTAATGGCCAAGCGTAGTGGCTCAAGCCTGTAATCCCAGCACTTTGGGAGGCCGAGGCAGGCAGATTGCCTGAGATCAGGAGGTTGTGACCAGTCTGGCCAACACGGTGAAACCCCATCTCTACCCAAAATACAAAAATTAGCCAGGTATGGTGGCGAGCACCTGTAATCCCAGCTACTCAGGAGGCTGAGGCAGGAGAATGGCTTGAATCTGGGGAGGTGGAGGTCGCAGTGAGCCAAGATTGTGCCACTGTACTCCAGTCTGGGTGACAGAGCAAGACTCCCTCTCAAAAAAATAAAATAAAATAAATAAATAAATATATGTAAAGTTTTTTTAATATTGGAAAAAATAGTGGAAATTATTTTTAAACAGTAGACTTCATTAGCTTTAAAGAAACTGGAAACTCCAAAGAGAGAATTATGAGAAGAAAGAAGAAAGAAAACTTCTGTAAAAATTTTACAAAAAAAATAGGGGTGCATTGCATGTTAAAATAAGTTCTAGTATAGCAAGTAGCCTATGCCACATGATGATTCCACGCAGGATAAATTATGTCCTCCAAAAAAAAGGGCAAATCATAAATATAATCCAGGATACAGGTGACAGTTTTGCCCCACAATTAAAAGGGTTGTTTAAAAAGTCTTTATATTTTTAATAGATAAATTTAAAAAGTGGATCTCAAACGTTTACTTTTAAATATAACCTGCTAATGTGGAAGGAGTTGTCTGTTGTTTGACTAGAGCTTTTGAAGGCATGAGACCAAACTCAGTCCTTACTTCCGCCAGTAGCAAAAATGTAAAAATACACCATGTATCCATATTCCATTGACCAGATTGCTTCTTTAGGGATATATCACCTCTGTAGGTTTATTTGAGAAGTAAAATGTATCAAGGCAGTGTCCACATTTAAAATACTGTCAGAATTGGGAATCAAAAGACATGCATTTGAATCTAGACTGTCTCTTGTCAAGTATGTGGGATGGTAAAAAGGGTTTCATCTTAGAATCAGATGTGTTTTTCAAACCCAGCAACAGAATGTTTCTGAAGACCTATTTGCTCAAAAATTAAATGCAGAAAATAAAACCATGTTTTGAATAACGAAAAATAGGTCATATATATACATGTGTGTAAGTGTGTTCAGAAAATCTTCTATAAAAGTATCCACCACTTGATAATTTCCTTTCCTTCCACTAACTAGTGGAATGATCATGAGAAAGTCACTTAACTTCAGTGATCCTCACTTTTCTAACTGAAAAATAAAGTAGTTACACTCTGCGATGTCTAATAGTTTCCGATTAGTGTGGGAGATAAAATTCTCCAAAAGCAAAGTTTGTGAAAGCGCACAAAATTTCTGCACACGGGATTAAAGATGTATCTGTTATTTTTTTTAACTTCAGAAGATGGTGACCTTCTTCTAATCTCTGTTCATCTGGAATCCTATCTATCCCCACTCTTTTAAGATTAATTTACAATCAAGACCAGATGGTTCAAGGCTACCCATTTTCATATCCAGGGCCAATCATTTAATTATCAAATCTTCAACAAAAACATCTTGATTGGGCATGCAAATGCTTGCAGAAAGCATGATAATGTACATGAAATACTAAGAACATATGTAAATATTTATGTATGAGTTTAGGGCATACTTATTAAAAGTGAGCATTTATATTTAAATGTCAACAGATAATGTTGGCTATGGGACACTATAACAAGATGCTGTCTGGAATAACAATACATTAGGCTTATCCTAGCTTTGTCACTTGATCTCTTTGACCTTGTTCAAATGGCTTGACCTCTTAGAGTCTTCATTTCCTCATCTCTACATGGAAATCTTGAATTAAATGAGCTCCAATGTTATATCTAGCTCTAAATGTTATTCAGTTATAAACGTCGATTGTGAAGACCACAAAATCACACTGAAAAATAGAAAAACCTGCTCTGTAACTTTCAGTCAGTTAAGAGTCATTATAAAATGTCCAGTTGTGTAAAGTCGTAGAGTCTGTAAGGTCTACTTTCAATGAAATTGAATTTTGCAGTTACCTCTGAACCATAGGTGCTGGTTTGGAGATCACTACAATAAATTTTCAGTATCTGATGCCTGGTCACTCTCTACCAGACTTGATATTAAGAAGAATATTTCTCTTTTCCTTTGTCTTATCTCTTCCTTCTCTTTGTCACTTAAAGAATATATGGAAAGAGTTTAGTTGCCAATTAGGAATAGTATTTGCATTGGAAGCCATTACTCTAAAGACGACAAGGAATGAATGTGAGCTAACACTGATAAATCTTACTATATGCCAGGCACAGTTTGTACAGTATGGCATTTGATTGTGACATATTATTACAAATTATTATGAATTATTAATCATTACAACTCTATAGGGAAACTATTATTAATCCCCCATTATCCAGAAAAGGAAATGACTACTGAAAGTTCAAAACTTTTAAAAGTCCACATGGCTAGTATTAGAAAAAGAATGTGAATCATGCCTGTCCAGTTCTTTCCACAACACCCTTCTGTCACAGAAACAAAGATATTAGAATCCTCATAAATTAAATTTATATTACAAAAATAAGAGCCATGGGCATTTTGTTCAATCACTTGGCATTAAAGGAAATGCTTGTTTTGTTCCGGTCACTGTGCTAGGCATGACAAATATAGCGTGGAAAAAAGCAGAAACTGACCTTATTCTTATGCTCCATAAAATGGACTAGTTTGTCATATCTGAGTGACAGAAATAGAAGTATTTTTACTTGCTTTTTTTTGCATTTTTCCCATTTTCTAAATAATCTATAACTTTCATAATCAGAAAAAATATTTGAAAGTAACCTTTTATCTTTCACAGTTGTATATACGATAGATATTGACCATATTCTTCCTTTTTTGGGTTGGGTTACAGTTAGTAGAAGCTATGCAATTTTTTAAGTGAGTTATTTTGGAGAATATCATATTGTAACGTTGCATAGATCTGTGTTTATTTTGATGTGGTGAACAAAAATAACAGAAAACATATATTAAAAAATTAAATTGAAATATTTTAAATGCTTGAGAAGAGAAAAATTCTCAGTTATGCTTTCTGTATATTGTATCTAAGTAAGTTCAATATCCACTAACTCCCCAACCCGGTGATTCACCCCAATCCTTACGTTACATCCCGTAAGTCTCATTTTTATGTTCTCATTTGATTGAAGTAAATTCATAGAGCTAGTCACCCTCACACATATTCCCAACCTTTTCTCAAAATACTTAATGATCATTCAACCCATCATTTGCCCTTAGTAGAGTGCTCCCTGTTTTCTGTTGCTACTTTCACTCTTGACAGAGTGCACTTTAAAGAATCTTTTATGTACTGGACTCTTTTTTCGGATTCTGAGATTCTTAAGCGTAGGGTTTAGTCATTTTTTAATTATATATTTTCTATTTTTTAGCACATACATACACAACTGCATATTTTTAAAAGTCAAGTAGTACTACATGGATTATAAGGAAAAACAGCCATCTCCAGCTCTGATTCTTCTCTGGTCCTTTTGTTACTTTGATCTCTGCCTTTTGTGTTAGAAGTTTTTCTTAAAAGCTGTTAGGGCACTGAGTACAAACTTTGAGAACAGGAAGGGTTTCCAAACATCAGGGGTCTTGAATATTTCATCACGAGATTCCCAAATGTTAGTATCCATTTTTTTCCCCTCCAGAGCTATCACAGTTTCTTCAGAAAAATATGCCTGGTTTCTTAAACTGAGTGGAAGGAGGTTATAGGTCTTACCAGTTAGTGTGTTTTTTAGAACACAGTCCTGTGAGAATCTCTATAAAGCAAACAGATTCTTTGTTTAATGGTCAATAAAGAGAAAGTGCATGTAGGAGATAAGGCATTCCAGGATCTTCCTCCTAGAGCATCACTGTGTGTGCTACTCTACAAAAGGCTGCCTGCCTTTCTCTAATTTAGTGTATTCAAAAGTCTTCTGACCAAAGTTCCTTTTATCCTTTTTTTCCCTTTTTCTTGTTGAACAGAGTGGGAGAAGAAGTATATATGAGATTGTATACCTTGCCAATGGGTATACAATTTACAATTGTATTTACCTAGTGTCATCTCATGACCATGGGACGCACTTTAAAAAATAATTATCTAAGACAGAACTGCTCAATAGAAATATAACGCTGACTGCAAATGTGAGCCAGAGAAGTAATTTAAAGTTTCTTATTAGCTGCACCTTAAAAAGTAACAAGAAGTGGGTAAAATTAATGTTCATATTTATATTTTATTAATCCAAATACAGCAAAAATATCATTTCTTCCTGTTATCAGTATGAAAAATATTGAGATATTAATTTTGTTTTTGGACTCAGTTTTGAAATGCAATGTATATTTCACACATAATCATATTTTAATTTAGATTAGCCACATTCCAAGTACTCAGTAGCCACACGGTATTAATGGCTACCATATTAGACAGCTAATATAATCAAAGATCTTGACCTGGAGGCTTAGTATGTCTGTAAGATGTTCTTTGGAGGGTTAATTTCGCTTTTATAGAGAAAATAATTTTAAAATAGGGGACTAAACATGAGCCATTCCAGACTTCTAAATGTTCTTGAAAATTGGGAGGCTTTGGCCATATTGGGCCATTTGGCAACATTCTTCATTTGGTGACTCATAATCACCTGAGCCCAGTAATGACTGCACCTGCCCCCTTGGCCATACTCATTTGCAGATCATTTCACATATACACGTCACCTGCCCGGTTCTCACAGGGAGCTGAATTTGCAACTCCAAATCTAGGCCAACCTTCCTTTCTTACAGATAAGAAAACTGAGTCCCAGAGAAGTGAATTCACTTGTCATTCAAGCTACAGATGGTAACAGAGCTAAAACTAAAAGCTGCGTCCATGATAATGCTTTCTAGGGACATCAGGCTATTTTCTTAGGCCCAAACCTAAATCTTTCCCAGTTTAATTAGCCTATTTCTCCTTTTTTCCTCCACAGACTTTGAACAATTGCTTGGAATCTTTCCTCTAAAAGCAACTCACATATAGAACTCATAGTTATGCAGTTTCTAGCTAATTATAGCTCCTCTTAACGTGATAAAAGCAACTCTGACTTTCCAACAATCAAATAAATGCATTGTTTTCAAACTCTTAAAATGTCTGTGGCTCTTTTCTAGTCTTGGTGTGGTTTATTTAGAATAAAACTTCTTAAAAAATTAAGTACATACCACATTACAGAATTATTTAATAGCACCATAACTAATACTAAACATGGAGAAATTATTCTGCTTGCCATTCTGCTTAATTAAATCAAATTAGCATTAAAACTATGAATAATTTTAAATATGAATCCAGACACAAAACAGCACATATGTAATTCAATTTATAGGAATTTCACGAATATGTGAAACTAACTGATGAAAATAGAAGTAGGAATAGTTGCTACCCCAAAAAGAGGGAGAGGTGTATTAATCTGGAAAAGTCATAAGGAAACCTCAGGACTGCAGGAGATGTTATATATTTTGATGTGAATGGGATTATACAGGTATATAGATATACATGTAAAAATTTATCCCTTGAGATTACTGCAGCTTCATACTTTATTATATTTATTTTGATCTCAATTTTTAAAAGAAGAATATTGCATTTTTTATTGATTTGTTGCTGTGTTTTAACTTTCAGCTAAGATGTATAGAGCTTTACATACCAGGATAGAGTCAAGTAAGTGAAATACAGTAAGCAATAGGGCTCAGAGGGTCCAAGGACACCAAAAGATAGAACAAAGGCATAAATACATACTTAGGGTTGCTTGCATAGTAATATCAGTTGCTCCACACACAAAAAAGTGATACTCGATAATCAGACCTTATATATGCTAAAATATACAATTGTCTAGTTTGGGATTTTTTTCAAATCAGATTTTACATCTGCCTGTGCCCTAGGACATTCAGACAGTGACTGATGCCAGTAAGCCTAATGTGTGACCAATATAGGCAAATTGCATTTTTTCTGGTTCATTTATTTTTTTAAGTTGTGTTAACTAGTTAAATAGTTTAAACATGCTCAAAGCCAAACAAAAGTAAAAATATTGCAAAGGAAAAGAGAAAATGTGTTTGCCTTTATTCTTAAACTAGTGGTTTACTGCATGGAATTTAGCGTGATTGACCATTGTAATTGCTTTTTCTGGAATGAGCAAGAACCATATTCTCATTCCTCTGCCACCACAAATACTAAGCAGTCACTGGAATGTCTCTTGTGGTATATTTGTGCGTTTATATCATGTCACTTCTACTAGAATTGTAATCATTAATTGCTTAAGAGTTCATTCAGTTTAAAATATTTTCCATCAAAAGCCACTCTCAAATAAATACTCGGAATAAAATGGGAAGTAGTGAGGGGTTTTTAGAATATAGCTTTTAAAAAGCAGAAGTTAACTGTTTCATACTTTATAAATTGTGCCGACTTCAAATGCAACTTGCACAGTGAATTGTTTTTTATTTATGCATACAGAATTTCTTGGTTTCATACCATTTCATTGTGGTTTATAGTACTTCAAACAACTCTTTAAAAGACATTAAACTAGAAATCTCTCATAGTTCTTAGTAGCTAATCCAGATGCTTCCTTAAAATAAACCTGCAGGGACCCCATTTTCCATGACGTGATTATTACATATTGCATGCCTGTATCAAAACATCTCATGTACCCATAAATTTATACACCTATGTACCCACAAAAATTAAAAATTATAAAAAAAAATTTTTTCTTATGCATTTTCAAACAAAAAAATCCTGCAGGGGATAGATTCCAGTAGGAAATTCCTTTCAAGCAATAATTTTTTTTCCCAATGATATTTCAACAATGTCAACCAGTTTTTCAAGTTATATAAGGAGCAAAAAAAGTAACATTTTTAGATAAATTTTACTCTTTACACCCAAATCTTTAAATATTAAAATTGTATTTTCTTTTCCCTTGGAGGAAGAAATAATTTATTATCTTAAGAAATAATTGAGAAAATCTAGCTCTCCAATTTCTTAGTAATTGATCTCCTAGTATTCAGAAGCTGCATATATAAATGGGGTATTTGCTTTTTAAGCTTTATTTACAGCTTTTGCCAGATGAGGATGTACTCTGCATACTATAACTACGGATTTCCAGCTGTTACCAGAAATCTTGGTATGCACAGCTTTGGAACTCAAAGCATGTTTAAAGATCAGCCACTGGTAAGCCTAAAATAATATCAAGTATTAATGATTGGTAAACCTATTCAACAAAGGCTGCTGATTCATGAAGACCATAAAATTATAGGGATGAATATGCTCTTAATAAACCCTCTCTTTCTTTTGTCCACTTCAGGCTTGAGTCGACTACACTTAAATGAGCCTAAATAGAGGAGACATTCTGTATTTTAAAGACCAACTATTCCAGTAATTCGACAACTTCCTTTAGGGACCTGCTATGATGTTTCACCACCCTTCTTTTCAGAATATTCTTTTCCTTATTTGTCATCAAAAGCCCTCTGGCTGCAGTTGAAATTTGAGCTGAGCCTGTGATTTTTCTACTTTTTGAGGAAGTATTTTCTGGTTTTTCATGGCCTGGAAATGCAACCCCTAAAACAGAGTTAGAAGGGGCAGTGCTGAATCCTCCACACTTTGTCACCAACTCCCTTCTCTCTCCCCTGAACAACACACAAACACACAGTCACTTTGTTTCTCCATCTTTTTCTTGGCACACTTATACAATTTTATTCCCAACACGTAATTGAATGATCTCTCCCTGATTCCTGGTTTAGGGGAGAAAGATGAGTAAAAGTTAAAGTAAAATTATCTGGGCAGTTGATAATGCAGTCTCTGACCTTCTACCTAAACAATAATCAGCTGGTAAAGTCCCAGGGCCAGAAACCAAGTTAGGAGCCCAGTAATAAGGACAGGGGACAAAGAGCACTGGGGTAGACTGAGTTTTCCAAACTGGGACTGAGAGCAGTCTGGATTTAGTCTGAGAGCAAGACGGATTTAGTCTGGAATCTAAGGCTGCAACACAAGAGTTGTTTAAATGATGTCTCTTGCTTCAGGTCAGGGTTGCACCATTCAGAATAAATGGTACAGTAATCTCGTTGGTAAGAATGCTATAGTTATCATATGAAAAGGGAGGGGAGAACCAAGTCTAGAAACCAAGCCGTATCTGAAAAAAACTGTCTCCATTTGCAAAGTAACAAAACATTAAATAGCCAACAGAATTGTTATATAAACAATGGCAACTCAGTGGAATATCATGCAGTCATTCAAAATTATGACTATGACTATATAGGAGCATGAAAACATATTATAATATGAAGTGTTTTAGTTTGCTAAGTTTGTGATAACAAAATACTGCAAACTGGGTGGCTTAAACAACAGACTTTTATTTTCTCACATTCTGGAGGCTGGACGTCCAAGATCAAGCTGTTGGCAGGATTGGTATCTTCTCAGCTTGTAGATGGCCATCTTCTCCTCTTAGTGTCTTCACGTTGCCTTTTCTCTCTGTAAATGCATCCCCAGTGTCTCTTTGTGTGTCCAAATTTCCTCTTCTTACAAAGACACCAATCACATTGGAACTCACCCTAATGTCCTAATTTTAACTTAATTACCTCTTTAAAAGCCCTATCTGCAAATACAGTCACATTCTGAAGTGCTAGGGCTTAGGTGTTCAACATATGCATGGGGGGAGAAGACACAAAATCCAGCCCATAATATGAGCAATAAGAAAAAAATGTTAGGATGATGTGAATTCCAGCAGCCACCACTCAGTAAGGCTTACTATATATTAGTTCCTTCAAATCTCACAAGAACACAAGCCACCATTTAAAAGGAAGAAACAGATACTCAAAGAATAAAACAATTTGCCAAAGTGCCCACAGTTATTACATATGGAAACTGGAATTTAAGGCCAGGTATGTATAACTTGAAGATTCATATTTTCACCATGCTAGGTTTACTCTCATGTCAGTGGGCTTATGATAAGTTAAAATATAGCTATCTGATTTTTAAAAAGTACACATTATTATAGCATATTTTATGCAAATAAAAGAGAAATAAATATAGTTGAGAATTAAATATGCAGCAAGTTACTTTGCAAGGTGTCATATGGTCAGTGGATGGATAAGAAAGACGCAGTTCTTGCTTTTAGGAAGAGGGAAAATTTGCATGTATAAATGCATAAAACAGCTACAGGTAAGAAAAACAGATGTGATAACCACAAAACAGATTAATTATGAAGAAATTAATTGTCTTAATCATATTATGCTTACAACTAAGTTTTGGTAAATCCATTTAAAATTTTGGTATTGTATATCAGTATGCATTAATTCATTAATTCATTCCATTATATTTATTGAGACTCTACCACATTTCAGACATGAATATATAGGCATGAATAAAACAAAAATGGTTGCTTGAAGACATGGAATCAACCTAAATGCCCATCGATGACAGACTGAATAAAGAAAATGCAGTACATATACACCATGGAACACTATGCAGCCATAAAAAAGAATGAGATCATGTCTTTTGTGGAAACATGGATGAAGCTAGAGGCTATTATCCTTAGCAAACGAATGCAGGAACAGAAAACCAAATACCACATGTTCTAACTTATAAATGGGAGCTAAATGAGGAGAACTCATGAACGCAAAGAAGGCAATAACAAACACTGGAGTCTACTTGAGGGTGGAGGGTGGGAGGAGGGAGTGGCGCAGAAAAGATAACTACTGGGTGCTGGGCATAATACCTGGTGATTAAATGATCTGTATGACAAACCCCCGTGACATGAGTTTTCCTATGTACAAACCTTCACATGCACCCCTGAACCTAAAATAAAAGTTCAAAAAAAATAAAAATATAAAAAGATAGTCTAGGAGCCATAAATTATCTTGCCCTTTGCCCCTATGCAATAAGCCCCAAACACAAATAGATCGCAATCTTCACTAGCTAAGGGCTTCTTAGAGATCTCCCTTTTTGAGCAACGTATGATTTAGCCTAACAATCCTAGCTTATCCTAAAGGAGTCCTTTCTGGCCATTAAAATCTCTCTTGCCACAAAAAAAAAAAATAAAAATAAAAATAAAAAAAAAGTTGCTTGTAGCTTCCAGAGAGAATTTTCAAAAATGGGGTCTTGAGACTATATGCATACAAACTATTTGAAATACTTTTTTTAAAAACAGATTCCTGGACCTTTTCCAGAACTATTCGATCAGAATCTCTGAAGCTGGAAATGTTTATTTTCAAGAGTTCACCATCTAAAGTTTGTGATTTACTGGTCTACAGGGAAAGTCAATAAATGTGATGGGTGATATAATAATTATTTATTGTGTGATAAATTATCTCAAAACTTAGTATAACAGCAAATATTTATTATCTCACAGTTCTGTGGGTCAGGAATCTAGGTGCTTCTGCCTCAAAGCCTCTCCCAAGCTACTGGGACTGAAATCTCACCCAAAGGATGAACAGAAGGCCCAGCTTCCAAGCTTACTCACAGAATTGTTAGAGGCTTCCCTTCCTCATAACCTGGAGGACTGAAGGCCTTGGTTCCTTGCTGGCTGTTGTCCAGAGGTCTTTCTTTGTCTTTTGTCATATTGGCCTCTTCATAGGGAAGCTCATGACATAGAAACTGTGAACAAACAAGAGAGCAAAACAAGACAAAAGCCAGGGCCTTTATGTAACCTCCTGTTAGAAGCATCATCAAATTCCATTAATCTGAAGCAGGTCTCTAGATCCAGCTTAAACTCAAGGTGAGGGAGGCGCAAGGGCAAGAATGCCAAGTCATCTCAGTGGTGTCCACCACTTGTCCCTCACCCGGACTTGGAGGGTCAGCAAAGAGCCTCTAAGCTCAGACCTGAAGAATGAGTAGCCAACATGGCGGGGGAATGGAGGGGCCAAGGACTATTCCAGAGGGTGAGGAAAGCACCACAAACTCAGGGGATAGAGAGAGATCAGTGCATCCAGGGAAACCCTATTTGTCTGTCTTGTAGATTTCTCAGTCGTTATCAAAAGCACATTATTTGTGCTTGTTTCTGGGGACTTTAGAAGAAGTTCTTATCTCTACACTATCAGGATCAAGGGGAATTTTTCTTCAAGCAAATGAGATTCCAGAGATACTAAAATCTTTTATGAACCTTAAACCTGCTCTGTGTGGGTTTTTGTTATTAACAACAACAACAAACTAAAACTCACACATGAAAATATAAAAATATATACGTTTAGTAGAAATAAGCTGGTTTGTTTTCTTTTAGTCCGTCTTTGTTGTGGCAGAAGTCTTTCACTAACAATAAATCCTTCTTTGCCCCATTTTAGCTTTAATTCTTCTTCATGCAAACATGGTCCAGGTGTGGGCCACACATTAAAAAAAAAAGAAAAAAGAAAAAAGAAAATAAAACTTACTGGGTATTTAAACTCTGTTCCTGACCGAAGGAAAAAAAAAAAAAACCCTCTCAACAGAAGCTGTTAATCTGAGTGGCAATGTGGATTGGAATAAATTTATTTGAATTTTTTAGTCTGTATCATATAACCCAAATTCAAAGTGGGGAATTGTGGTATCATAGAGAAGGCTCTGACCTCAGCATCTGGGAGAATAGGGTTTTGCTGGTTTTGTTTGGGCCCCTAACTGATGAGTAAGCATGGGTAATTCAATTATCTTTGCAAGGCTTCTTGCCTAATCTGGTAAATAGTTTGAGAGAGACCAGTGTGTTCTCAGTGTGGTGTCCAGATCAGTGCTTCAGAATCACCCAGAAGGAAACTTGTTAGAAATGCAAATTTGGGGCCCCACTTCAGACCACTGAATCGGGAACTCCTGAGTGGAGTGCAAGACTAGCCATTTGAATAAGTGATTCAGTGCGTTCTGAGACATGCACGCATTTGAGAACCACTGAGCAAGAAAATCTCAGATCTTTCCAATCTAAAATCTAGAGGATTCTGGAACTTTACGGGGGTAGCAAAAAATAATAGAAATGGTAAAGTTTTCCAATTAAAAAATTAAGATTGTTTTTGGACAAATAAAGGACATGCTAGCACATAATTCTCCATCACATAACCATTAGGAGAGATAGATCAGTGTAGATTATTATTTAAGCCCCTATATTGTAGAGACAAGTAAAACCAGGTATGGGCAGATTAAGCAAATACACCCAAGGTCACAAAGCAAATAATGGCAAAGTCAGAACTCATATCCAGAATCCTGACTCCTGGTTTAATATGTCTCCCTCTCCACAGCTATTACTACCTCTGTTTCAATAGGCTTGGGTACTGTATTTTGCCCACATACATTCTCTAGACACAGAAGCCAAGCATTATCTATCTGTAAATGTTTTGACTCAAATTTTACCTCTGATATCAATGGTTTTTCTTAAAGCACAAATCACGATAGAACACAAATACATGAGTATCTTGAGAAATAAAGCATATAAGGCTGGGCGTGGTGGCTAATGCCTGTAATCCCAGCACTTTGGGAGGCTGAGGCAGGTGAATCACAAGGTCAGAAGATCGAGACCATCCTGGCTAACATGGTGAAACCCTGTCTCTACTACAAATACAAAAAATTAGCCAGGTGTGGTGGCAGGTGCCTGTAGTCCCAGCTACTCAGGAAGCTGAGGCAGGAGAATCGCTGGAACCTGGGAGGCAGAGCTTGCAGTGAGCTGAGATTGTGCCACTGCACTCCAGCCTGGGCGACAGAGCGAGATTCCGTCTCATGGAAAAAAAAAAAAAAAAAAGCATATATACATAAGTTTCAGTGAATTATTTTCTTTGAAGCTCCTAAGCACAGTAATTCTACTTTGGCTGAGTACCTACAACTAAAGTTTCCTAAAGTTTTCATTCAAACTTTCATCTTTAAAATTGATAGTGCCATTAAAATAAAGGGACAAAGACATTAACTGTTCAGTAATTACTATTAGATCTCTCATGGTACTTGAAAAACATCATCCTCTTAAAAGATATAACAGGTAGTAATGGTTAATGGCCTAATTTGCTTCTAATTTTTACCAATGAGTAGTAATACTATTATTAGAAGTGTAATAAACAGAAATCTATCTTGTGAGGCTTGAAGAAGTCGTAGGCCAAAATAGATTTTCTAACCCCTTCCATAAATTGAAAGGATACTAACTAGATGTTCATGGTCACTTGTCCTCATTTGAGATCCCATAACCTTTGTCATAAGGCTCAAGCTGTTAACCTCAGTGCCCTGTCAAATTCCTACTTTAGTAATTCAGCTTTCTCTACCTAAATTTCTTTACAATTTCAAGTAAATTATATCTCCACTTCCCTTTCTAAAATAATGTTATAGTCTTATAGTTTTTTCTAACAGGTCTTGTTTTCTCATTCGCTCTCTGTTTCTCTCTCTCAGGGTTAATAAAAGGAGGTTATACCACCTCCTTTAATCTGAAATTAGGAAAACATGACATAAATAGAAATACATATGATCTAATCTAGTGCTGGCTATAGGAAACCTTAAAACACCATGTGTTGGAGAAAAATACTTGACAGTATTATCAGTTTATTTTAAAACTTTCTTTTAAAATTTACTTTCTTCAATCCATCCTGAATTTCTTATATTTTGAAACATGGCTATCTCTTCTCATTTGAGTTGTCATCTGTCTCTCTTCCTAGGTCACTGCTCTGAAATCTATTTAGGAACCTGTTGACATGTACAATAAAAAGACATTGCTGGTCTTGGGTTTACTATGCCACCAAGCGAGACCAGCCCATGTCTCACCCTCTGCAGGAATGGAAGAGGCAGTGTGGGTTGGAAATCAAGTCACATGGCTTTGATCTTGGCTTTTAGTTCTGCCAATAACTAGTGTAGACCCTGGCCTAAAGCATTTAAGTCGTCTGAGCTTTGGTATCTTCATCTATAATTCCTTTTAGCTTTGACATTTCATTAATTTTATCCATCTGGCTCAGAAGCAATTTTGTAGTCCAGGGGGTTCTTCAGAAAGCTTCACACACTTCTTTGGAGAGAGGAGCACTTGCAAAGCAATGTAACTGTCAGAGCTCCAAGGCCTCCATCCCACCTTGAGCATGACAACTTCCACTGTATCTCAGCCTCCATCCTCATTATGTATGGGAAGAGATTCAAGGTAAGATTATTTTGGGATTGGAGGATGAGGAGTGGAAGAGAAATTCCAAAGCTAACTCTTCTTTTTGAAAACCTTGTGCAACAGAATAAAATAAAATAGTATATTGTAATAGATTATGGAAATCATTTTTAGAGTCAAGGTCCTCTTTATCTTATTCAACTATAAAAAGTTTGATATTGTCATGGATTCTAGATCAGAGGTTGGCTGTTTTTTTTTTTCTGGAAACAACCAGATAATAAATATTTTCAGCTCAGCAGCCTTATGGCCTTGGTTTCTGTTGCATTGAGTCTGCTGTTGCTGTATGAAAACATCCATAGACAATAACTAAACAAATGGGCATGGAAGGGATTGAGCCCTGGGCTGCAATTTGTTGATCCCTGATAGAGATTAAAGGATTCACCTGTAAAAAGCTTTGAGGCATGTTTGCTTGTTAGAGAAAATTGTTTAGAATGATAATAAAGATTTTAGAATGTTTTAAAAATAGCTATTTTAGAAAAAAAATGTTTTATGATTTTTTTTTTAAAAGATAGTATATGAAAGAAAAATATTTGTCTTCTGTGCTCATTCTTACATTTTCCGAAACACGCATTCGTTAAATATTTTGGAATAAATAAAAATAATACTAATTTATGGTTGTTCTACCTTGTAATAATAATTTCCATCAAATACCTAACATTAGAATTATTTATCAAATCATCACTCTACTGGTATTCATAATCTTAGAATTGTGCTTTATAAATAGTTCCATTATTTTCAGCATGTACCTTGATGATCTTTTATTTTGTGTATTTACTCTATCTCCAGAAAAATCTCTTGCCTCTCATGGAATAGAATTTATTTTTAACCGCTGAGAAGACACAAAGGAAACATTTTGCATGTGCCTAGAATATATTTTTTGTTGTTTCATTTTTAGCATCAAATTCAAGTTTCTTCAGTATGTTTACTTTCCAATCTATGTTGCTGATTGTATAGAATCATGACTCCTAAATGGGTCGGTATCGGAAAGACCTGTCTTATCTATACAATTTCTGGATAAAACATTTGTTCCAATGAACAAACACACCATAGTGCACGTAGTAGGTAATAAATAAATATGGATATAATGGGTGACAAGCTTCCTAAAACATAAAATTAAACTTAAGCAGGACACAGCCAAACCAGAGATCTGATTACTTCATCTTAAAAGTAAATAGTCTTATTGAGTTTTATTATTTATTATTTTATTTTTATTTTTTTGATGAAGTCACTCTGTTGTTCAGGCTGGAGTGCAATGGCATGACCTTGACTCACTGCAACCGCCACCTCCCGGGTTCAAGTGAATCTCCTGCCTGAGCCTTGTGAGTAGCTGGGATTACAGGCATGAGCCACCACACTCAGCTAATTTTTGCATTTTTAGTAGTGACAGGGTTTTGCCATGTTGGCCAGGCTGGTCTCGAACTCCTGACCTCAGGTGACCCGCCTGCCTCAGCCTCCCAGAGTGCGGGGATTATAGACATGAGCCACTGTGGGCAGCCTTATGGAGTTTATTCAACTAAAGATGTAAGTATGGGCCGGGTGCTGTGGCTCATGCCTGTAATCCCACCACTTTGGGAGGCAGAGGGGGATGAATCAATTGAGGCCAGGAGTTCGAGACCAGCCTGGCCAACATGGCAAAACCCCGTCTCTACTAAAAATACAAAAAATTAGCTAGATGTGGTAGCACAAGCCTGTAACCCCAGCTACTAGAGTGGCTGAGGCATGAGACTCACTTGAACCCAGGAGGTGGAGGTTGCAGTGAGCCGAGATCATGCCACTGCACTCCAGGCTGGGTGACAGAGTGAGACACTGTCTCAAAAAAAAAAAATAAAAATAAAAATAAAAATAAAAATAAAGACTAAAAACATAAGCAAGCCAAATGATGGTATTTAAGATTTTCCAAGTTCAGTGTAACTATGATTAATACATAACTAGAAAATTGAACAGTGGTCTGTATAGTATTTTATTCTCCTACATTGGCTGGTTAATGTCAATGCCAGAAACTGAGTAAAAATTGGAAAAAAATTAAAATATTTAAACCTCTCTAATGATGTGCCAATATGAGCAAGGACACACGGCTAGGTTTCAACAGAGCAGCAGTTCCATGACCCGAGTCTATTGACTTTCAGAAGCATAAGGAAGCATTCGAGGGAGTGGTAACCTACAAAGGCATCTAATTCACTTCTCCGCTCAAACCTGAAAGGGAGGGTCTTGTGATTGCAGGTGAGTTGGATGGAAACTACAACCTCTCTTACACATGGAGACTATGTATTTGGAAACTGGAGCAGAGTTCAGATTTCTGACCCCACCCTTTTCAATTGATGTGCCTATACAACTGCCATAGAAGTGTTGAAAACTTATAAAATGGCTGTGAATAATTTTTTGTGCGCGCATCTGGTCACCACTCTTCCCCTCAGGGGTAGAGTCCATTTCTCCCTCCTTGAGACTGGGCTGGCCTTGGGAATTGCTTCCACCAATCAAATGAGAAGGAAGTGACACTGTGTCAGTTTCAGCTGTAGCCCTTACAAGGCTTAGTAGCTTCTGCTTTTGTTCTCTGGGGGCTCTGAGCTACTATATAAAGAGGCACCATTATCTTGCTAGAAAAAAAGAGATCCTGGCCTTCTAGCTGTCCCCAGCAGAGCCCCAGGCATTCCAGTGAGGTTATCTTGGGCATACCATGCCCAGGCTTGCTCCCAGCTGAATGCAGCCAAGTAAAAGACCCCAGCAGATGCCATGTGGAATGGAAGAGCCACCCATCTGAGTTCAATCAACACAGAGAACTGTGAGAAATATAAAATAAATAATAAATCAGTAAGTTGTGGCATAGTCTGTTACGTGAAATAGAAAACTGAAAAAAAAAATCACTTTATTTCAGCTCTGCAGCTTACATTTGATGGCTGCCTCTATATTATTTCTAAAATCAGTCTACTACATTAACCTAAATGCATTATGTTGAAGCTTTATTTTTTCTACCTCATGACTAAATTTCTCAAGACACACATACACACGCATGCACACACACACTAGTAATGTTTAGAATTTGCCAGGATCTGTATGTACCCTCCAGTGCTGTTTGTTTGTTGGTTGGTTGGTTTTTGAGACGGAGTCTTGCTCTGTCACCTAGGCTGGAGTGCAGTGTTGTGATCTCTGTTCACTACAGCCTCTGCCTCCCGGGTTGCAGCAATTCTCCTGCCTCAGCCTCCTGGGTAGCTAGGATTATAGGCATGCACTACCACGCCTGGCTAATTTTTGTATTTTTAGTAGAGACGGGGTTTCACCGTGTTGGCCAGGCTGGTCTTGAACGCCTGACCTCAGGCAATCTGCCCGTTTTGGCCTCCCAAAGTGCTAGGATTACTGGTGACAGCTACCACGCCAGGCCTCCAATGCTGTTTTTATTCTCTCATACGCTGTCTTCAAGGTGTCAGTGACATGTCAAAGAGAATTTTTCTTTTGATTATTTTCAACCTGTTTATAGCATATGCCAGTGGATTCTACAATTGATCCAACAAATGTTTACCCCTAAGTAATTAGCAGTAACATGAATTCACCAGAAAAACAAAAGAAAACACTGTGCCGCTGTGTTTGTATGTATGTGCACACTAGGGTGTAAGTGTGTGTGCATTTTAACCTTCCATCTACTATAATTAAACTTGTCTATGCCTGTTGTAATCTTGTGATCTGAAAGGCTTAAAATGAAATTTAACTGGCTCGATCCCCAGAATGTCTAAATTTTCCCAGCTCTAGGAAGAATGACTTTGACACCCTCTGTACACATCTGTCCCCCATACTCTTGCAGTCAGCTTCCCCCCACCCCAGCATTAATCCCTTAGTTTTCTTCTTGCCAAAGATGTTCTGCTGTTTGATAGAACACTAATCTCCGAGAATCTCAAAGTATCAGCTTACCTGTGAACGCCCAGAAACTGTCTCCATCCTTAGCCTCATCCCCTTTTATGTTTTCTTCATCTTTGAACAAATGCATTGCTTTCTGTCTGAGAATGAGGCTTACATTCTGTTGTGGTTAGGAGGGATATTGACCTGAAGGCACACTGTTCCCTCTTAAAGAAGCAAGATCAACATTCAGAATCGCTCAGTGACAAATCTCAATTGGTGGAAGAACAGGTCACCCATGGGCAGGAAACTCCGGTAAGCTCAGGGAAGAATTCTTTGTTAAATTAACCTGGAGGCTTTTGCTGAACTAAAATAAGTCTTGGAGAAAGAAATAGAAGGCAGAAGTAGGCAGATCAAATGTAACTGGGAAAAAGTTCTCTTTCAATATTAATCTCCCGTCATGGTTCTACACATTTGTAACAGGAGAGAAGAGGTGATACAAAAGGAAAGTGCAAATTGACAGTCTTAGGACTCCAGTTCGGGTCAATTTATTACTAGGAAAGAGGCTGAGCTGTGAAATGAAAAACTCAGTTCCTGCGCAGATGAAGGGTGTCTAGCTACAGTATTTCTTCACTGGGAAACTGCAGCGGATTTAATAGAATCCCATGGAGTACAGCTAAGGAGTTCACTGCTGTATGTCATGCAAGCCCAGTTTTCTTTTTTTCTTCCTTTTCTTTCTTTCTTTTTTTTTTTTTTTAAGAGGGAGTCTCGCTCTGTCGCCCAGGCTGGAGTGCAGTGGCATGATCTCAGCTCACTGCAACCTGACTCCCGGGTTCAAGCGATTCTCCTGCATCAGTCTCCTGAGTAGCTAGGATTACAGGTGCGTCCCACCATGCCCAGCTAATTTTTGCATTTTTAGTAGAGACAGGGTTTCACCATGGTGGCCAGGATGGTCTCCAACTCCTGGCCTCAAGTGATCTGCCTGCCTCGGCCTCCCAAAGTGCTGGGATTACAGGCATGAGCCACTGCACCCGGCCTCCAATTTTCAGTTCTAATGAGCGTCAAGGTTCTCATGATTCAACCTAAATGACAATTGTATGAAGACTTGTCTTTTGCAGGAATGATCTTTGCATTTGCTACCCTATGTCTAACCTTCTCAGGCTCACTGGTGATGTGGGATTAAAGGTGACAGGAAGGTGTCCAGCTTTCCCCTCCTGCCAATCACAGCAGAGCCACCTTCCCATATCTGTGCTGCTAAGCTCTGCTGAAAGCCCCGGGGTTTCCTTCAATCTGAGGCCAAGATTGTATTTGGAATGTTTACTGATACATCTCAGGAAATGCCATGATCTAGCAAGAAGGTTGAACAGTGTTTTGATGTTTGCCAGACTGCTGGAGGTCCGTAGGCCACATGTGTCCTTCCAGACCCTGTAGGCCTTTGGGGAGGCAGAAAACAAACAAAAACAAATAACATGCATCTGAAAATTCAGAATCAGCATAGGCTAATGGTATATGTGTTTGTGTGGGAATTTGACCTTGCTTCTAGGTCCCAGGATGCCTCTTACTTTGTTAGGTAGGAGTGATCTGTGTGTGATGTGACACCTAGTAACAAAAAAACCCTCTTATTTAATTTATTTATTTATTTATTTATTTATTTAGAGATGGAGCCTTGCTCTGTCGCCAGGCTGGGCGCAGTGGCATGATCTCAGCTCACTGCAACCTCTGGCTCCCTGGTTCAAGCGATTCTCCTGCCTCAGCCTCCCGAGTAGCTGGGACTACAGGCACACGCCAGCATACCCGGCTAATTTTTATATTTTTAGTAGAGATGGGTTTCACCGTGTTGGCCAGGATGGTCTTGATCTCTTGACCTTGTGATCCACCCGCCTCGGCCTCCCAAAGTGCTGGGATTACAGGTGTGAGCCACCACGCCCGGCCAAAACCCTCTCTTAATGCTTCTCATTGAATGTGGAAAAGCTGGGAAGAAAGAAGAGAAAAAGCTACACTGCTACACTAATGGAGGGTAGAAAGACTTATTTTTGAGATGGAAATAGAAACAAGTTTCAGATTCACTTAAGATTGTTTTGCTCTTTTTCCCTCTCAGCTCCACACAATTGTGGTGAGACCACACCTAGACGGCTGCGTGATGTCTTGGGTACCTGAGTATCCAAAAACTTGGACTGAGTTCAAAGGAGATGATTAAAGGAATGGGGGAATTGGAAGTGACTGACTGATGAGAAAAGATTAAAGGAGCCAAATCAAGAAACCTGACAGAGCAATAGCTAAGGGGAAAAATGATAAAAGCTACAAGTACCGGGAATGTGCAAACACCAAGTAAGAAAAACATTCCTTGTTATAAATTAGCAGAGGAAAGTTTTGGCTGAGAATTAGAAAAATCTTGCGAGAGAAAGTGTTCAATTAGCCAACTGATTACTAAGTAATTAAATTGGAGGCTGGATCAGGAGGGACATTTTACGAGCAAGCAGAATATATTTCTAGAAGGTACCTGGTAATGAGCATTCCAGCACATGGAAGGCACCATGGTCTGGACACCCTATAAGAACAAAATTCCAATAATTGAGACTAGTTAAGTTAAAAATTACATTAATTGCATTAAATTCTTCGGTCTTCTAAAAGGTAACTGGTTACTACAGGAGAAGGGCAGCAAAAAAACTGCAGAAATTATAGACTCAGAAAACTAGCTTTAATGTCAAACAACTTACTACAAATTACAACATGAAAATTAAATGCCTAGCATCTTAGTGAACTTAATGAGGTGAGCAACAGCTGCAAAAACTTCTAATGAAAAGTGAAAATAATTGAAAAAAGGCACTTCTTATAAAGTCAGGCTCCAGTAATGAGAACCATGGCTGCTTTGAAGCTTTCAAACAATTCATCCTGATGACCAAAAAGGATCCCTCTTGCTCGCGGAAGTCATTTTTTAGTTGTCCCCCTAAAATTCCTGGTGTGACCTTGCTGATAAAAGTGTGCTACCTTGTTAAAGAAACTCTTCTATTTAGACTCTCAGCACAAAGGTTATAGAAATCTTAGATACAATTTGCATAATCATCTGCCAGATAACTTGCAGTGTTAAAACTGTTCCCTTAAGTGTTGAAAAACATGCCTCTTGAAGATGACCACCCTGCCCTGATTTTTTAGGAAAGACTGAGTTTATAAAGTGTTCTATAGAAATCTACTGAAGTAAAATAGTCAAATTATCTTGGAGTTTAAAACCCAACATTTACCTATTCACCTATCACCTATTCTTTTTGTAATTGTGTAGGATTACAGACAAATTGGAACTCTTCTTGATAACACTTTTTCTGATTCCTTACTCATTTGTATCCAAATGATCTCCATTTCTCTAATAAGCGGGACAATTCTCTCCTTGATAAGCTTCACCCTCTGCCCCCATTTAACTGTGCACACCCCAATTTGCTCAGTGGTAAATTTTACAGGGGCCCTCTACCAGAATTAAGAATCATGAGCCTGCTTTAATTTGAAATTGCAGTCCTTTGCTACAATAAACACCCCCAAGATTTCCTCCACTGGCATTTAATAATCTGCTTAATTGCACTGGCAGACACAGGTATGGTTCATTTAAAGTCTGGCCGTTTCATTCCCCTCCTTTGTCCCCAATAATTGGTAAACAAAACAACAAAAGACTGGACATAAACGTGTTATTCTATTGTACATGATGAATGTGATTTTTACTCTCTATTACCTTTGACATTTTTCTCCTTTCCTTTTTCATTATTTTTCCCTAAAGAAATTTATAAGCCTACACCCTGGACACACTGAACTGAAACATCTACCACAAAGTGGCATCTATTTCCGACCTTGCCAACAATTTCAGCTTCCTGCTTACACTGTGCAGCTTCATTTTATGTCAATAGTGGTTTCATGCAGAGAACAAGATCTAAATGTGGAAAAGCGTTAAGAAACCATCCCCCAAATCGCTGTCACATAACTTGAAGTGGAAGGGAGCCCAAAGATCAGGAGAGAGGCACAGGATCTGAAAGCTCAGTGGGATCAGATAGACTGTACTGGAGAAAGTTTTTCAAGATCAAGTTCCTGAAATGACAATCACTCATCCCTCCCTGAGAAAGAGAAAATGCACGTGTGCTCACAGGAGCCTGCTAAGGGGTCTGGGGTTATGCAGAAACAGTTCCTTGTACTTTTTTGTACTTCTCCAGGGTATATATATTTATACAGAAACCTCCTCTTATTACATTAAAATCCGGTAACTTATCAATATATTAATTGCCATCCATGACTTGCCCTTCTTAGAAGTAGTAAGACTGAAGAATTTTCTTTTTAATTTCAAAGTTATATGCAGAACTACCTTAACTTGTTTTTATTACCTTTAATTAGCTTAATAATCTTCACATTTCCTTGTTGAATAACTGCTAACTTAATGTGTTGCCATAATGCATTTTTAAATTACTGCTTTAAAACATTCAGTGCTGATTTCCAGTTTCCACTCACTGTATTAATTATCTATAAATATGTGTGAGATTTCCTTCAGCAGATTTTCACAATCTCCTTATTATTACTATATAGACAATTTAAGGTGCTACAACAATTAAAAGTTCAACATCCCTGTAATTTACTCAACCATATAATTGATATTTATAAGCTCAGCAAACCTGGTAGGAAAGAAAAACATTAGCCAGCCCCGTTCAAGTTCACAGACCTTTAATTTGGATATAAGCGTCGGGATCTTGGTTGTAGAAACTAACAGTCCCACCCTCCTTTGTGCTCAGATATTTGTGCCTTTCAGGACACTGTTTCTCCTTTTTAAGCAAGAGATGGTTTTCTTGAGCCCATTTATTCTTGTAAGCATGAGTTGAAGAGGAAAGTGAACAAACCGATTTGTGAGTTGGGTGCAGGAAATGGACAGTTGTTGGACTCTCTTCAGCATTAACAGAGTAGAATGAAAAATAAAATGCCTAACTCCTAGCACTTGTTATACAATGAGGAATGTGCCACTTACAGTCACAGAACCTCTATTCTCTCATCCATACAATGGACATAAGATTTGCTCAAAATAAAGCTGAGCACCCTTGTGAAGAACTGAGGCTATATAAATACAATGCTTTGAAAACAGTGAAACGCTGAAAATGTGAAGATATGATTATTAATGTTACTTATCTATGAGGGCCCGAAGGAGCACGTAGACCAGTGGTCCTCAAAGTGTGCCCTTTTGGCCAGCTACGGTGGCTCATGCCTGTAATCCCAGCACTTTGGGAGGCCAAGGTGGGTGGATCACCTGAGGTCAGGGGTTCAAGACCAACCTGGCCAACATGGTGAAACTCCGTCTCTACTAAAAATACAAAAATTAGCCTGCTGTGGTGGCGCGTGCCTGTAATCCCAGCTACTCAGGAGGCTGAGGCAGGAGAATCGCTGGAACCCGGGAGGCGGAGGTTGCAGTGAGGTGATATCGTGCCATTGCACTCCAGCCTGGGCCACAAGAGCAAAACTCCATCTCAAAAAAAAAAAAAAAAAAAGTGTGCCCTTTTAATCAGCAGCATCAGCAGCCCTTGAAAGCTTGTTAGATTCTACTGCATCCAAAACTACAATTGAAGAACCAATGACTTCACCTGTATCTGTGATTTATCAAAGAAATTTTAGGTTGGATTCTCTAGGAAGGGTCATAAAAGGACCTAGAGACCATGAAGGAAAAAGAGGAAATGGAAAAGCTGTTCTTCCCTTCATCTTCCACGGGCAGTGGTAGTGGGTAGTGATCAAAGGTTTCTGTCCTGCAATCAGATTGCCTAGGGTCAGATTGTGGCTTTACCCACTGGGTGACTTGGGGCAAGTTAGCTAACCGCTGTATCTCAGAGGCTCACGTGAAGATGTTATGAAGAAAGCTAATTCATTTGTAAGACAGTGCTGATAATGCAGCACGTGCTCAAAACATGTTAGCTATTGTTATTCTCTAAGTTTGGCTTTCTGGCCAGCCCACAATTGTGTATCTAGCTATCCCACTGTGTAAGTAAAGTAAGAATAAAGAAGATATTGTACATGGTTTGGGGGATATATGTATATACACACACTGAATTTAAAAATTGCATGGTTTTTACATGCAAATCCAGGCAAACTTCAAAGGAAAATTGACAGAACAACCCCAGATAGTTTCCCCAGTATAGCAGTACCCCAAACCCTACCTCCTTTGTATTAGTTACTCTGATGCTGTAGGTTTCTGACTCCCCATTATGCCTCCCTGTAGATAGAAACGGTTATCCCTCCACCTTCAAGAAATGAGTGGCAGAGTTGATGGAAAAACAAAGCCCATCTGATTATTTTTATGAATCCATAGAATCAATTTCAAACAGACACAGAGAAAAGAATCTTGAAGAATCCCCCATTTAATGGAGAAAAGGTAGTCATTAATTTCATAAAAAAAATAGCATGTACATTCATTAATCTATTTGTGAGGTGCTAAGAATGTTCCAGGTGCAATGCTTATTACTGGCATTAAATACGCTGCAATGCCAGAAGCAGACAGTGAAATAATACAGGTAAATCTGTGTGCATGAAAAAAAAAAGGCTTGGGAAATCTGCGAGACACTACAATTAAGGGGAGATAGATGGCAACTCTTCTAAAAAAGGAGAATAAGGGAATCAAGGGCTTTCACTGTGGTTTCATGAAGGATTATTCAAAGATCTAAAGGCAAAAAGAGAAGCCCTGCAGGGGAAATGGAAAATACAGGTCAGAACCAAAGAGATGAGAGAGGAGGATAAGGACAGAAAAAGAATGTCGGAGTGTGTCCTTGAGGGTTGGAGGAGGCTCCGTGCAATTGTGTTCTGTCCTAGCAGAAAGAAGACTTGGTAGGAGAATTGCCCTTTAATGACTATATCCAGCTCTCAACTTACTAACCAACTCCTTAAGTTCATTGGTAAGTCAATGAGTTAAACTCTGAAAAAAAGTTTTCCTATGGAAACATTATTCATGGTGGTTTGGCTTTCTGGACAACACACAACAGGGTATTTGACCAAAAATGAAATTGAATATAGAACCTAATCCTTAAAAACATGATTTCAACTGTGTCTAACCAGCATTTTTAATATTTGGGCCTTTGGAAAAATAGAGTTTAAGTTCAGAGATGGGATGAATCAATGGATTCCTGGGCTTGGGCCAGCAGCTTAGCCCATGTCCCCTCTGCCTAGAATGCTCTTTCCCCAGACGACCTCAGGGCTTCACACAAAGGGCACCAGAGGTCGTTCCTGACCATCTTATCTAGAATTTCAACCTCCTCTCTCCACAGCATTCTCTAACTCTTCTCTGCTTTATTTTTCTGTATAGCGCACTATCTGATACACGATATATTTATTTTTTGATTTACTTACTGATGTGTGTCCCCCGGGAGGATGTAAATGCAGTGAAGGAAGGTTTTCTTGTTTGTTTGCCCAGCGATGTATTATACCACCAGTGCCCGAACAGTTATCTGATACACAGCGGGCTCTGTTGAATACATATTTGTTGGATTTGGTTATCTATTTGTTTATCTATTTGTTAACTGCAGGTTGGAGAGCTGAGGCTGGGCCAGAGACCAGACATGCTCCTGGATCCATGGTAATGCGCAAAAGAAATTGAGTATCTAAATCAGTCTTTCCCCAAGTGCTCTAAATAGGAGAGAGAAATGTGTGTGTGTTGGGTAAGTGGGGTTGGGAGAATGGCAGGGGTTATGCATGAAACATTCCTGGCCTAAGAGTGAAAACAGCCTGGGTTCTTCTCTTGTCTCTGCTACTTACTAGCGTATGACCTTGGACAAAACATTCTCTCTCCAGAATCATTGTTTCTCTCCACTTCACAGAGAGGTCACTCTCTTCCTATCCTGCAGGGCTGTTGATGAAGATCAGCTGGTAAAGATCAACATGTGATCTTCACATGAAAAAATTGATTATAGAACCTAATCCTTAAAAATGTGATTTTTAACTGTGTCTAACCAGCATTTTTAATATCTGGGCCTTTGGAAAAACAGAGTTCAAGTTCAAAGGTGGGATGAATCAATGGAATCCTGGGCCCAGACCAGCAGCCCAGGATCTGCTCATAAAGATTAACAGGTGAAAGTGCTCTGCAAACAATAAAGTGCATCCCAAAATAAAGAACTGATGATGATGAAAAGACGAGATATGCAAATAAATAGGGAGGTTAATTCCACAGTGACCCTCTGTAGGATGCTAGGGCTGTAGTTTTCTGAATATAGCTAGCTGTAATGCCTAGCTCAGTAGTCTACATATGCAAAGTAATCAGGAAGACTGAGAAAAATGTATGTACAATTGACATTCTTAATAAAAGGAAAAAGAAAGAGTTAGGGAAATATTCAATGAAATATGATACAAAAACATTTTGCAGCCTGATGCAGTGGCTCACATCTGTAATCCTAGCATTTTGGGAGACCAAGGTCAGAGGATCACTTGTGACTGGAAGTTAGAGACCAGCCTTGGCAAAATAGTGAGTATCTATAAAAAGTGAAATAAATTAGCTAGGCATGGTGGTGCACACCTGTGGCCCCAGCTACTCGAGAGAATCACTTAAGCCCGGGAGTTTGAGGCTACAATGAACCATGATTGTGCCACTGCAGTCTAGCCTGGTGACAGAGCGAGACCCTGTCTCAACAACAACCAAAAAAACCAAAAAAAAAAAAATGACAACAACAAAAAGTTTGAGTTGGAAAATTACATCTTAGTTCAAATGTAACTTTCTCAGAGAAGATTTCCCAGAGCTACCCACAGCTCTCACCTATCTATCCATCAAAAAGTTTAATCTCTCCTTAATAGCTTCTATCACAATGGGTAATTATAGGTGTAAGACATGTAATTTATTTGTTTATGACCTGGCTTTCCCCACCATCTCCATACTACAAGTTACATGACCACAAGACCATTTTTGGCTTGCTCACTAATGAATACCCAGAACCTAGTACATTACCAGCAATGTTGTAGCAATCACTCAATACATATTGGTTGTGTGATCAAATTAATGAGTACATAAATGAATGAATAAATGAACAATTACTGAAGACATGAATGCATACACACATACATATGTTCCAGATCATAACAGGAGAACTGAATCCACCTGGCAATTCCTTTCCTGCATGTGTAATAATAAAATAAGTTGGTTTTGTATTCTGTTTTAGCAAAGACAGCTTTCCTGGTGAAACAGTTCAGTACCTGATGAGAAGGGCTGAAGTGGGCTGTGAGCTGCTGATTTTGCTCCCACTTTTCATTCAATCTTTGTCACTGGCACAGGTGCAAGCAAGTCCTGCTTGACTAGCTAAACCTGTCAAGCAAAACCCTACTTAATTACAGGCAGAGAACCCTGGCACACCATTTGCGAGTCTGTCTTTAGACGGGTTTGTCCAACAAAGTCCAAATATGTGTGTCTGATGCTTTACTCTGGCTGATTGGTCTGCAATGGGAGGGGCTGGAGCCTGCTGGAGAATTGAAAATTAAGTTAGAGTGAAGGCCAGCCATACAGCTCTCTCCCTACAAATTTCCAAGACGTGGGTCTGCCTCCAGTGACCATGTAGGACATGAAAACCAAGGAGTGCTATATAGAACGGCCAGGCATAGATGGAGATAAGGCCTGAGGGAAGGGCACTCAACCTGGTCTCCCAAAGAGCATATTCCATCTTTTTTCAATATGCCCTATTATTGAAAAGAGTTCTGGTTTGGGAGTCAGATATCCAATTGATTTGGGGCTCATTTACTTACTGTGTTATTTACAATTTTCTGGTTTTCCCATTTGTAAAATAAGAATAAAAATACCTACTCCTCAATATTGTAAAGGTTAAAAGTATATGTATGTGGCAGGCATCTAGTGAGAATTTGAAAATTATAGTTAGTATTATTTTCTGGATTATATGCTTGTCTCATAAGTCTCACCATACAAATAGTTTGCACAAGGGTATCTTTATCTAGCTCAATCTTGGATATTCAAAGTGGATAAGCTGGGGTGCTTTAAAAAAAAGAATTATGCCTGGATTGTACCCCCAAAGATTCTGGAGAGATTAGTCTGAGTTGCAGCCTGGAATCCCAGATTTTTAAACCCTCCCCAAGTGATTCTAATTAGCAGCCAAAGTCACTGCTTTGGCTGAAGAACTCTCCACCCAAAAATTGATGCCGAACCAAACTTTCTCTACCCCACAAAGAACTAACATCAGAAATCCTTTCTAACAAAAAGTCAGCCTTTCTGTTTTCCAGTGATTTTAAGGGGACATTCTCCTGGAAGAAGCTACTCATTAATTTAAGTTGCTATTAGGATTTAAAAGTCTTTCTCTGGAGCAAGTTCTTACAGGAGAAAACGCAATGAAGCATCAGGAGAGAAATGCGGTACAGAGAAGGGAGGCTGGAAACAGCACCTGCTTCCATTTCTCACCATCTTTTATTCTCTGGCGTTATCAGCAAACTCAGAACTCAATTTTGTACTCAACTGCCATAGCTGTGTCTTCAACCGGAATTTCTTGATATTTTTCTTTCCCTCTTTCTTAAATTCTCAATGGTTTTCTTTTTTTCTTCTGACAATCGGCTTTGGGTTTATCTTAGCTGTTCTTTTACTGTGGGACCATACAAATTGTTTTTGGAAGAGAATAGGAAATAATAAATGAGTAAAATATTTCACCTTTTGCTGAAACCTTGCCCTGCATTATTTTATAAAAATATAAAAATTCGGGCCGGGTGTGGTGGCTCACGCCTGTAATCCCAGCACTTTGGGAGGCCGAGGCGAGTGAATTGCCTGAAGTCAGGAGTTTGAGACCAGCCTGGCCAACATGGTGAAACCCCATCTCTACTAAAAATACAAAGATTAGCCAGGTGTGGTGGTGCACGCCTGCAGTCCCAGCTACTCGGGAGGCTGAGGCAGGAGAGAATCTTTTGAACCCAAGAGGCGGAGGTTGCAGTGAGCTGAGATCATGCCACTGCACTCCAGCCTGGGTGACAGAGCAAGACCCTGTCTCAAAAAAATAAATAAATAAAAATAAAATTTCTACTGATCACTAGTATTGCAGACCCTCAGATGTAGTGATAATGCTGGTGGTAATAATAATAAAAAAACAAGCAAGCAAAAGTAATGATTTTTGAGCACTTACTCCGTGCCAGACATAATTCTGAGGAGTCTGCATGTATTAACTCAATCCGTCGTCACAACAACACTGTAAGCTAGATCAGTTCCATTCTACAGATGAGGAAATAGAGGTATCAAATAACCTTCCCAATTTCCAAGTTAGAAAGTAAACAAGTTAGCAGCATATACTTACTAGAAAAAAAATATAGGATACTCAATTAAATTTTAGTTTTATACAAGCAATGAATAATATGTTAGTATGTTTCAAATAATCAAATTTAATATTTTAAATATTCACATTTAAAAAATAATTTTTTTAGCATAAGTGTGTCCCATGTAATTTTGGGGACATAGTTAGAGAAAAAAAAATTATTCATTGTTTATCTGAAATTTACATTTAACTGGGTGTCCTGTACTTTTATTTGCTAAATGTGGCAACCCTAGTTAGGAGTCAAAGCCAGCCTAATTCCAGAACATGTGCTGTTACCATTATGACCTGCTGTCTCTGCCTTTAGGAACGATGGCCAGCTCCACGGTTCTGGAAATTTGGGAACAGGAGTTGAGGCAGAAGACATGGCTACCATGTGCCAGGGCCATGCTGGCCACCAGCCTCTTTCCCTTTCTCTCCCCAAGGGGATCTCTTAGTTTATCTGCAGGCTCAGCCTTGCTACCAGTTCCTAACCTAAAGCAGTGACCTTGGCCCAGCTGTTATCACTATTGAAGAGTTCAGAATGTCTCCTTGCAGTCAATTCAGACTGCAGGATAGTTTGTAGGGCATACATGGTGTTCAGGATCTGAGAAGTGGTCTCTCATTTTCTCTTCCATCATCAGTTCATGGTGGTCCCCGGCATCTCCACAGTTGAACTTCGGCCTTGACTGCTGTTATGAGTGGCCACTTAGGTAAAATGATTAGTGCATCTGCCCCTCCAAGGCTGGCATCCTGCTTTGCTTTTGTTAGACCTTCTCCCAAGGACTGGAGCCCTGCCCACAAATCTTAGCCCAAAAGTGTTACTACCTGTTGGTAATCTTCCCGGAGGTTGATCCACTTCTTTAAATTTGGATAACATTCACTCCAGATTCCTCCCTGTTGGGTGATCCTTACTTATCGAGACACCCCCATTCTTCATCTTAAATTTCTATCATCAATTGCATCTGAAGCCTCTGGCCTTCAGTTACCAGAATTGGCCTGCTGGACAGAACCTCCCCTGTATAAGCCTGCCCTTATTATTTCCCTGCCGGCTCCTAGCCTATGCCAACGGATGGTTTGAGCTCTAGGTCTTGGTGCTCCCCACTTGCCCTCTCCAGCAGCAAGCAACCAGCCAGTTGGCCCTGGCTGGATCCCAAGACAGGTTAGCATGAACAGTCTCTTCCCCTGGCACCTTCCTAACACCACACTTCATCCCTTTTTAGTAGGGTTTGAATTCACTATTCTGTGGAGTTGGGCCCCTGTCTGAAAGTTAAAACTGCTTAGAGATTCATGGGGGTGGTGGCAAGAGGAATACACAAAAGCTTTGTTTATATCCAAAGAAAAGAACTAAATGGTACCCAATAAACCCTAAAGTAAATATTAGGAAAGGGAAAACTATCCAAATTCAAGAACTGCAGGAAACTTGGGTTTATTTTTTAATAACAAATCATGCCAGACAACCTAATTAGCATTTTGATGGTGTTATGACATGACTAGTTAATGTAGCAGTTGGTGGTAATATCCTGGATCTTTCTTTTAATGAATCATTTGATAGCATCTCATGAAATTTTTACTCACTGTTATCACTCTGTAGTTTGTTGCAATTTGCTCAATGCCTCTTAATAAACATACAAACAAGTCTTCTGCCCAAGGGAGCTTACAATCAACAAGAAAAGTCAAGCAGAGAAGGGGTTCCCACAGGAAGGAAAATAAAATCTCTTACTACCGACACAGCCTGCTCTGAATTACCAAGTGCACTGGCCTCATCATCAGTCATCTTCGCAAACACTTATTAAATGGTAATCCGCACGTGGTGATGTGGAAGGATCTAGCTCAAGGGAGTGAAGCAGAAACAGTCCATGGTCTCTGCAGGAATTGACAATCCAGAGAGCCAGAGAAGAGACTGTGCTGCACTTTTCTTATCCTCTGTTCCCTGGTAGCTCACTGAGTTAGTATTTCACAGGCAAAAGCAGCACTAAGTCATGGTGTCTGTGGGGCTTGCTTTTGTCCCGATGCTTGGGAATACAGGAGTTGACCTTTTCAGCTTCTGAACATTTTCTCCCTAAAATAAATTAGGTTTACTTTTTGATTGTTTGTCAAATCTGAAGTCCTTCCATATATAACTAGGCCTCCTTTTAAAGAGCTTTCATTTTGGATTCTTACTTAATTTTTAACACATGTTCAAGTGTGCTCTGCTCATCTTTCAAGAGCACATTTCGAAAGCAAGTTTATAGTAAAGTATCCCCTTTCAGATGGTGCATTAAATCTTAATGTAATTTACTTGTGCTTCTGAGTATATACGTGCATAAGCCTATGTGTGAGCCCCCCCATCCTTAATTGCATGATGTACAATATGAATATGTAAAATAATCAGGATTTATTGGGTATTCCCAGAGTTTTATGTACTGTGCTGATATGCTCCTCTTAGAGGAAAGGTAAGATTTTTTATCTACATTTTGTATATGAAAAGATGAAGGCACAGAGAACTGCCACATGGTAAGTCATAAAAGTGGTCTTTGAACCGATAGTCTAACTCCAGACCTATGCTCATAACCATTACACTGATTGAAATGTTATTTTTAAAGATCCTATTTGTAAAACCTTTCCAGGTGATTCCAATGTACAGCCAGTTTGGGGGTAAATTATGTATAGAATGCTGTTCCCTCATTTAAGACAGACCATAGCGGACTTCTAGAATAGATGCAAGTTAAATCGCCTCTGTGGGACCCTGCAGGTGTGGTTGCCATAATTCCACCGTGCACCACTGCTGCTGCACACAGGAAGGGCAGCTGCCCAAAGGCTCCTGAACTAGGTTCCACCTTCCTTGCAATCCCCCCGGGACGCTTATGCTCAGACTGATGACTTTCACCTTGAGAACACAGCCCCTTCCCCTTACTGGTATCCCCTCTCACTATCCAGCCGCAATACATTTCCAAAGAATTCTCAAACACAACACAGTTTACTTTTCTGTGCTAGCGAAGATTTATGAGGGCACGAAGTGTATACTGGCAGGCAATTACAGCCCACTTGAAAATGCCTTTGCAGAAGGCTGAAATCTGATAAGGAAGCAGGGTGAGATTCTCAGAGGGAGCAGGCCTCCTGTTCTGCTTTTTCCATGTTCAAATCACCTCAATTTGGGAATGCAATATTTTTTAACTTGTACAGATTGACTTTTGTGCTGCTGCAATATACGATACACTTAAATATTTTTCCAGAGAATACATAGCATTAGAACTTGTGCATGCTGGACTGGACAGGACAGGTCCAGTGTCCCCTAGCCAGCCTGCCCGTCTGAAAAGCCAAGCCCACAGCTCTAAGGGAAGATGTTAAGGACAAATAAATCATCGTGCTTTTCACTATATGATACCACAATCCTTGCCACAAGACGATTAGACCAATATCATCACCTGACCCAAGGCAGCCATTTACAGGGTGTCTGGTTGTATTAGTCCGTTCTCACAGTGCTAATAAAGATGTACCCAACACTGGGTAATTTATAAAGGAAAGAGGTTTAATTGACTCACACTTCTACATTCTGGGGAGCCTCAGGAAACTTACAATCATGGCAGAAGGCGAAGTAAAGATGTCCTTCTTCATATAGCGGCAGCAAGGAGCGTGCAGAGCAAAAGGGGGAAAAGCCCCTTATAAACCACCTGATCTCACGAGAACTCACTCACTATCAGGAGAACAGAATGGAGGAAACTGCCCCATGATTCAATTATCTCCACCTGGTCCTTCCCATGACACGTGGAGATTATGGGAACTACAATTCAAGATGAGATTTGGGTGGGCCACAGCCAAACCATATCATCAGTGATCCATGAAACAGCTGCACTTGAGAATTCCACCCAACAGGGTGCCTTGTACTATGTAATTGTTAATGAACCTCACTAATCCTCTCTATGCCAGAGAATTTCAGCCTGAGGAACAGTAGAAAACAGAAGTGTAAATGCAAATACAGCCAGGAAGTAAAAGTCAGGAGGAGAGAGCAGAGCTGAGTACATGAGTTGGTAGAAGCAAAAATAATAAAAGCTGTCACCATAATGGTTTAGTCTCAGAAATGAAGGCCTCAGATGCTTGTTGCTGAGGTAGGAACAAGAGAGCCAGAGCGACAGTATAGCCATTCACAGCCCTCCTGTCAGGCTGGCTTTGAGCAAGGAAGGGCCCTGCCAGTGGTTTAATGCTCTGTTGCTGCCACCTTGAAATTCTTCATAAGACTTAAACGTGGGGCCCCGCACTGGCATTTTGCATGGGGTCCAGCAATTATGCAGCTGGCCCTGCTACTTGATGTCTTTTTTAAAACATTATGTAAGTTTTTATATAGAGACAGGGTCTCACTGTGTTGCCCAGGGTGTCTCGAACTCCCAGACTCAAGTGATTCTCCTGCCTTGGCCTCCCAAAGGTGGAAAGTGCTAGGATTACAGCTGAGCCACCATGCGCGGCCACTGTTGTCTTTTAAAGCATAACCTTTTGGTACCTGAGATGGTTTTCTTTCTTTCCTAGTGGATTATACAAGCTTTATGGACCCTGAAGCTTATATAATCACAAGAGCCCCTTAAAGTAAAAGGTTACAAAATTATGAACATAAAAGTAGGTTTGAAGTGAATATTTACCTAAATTGAATAAATAAATCCCAACAAACACCACAAACTAGAAAATCTAGAAACATAACTGTCTGATAGACTTCTGTAATATGTGTCTCACATTTTTGCCGCATTCTCTTTGTCTGCCTTTCTGTATGGTGATGGTTTTGTAACTATTTTCTCAGTCTTCTAGCATAGTTGGTCAATTTTCTTTAAATTGACGACTAGAGAGTTTAATTTTGTTTCACAACTTGATATTGGTAATATCATGTATATTTTTAGAACTGTTGTCAAATTTGGACAAACTCCTCGTGAGTTCAGCACATTTCAGGATTATTTGTCCAAGGACTTCCCTTAAATGCCCCTTGAAACAGAAAAGTCATTAACCAGTTCATCTCTGATGTCTTACATTGCAGCACCAGGTAAGTATCCAAAGGCAGCGCCCATGGGAATATTTCTGGAATCCATTCTGACCAGCATTAACTTAACACTATCTAAAAGTGAAGGATAACCCCATCCATATGTTCCACTTATCCTAAACCAAATATATACCCTGCCCAGTTTCTCCTGAGTTGAATCTCAAAATTGCCTGTATCTACTCCAATTCCACCTAACAAATGGGGAAGTGCAATTTAGAAGTTGGAGTAAAAGAGATGATTTTCTTGATTGTAGTTAAAATATCTTACTTTTTGCACATTTTGCAAAATCCTGTGATTACATTGCTAGAGCCGCTTCATGCAAGGGAGGGGGCCCTAAAGCTTAAGCTTCTTGAGCTTTTAAGTGCACTTAGAGGATATCTATAGTGAAATTATCTTTGTTCCTTGCAACCTGAAAAAACCCGACATACTCCCAATCCAACGTTGATCTGCTGGCTTTTCAAACAATGTTCAAAAACATTACAGGCTGACTTTGTGTGGTCCCCTAACTACGAGGAGTGGTGGACAGAGTAAGCTTTAAGGAAGAGAGGGTAATTACAACCTCTTAGTCTGGACAACTCTTTCCAGCTATACTAGCAGAACCTTTTCTTGCCTCAGTTTCCCTCTGCTTATTTGTTTGTTTGTTTGTTTGTTTTCCAAGCCTGTTCAAAACCAAACTACTCTCTACACAGCACCTAAAAAAATATGCCTCTATGTTGTGCAGAATCCTGGGATTTCCTGTTCTGCAGCTTTACTGTGTGAAAGCAACTTCCTCTTTCTTTATTCCCTTTTAATTATCCAGACACCAATGTACTTTGTTTATCATGATATTGTTTTTACAGCTTAAGCTATCATCCTTTAACACATGTACACAATGCACCAACAATACTCTTTACTCCAGATCATTAAATAGCTGCAATTTTCTCTATCTCCAAAACTCCACCACACCTTTTTCATCTTAGAACTTGGTTTAGATGTGGTTTTCCTTTACTATCATAAATCTGAACTAGGAGAAGAGTAGCAAACCTGTCTCAGTTTCATCCAGATCATAGTTCGATGAACCAATATATGTGAAAGTTCTTCACACAATATGCTGTTCATAAAAGAAATTCAATAACTTCTTATACTATTTTTTTTTTTGCTTCTCTGATTCAAAGGTGTGCAACATACATGGAAAAATTAACAATTTAAATGTCTTCTAAAATTTTTTTCTTGAACACATATGACCCAACTTTTACCTATAAGACTGAGTGGAGTCCAAAAATACTCATTGTCTCCTTTAATTTTTTTCTCTAAGTTATTTCAAAGCATAATTCTTAATTCTAAAATGTGCAAGGTGGCCTTAAATTAAGTTAATTGCTGGAATCAGTTGAAATATTTCACAATCTCTTCCAACTGTATTATGGCACACTGGTTTTAAAGCAGTTAATAGTTCTAGAAAATAATGTATTAGCAGTCAAAAATATGAATCAATGATATTACTCTAATATCATTTCAGAAGCAACCAGAATGGTGGAATTAATAACATCCTATTATTTTATTACTGTGTAAGAATTTATAGCGATGCTGACACCACACTAGGACTAATTCTCTCTTTTATTGGACTTTATTAGACAATGGATGACAGGGCCTTCTCCAGTGTCCCTGGGGAGCCCCACAGTGACCCAGGCAAGGTCACCTTCTTAACCCTCACCCAGAAGCTCATCATTCTTTTGTCTTTTCCAGTTCACACAGAGTTCATGCATAAAAATACCTGCCTAAACCAGAGGTCAACCAATCAACAAGGTGGTATTGGAACACTTAAACACTTAAAATCCAACTTGAATTTGATAAGTAATATATTATGGGCTTTCCATCATCAACTCGCTTTGACAGGTAATCTATCTTTAGATTTATGCTTTGGAACATTGACCAAAACTGATGTCGTCTGGCTGTCCTGAGTCCAAATTTGTTGACCTACAGGCTGAAGGTATGTGGGGAGAAGACTTCGACTGATGATCAATTGAAGAAAGAATTTCATTCAATGTTTCTTTATCAGCATGAGAGTTTGGGGAAGTTTTGGGTCCACGTAGGTTGAAAAGCTCATCCCAATCACCTTATATTGTGAGGTAAAATTTATGTTTTGATCTGCTATTGCTATCTGGATCTATAATACCTGCTTGTGGTCTAAGCAATTGATTTAAAAAGCTGCTCATCCCAGTCGCCCATTCACTTAAATGATATTTACGAAACACCTGATATACACTACTCATGGTTCTAGATATCAAGGGCCAACATGGAACAAGGCATTATTCTCCTGAAGATCATAATTCAGTCTTTCTTTCTGATTCACTGATAAGACCCTGCCTTAGCTAGAGATAGAATGAAGAAAGTTCTGATGCTGTCTTTCCCCTGGCCCCTTGGTTCTAACTTTAGAGAGAGCCTTTTTTGTTTGGTTTGGTTTAAGTTTAAAAGCCATTCATATTCAAGGCTTCTCTCCATTTTCAAGAATATAGCAATGGCCACAAAAAATCATTGTAATACTTTACATATTTAATAAAGTTTTATTCAATGAAGAGAATAAAATTGTGTATCATTAGGGTATAATAAAATTTCAGATCAAAGAGAAGAGATGCAGAAATTACTACATTCAGCTCTACCAATGTATATTCTTTCCTTCCACTTTGTATTGTATTCTAAGTTGATAGCTCTTGGGAAAATATTCTTGTGTATTTCCAAGAGACAAGACAAGTGAACATAAAATAATAACATACTGAAGCTAGAAGAGACCTTGTGAATCACCAAAACTCTGGATTCCCATGGGAGAAAATGGCCTTTTCTTCCACTATTTTCATTTCCAAGACACTGAAGTTTTTCAATGGCAGAAGCCATATGTCTTTGTTCATCTCAGTTTCTCAGCCTGCAGGAGGAATCCTATGGTGCCAGTGAAACTGATGTGACCTTCTAATCCATGGTCTTGTGTTCTTTCAACAATACCACATGAAGGAGTGTGTGGGAGGAGAAAGTCTCATAAATTGAAAAGGAAAGGCTTTGAACGGTTTTCTTTAAGCCAAATTAATGAAAATTAATAGCTCTTTTGCCCCAAAACCTGCACCACCACACGATCCTGTGACTGGTCTTCAACTGCTTAACATCAGCAGCTTTGGATTTAATGGAACAAGGGGAAAGTAAATCAACATTTATTGAGCACCTGCTATATGCCAGGAAGTTATCACATACTACCTCATCTGAAGCCACATATTTTGTAGAATTATACCTTCTGATTTGTTTTCCTTTCGTGTTTCCTTGTGAAACTCTTTTTAAGTAGTAATAAAGGGGAAAAAATTAGACCAAGAAGGTTTGAAAGATCCAAGGTCTCCTGATAGCTCACAGAAGTGATAACAGCCTAATAACCTGCTAGAGGATTAGGTGAAAGATGGTGGAGCTAGAATGGGTGGAGATGGGAAACCTGCCTATGTGCACGGGCCCCCAGGTAATCCATGAGACACAGCCCCTCAAGCCTCACCTGGCTTACAGGATTTAAGCAAATAACAGGAAGTCTGGAAGTAATAGTTAACAGTGTCAGTTCAGTGTTAGATCAGTCTGCATCTTTGTGATTCTCTTGGCTTTTCCTTCCTGTTTATCACTTTATGATTTCGAGATGGTTGCCTGAGAGCCCAATGTCTCAACTTTTCGTGACAGTAAGAAAGTAGGAAGGGGAAATGACAGCCACTTGTATGCCTTTTATCAGGATATGGAAATTCTATAATAGATTTCTACTATATCTCATTGGTCAGAACAATGTCACATGGTCGCTTTTGTCTACATGGGAAGCAGAAAAGATGAATACTCTATAGCGAAAGATGAAGAGTGAGAAGGACATTGGGAACAGCTACTGGAGAAGCAGTGTCTGCTGAGGCTTCCAGAAGTTAATTGAGGCTGGTGACCTTTAAAAAGACTGTAAGTTTCTGAAGGGAAACATTTGTAATTTCCTGTTGGCTGTGCCCTCAGAACTAAGTGGGAGTCAAATCAATGAATTATCAGTCATTGAATGAATGAATAGAACCAGGAACTGGAGAAAGTGCCACACAGATGCTTGAGAGAAACTGGGTTTCCAATAGGAGGAAAATGGAGTTGTGGGCTGACAATGCCAATGGGAGGCGCTCAGAGTTGATAGCAGTGGGAAGCTCCTTCCTCAAATTCCATTGTGACACCATTTTTCTAGGTTACCAATTTTCTGTGCCATCAGAAACCGTCCCTGGCTTATATCAAAAGCAACAAAAAAGACAACAAATGTTAGCATCTGAAAACACATGTTCTGTTCTTGAATCCCTTTCTCAGTGAAATTTGAATTGCTCTTATTAGGTGAGCTGTAGAACCAGTTAGCAGTTTCTCAAAAGCCTGAAGACACTTTTTGCTTGTCATTGTTCCATCTCTTCTCCCTCCCCAGCCCACACACCAAGTGATTATAAGTGTACACTTAAAATAAATTCTTGATTCTTTTTTCTTATATAGAAATGTGCTTAATTGGGCCTTTGTCATTCAGGGAGACTGAACAGATGGAAGAAGAAAAATTATTAACTAAGATTTCCCACCTCATTGATTGAGCCATCACAAAGGAGATTTAAAAACTTGAGATTTCTTATCATGCTTTAGAATATGATCATGTAAGCCACCAAGCAGTTTTAGGAATTCTTTAAACAAAGCTATTTAATTATCCTTGTAATCAGCAAGACCCGCATCTCCAGCTTAGGGAACAAAGAGAATATATCTTTTGCTTTTTTCCTCAAAATTTATTTGTTCACCCCACCCTCTCCCACTGCACAAGTCTAGTATCTCTCTATGAGCCTCCATTCACTGTTTGAATAACCAAGAATCAGATAGTTACTTATTTAGTCCAAAGGGTTCAATCTTCTCTCTAAGTGCTTCCTGGACAGAAGGCTGGGTTGTCCCAAAAGTCTACAAGTGAGTGACTCTCAGTGTTTTCTTTTTAAATCAACTCATACTAAGAAATCATTTTGTGCACCTTGATATTTTCTATTATATGCTATTTCATTCCAAAAAAAATGTGATTATAACCTACTAAAATGATTTCACTATACTACCCATTGCACTTGGGGAAGGGGGTTGCAATTTTCAGCTGTTGCTGTCATTCGGTGTTGCTGTTGACAGCTAGCCCAATGCCTCCCTGTCAACTCCTGCAATGACACCATCTGTCACTTTCCAGAACGTGAACTGACCATAGTTCTGCTCCACCCTTTGGACTCTCACAGTGAAGTTCTTTGAGTACATGGTCTCAGAAACATGAATACCATGTTGTGGTAGTAATGGCAGTAAGCATGGTGGGCACCCACATTGCATGACCCAGCCTTCGTCATGCACTGGGGAAAATGTCAGCTGTCCCCTCACACGCTCTAGACTTTGGTGTTAGGTCTAAACTCACATTCCAGGCTCATCCTTCTTTCATGATCAGTTTCCCCTCTGGGGTAACCATAGGAGCCCTTTTATGATGGCTGTAAAGTAGAATAATATTGAACCTCCTAGGAATTCCAATATTCCTAGTGTTTACATACCAAAAAGGAGGTTGTTCAAGATCCTAAAATAAGAATCTGCTATATTTATGGTCTCTACCTAGACAGAAAAGGAGGCAGTCACGTTTTATATTGCAACTTCACTTGTTTGGGATAATAAGAACATTGATATTTCACCAAACCAGCCCCTGTTATGCTTTACTACGGAGAACTAAGAGAAGAAGGACCAAGATTCACACCTGGCTTTATTGAACAAGCTGGGTCACCCTGGTCCAGTTGCTTCATCTTTCCACATGGCTGTTTCACCACATCTCAGACAGAGGTCATAATATCTTCACTGCCTAACTTCTACAATTATTATGAGACTGTTGAGATATCAGAGGTAGTGCTAGAAAAATTTTAAAAATTATCCTGATACAAATAAATGACCATGAATGCAACCTTAATGCTGTCTAAGTAAATTCTTCCACTGAAAATTTGAAATGGCATGAAAGAGGTCATGTTTCTAAGAACACACTTTGCTTAAAGTCAAAAATCACCTTCCTAGCCACGAGAACTCTAAGGATTTCATTATTAGAATATTTTTCCTGGAATCAAAATTGCCTTCTCTACTCACCCTTGAAGCCACTTCAATAAAAGCTCTTCCTAGTGGGCACTCAGAGGAAGTCATTTGTTTGATGTATATATTTAATTTTGTGTACATTTTTGTGCCTCATCTGCAAATCCCACTTCCAATATTTATCTCAAGATCCTCTACGGGACTCCTGATGTATACTCTTTCCTTCCAAGAAAAAAGAACTAATGGACTCAAAGGGAGTTTTGTAAAAACAGGGATAAATAGTAAATAAAAATCAAGGTCAAGGTAAGGGATTTGTGTCATCTTGTGGCAATTAAACCTGAATTGTATGGCCAAGGCAAAATAGTGTACTGATTTTCTTTCCTCATTGATGACTTCATTGCTGGATTGGATATATAACATCTTAGCTTTGAAAGAATGAATGTTTTAGAACACATTTTCTCTAAATCATTTTTCAAGACTTCCTGTTACTTCATCTAAAGCTGCTTTCCATTAATAATTCCTCAGTACAAAGCATCTAGACACACAGACACCATAATTAGGGGGATTTCAATTACCTATGCGAGGAGGCAGGTAATTGACAATCTAATTAGTCTCATTTCAATTACCATTTTTCTCTTCATTCGAGCAGTTAGTTGGAGAGTAGAGAAGGTTTGTAAAATATTCTAAGACCATGCATTTTCAAGCTAGATTTACAAAAGATTAAGGCTGGACTTTTCCAAGACCAAGGGAGCATACAAGATAGGAAGACAGGGGCCAAGACAGCTGCTGTGTGCAAGAGCCAGACAAGCATATTAGAAGCTCATCAGGCAAAAATGTGACTCCAAATCCTGGGGTAGAAGCTGGCAGATTCTTCAGCTAGGACTAATTCATTGTCCAAAGGAGAAGTTATTTGAAACATGCGTTATTTAGTGAATTAATAATCACTGTCATTTATTGAGTGTTTGCTATGTATCAAACACCATGGAAGCATCTGATGTGTAGTATTCTCTCGTTTTATAGTCACCATCAACTCTCCGTGGTTATAATTATCATCTCTACTTTACAAATAAGGAAAAGGAATGAGACAGGGAGATTGTATAATCTCTCTACCTAGATATTTTGACCCTGAATCCCATGCTCTCAAACTCTGTGTTTATTTCCTGATTCATGGAGGAAAACATGGCTTTGGATTTTAGCAGACCTAGGAGAAAATCCCAACTCCTCCACCTACCAATCAACTGTTCCAGTCTGGGCAAGTATTTGAGTTCTCTAAACCTCAATTTCTTCATCTATATAATAATAATTGTACTTTTGTCTTCTTGTGAGAATTAAGGAAGTTGATGTTTATAAAGTACTAATCAGGGTTCCTGGAACAACAACAAAAAAATAAACCTCCACCAAAATATTATGTTCCCCCTCACCTTCCTGAATAAAACAACAGCTGCCTTTTTCTTGCTACTGAAAATATGCAGTATACATATTGCATAGATATGTACGTACATGTAGATAAATATGTATGCAATAGAAAATTAAAAGTGCCTAAAGGACAAAATCAAAACATCAAGGCCAGTGGTAATATGGATTAACCAAGAGTAACTCAAGCCTGTATTATCTCCTCTCTGAGCCCTACAGCCCTGTTGGGTACAGTTTGCACCCAATCATCCAGTGCCCTAAGCACCCCTCTTCCATCTGGCATGATGGTCAGTTTCATATGTGTTTTTCAGCTTCCTTTCCCCTTCCTATTATGACTTTCCTGAATCTTCCAAGACAGCTTAAAACATAAAGAAAAGTTGACACTGAAAAAGGTAATAGATTTTTACTCAATATGTGTGACTGTCAGGAACATATTAGTTTATTTCTAGGAAATTTAAATGGCTTAATCCAAAAGTAATCAGGGCCCCTGCATATAGATTATAAGGAGATAGTCCTAAAAATAGGGAAATCAGGTCATCAAGCTTCTGGGCCAGTGCTGAACAACAGGAATATAACACAAGCCACAAATGCAAGCCATGTATATAAATTCAAAATTTCTAGAAGTCACATTTAAAGAAATAGTAAGAATAAAAAGATAAACTCACTTTTAAACATATTTTATTTTATTTAACATGTAATAGCCCCAAATCATCATTTCAATGTGTAATGAATATAAACATTATTATTGAGATACTGTGTTTTACATTTTGGGAGGGAGACCAAGTCTTTGAAATTAGTCATTTTACACATCAGCATGACCCAACTTGGGGTAGCCCATGTCAGATGCTCCACAGCCAGCCAAAGCTGGTGGCTACACATTTGATTTTGCAGGTCTAGACTTCTCATGAATCATATTCGTTCCCCAGTCAGTCAGAGCCAGTGGGAGATTCCTTATCGCCGAACGATAGGGTGAGCCTATCGTCTGCCACAGAGGATAGAATTTCAGCTGCAGTGCAGGTGAGCCAGGCTTCAAAACAACGATAAGCATCTGCACCAACTTTGTTGCCTTTACAATGCTTTGGCATGCTTTATTTCATGTGCTCCTCATAGCAAATCCACATTTTATCATTCCCCTTATATAATGTAAGTTTCCACTGATTACTGATGGGTTTAAATACTATATTCTAGTGATATGATTTTGGATAGGTTACTTAACCTCTCTGAGGTTCCCTTTTCATGCCTGTATAATAAAAAATAATTATTCATGGTATGGATGGTGATTGTAAAGATTAGAGGGAATGTATATGAAGTGCCACGGGATAAGTGCTCCAAAAGGATAGTAAATATTCAAATTGTGCAGACTCCAAGTCACATATTCACTGCCCCACATCATGCTGTCTGCATGAACAGGTAGATCTGAAAGATTTTACAAAAAAGAGAGCAGCTCAGCATCTGGCAGAGCTATTTCTCATCTAGATGATGCTGACTTTGATGCTATAGCCAATATTTTCTAAAAGTCCTTAGTTCTCAACCTCTCTACATAGACCCTGACCTACCTTTGTAGATTCTCCAGTGTGGATAAGTTGGGATGTGACATACAGGTCTTTTGGGGGACTCACTTTGATATGAACATGATGGGCACGGGTGGCTCAGCTGTGTGAGTGTTCAGCTCTCTTCCTTTGCCGGAATCACTGGATATCCAGACTTTGACCAAAAGTCTAGAGTCCTGAACTCCTTGATGCTGCATTTGCCCAAAAATCAGAACTCAGTGCCTCTAGAATGAATCAGAACTCAAATGCATCTAGAAATCAGAATTCTTTGGGGCATTGGTCATCTCAGAACCAGGGTAACACTGAATGGGTGGCAAAACTGTTTGTGGGCTTAAAATACTGGCACTGTTTATATGGCCTTATGCAGGCACCTGCTTATTTTAACTACATGCAAGTCTTGTTCTGATCATAATAAAAACTCTGGCCCCAGGCTTGAGTCCCTTGGATTTCACCAGAAATAGAAATTTTAACCTGGGTATTTATTTGGTGCACATAGTTTATACATTTTCATTTCTGAATTTTTGACAGTCTTATTGCTCCCATGTGCAGAAAAAGAGGCTAAAGGAGATTTGAACTGTTTTATTTGTAATTCTAAAATGTTATGGCATTTATCATAATGGACTCATCACGGGTGGCAGTGGAATCTGAGTCCAGGGGTAGCTGGGATATGAATAGATTTTCAATACTTGGGGAGCTGGTAGAAGAGAATGGAACACAGATAAAGTCAAGGTTCAAAGTGGGCAAGATTGGGGTTAAGGGACCCACAGAACATGCAGGAAATCAGAAATTCAGGTACTCAAGATGAAGATTAAATAATATTGACTCTTCTGCTTCTCAGATGAATTCTAGTCACTTTGGCTCTTTCTGATGCTACTGTTGCTTTTGAGATGCTCTGATTTTTTCTAAATAAACTTTACCTGTAAGGAGCATAACCATTCTTTATCAGGTTATTCTTGGAATGACAGTATATATTAGAAGTTGTTTGCTGAAACTAGCACCCCTGAGGAACCATTGTTTCCATTAGTGTATTTCTTTGGCCATTATTCTGGAGAATAATCTTAGGGTATCTTAGGGTTCAGATAACTAAAGATCTCTGGCCACCTTTTTGACCATGAGAGAAGGATACAGCTACTTGCTGTCTCCATGCAGAGGCTTGAAGTTGGCTAATATCAAGCTGTGACCTTGACTACGGACGACTTCCTAAGCTTTCAAAGGATCAGCATGGGTCTTCAACTACTGACCATGACTTAAGCTAAGACCATCTACTGCTGAACTAGTGCAGTTCCTCTCTCAAGTACAGTCCTGGAACTCTTACCTAGTGAGCATGAGATTTCCAGTGTGCTTTTTAGAATATGCTGTATATTATTTTAAAAATGTGATCGAGCTGGAGACTTTCTTTCCTTTTAGAAACACTTCAAAAGGTGAGGAACAAAAAGAACAAATCCATTCCCACCAACAAAAAGACAATGTTCAGTTAACCTTGTTCCTTCAAATGCCCACGGCTTCTTTGGTTCACCAACTGTCATAAATTTGCTCCCTCCTAGCACAAAAGCTTTCTTTGAGGTTGAGAGGTTGAGTTTTATCTGCCTCCAGGGATACGGGGTTGCTCTCCTCTGCATCCGAGGGCCCTGGAGTACTGTTGCTGGTCTCTTTTTAGATGGGCTTGGTATTCTAATGAATGAGTTGTGAAATGAGTTCCGAGGCTCCCCAGGAGACAGATGAGGCTGCCTTGTCTTCTCCAACGTCGACTGCATCTGTCTATTGCAAATCAAAGCAAAACCAACACCTAAACCAATCAATCCATCCCTAGAACTTCTGTAAAACATTAACTCCCAAAGCAAGGGAAAGAACAGTAAGGTGAGGTGACTCACACTTCTCTGTTTCCCTTAGGTAAAGAAAAACAGTTCCCTGTTTGCATCCTGTGAAAATTATTTTCAGGTGGCGAATTCTTTCTATTATTTGTAATAACTAGGCTATTGGCTAAGACCAACTTTGGGTTAAGTATTCAGCATTTCGAAGGCACACTGGGAATGAACTGTGTTTCCTAGGTAGAATTTTGTACCATTGGGTGTCTTATTGCCAGGAGATTCATGTTCTCCAATATTTTTTTCTAAATTCAATTACGAGAAATATATAAGACTATAAAACCTGCAGTTGGAAAAAAAAAAAAAGTCCTATTGGGAATGTAAACAGAAGCAAAGCTATGGTGCTTCTAGAAGTTCTATTTTAAAATTTCTGTTATTAAAAGTTATAGAAACAGAAAAAACATATATAAGGAAACCATTAAGAATGGGCAAGGACTATTCACTTGCTATTCCCAGTAGGGACTGGAAGATATTTGAAAATTGAAATATTGAGATGTCTTGATTTGGGCTATACTCTCCTATTAATGTCATTAATAAACCAGATCCATTGAGCTCAACACTTAAACTGTGTTTAACATTTCCCAATGAAATACATTTAAGGCACAGTCATAGCTGCCAACCATGAAATAGGTTAGATTGTTCTGTTTTGAGAGCTAAAACAACAGGAACTAAACATAAGCAATCAACAGAGTTATTCTGGCCATTTTATCAACCACGTGACTCCTCAATTGTTTCACAATTGCTAATTATCACAACTGAAAGAAGACCAAAATCCCCACAGAACTGTTGCTTCCCAACTGTCACGCAGAGAAAGTTCAATTTTCCTGTACCTGCTTCTGTAAAGCATAAGGCATACATCATTTCCCCTTTCTGGGAGTATAGTGAGAGTGCCTTTTCATTACATATCCTAACAAAACTTTTCAGGGTTTGCCAGGGCTTTCTCTAGTCTCCCCTTCATTATACAGAAACATTTATTTCAGCAGGACAAAGATGATTAAGTCGTTTCTGCTTTTCTTTATGTTTGAGTAACAAGCATCTGTGTTATTTTTCTCATTTTTATGTTTTGAGTCTCTTGCTTCAAGGTCCCTTTGTAAACTTGGGGTTAAGCCAGCTCTTCTGCTAGATTACAGGTGTCAGGGGAACCGGAATCATTTCTCCTTGTCTCTTCTTGCACAGAGACCCTGATAGCTGGAACCTGGAGGGCAGTCTCATTTTTATTGGATGATTGGATAGATTTTCAGTCTGGACTGATATTCACCAGAGTATTTAACTAATTTCATTGAATAACTTTCCCAAACGAAATGACACCAGAAACTTCTCCTACCCAATTGGAATAGAGAGAAAGACATCAAGTCGTTACAAACCACCATAGTTTATTATATGCATACAGATGAAGATGACTCAGGCACTCTTCTCAGAGCAGTGATTGGCTCTATAAACTAGGCTCTATTTGGGGAGGCCTTTTTAATCAGGGATAAGAATTATTCTCAGAAGACTATGTAATTTTAAGCAATGTAAAAATATTCAGGTAACTACAGTGGTAACAAATATCCATGATTATATTATACACAATCAATTCTATAAACTTCAAAGATATCAATGAAAATAATATCAAGTAAAGCCCCATAAATATACAGCTATTTGTGTTGATGAGAAATTCACCAGTTCCATTTTCTTACAAACTTTCATCTACAGTTCTGCCCTGTGGTATCTGCCTTGATACAAGTAGTTATAAACGTTTGGGGATCTTGCATACATAATTAATATGTTTGCCTATCAAGCTAGAACCCTAGCATATAGGAGTTCTGATAATTCCCGCAGTTAAAGAAACTGTTTGTTTTCCTTGGTATCACTCAATCTGTAAATGCATACAACTTAGAAACCCTTTGTGTATTGTTTTTAGTTGCACTTTGTTTTTTTTTTTTTTTTTTTTTTTTTTTTTTTTTTTAAAAAAGCAGCTGTGAAGCACCATTCTTGAAACATGTTATCAGATGCCTACTCTACACCAAGCACTGAACTCTGTGCTGGCCTGTGAGATTGCACGAAATGGACAAGGCTTCTACACTCATGGGTTATACATTCCAGCAGGAAGAGACAGGCAATAACCCTACAAGCAAGTCATTTTAAGGTGGCACTAAGTGCTGTGACTACCCACAAAGTGGAGTGAGAAGGAGTGAAGCCAGAGTAAGCAGTGGGGACAAATGTGAATCTTAGGAAAGACCTTTCTGAGGAAGTCACCTGCCATCAAACAGACTTCGGGATAGGCTACCTTATATCACCTACCTAAAACAGACAAACAAAAATGTTCCAGACACATTTTCAAAAACAAAGTAGAATTCTGGCTGCAAAGCCCTGTGATTCCATAAAGGATAGAGAATTGTTCTATATGAAGGAAATCCAGTTGGCAGAACTCAAGGCAAGCCAGCGGCCCAATAATGTAAGGAAACCTGTGTTCTAAGTTTGTAGAAAGTATTCAAAGTTGAGTTTCCTGAAATCTGAATGTCCTGTTACCTGAAGGCTTTATGTGAAGTGGCCTTTCTTCTTACATCTACCCAAATGCTTTCAAGTTTGTAGGAATTCTAATTCCTTCATGATTTTGTTTTGTTTTGTTTTGTTTTGCTTTTTGAGATGGAGGCTAGCTCTGTCACCCAGGCTGGAGTGCCGTGGCACGATCTTGGCTCACTGCAGCTTCCACCTCCTGGGTTCAAGCAATTCTCCTGCCTCAGTTTCCCAAGTAGCTGGGACTACAGGCGCCTGCCACCACGCCTGGCTAAATTTTTGTATTTTTAGTAGAGACGGGGTTTCATCATGTTAGCCAGGATGGTCTCAATCTCCTGACCTCGTGATCTGCCTGCCTCAGCCTCTCAAAGTGCTGGGATTACAGGCATGAGCCACTGCGCCCAGCCTCCCTCATGATTTTTAAATTTTCCATAGCACTTTTGATCTATGTTGAGTCATTTAAGGCTCAGATAGTCTTGCATTGCATCTATTCTGTGTGTTACCCCTGATTTTATAACTAGTTTATAAGCCCTCCTACAGATGTCCCTACTATATCTCCTAGCAGGATCAGCAAAATTTTCCATAAAGGATCAAATTGTAAATATTTAGGTTTTGTGGGCTACGTATGGTTTTTGCTATTCTTCTTCTTCTTCTTCTTCTTCTTCTTCTTCTTCTTCTTCTTCTTCTTCTTCTTCTTCTTCTTTTTTTTAATTTAAATGCTTTAAAGATGTAAAAACTATTCTTCATTTCCAGGCCACACAAAAACAGTCTTTGGACAGGGTTTGGCCCATGGACCATAGTTTGCTAACCACTGTTTACAGAACAAATCATGTAGTAAATGTGCAACATGTATGTGTTTATTGAGAGCATGTACATTTTCTAGAGTAATCTCCATGTCAGTTTTCTAAGAATTGAGGCTTACGGCCGGGCACGGTGGCTCACACTTGTAATCCCAACACTTTGAGAGGCCAAGATGGGTGGATCATGAGGTCAGGAGATTGAGACCATCCTGGCTAACACGGTGAAACCCCATCTCTACTAAAAATACAAAAAAAATTAGCCTGGCATGGTGGCACGCACCTGTGGTCCCAGGTACTTGGGAGGCTGAGGCAGGAGAATGGCGTGAACCCGGGAAGAGGAGTTTACAGTGAACCGAGAGTGTGCCACTGCACTCCAGCCTGGGGGACAGAGCGAGACTCCATCTCAAAAAAAAAAAAATAAATAAATAAATAAATAAATAAATAATAGAAAAAGAAAAAGAAAAAAAGAATTGAGGCTTACTTAGGCAAAGATTCAGGAATCACACACTCAAAGTCACTGCCATACTCACATACACATATTTACACACTCACACACCTGCCACTGAGGCATCAATCTTACGAAACAGATAGCACAGTAGTACTCAGCCATGGATCATTCGGGCACAGTGGCTCATGCCTGTAGTCCCGACACTTTGAGAGGCAGAGGTGGGAGGATCACTTCAGCCCAGAAGTTCAAGATCAGCTTGAGCAACAAAATGAGACCCCGTCTCAGGAGGCTGAGGTGGAAGGATCACTTGAGCCCAGGAGGTTGAGGCTGCAATGAGCTGTGGTGGTGCTACTGTATTCCAGCCTGGGAAAGAGAGCAAGACCCTGTCTCAAAAAAATAAAAAATAAAAAATGCCCACGCTCAGGCCTCACTACAGACTAATTGAATCAGAATATCTGGATGGGAGCCCAGATTTTTTAAAGTATTTTTTAAAGCCTTTCAGATGATTCTATTTTGCAGCTTAGTTAAGAACCAATGTTTTAATAGCAAAGACTTGGAATCAACCCAAATTTCCATCAATGATAGGCTGCATAAAGAAAATGTGGCATATATACACCATGGAATACCATGCAGCCATAAAAAAGAATGAGTTCATGTCCTTTGCAGGACATGGATGAAGCTGGAAGCCATCATTCTCAGCAAACTAACACAAGAACAGAAAACCAAACACCACATGTTCTCATTCATAAGTGGGAGTTGATCATTGAGAACACATGGACACAGGGAGGGGAACATCACACATCAGGGCCTGTCAGGAGATGCGGGGCAAAGGGAGGGAGAGCATTAACAAATAACTCAGGGCTTAAAACCTAGATGGTGGGTTGATGGGTGCAGGAAACTACCATTGCACATGTATGCCTATGTAACAAACCTGCACGTTCTGCCCATGTATCCCAGAAATTAAAGTATAATAAATAAATAAATAAAACTAAAAATAAAAAACTCAAACTGGTGGCATTCCCCCTAGAGTTTCTGATTTAGTGGCTCTGGGATGGGAGGCCTAGAGTTTCTTTTTCTTGCAATTTCCTAGATGATGCTTATGCTGTTTGTCTGGAGGCTGCACTCTGAAAATCATTGTCATAGAGAGAGGAAAGTTGATCCAGGTGAGAGCTTTCCTCTCATTGGGTTTTTTTGGTTGATTTGGTTGGTTGGTCTGTTAGTTGGTATTTTTGTTTAGTTTTTTTTTTCCTTAATTTTGAAGTTTTTAGTGTTGTAGCAAAAGAAAGAAAGTAACTTGAAGGCAGAGACCATGTGAAGGCATGGAGTGTATTCTTAACAATTATTTGTTTAATTTAGAACATGGGATTGTCTACTAGGAACAGGGGAGAAAAATGGTTTTGCTCTCTTAGTGGAGAAAGAAAAAATCCTGAATAAATAGCAGGGCATTTCAAAGACTACTTTAAATACATATTCCAATAATACAGAGAAGGCCTGTGATGAGGAAAACCTACTAATATGGTTTCACTCTGTGTCCCCACCCAAATCTCATCTTGAACTGTAAGTCTCATGTGTTAAGGGAGGGACCTGGTTGGAGGTGATTGGATCATGGGGGCAGTTTCCCCCAGCCTGTTCTCGTGATAGTGAGTGAGTTCTCATGAGATCTGAGGGTTTAAAAGTGGCACTTCCCCCTTTACACTCTCTCTCTCCTGCTGCCATGTAAGATGTGTCTTGCTTCCCCCTTTGCCTTCTGCCATGGTTGTAAGTTTCCTGAGGCCTCCCTAGCCATTCAGAAATGTGAATCAATTAAACCTTTTTTCTTTATAAATTACCCAGTCTCAGATATTCTTTATAGCAGTTTGAAAATGGACTAATACACCTACCAAAGCCAACAATTACAGTCAAAGGAGTTAGCTGATAAAATACTCTGGGCCAAATATTTTGGGAAGCTCATCCAAAAGAGAAAATACATCAACCTTCAAGAAGTCAGTGCCATGAAAACTGGCAACACTGCATTCATTATCTGTTGAAAGGTTTATGCATGAGACTTTATTTAATGAGTACAGAATCCCAGATACTATACATGGTTTCAGATGCCCCACTCATCAACCAGTGTAAGAGAAAAACCAATAAATCCTTGCTACTCAAAGTGTGGCCCTTGGACTAGCAGCATTGCTATCACCTGAGAGCTGATTAGAAACAGGGCTTTGTTAGGACTTTCGTGAGCCACAAACACTTTTGTCTTCATGGGCCCCTTCTTTCAGAAAGAAAATTAAGAATTATATCTTATAATTAGGCTAATATAAAAATATACATTAATATTATATATTATAAATTTTTCTTCAGCCTAAAAGTTTAGGATTTTTTCGTTTGATTTTAAAAGATGTTTAAACATTGCCTTGGGCCGCCAAAAGAACCAAGGGCTCTAGGCATTGTGCCTTCCGTCTCCTGCGCCTAAAGGACAAGTCAGCCCTGGTTAGAAATACAGAAATACAGAATCTTAGGTTCCTCCCCAAAGTTACCAAATCAGAATCTACATTTTAACAAAATCCCCAACGGACTCAAATACACATTCAAATTTGAGAAGCACTGTGGGTAACATTCACTTTAGCTTCACAAGCAAAGGAGTAATTCTCACTTTTCCATACTTTCTGAACCCTGAATATACGCTACCATACTCTGTGCTGCAAAATCAACTGTCTACCTCCAGAATCCCCATTGGCCTTGGGGCTGCACTAAAATTACAGAGCTCTACAGCAGGGTAGACACAGAGGATATGAGGGGAATTATGACAAGGTTCTTATCCTTTAAAATCACTGAGCAGCCACAGAGATACTAGATTCTAGCAGTCACTCGATATATCTGACTGTTTAGAATAGATCACAGAAACTAGTGGAATCCTGATGCTATTTTCTAGTAATACTGGTGACGATGGACATCATTGCATGATAATATTGGAAATTAGAAAAGACTTAAGGCACCCATTATTCCCTGACTATAGATTAGACTAGAGTTATATAATAGATCTAAGCATTTTTACTCTATTTTTCCAATAACATTAATGAACATAATGAAAAAACTGTATAGTACACTTAACGTTCAAATATAGATTCACATCTATGAGAAAAAATAGCAACTCAGTACTATGAAATTTATCACCAGTCTTTGGGGCAGCTATTCTAAAGCTTCTATCTCCATGATTCTTAAACTGTTAAAGGAAATTACTTTAAAATTCGAAATGTTAACAAATTAAAAAAAAAAGTTAACTCAAATTACTTCGAAATTCTAAATATTAACAAATAAAAAAACAAAAGTTATCTCAAAATGGATCATAGACCCAAATGTAAAACACGAAACTATAAAACTTCTAGAAAATAACATAGGAGAACGGCTGGGTGACCCTTGATTTCTTGATGACTTTTTATATACAACATCAAAAGCATGTGTCATGAAAGAAAAAACGGTAAGTTGGACTTCGCTGAAATTTATATCGTCTGTTCTGAGAAAGACACTGTTAAGGGAGTGAAAAGACAAGCCGCAGATTGGAATAAAATGTTTGAAAAACATGTATCTGATAAAGAACTGGTATCAGAACTATACAGGAACTCTTAAAGGTCAACAATAAAAAGCCAAACAATTCAATTTAAAAATGGTCAACCTAACTGAATAGACACCTCACTGAGGAAGATATACTGGTGACAAATAAGCATATAACAAAATCCTCATCATCATATGTCATTAAGAAATTGCACATCAGAACAGTGAGATACCACCGTATACCTATTAGAATAACTAAATTCCAAAACACTGACAACAAATACTGACTAGGATATGAGGCAACATGAAATCTCATCGTTGCTGGTAAAAATGCAAAATGTTACAGCCACCTTGGAAGATAATTGGCAGTTCCTTAAAAAGCTAAGTATAGCCTTACCAGAACAATCCAGCAATAGCACTCTTAGATATTTACTCAAATGAATTAAAAACGTATGTCCCCACAAAAACTTGCACGAAAGTGTTTATAGCAGTGTTATCCATAATCGCCAAAACTCAGAAGCAACCAAGATGTCCTTCAACAGGCAAATGGATAAAACAGTGGTAGATTTATGCAATGGATTGTTATTTATTGATTAAAGAGAAATGAGCTACCAAGCCATGTAAAGATATGGAGGAAACTTAAATCCATATTGCTAAATGAAAGAAGTCAATCTGAAAGGGCTACTGATCCTAACTGAATGACACTCTGGAAAAGGGGAAACATCAAGTACATATGGACACAAAGATGGGAACAACAGACACTGGGGCCTACTTCAGATTGGAGAGTGGGAGGAAGGTAAGGATAAAAAAACTACCTATTGGGTACTATGCTTATCACCTGGGTGGTGAAACAATCTGTACACAAGACCCCCATGATATGCAATTTACCTGTATAACAAATCTGCCCACGTACCTCTAAACCTAACAGTTAAAAAGTTAATTAATTAAAAATAGATAAATAAATAAACCCATGAAGACAGTAGAAAGACCAATGGTTGCTGGGGGATTGAGGGAAAAAAAGGAGAAATAAAAAGGTGTTTTCCTCAATTTTGGGGGAATTTTTAGAACAGTGAAATGATTCTATACAGTACTGTAATGGTGGATGCATCATCCACCATAACAAATGGCATTACACATTTGTCAAAATCCATAGAACTATGCAACATAAAACATAAACCCTAATATAAACTATGGACTTATGAATAATGTATCAATATTGGTTCATCAATTGTAACAAAGTACCATGCCAATGCAAGATGTTAAAAGTAGAGGAAACAGTGCAGGGAGAGAAAGGGTATGTAGGCACTCACTGTCCTTTCTGCTCAATTTTCCGTAAATCTAAAATAGCTCTAAAAGATAAAGTACATTAATTTAAAAAGATAAAGCTTCCCAGCATGCTGGGGAAGTGGATGGCTCAGAATCTTCTCCACTAATTCCTCCCAGAAGTTATCACCCCATGCAGGCTGCTGAACTCATCAAACTTACTGTAGTAAAACAAAAGTAGCCTCAGCTGAGTCTCAGACTTCATTCTTGACAATCTCTGAACCTGGACCACGTACACAACTATTTTGTAAGAAAACCCTAAAGAAAGCAGCAAGAATAATAATAGCTACTACATACTAGGAAGTGTGCCAGCCATTTTGCATTCTTTTATTTAATCTTTATAACAACATGTGACATCGGTTGTAATATAATTGCCTTATAGGAAAAAAATAAAAAGAGAGACAATATGATTTCCTCAACATAACTGTATTAGTCCATTTTCACGTTGCCGATAAATACATATCTGAGATTGGGTAATTTATATAGAAAAAGACATTTAATGGACTCACAGTTCCACGTGGGCTAGGGAGGACTCACAGTCATGGCAGAAGGTGAAAGGCACATCTTACATGGCGGCAGACAAGAGAGAAAATGAGAACCAAGCAAAAGGGGTTTCCCCTTATAAAACCATCAGGTCTCGTGAGACTTATTCACTACCATGAGAACAGTATGGGGGAAACGGCCCCCATGATTCGATTATCTCCCTCCAGGTCCCTCCCACAATACATGGGAATTCTGGGAGCTGCAATTCAAGATTTGGGTGGGGACACAGCCAAATCATATCAGTAACATACCAAATTATTATGAGAGCCAAGTTGCAAACTCTGATCTATTACAAACTAATATTTGTGCTCTTTCCATTAGGCACAATTTTTTCTCAATTCTGTGGGAATTCCCTTGAGTTGCAGCCCCTGGGTTTTGTGTGTGTAACATTTGAGATTGACACAATGCATTTCAGACATTTTTTCTAGCAATATATTAACACGTCTTCTCCAAAGATTAACATTCTCATCATAATGGGCTTGTTTGTTTGTGGTAATACATATGAATGCCAATATGTCAACTTTCACATATGCCCCTGCTCCAACCAAAAGCCACCTGCATGTTGTTTTAGGTCACAAACAGCAGTGGGCCACAGCTATCATGGGAGCAAGATACGGTCAGTCAGGGTTAAAATCGGGGATCCAAAATGGTAGCCTACTTTCAAGGAAATAGGTGGGTGTAAAGGAATCAAGCAGTAGGATCCAGAAAATAAGCAAATAATCAGGAATCAAGAGATTCACCCACAGCATGAGATGAACTCTGTGCAACTGAGCTACTCTGTCTCATCCCTGGAGCTTTCTTATGTTTCCTGAGAATAGCAGATTTACAGGTTGAAATATATGAATCTCACCAGGCTGGAGTGAACATGTGGAGAGGAAAGTAGTTCCTACAATATTCTTTTATTTTTCTGAAAATAAGAGTAATAATCTTTTTAAGATTTAACTATGTGCCAAGCACTGTGTCTACCCTATGTTATCTCAAATAATGACCAAAGAAACCCAGTGAAAAAAATAATGTTATCCTCATTTTACAGAAGGAAAAGTGTGGCTCCAAAAGCTTAAACAACTTTCTGATAGTAAGTTTGAGTCAAGATTCAGGCTGGGCACAGTGGTTCATGCCCGTAATCCCAGCACTTTGGGAAGCTGAGGTGGGCAGATTGCTTGAGCTCAGAAGTTCAAAACCAGCCTGGGCAACATGGTGAAACCCCACCTCTACCACAAATACAAAAAATTAGCGAGGCATGGTGGTGCATGCCTGTGGTCCCAACTACTTGGAAGGCTGAGGACAGAGGATCACTTGAGCCCAGGAGGCAGAGATGGCAGTGAGCCAAGATTATGCCACGGCCCTCCAGCCAGAGCAACAGTGAGACCCTGCCAAAAAAAAAAAAGAAGAAGAAGAAGGTTTAGATGCAAATCTTGTTGATTCCAAAATAGGTGATGTAAGCCACTATAACATTGCCTTGCTACCAAATGTTGGGTGGTGATAAACTACTACTCTCTGGCATTTTTTATGGATCCGCTTCATTCATTCTGACAATATTAATAGTCACAATTAAAATGGATGGCCCTTTTTGGGGATAAAGCTTTAAGCTGGTGGAATGCACGGCAGAGTTGTACCAGGCTGCTCAAGCCTCTACATGACACAATACAGAGATGCTGCCGGCCTTGCCATCTACTTCAGCAGCATCAGGAACCTCATCTAGTTCCCCTTTTGTGCCGTTAGCAGCATGTTCCTTGCCTGGAACTTAGTTAGTGCTTAACAGATGCTTGATTTTTTTTAAAGGCATATTATTGGCATTATAGTTACAAGAAGGGGCTGAAAGTCAAACATATTTGTGTCCAAATCCTAGTTCCACTTATTCAGTGTATGATCTTAGTAAAGGTACACAATCTCACTGACCCTCAGTGTCCTCATCAATAACACGGGCCTTTATAACACCTACCTCATATTGTTGAAATGATTCCAATGAGAGAAGATATTCAAAGCATTCAGTACAGTGCCTGCCATACAGAATGTAGTAAATAGTAACCTCTGCTTCTTTATTTTCTTTTCCACATAACCTGTTGTACTTTCTCACTAACAGACAAGAGATTACAGTAATTTTAATACTGAAACGTATGCTTGTAAGGTTGACATGAACAAAAGTATCTTATTTAGGGTATTAATTTTAGAATATAGTAGCTCATTTTCTCAATGGATGAGAAGTTACTTAAATAAAAAAGTAATCTTCTTTGCAAATTAGAATCCCAGTCCCATAAATCTGATATCTGTTCATCTTTTGAATTCCATCAATCCTCAGTTCTTCAGGCTATGGCTGTTTTATGCAAGTCACAGCAAAACAGGGCTCCGATTTGTCAGTTACACTCCATAGATATAAGGGTACACAGATAAAATCTATTAGGCCAGCAGGGCACCCATTAATGTTTCAGTGGCAGTAATTAAATCCTGATGGAAAAATAACTACAAATATTTCCTCAAAACTGAACCAGATGTTTTGGCAACCGAATGAAGGCACAAACCTGAAAAGCTCTGCATGCCACGGGCAAGGCTCCTCAGAAGCGAACCTTCTGTGAGCCACAGACTGCACAATGTCTCAGCCTGCCGCAATGTTAAATAACAGCCAAAGAAAGTCTCTCCTTCTGGGAAACTGCAGTCCATCCGGGCACACAAAGAAACAATTGGAAGAACTGGAAATTTATTAAGAACCCCTCTAATGATGAGGCAAAATGATTAACACATTTATATTTCCATGTGTGAGACCACGAGCAATTCACAGTAGCACTCCAACTTAGTCATGCCTCATATATCATCTTTCCATGATACAATTTCCTAATTAATGGGCAGTAAAAATATTAATTATTGCCATTTTCATTTAGCATTCAATTAACAAATGAAAACATAAAATGCATTTCCACGGCTGGTCAAAAACGACCTAGCGGACCCCTAAGTAACCAGCATCCTTTTCTTTCTATCTTTTAGATCGTTGCTTTCTTTTTTTTTATCCCTATCTTGCTACTCTTAGACAGGCACTCTGGCCCATTTCCCTTCTCAGTATATCATTTAAATATCTCGACAAAATGTTTTCCAGCAAGGCAGAGCTCACTCTTGCCCTGGCATGCATATCTACCATGAAGCTGTCATGTGTCCTGTCATGAAATGAGATGAGAAGAGTTATTTGATCCGTGGAGACTTAAATTAATAACGGTGGCACTGGTTTCCATCAGCAGGGTCAGCAGCAACGGGTGAGAGGAACACTGGCGCAGCTGGACTTTAATTCAATGCGGTGAGTCTTGAACTTCAAGAAGGGAGGGATAAGAGGCTTCTCAGCCATCACGTCCGCACAAGACTGTGGAGCACAACTGAGTGACACCGGCTACCGTCTCCTTATGCTGGTGAATTTCACTCTGTCGAGTCAATTGCTACCCTGGTACCTCTCTTATTAGTGTTAATTTATCTGCAGTGTTAAGGAGGTTAACGACACTGTTATTTTCTCTGCTACTGAGTTTTCCTGCATGTCTGCGGGATAATATTCACAGTAACCTCATCAGAGGAAGGAGTCACAGAGAGGACCTGACTGAACAATAAATAACCTTTAAAAAATAATGTGTCCTTCAGAGAGAGGAAACCAAGCAGTATAATGTTAATTGTGGAGACTATGGAGGAAACATTTTTCATCCATCAAGAATGACAGTATAAGGGTTGCACATTCCGTAAAACACAATATCACATAACATCCTATATAAAGGACTGAAGCTATAATTTCAAGCAGTTCTCATCGGTTCAAATTGAAATTCATTAAGGAAAGAGTTGCAGATATTTTCTAATTAGCCTTCATAATTCTTCTTGCATTATTTTTGTGTCAAACATTGCTTCATAGACCTGAGCTTCCCACGGTAGCAAACACAGTTAGGAGATACAGTTTCTTGCCTCTCTCGATACCAATAAGCCATATACTCCAAATCAAAGCATTTCCTCCATTTCCTCATGTGGTGATAAGATGTATGCTCCTCTTGACTCCCTGCAACCCTTGGTTTGTATCAGGATTTGCTGACCTGATAATTGCCAACTTTCTAAAAGTCATCTGTATAAAAGTCCCAGTGTTATAAGCACAATTTAAAACGTTATTTTAAAATCATCATCTAATATAACTAGAGAGACTATTTGAGATGTTCTGTGGTTCCACAATTTGATGCTTCTCATATTGAAAGGACTGTTCTTGAAATTCTTTGGGAAATGATTATATTTTAAAGTTATATCTTAGAGTTTGCCTTTCTTTCTCCTTTTAAAATCCAGACCCTTTAGCATGTTATTAAAATCCACCCACGGAGAGAAAAAGAAAAAATCTGCCGTTCATAAACTTTTGCCAACCAACAAATTCCCAAATACTACTACAGCAAATTATTCCCGACATAAACTGCAGTAAAATGTGAATAACAATTTTAAATGACCCCTCAGCCTCTTAATTTTCTGTCACTTGAGAAACGGCTTTGAATTGGCTGAAGCAAGTGCAAAAGTGTTTTCATGCAATGCTACATCTTACTCCTACATGGAATATATGTGGAACTTTACCCATGAGAAATTCAAGCCATTGCTGAGCTCAAATTATCTGTTATTTTCTAAAAGAACAGATAACTTGTTTTTCCTGCACTTCTTCAACTCTCTCTTGCCTTGCATTACCCATCCTTCTCTTTTAGAAGTCCTTTCCCATAAAAAACAAAACAAAACAAAACAAAAAAACCATAATTTGGTCACCTCCTGATAGTTATAATAGGAGGAGTTAGTAGAAAATAACAAAGATGAGCCAAAATGTTGATACTGATAAGTCTGCTGGGTTTATTCTTTTGTGCCACCCTTGAAGAAAATGGTTTAAACTTTTATGCACTTCATCAAAACTATAAATTATTTTGTTTCATGGATCTCTAGGACTACTCCTAAATAATCAATTTGTAAATATAATTTCTATGAATCCCAGTAGCCACACAGAGACACACATACACATACATAATTTTCCCCTGGCCTTTTGACAGACAGCTCCTTGAGTCATCAATTTCTTTATTTTACTCTCTCTGTGGACAATGATTCCCACTGAATATGGTAATTAATAGAAGTTGTAACGGAAAACGAAAGGCTTTTGGCTAGGTGTGGTGGCTCATGCCTATAATCCCAGCACTTTGAGAGGCTGAAATGGGCAAATCAGTTGAGGTCAGGAGTTTGAGACCAGCCTGGCCAATGTGGTGAAACCCCATCTCTACCACAAATACAAAAATTAGCCAGGTGTAGTGGCACACACCTGTAGTCTCAGCTACTCGGGAGGCTGAGGCAGGAGAATTGCTTGGACCTGGGAGACAGAGGTTGCAGTGAGCCGAGACCATGCTGCTGCACTGTAGCCTGGGTGAGAGAGAGTGAGACTCCATCTCAGAAAAAAAAGAAAGAAAAAAAGAAAGAAAGAAAGAAAGAGAGAGAGAGAGAGAGAGAAAAGAAAGAAAGAAAGAAAGAAAGAAAGAAAAAGAAAGAAAGAAAGAAAGAAAGAAGAAAGAAAGAAAGAAAGAAAGAAAGAAAGAAAGAAAGAAAGAAAGAAAGAAAGAAAGAAAGAAAGAAAGAAAGAAGAAAGAAAGAGAAAGAAAGAAAGAGAGAGAAAGAAAAGGCTTGGGCTCCAACATTCATTCAGTAGCTACCATGTACTTTAGAGTCATGAAGTCTTGGTTATAAATAGCAGAGTATAGGAACTTATCCCCTTTGTGCACATGAGGATACTAAAACTTAGAGAAGCAAGGCAACTGTAAGAATTGAACAGTTGTCAGCACAGAAAAAGGTGACTTCAAAGCTTGTGCTCTTTGTACAGCACCTCTCTGCCTCTGAATTTTGTGCATCTTGTGTTGGCATGCCCCATCCTGGGAAACACCCTACATCTCTAGGCTAAACATTAGCCCAGACATCAAGTACCTCATCCATTTTGACACTGGTCATTAACTCTGAGAACCGAAAGGTATCTGTTTGTGTTGTGAACTGCTGTGTTTTGAAAAACATCTGTGTGTCCCTGGTAAAAATTAGAGATATAAGGATTAACTTAGTCATTCCCATTAGTAGTATGGCTTGCCTGGTATATTTTTCTCATTGTGCTATCACATAACTATGTTTTCGGTTGCAAGCACAACCACCCACTTGAGTTAATTTAAGCTTTGGTGATTCAGAAGAGTAACTGCTAAACAAGAATGGGGAGGGTAAAGAATCAGGATTGAAAAACAGAAAGCAATCAAGGAAGGCTAGGGATGAGAATCTGGAAAGAACATCATCCCCACTGCCACTGCACAGCTGTGACACCACTGAATGCAAACCCCACAGTGCCACCACTTCTGCTGAGTTACATCATCTCAGTGCAAATCATACACCCGATGTTCAGAGTCCTGGGTGAGGGTGTTAGACTGATGGGGCCTAAGTCGATCATCTTTCCTCCCAGCTGGTCTCTGGGGGACAGGGAGAAGTTGAATACATTCTGTAGTAAAATGGTGACCTTTCCCCCCAATCAAGACTCATACAGCAGACGGTCACCAAAACAGGAAAGTTTTTTTTGTTGTTGTGGTTGATCATAAAAGAAAAAAGGCAAGTGTCCACGACAAGTAGCTTTGAAAAACTCTTCCAAATGTTTCTATTTAGCATAAATAAGATTCATAGAGGCCAGGCACAGTGGCTCATGCCTGTAATCCCAGCACTTTGGGAGGCCAAGGCGGGCGGATCACAAGGTCAAGAGATTGAGACCATCCTGGTCAACGTGGTGAAACCCCGTCTCTACAAAAATACAAAAACAAGCTGGGCATGGTGGCACGCACCTATAATCCCAGCTACTTGGGAAGCTGAGGCAGGAGAATTGCTTGAACCTGGGAGGTGGAGGTTGCAGTGAGCTGAGATCGTGCCACTGCACTCCAGCCTGGTGACAGAGGGAGACTCTGTCTCAAAAAAATAATAACAATAAAAAAGATTCATAGATATTTATTTGATTGAATGAGAACATAGTGAGATGAAGAATGCTTTATTTAATTCCTAAGTGTCTAAGTTTGTTTTTGTTTGTTTTAAATATATCAATATTTATTTTCAGATATTGTTTATTAATCAGTATTACAATTCATGACCAGTGTGATATAGCAAAGAATCTCAGAATTCAGTGTATACCTCTTTTCATTATTGAAACTTAAAAACATGGAAAAATACTGCTGTTAGAAAAATTAGTGCCCAGCAGGGAGCAGTGACCTGGTAGAGATGAAGTTAAGAATCCTGCTATCCAATCATTGTTCTACTACCTGCTGTCTCTGCACTCTGCTACTGGAATCTCTGCTCCAAGCCCAGGTCCCTCATATGTGATTTGGAGCTAACAATACCTCGGCAGGATATTACTGAGGGTGAAATGTGGTAGTGCCTGGCACATAGTAAGCTCTTAGTAATTATTAAATCTAAATGTTTATCTCTTTACAGGATTGAAGCCAGTGGTTATAAACTATTAATCAACACAATTTTCTCCCATTACTACTCTGTGCTCATAAGGGCAATTCTAGATCCTAAGTACTTTTAAACTGGCAGTTCCAGATAGGGTTGGCTTTATTGGGTTCTAAAACTTAAACCACAACTATAAGTCACATTCATCTGAAACGCATTCTTCTCCAACCTTTATATTATTGAGAGTCTCTCTGAACAAACTCATTTTGCCGGGGAACTTCACCAATTGTTGAGCCATCATGGTCAGGGTGTCTGCTATGTTGGAAGCATTTGAATAGGCTGATGTCGAAGGTGGGCACAGGAAACCATAAAGTGCACTTCTGCCCTCTTGGGAGCTTGCAATTTAGTTGAGGAGAAAAATACAGAGGCAGACATGTATGCAACCTATACCAACAAGAAGTTAGCTCCGCATTTGAGTTTACTAACTAACAAGGGCTGTTGGAGCCCAAGGGTAGTGATCACTGTGGTATAGCCTAAGCAGGATGGAGAGGGGTGAGAATTAATGGAAAATGCTTGCTCTTGAGAAGGGATTAAAGGAAGACTATAACTGGAATAGAAAAGAAAAGAGAAGGGCCGGGCGCGGTGGCTCATGCCTGTAATCCCAGCACTTTGGGAGGCCGAGGTGGGCGGATCATGATGTCAGGAGATTGAGACCATCCTGGCTAACACGATGAAACCCCGTCTCTACTAAAAATACAAAAACTTAGCCAGGCGTGGTGGCAGGTGCCTGTAGTCCCAGCTACTCGGGAGGCTGAGGCAGGAGAATGGCGTGAACCCGGGAGGCGGAGCTTGCAGTGAGCCGAGATGGCGCCACTGCACTCCAGCCTGGGCGACAGAGCGAGTTTCCATCTCAAAATAAATAAATAAATTAAATAAAATAAAAAGAAAAGAAAAGAGAAAGAAGTCTAGCCAAGTAACCTAAAATGAGACAAAACAGGATGGAATAGGAATGTTTTCGTGTGTGCTAGGAAAAAAAAAAAAAAGTTGTCACTATCTGGAGCTTTGGTTGAACCAGAAAAATCCATGGATTTCCCCATATCCCACCTCTGTAGTAAATTTCCTATCTTCTTCTTCACTAGACACCTGAAAATTAGTGTTGGTGTGTCACATGGTCCCACAAAATTCCTGGTAACCTTTCTCATCTCGAATTTACATACTGATGATAACCATCAAACTATCTTAAAATTATATTACTATACTTTATATAAATTCTCTTTTCCAGTTTCATGAAGATATGTCTTAAATTGTTCAGTTCAAAACAATTATTTCCCTGAAAATAATTTTAAGGCTGTAGCATCCTTGGAGGCTGTCCATGCATAGTTTCCCCAGAGCTTTGCTAAACCTCTGAGCCTCCTCATCCACACAGAAGAGAAAGGAGGTATTCCAAAGGGAAACTTAAATTTACAATATGGAAGGTAGCTAAGGGACTTCAGTGTTCTTAATAAAAAAACATTGTGTGAGCCTCTGTTTGAAATGTTATTTTTATGATGCCAACTATGGTAATTGTGCTGTCCCTGAAGTATTAGAGGTAGGTGGCTAATTTTCACAGTGATTCAGGCCATCATTGTTACACTAGGTGTTTACTGTCCTGGTCTCATTAGATGACTGTTGATTATTTTTCTCAGTGGAATTATAAATGTATTTTTCTTCTCTTGGTGGATTTTATTTTCCACATTCGGAATGTCTACTTATCATGGTACTTAAAGTCTATCTTTATGCTATATCCTGGTTATTTTTACATTGAATGGGCCTAGGATGTCCGAGTATTAATTCTAAATCTTTCAGTGTTTCAGTCTTCAGCTTCTGAATTCATTTTCACACTATTTATAGCTTTCTACCTTTAAAAATTGGTTCTGTGGAGTAATTTTGCTAGAACCACTCCATGAATTAATGAAATGATACAACCTCTATTACAATGGATTTCATCAACATATTTGGGGCTTTTGCTACATAGCAACTTAAAAGGAGCACTTAAAAGACAGCACAGACTTATGGCCATAGAGCAAATATATACACTGTACTACAGTTGTCAGAGATGTTCTTAGAATAGAGCTCTATGAAGGCTTACTGAACTAACACTAGTGATGGAGGAGGCTCTGAGGCTCAGACAGATGACATTGTTCACTAACACTCTCATGTAATGAACTCTAAGGAACCTGGAGTAAAAGTCCTGTATTCACAATTCTATCTGAGCATGAACACCAATATACAGGGCGCAATGAAGAGTGAAACAAAAGCAAAATAGGTGTTAGAGAGGGAAGTAAAAAGAACACAAGAAAATGAGTTGCTGTCATTTTAAGTACCTTTCCACAGGACTCTCTGGCCCTTTTCTGTTTATGCTAAGAGCTAGCCTCCTCCCTAGTCAAAGATTGGCTATCAGCAAACTAGTACAGGAACAGAAAACCAAATGCCTCATGTTCTTACGTAGATGTGGGAACTAGTGATGAGAACACATGGGCACATGGAGGGGAAAACACACTGGGCCTACATGAGGGTGGAGGGTGGGAGGACGGAGAGGATCAGGAAAAGTAACTAACAGGTACTAGGCTTAATACCAGGGTGACAAAATAATCTGTACAATGAACTCCTATGACACAAGTTTACCTATGTAGCAAACCTGCACATGTAGCCCTGAACTTAAAATAAAAATTAAATAAAAAATAAAAAATAGGCTGGGCACAGTGGCTCATACCCGTAATCCCAGCACTTTGGGAGGCCGAGGCAGGCCGATCACTTGAGGCCATCAGTTCGAGACCAGCCTGGCCAACATGGCAAAACCTCGTCTCTACAAAAATACAAAAAATTAGCCGGGCATGGTGGCACGCGCCTGTGATCCCAGCTACTCGGGAGGCTGAGGCAGGAGAATCACTTGAACCTGGGAGGTGGAGGTTGCAGTGAGCTCACATTGTGCCACTGCACTTCAGCTTGGGCAACAGAGCAAGATAAAAAATAAAAAAATAAAAAATAAAAAATAAATAAATAAAAATAAAATAAATAAATAAATAATACAAAATAAAGATTGGCCATCTACCGCAGACGGCTAGGAGGAGAAAAAATTTGCCTGCCTTATATTATTTCTTTTTCTTAATCAGAAAACGTAAGTGGAAGGATTACTGGGGTTCCACGAAGCTATATGCTGGCTTTCCCAAATTGTAGAAGACAATGACACAAGAAGAGAGATTGAGTTTGGGAGAGATGAACAGTGAGGAAAAAGGCTTGTATATAAACATCCTGCTCCTTAAAATTTGCAAAAATCATGCCGAAAGTAGCTCGGATGTATTCATTACCTATTGCTATGTAACAAATTATCCCCAAACTTAGTAGTATAAAATAACAAACATTTATTATTTCTCATTTCTGTGAGTCAGGAATCTAGGCGCCATTTGGCTGGGTGATTTTAGCTTAAGATCTTTGTATTAGCCAGGGTTCCCTAGAGGGACAGAACTATATAACTATTTAACTATATATATATAGTTTATAACTTTATAACTATATAACTATATATGTATATAGTTTATAACTATTAACTATATATAGTTTATAACTATTAACTATATATAGTTTATAACTATTAACTATATATAGTTTATAACTATTAACTATATATAGTTTATAACTATATAACTATATATATGAGTTTATTAATTATTAACTTACATGATCACAAGGTCCCACAATAGGCTGTCCTCAAGCTTGAGGAGCTAGGAGAGTCAGTCCAAGTCTCAAAACTGAAGAACCTGGAGTCTGATGTTGGAGGGCAGGAAGCATCCAGCATGGGAGAAAGATGTAGGCTGGGAGGCTAGGCCAGTCTCTCTTTTTCACGTTTTTCTGCCTGCCTTACGTTCAATGACAACTGATTAGATTTTGCCCACCAGATTAAGGGTGGATCTGCCTTTCCAAGCCCACTGACTCAAATATTAATATCTTTTGACAACACCCTCACAGACACATCCAGGATTAATACTTTGTATCCTTCAATCCAATCAAGTTGACACTCAGTATTAACCAACAGTCTTTCAGGAGGTTATAGTCAAACTATTGACAAGAGTTTCAGTCTCATCTGAAGTCTCAACTTGGGAAGCATCTGCTACCAAGCTTGCTCACAGGGTTGTTAACAGTTTCAGTTCCTCGCTAGTGACTGGACTGAAGGACTCAGTTTATTGCTAGCTGTTGGCCAGAGACCTACCTCAGTTCATTGTCATATGAGCCACTCCATGGGGCATATAGCATGACAGCCAGCTTCCCTCAGAGCATGAAAGCAAGAAAGAATGCTTAGGGTGAAAGCCATGGCCTTTCATCTTCAGGAAGGAACATCCCATCACATTTGCTATACTGTATTTATCAAAAGTGAGTCACTAGGTCTAGCCTACACTTAAGAGGTGAAATTACACAAGGGCGGCCAGGCACGGTGGCTCACGCCTGTAATCCCAGCACTTTGGGAGGCTGAGGTGGGCAGATCACCTAAAGTCAGGAGATCGAGACCAGCCTGGCCAACATGGTGAGACCCCATCTCTATTAAAAATATAAAAATTAGCTAGGTGTGGTGGCACACGCCTGTAATCCTGGCTACTCAGGAGGCTGAGGCAGGAGAATTGCTTGAACCCAGGAGGCAGAGGTTGCAGTGAGCTGAGATAGCACCATTACACTCCAGCCTGGGTGACAAGAGCAAAACTCAGTCTGAACAAAAAAGAAAGAAAGAAAAAGTGCATGAATACCAAAAGGTGAGGATCACTGAGGACCGTCTTACCCACCACACCTACCTATAAGTTTGAAGGTATCGAGAGACCATTTGCCTTACTTGTGTCTTCTCAACTAAGAGGTACAAGGACCAGAAATAAAGTTTTCAAAATAGTCAATCTAGAGGTGGTGTCTGTATATCCTGTTTTGCCCAGGAAAGTCATGGTCCAAGCCTATTTCCCTGGTCTGATTATGAGAAATGCCCTCATTTTTTTAGGCACTTTGAAAGGTGCCTAAATTTAAATAATACATTCCATTGGAGCTGTTAAATACAACTTTCTGTGTTAATGGAAATGTCTTGCATCTGTGCTATTCAATGTGGTAGCTACTAGCCAGGTGTAGCTATGGAACACTTGAATATGAATAGCATAACTGAGCAACTGAATTTTTAAACTTTGTTTCATTTTAATTAACTTAAATTTAGATAGCTACAAGGAGCTAGTGACTGCTGTCTGGGACAGCACAACATTACTGTTGTAATCTAAGGGTCGTAATCTAAGGTTAGCCCTCTTCCATGGGCAGGAGAACCTGAGATAGAAGCCTATTTAGTTTAATCCCTTTCTGCTCAATGTGGTGATCTGGAGCACATCATTTTAACTCTCTGGGTATCAAATGAGGAACCCCTATCTATAAAGGGATGTTAAACTGCAGAAGCATTGATTGCTCCTCTCATCCTCACTTTCTCTCTTACCATGTATTCTTTCATTACTCTGGCTAGAATGCTATCTTCTGCCACTACCTCCCTACAAAACTGCTCTTGCTAAGGTCATGAATAGCTTCTAGTTTGACAAATCTCATACTTTTTTTTTGAGACAGAGTCTTACTCTGTCACCCAGGCTGGAGTGCAATGGCGCTATCTTGGCTCACTGCAACCTTCACCTGGGTTCAAGCGATTCTCGTGCCTCAGCTATGCGAGTAGCTGGGATTATAGGCATGAGCCACCACACCTGGCTAATTTTTGTATTTTCAGTAGAGACAGGGTTTCACCAATGTTGACCAGGCTGGTCTCAAACTCCAAACCTCAGGTGCTCATCTCAGCCTCCCAAAGTGCTGGGATTACAGGCATGAGCCATCGTGCCTGGCCACAAATCTCATACATTTTTTAAAATCTCATCTTTCTAAATTTCTGATCAACCCTGATTATTGGAACACTTTTTTCTTCTGTTATCTATGACACCAATTTCTAGTAGTTTTCCTCCCACTTCTCTGGCTAATGTTTCTCAATCTCCTTTAATAGCCCTTCCTTTTCCACTGGTCCATGAAATGCAACAATCTTGATGGATCATGTCAATTCCAACTCTAAGATGTATCTCAAATCAATTCAATTCTTTCCATCTCTATTTCATTCAATACTGTCCAAGCCACCATTATCTTGTCCATCATAATAGTCTCATAATTGGTCTCACAGCTTCTACACTTGCTTTTCTCCATGCAGCAGACAGCAGTCTTTTTAAATGCAAATAAAAATCACTTTACCTTTTAAAACCCATCAAAATGGTCTACAAACCCCATCTGATTTGGCTCCAGGTCCTTTACAGCTTTAACTCATATTCATGTCATTCTTCCAGACCTCCAGTCAAAGATGACTTCTTTTAGTTCCTCAAATACACTAAAATGCATTCCTGTTGGAGTCTTTGCTTCATCTGTTTTGTCTGCCTGGAATGTTCTTCCTTGAATCGGGTAACTTCTCATCCTCTCTCTCTCTCAGGTCTCAAGTCTCAATTTTTAAGATCACCCCCTTATAAGATCTACCCCAATGTGCCTGTTTTTCTTCCAGAATAACCCAGTCTTTCTTTCATAACATTTATTATAATTAAATGGGATCATTCATTTAATGCATGAACTTCTCTTCTAGAATCTAAGCTCTACTAGTCAAAGATTTTGTCTGTTTTGTTCTGCATTGTATAAAATGTCAAGCACAGTGCTTGGAACATACTAAGCACACAACAAATATTTGCCAGTTAAATAAGTTTACTTCCATAATGTAGTGTGCCATTTGCCATTTGCCTTAGAGCCTATTTGGAATTCCTCTGAGGACAGTTTAATATTTTGTACTCTTTGATGATTTGTCTGCATTCTAATCAAGCTCTTTCTAACCTATTCTTAACTTCTTGGCAGTTCTCATGTTTGAAGAACTGATGTAGATTCTCTGGCATTTAGGAGGATAAAAAGGACAGAGCAAAATAACTCAACCTGGGTCATGGTCGGACCGTGCCCTTGGTTTTGTCTCTTTAAGAGTATGTTTCCAGCTCCAAGAGAATCACCAATCAGCTGACAAAAATAATGGGCTGTGTGCCAGTTACGTTTGTGAAATTAGTTCTCCACTCAGCCTTCAAATCCATCTGTCTCTTGTTATATCTCTGGCCACCCTATTCCAGGCTAGACTTCTGTCCTTCCTTTTATTGACTTCCTGAACAGCTTGATTGATTCCCTTGGATATAGACCTTGCTCTTTTATATACCAAATGTGACTAGTTTGAACCTAATAAAGGACCACAGCCTACTTTGACATAGCCACAAGATCTCTTATCCTTCTGCCTCTCTCTCCACCCTTCCCTGACCCTCCTCCCAACACATACCGGGTGTGTTGCCTTTGCAGGCAGCCTTGATTTGATCTGTTCATGACCAAGCCCTGCCTTCTACTGCCCAACATCAGAAGGTGACTTAAGCAATGCCTGCATAATTCCTCTTCAATTATATAATACTTTTGGTTTCATTGGTTCACAGGTTAAAAAAAAAACAAAACTATAATTCTGCTCTAAAAGCTGAATAATAAACCATCAGTTAAGGGTATATGAAGAATACTATCATTTCCAGCAGTTAATGGTACTCTCCAGAGAGTCTTTGCCTTTATATTTTTGGTATTCTCTGATCAGTGGTAACCATCCACTATAGTTGATGTCATATAGGCTCAACATTCCACTATCCAGAGAGTCTCTTGAGTTTCTTCTCTAAATGTTTCTGTTTGCAAAGGCTGAGTCAAAAAAAACTCTAGAAAAGTCCACTGCATTATTGTTACACTTTCTCATTGGTTTTACTATAAGAACAAGATTTTGTTTATGGAATGTTTTTAGAACAAATCGTCATTTCTCTTTTTATATTCTCCTACTGTAAAACCATGTTTCTATAAAAACATATCCACATGCATATTCATTATTTCATTAATACAAAGGTATTAGCCAGCATACATGTTGTATTAGTCAATGTGATTAATAAGCTTTCCAAGTTACTGCTAAAGCCTCTGCCCTTTAGCTAATGCCACTGTGTTGAGAGGTCAGACTCACTGAGTCACAATGTATCACCATGAGACCTTGAACAACTCACTTGAGCTTCCTGATCTCAGCTTCCTCATCCAGGAGATGGACATAAATAGTACCAGCTGCCTTGGAGGATGTGGGTACCCAGTAAAAGACACTGAAAACACATACCAATCTCTCTTACATCTGGGGATGGAGAATAAATCGTGCTAAAACAGACCTTCTTTGTTCTAGGTAGAGTCTCCTGAATGTCTGACTTATACGAATGTAGAGTGAATAGATTCTCATTGTCTGGGACAAAAAGTGTAACAAAATTTTGCATGTCTAAGTCAAGACTGTCTTTCATTAAGAACTCTAATATGAAAAGCTGGTCAAGGTGGAGGAGCAGATCAGTTTGTGTAAGGAACTCAGAGTCGTTGGGGGAGGATCGTTCAAGACCCACATTCCTACTCACAGTGATATGAAGTCAAAGTGACTTGTTAGCCTGGAACAAGGTAGCACTCAAGGTTCAGTGCCCGGGAAGGGTAAGGATGTCAGGTTGGTATGGTGGTAGGCTTTAGGGCACAATTACTGGGCAATGAAGTATGATCTAAGGAGCAAAAATCAGGGTCACCACTGTGTCCTGAGAAAGGACACAAGAAGCAGGTCCTGGAAGCAGCAGCCAAGCCTTGTCTTTGAATGTACATGATCAGCCTTCAAAAGAAACACTCTGGGCTCCAAGAGGCAACAATAGTAATAGACTGATTAGATTCTCATGCTCTCTGCTTCTCCTCCCATCCTTCCCCCTCTTTCTCTTCCTCCTCCCCCAGCTTCTACTACCTTTGGCACTTTGAAAAGTACCAAATATCTTTGGACTAAAGTTCCCAGTGTTCTTGAACTATTTTGTGGTGGTAGACCCCATAAAGAAAGTACTAAATTTTATATGAGTACTACAGTAGTACAAGTGAGCAAAGAAGCAAATAATTTTAGCTGGGCGCAGTGGCTCACACCTGTAATCCCAGCGCTTTGGGAGGCCAAGGCGGGCGGATCAAGAGGTCAAGAGATTGAGACCATGCTGGCCAACCTGGTGAAACCCCATCTCTACTAAAAATACAGAAATTAGCTGGGCGTGGTGGCATGCTCCTGTAATCCCAGCTACTTGGGAGGCTGAGGCAGGAGAATTGCTTGAACCTGGGATGCAGAGGTTGCAGTGAGCTGAGACTGCACCACTGCATTCCAGCCTGGTGACAGAGTGAGACTCCGTCTAAAAAAAAAAAAAAAGAAGCAGCAGCAAATAATTTTAAAACATACAGAGGTGATTATATTTATACCTTGAGTCAGAAGAGATCACACTATTTATAATAGTGAAAGAGTTGTATACGTAGAAGACTTTTGAAAATAGCAACATTCTATATTAAAAATGAGAAGGTTTTTTTTTCTTCTTTCAGTTTTTGCCTGTGACATTTACCCCAGACCCAGTATACTCCAAAATTGTCCCAGGTTGTCTGAAGGGCTCCCAGAAATGAACCTAGATCTAGAATAAAAATAAACCTTCTGGGACACACTTAGATTATTTCTTTTTGAGATAGGGTCTTACTCTGTTGCCCAGGCTGGTTCCCAGTGGCACAATCAAGGCTCACTACAACCTAGACCTCCTAGGTTCAAATGATCCTTGTATCTCAGCCCTCCGAGTGGCTGAGACTACAGGTGCTCACCACCATGCCCAGCTAGTTACTGTATTTTCAGTAGAGAGGGGGTTTCGCCAGGTTGACCAGACTGGTCTCAAATTCCTGAACTCAAGTGATCTTCCTGACTCAGCATCCCAAAGTGCTGGGATTACAGGCGTGAGCCATTGCTCCTGGCTGAACTCTCCTTAACTCTGAAATAAAATATTATGAAGCAATGTTTGAGATAACTTTAGACTAAGTAAGGAATACTGTAAGTCAGTCAGCTCTGAGTTTGCATAACAAAAGCTATATCAAGACCTTTGTAACAATTTCCCAGTTCCTATGTAAAAAATAGTAGACAACCACCAGACACCAGTGGCCCCAGGGTCCTGCACCTCACCTCAGATGTGAAGTGGCTGCAACTCCTATGTGGCCAGGAAAGGGATTACACTTTGAGATCTGGACATTTCTGTTCTTAGCCAAGTTATTGGTCTTCAACCAGTTCCTCAGCTCCCTCCTCAAACTGAACCCACTATCCTTAGCCAAGTTTCCCTGGCCACATTACACACATGACCTATTCCTTAGGCATCCATTACCTACCCAGCACAGCACCATTTCTCTTCCACATGACAACATAACTTGAGTCTCCTTTTCATTTTGTGCTTTTATTGTTTTCTTTTCCTCACAACACAACATGATAATCCAACAATTCTTCTCTCCCATTTTCCATACCCATGATCATCAGTCATGCCTGTTTCCAAATTCCAATTTCTAAAACCAATTTTCTTTACCCTGCAAGGTGATCTAAAATTGCTACCCTGGTCTTCTCACTGTAGTCCACAGTAGTGCCTAGCATATATCATGTATTCCATATAGAGTCACTCAGAAGAAAGACAATTATTTCGCATTAACTATTTTTCTTAATGAAACTAGTATGTATTTATTTTCTGCCATTTAAGAATATTCAGGCTTGCTGTGATACTAGACATCTTCTTTAAGAACATTTACTGCCTTCATTTTTCTCTCTTTTTAGTTGTACCTGATATTTCTATTATTCTCAATAATATTGAGTGCTGTATATTATTTACTTGATTCAGTTATATGCCATCTGGTTTCTTGTTCTACCAAAGAATTTAAGATGACTTACATGAATACTCAATATACAGCATTATGAAACAAATTTAAAATAAGTAGGGAAAAGTTTTTTTTTTTTTAAGTACAGATATAAAATAGATTTTTGGAATAAAGATAATATGAAGCTTTACACCATAAAAACTCATACAACTGTTCTGGGTGAATCACTAATTTGGCTCTCAAGTTCCTAGCTATCAGCTCCTAAAGAAAAGCCCAATCAGTTTAACAATTTATAATGTTTGTAAGAGAAATACAAAGGAGTCACTCAGAAGAAGCACAATTATTTGGGATGTTAAGACCAGACAGGAATCTCTCCCATGGGGGCCATTGAGAAGAGTCCAGTGAACCACAAGCCCATAGCAGGCTAACAGGGAGCACACAGAAGTTTCATTGGACATTTGAAGAAGGCTCCCTACTAAAAGCCTGTGGCACCTTTCCCAAGGACAATGGAGTGTAAACATCTTGACATGCCTTTGGCATGAATGATATTGTGCAGAAACACAGATCTGTGGTGACCTGACTTAATCTAGAAGTAAATATAGAGATCTAAAAGAACAGATGCAGTGAATAACTTCCAAGACATTTTCCCTGGAGACGGGTTTTCTCAGCTAAGTTTTGATGGGTGGGTGCCAGTCACAACCAATGAGAAACCAGACACTTGTCAGCCACTATATACATGATCTGAGATACTCACATCAACCCCAAAGTTGGGAATTATTATTCATATTATGTTGATGAGGGAGCTGGGACTCTGAGAAGTGAAATAACTGGCCCCAGGCTACTATAGCTAGAAAGTAAGGTGATGGGGATTTGAAGCCCAAGGCTTGGTTCCAAATTCATCTAATTTTTTTAATTACAAAAATTCTCACACATTCAGAAAGCTATAAAGATCAATGTAACAAACAAATGAATACTCACCACCCATGCTAACAGATGTTAGCATTTTCCTCTAATTGGTATACCAATATACCAATTTCCTCCTCTTGGTGCTTCTTTGGTGTCTAAGAAATGGAAACAGGCTAATAAGGATGGGAAGATTGCTTTTTTTCCAACCACACCAGCAGAGAAATTTCCTGGCTGCTGTCTTTTATAAATCTCTAACTGCCTTTGCCCAAAAATGGATTTGGTTGCATTATTTAAAACACATTGTGCTTTTTTTGTTGTTTTTTTCTTGGCTTACAGGCAGGCACAACTGGGGACTAAAACCTAAATGCTGCCCTGGAGAAGAAAAGATTCAGCTGTTGGCTCATCAGCCAACTTCTGACAAGAGTGGGTGCCAGTGTCCCCATCTCTATCTCTAAAGATCCCTTGAAATTCAAAACACAATGTGTGACTGGTCGATATTTTTTTCTTCAACTTGGCTGAACATGAATAAGACACATTGAGAGAATATTTATTTCAAAGGTACCACATTTTATGCAAGTAAATCTTTTCATATAAGTTCCATTGGGAAAATTTTTAATTTAAACAGTTAAAATGGGTTCAAGATCTCATACTCATGGGTATGTGTTGATTTAAAATATAATTTTCATCTTCTTCCACATCCATTCAGTATAAATTCTGGAAAGCCACAAAATGTAAGTTTCCTAAACCAAAGATGGCCTAAATTTCAGAATAATAATTTAAAAATTTACTGTGATGAGGGGCTCATGATCTAGAGAAGAACAGTGGCAGACACTGAACAAATAAAAATATTATATATATATATATGCATATATATACATACACAATATGTATGTGTGTAAATATAGATATTCATTCTCTTCAAATAATTGGTATAAAACTGGGCAAGGCTGCCTAGTTATGTGTTATTACATTTAAGTTAAAAAATGGTATATCTTTACTCTTATAACTTTCATTTGGACTATTATGTCTGAATCACCACATTTAAAAATTGTGATGGATATAATGACCATTTGAGTTAGCAGTCCTGAGTTCTAAGTTTTACGCTATTGGTATCCAGATACTACCAAGAAATATCAACAACCCCAAAGAAGTCAATTTACTTGTCAATATTTTATTCATCCATCTAAATAAATATTTGAAGTCCTTTGCTCTCTTCAGCCAAACTTTAAAGATTCGCACCCAGTTCAAATTTTTAAAATACTTCTTAAAGCTCTCCCACATTTTGCTTCTCTGACATTAAATAATTTTTGGACCCCTTTTTTATTCCCTGACAGCCAGTAAATGCTTATACTTTACACGTAGGAATGATATACAGTGGCAGTCAGACATAGACTGCCTGAGTTTAGTGAAGCAGAGACATAAAACAAATACATGGATCTTTTGAACCAAAAATTCACATTTTTTTGTGATTGTGTGTTTCCTGAAAGTGTCAATTTAGAATCATAAATATTGGCAATTAGATGATCATTAGTGATCTTACTGATCGATTTTCCTTCATTTTTAGAAATTTACACTAAAGCCGGAAAGTTGAAGTGCTTTGTCCGAAATCATAAGACATGTCCATGGGGATCAGCACTCAAAACAAATCCCTCGAATCTTCTCATCACTCCACGAAGCCTGTATTGGGTATCTAAATTTCTCAGGCAATATTTCTTTCCGTCTTTTTAAAAATTTTTCTATGTTGCCCTGTGTGTGGAGACAAAGCTTTGGCTCTGATGTAACCCAAATTGCAATGATTTTTTGGTAGCTGTTCAAAACAAATAAATATTCTTTACTAGTCAGGTTTATTCTTCTAGTTCTCACAGAAGCAGCCATTGCCCTCTTCTCTTTCTTTGACCCAATAAAAAGATAGTCAAACCAGGCCAAATATTTTTAATACCATCCCCCTAAAAAATAGTACACACATACACACACACACGTGTGTGTGCACGCACAGAGGGGCAACAAAATCAAGTGTTGGAAAGCCATACAATAAAAGAGAGAAAAGGGAGCTTTCTGACAAGCCCAGTAAAAGTCATTTCATCACCAATTTCACACTCCTGAACTCTGGTTGATCTTGGTCTAACATCCTCCTGTTACCATTTCTTGGTGTCCCCGCTCCAACTGGACATTGGATACCGAGCATGAAAATGTCCATTAAGGACACCATGCCCGTAATCAAATACTAAGACAATATTATCTCAGAGTGTACAGAGGGTATCATTTTCTTGCTCTTCTTAAGTATTCATAGCTAAATGATTTATGGGCACACAAATGGATATAATGTCCCATAATATATAACAGGACTAATATTTAATGTGTTTCTTTTTTACTTTGTTTGAATAAAATCCCCCAAAATACTTTTAGCAAATGATCATTAATTATGTGCATTGTCAAATGCTCTTGGGTTCTAATAAGCAGGACTCAGAATTTACAGTCCCCAGCTTTCTGCTGGTGACCATAAATTCAAAGCGGGTGACGGCACTCAATGAAATACCCCCATCACCGGAACAGAAGCCTCAAATGGTTCACTTTTGGACATATCATGAATTTTTTTCCAATTTCTATAGCATGAGTTGAAAATATCCCTTTGAATGTTAGTCTGAGGAACCTCTCAGATTATCTGAAGCTGTTTTTTTTTTTTTTTAATAGAACTCTATGACCCACAAGAGCCAAATCTGGCCTTCAGCCTGTGGGTTTTCTCAATTGCTTCTTTTGGATAGATGGACTACCTGGGACAGAGGTAAAAACCACAGTCGCTTCTTGAGGACTATTTGTCACCAAATATATTTTCCAAAAAATAAAAAAAAAAATTTTTAAGGAAAAATGTTTAAATAGAGTTGCAACTTCATAGTTAATTTACTTAATCTTCAATGTCTTTGCAAATCCATTATGCACTTGGGATGTCAGAGGGATCTACAAATTACCAAGCTGTTTGAAGTTTGCTGCTTTCTGAAGTGGCTTTGGTCATTTATTTTCAGAGAAATGTTATTTCTTCAACTTACAAGGTATGTAATAGCAAGGTCTTTTGAGACAGCCGTCTGAATAGAAAATGATTATCCACGTTTCTAGAGAAATGTGACTTGTTTTTTATATGAAGTTCTCTACAGAGCATTTAGCATTTTAAGAATATAAAAAGACCAAACTTCAATTTTCAAAGTCTGTAAGAAGTGTCTATGTAAAAGAGAGAAATGCAGAGAAAATAAAGGAAAGATGTGCTGCTTTGACCTGAGGTGAGACAGAAAGAATGCAGTGTAGTCAGTGTTGGATTCTTCTAGTCTGAAACTCTCCAAATACTTTAGATCAAAAAAGAGCAACGTAAGAAGATACTATCACCTCGTTATTTGGATACCAGACTTGAGATTGAAGAAATACTTGGCTCTTCAGATTATGTGAGAATTAATAATCAAGTATGGCAAACTAGATACTTGGGTAAGTGACAAAGTGTGCCAAGATATTTTTTTCACTTGAGAAAATCTGTCGTGTAAGGGTTTAAAGTATCCAGCTAAGAACAGAAACATGTATACACTACCCCACCTTTAATATGTTGGGAACTGTATAACAGAGTATTAGTGAATATTGCCACTAGAAATTTCATCTAAATGATATATTTCTAGTCAAAGTCTCCAACGAAAACTATATATTGGTCTGTTTTCATGTTGCTGAAGAAGACATACCTGAGACTGGATAATTTACAAAGAAAAAGAGGTTTAATGGACTCACAGTTCCACGTGGCTGGGGAGGCCTCACATCATGGCGGTAAGTGAAAGGCATGTCTTACATGGCGGCAGACAAGAGAGAATGAGAACCAAGCAAAAGGGGTTTCCCCTTATAAAACCATCAGCTCTCATGAGACTTATTCACAACAGTGAGAGCAGTATGGAAGAAACTGCCCCCATGATTCAATTATCTCCCTCCAGGTCCCCCCCAACAACATGTGGATATTATGGGAGCTACAATTCATAATAAGATTTGGGTGGGGACACAGTCAAACCATATAAAACTAATAAAAAAAGCAACAATACAATAAAAGGGAGAAAACACATGAAATGCAGCAATGAAAAAGGTGGGGAGAAAGGAACACTACCTGCCAAAAAGATTTGAAGAAAATGAATATGATAAAGAGTAAGATAAATCAATGTAAGACCCCCAAATCCAAATGCAACAATTTTCAGTTGGAGAAATTACACCCATGGGGTGCAGAACATGAGTTTCTTGATTCCCTGGCCAGTGTTGTCTCCCTTATGCAGGGCTAAGCCTTTGTAGTGCTTCATTGTACTGCAAACCACAAATAATCTTGCCCCTTATGTCAAGCCTGCAAAACTTTGGCTAGGACCCAGCCCTCCAGCTTCTTTCCTGAATAACAGGCCTTTCCTGGTTCTGTCCAGGTATTGTTTTATCATGGGTATCAGCTTCACCCTAAAAGAAGAGATTCCTATCCCTGAAACAGTGGGAGCTCCTCTAATCCACAAGATACAGTTTACTCATATTTTCTTCAAAGACCCTCCCTAATGTGACAAAAGACTGCTCCTCCCATCCCCGGAAAGCAGCCTGCCCTGGTTTCCAAGACAGGCAAACCTGTTTCTTATAATAGGCAGGGCTATATTACCACGGCTTTCCCTCATCTTCAGCTCATCTGTTATCTGCTACTCCCTTTCTTTTTTCTTACTGGGGGCCAAAATAAGGAGTTTCCTAGTTCCTTGAAATCCTGTCTATTGTTCAGCCTTCTCTGTACACATTCAGGACAATTCTTGGGTATTTTAGGGAAGCTGCTTTTAGAGTCGTAGGTTAACCTTTGTTGCTGCTAATCTGCATTATTGTCTTAATATCTGACTTGGTTTTAGAAGGATCCTGTTAAAGTTATTTGGTACAGTAAGCCTTAAGGCAATGTCACCATTGTTATATATTTTAAAAAAGCATGTTGTTTCTGATCTCTTTGATGGGAGAAGTTATTTATTTGGGTTTGAGGTTGTGCTTTTGGAATGGGAAGAGGGGTTACGGGGGGTCAGGTGTCCCCATTAAGGAAGGAACTGTAACATTAAACAAGAGAACCAGAGCAGGATTTATTATTCTCTGAGAGATTCACCCTTCAGGAAGGAAATATTTGCTTCTCCTGGGCAGCGATTGGTTCATAATGTTCACAAATGAAACTAAGGCAGCGAAACAAGATTAAAACTAGGCCTCTCCAAATTTAGATATCCAAAGTAGTTATTTTTCTATTGACTTGTATGTTAATAATCAAGAGGTGTGTTGAAGAAGAATGGGTTGGGGAGGGCATAAGTAACTTCCGGGAGGAAAAAAAACCCTAAAAGAAAGTAACTGTGAAGATAAGAAAGGAGATTTAAAATCAGGGTTTTATCTAGCTACCCAAGAAGCAGAGAGCCCCTTTTGGTGTAAGTTCTTCAAATAGCGCTATCTGTCCACAAAGCTTGAAAATGTTAATTTGTTTAGAAGGATAAAATCAGAATGGTAATTCAACCCCTACCTTGTGCACCCCAAAAGTAGCAACTCACCAACGAAAGCATCCCAATATTTTGGCAAGCAGTCACATCTGGCAATTTCATTAACCCACAAGTTTTTCACCTGGAAATGGATCCAGATGGTTTAGGAAAATTTCTATTGGATCTGAAAGTATCTGGATCTTTTTGGCAAAGAGCTGTTTTTAGACTGATATCAGACCCTTTAGTTACATCTACACGAAAGGGTCTCGATTCTGTTTCTACGTGATTTAGACCCAAAGGAAAGGCAAAGAGCTTTTGTAATGTGTGTGTTCCATTCCGATGGGTCTGGAGACTGTTGCTCTGCTGACTCCTGCAGACCACCCATAAAAAGAAAAGGAAAATGGCCATCCCTAGACTTTAATGCAGAGCATAAACTTTTACTACTTTATTAGATACTATGCCCTCACAAAAATTGGCTATGTCCATTGAAATAAACTAAAAGAAACTTAGGTGAGTCAGAAAGACCCAACACAGAGAACTATTACACCTCACTTCTCACCTTTAGAACAGATTATATTTACAACCCCAATCAATAAAATATACAACACTTTTAAAGTCCCCTAGAGGTGCAGATTCTATCATTATTATTGTCAGTCCCGTCTAGTTCTTATAAACCCTCAATGAAAAGGATATTGTGTTTATTTGGGGTTATTAGGCATTAACAGCCCACCTTCCCCATACCGTGGTCTCTGGGATATCCAGGAAGCAATGGTAGTAGGTTGCTCACTCCCCACCTTTCCCAAGTTTCAGGGCTGTCTGTTCCTACACTCCAGGATACAGGGTGATACTAGCTGCCACTGGCTAAATCTGATCCCATTGCTCAACTATTTGTTCTGCCACTTTTGGTGGTTAAAGTTTAGCATTCAAATCAAACTCGCATTTACAAGCTGTGCAACTTGGGACAAACCATGTAATCATTCAGTTTCTTCATCTGGAAAATGGTGATTATAACAGTACATACTCAACAGATAGCTTTAAGATGCAAACAAGATTATTTATGTAAAGTGCTTACCATGGTAAGTACTCAAAAATTGTTAATTATTCTAGTGTGTTCTTTAAAATGACCATCACTAATTCTTTCTTTATTCCTCCCTTTGCCGCCTAGTCCTCATACCTCTAACTCAGACCTTTAGATCCTTGGCCATAAAACAGAGATTTCCCCATAAAATCCATTTCAGAGCAAATTACGCTATCTCAGAGCTAGGTTATGGTAAACTTGACATAGCCCTGAACTCAATCATTTAAGGTTAACTTTTTTTTTTTCTTTTTTTTGAGACAGAGTCTTGCTCTATTGCCCAGGCTGGAGTGCAGTGGCATGATCTCGGCTCACTGAAACCTCCGCCTCCCGAGTTCAAGCAGTTCTCCTGCATCAGCCTCCTCAGTAGCTGGGATTACAGGCGCATGTCACTACTCCTGGCTAATTTTTGTATTTTTAGTAGAGATAGGGTTTCACCATGTTGGCCAGACTGGTCTCAAACTCCTGACCTTGTGGTCCACCCGCCTCAGCCTCCCAAAGTGATGGGATTACAGGCATGAGCCACTATGTCTGGCCTAGGGTTAACTTTTTACATTCCATATTCTCTTCTAGTTCTCAGAGCATCTCTATGATATGTAAAGAACCAATGTGATTATTCCCATATTACCAATGAGGCAACTGAGGCTCATAAAAAGTCAATAACTTATCAATAAGACCATACAAAAGATGTGGGGTCTTGCGTGCTGATTTGGATTTTATGTCTTTAAGCTTAAAGCTTCTTCCATCGCCTCACATTGGCTTGAAATCATATATGGAAATTCTTGTCCCCACACTAACTTGGAGTTCTGGCAAACATCAGAGAAGGAGGTCACAGAGGGCCAAGAGTGTGAGCAAGAGGTGGCTCTCACAGGTTGCAGAGGAGTTCTGGTGTCACTCAGTATATGCTGAAAGTTCCCTATTTCTTGGACTTTCCTCATTTGAGAAATACAACCCAACAGCAGTCATTCCCAATTTCAAGCAGGCATAAGAATCATTTCATGAAATTTGATCAGTGGGTTAAGAACTAGGGCCCAGAGGTTTGATATTTAATTAACACCCTAGTAGATATTGATGTATGCGGTCCCATTTTCCCACTTGAACAGAGGCTGCTTGAGCCCTAGGACATTGGAATTCTCTATGCTTAGTTTCTCTTGGTAGTAACTACACTTTACTTCCCTTCTATCGATTCTGCACCTACTGAAGATCCCTTTTCACATTAAATCTGCTGATTTTGTAATATGTATAGGCATAAACATCTGTATTATGTAGATCACTTTTCTGCAATATAGCAAGCCTGACAGTGTCATAAAAGAAAATTAGGGCAGTCTGGCAGGATTTAAGCAGCCACCAGTTATTTCTTAAGGTGGTTAATCCAGATTCATTATCTGTAGGGAACATTGGATGGGTCCTAAAGTATTGCTATTTGTAATGGGGAGTTTTAGTTTATTATTTCTTAGATATATGGCTATAATAATATAGTACAGAAGATAGTAACAGACTTTGGTCATTTACAGTATTATAGAATTAGAGGAAAATTTAATTCAGTTCACATTCAAAATCCTTCATGTTTCAAACTTGTCTGGTTACAGCCTTATCCATTGTGCCTATCTTTGTGGACACGATTTTCACAAGCTTCCCTCTGAGCTCTTCAAACTGAACCATAAGCTGGGAAGTCTTCTAAGCAACCTGAAGTCAAATATAAAATACAAGTCCCTGGAAGTCTGTGTGGATACCTATTGTGGGTGTTTGTATTTGTGTCTCTGTGCATTAATGTATTATAAAGCATTAAAATAATATTAAAATGCCATCACAGAAATACCTGGGAAAGTTCTATTTGCTATGTGAAATCCAGATCAAATGTCTGTATTTCCTATATCCTATGAGGCTATTTCATATGTGAAATACAGAGCAAATGTCTACATAATATAGCACATGAAATACATATGTGTGATGTATACGTATGTATACACATATATGTACAGTGGTATGCAGGTAAATGGTTAACTTGCTCTCTCTGGGGAAAGACGCTAGTTCATATGTTTGCCAATTTCCATGGTGTAAATACTCCTACCATGGCTAACTTAGAGCTACCAGCATGATGGAATGTGCACAATCCTTTCCTGAGCCAGCAGGAGTGGTCTCTATTATACCACTGTTATATACCTTTTCCATTTTCTCTTTGTCAAAAAGGAGGGTTTTTGACATAGAGGAGGATTTAACTAGCTGACTTTGAAGATGTTTTAACATTTAACATTGTGCTTTCTCTATTTACGTTTATACGCTATAATTAATTGTCATAGCTTGAGTAGGAAAGTAGGTGGTCCACGGTGCCTTTAATCCTCCTGAAACTACAAAGTTTATCAAAGTGGAGATTTAAAGGCCACTACACAAATGTAGGGTTTTGAAATTCACTGCTTCTCCCAGGGTTTGTAATCCCATGGGATTGCAGAAATGGATTTTCAACTGGCCTATTTATTATTGCACTCACTTCTTCCTATCTGATCTGCATATTTTTATGTATTTTTTTCCTTCAAAATGATCTCCTTTGTTTCAGATGTTAAAATCAGAAATTTTATTCCATGCCCTACCAAAATGAAAAGGGGGACAAAAGTTAATTGTATCTGAACTGAAGTGTAACTGTGGCCCTATTAAAGAGGTGTAGTTATGGGCTATTGATCGCAGCGCACAGGAAAACTTGTCATGTAAAGTCAAGAGGTTAATGTAATTACAAGAATGGGCAGCAGGATCAGCTGTAGCCCAGAAGTGGCGAATAACTAAAAGCTGCTTTAGAGACACATAATGTTGTCAAAGCATAAATAATTCATCCTAGCATTGGAGAAGAAATTACTCCTCTGTTCCAGCATATTATTCAGCCATTAAAATCTTGCCTTCTAAAGACTTTTGATGTAGTCATATTTTCAGTTCTAAGTCATTCTGAGGCATGCCACCTTCATTAAGCCTTATATTGTGTAGTTTTCAAAGTATTAGAGAGTATGTGGAATAGATCCGCAATTTATTTAATAACCACAGTACATTTCAGATAAGAGGGAAGAAGCTGGGAGGATTTATGCTATTAATACATCCAGTAGCCAAGTAGGAACGAAGATTAAGTAATGTGGGGTAGAATTCTTTATTCCTGAGCTAGGCCAATTTCCGTTCACTGCAGTTCCTTGCTGGCATCAACTCCTTGCTGACCCAATCCCTAAAACACTTCTCTAGTGCCAAAAAAGTAGAAGAGGCGTGAGAAGTACTGACAAGTCTCACTGCCCTTCTTGTAAGTATTCTCACGTGAACCGTTCACTAGCTCTGATAAAAAAAAATACTCTGACAATATGGTTTGGAATTGAATTTGCTTTTCTTTGGTTGACATTGTTTTTCCTTCCATTTGTGCTTTTAGTAACAAAGTTTTGCATATCTATGGCAAATTGATAGCTGCAGGCCCCACAGAATCAATAGCCCCCTGCTATCTCTATAGTGGTCAAAACTATCATTTAGACCATGTTGTCCACAGTATGTAAAAGGCAGTACATAAAACAACTAATATAAGCATGGATATAAACAAGAAATCCTATAACCAAGAGCAACTTTAGGGGACAAACGTTGTTTCTCTGTTCACCTCCAAATTCATTTCCTGTCCTTTTCGATCCTAGCCTCTGCCCCAAAAAAGTGAGTCAGGAACCTTGACCATTGACTTTTCTGTGGGGGGTCAACTAGCTAGAGACACCAGCAGCTCACCTGAGAGCAGGAAGAACGAGGTGGGGGCATTTCTCCCCTGCTCCCTCTCTGCTGAGGTTCAGTTCTGGAGGTAGCTGTGGCCTCTGGAGCTTCTTTTAAAAGGCCTCCCTTCCATGGTCCCTGGTCTCCAAACACTTTTTCCATCCCTTGTTCTTGTAGACCTATGAGATTCTAGCACTACCACAGCCTGTTCGTACTTCTGCGGCTCTGATTGGCTCTTCATCAACAATTCTTTTATTGAAAGTCTCTGAAACTCTCAACTCAATGTGCTGTCCATGGTCTCCAAGAATCCTGACTGATACATACAGCTAGGCAAGCAACAGGTGGACGAACTCTCCTTAGCACATTCTCTAGAACAGATGCCTTGTCATTAGTTTTTAAGTTGCTAAAACCATTGATCATGAAAGTTGCTAAGATCGTAATAAAAAATTTAAAACTTTCAAGAAAGTAAATAACAAAACAAATAATAACAAAACATGACTCTGAAACCTCAATTCAATGACCAACAAAAGGGTGGTGCCCCCTTTTTTTGAGACGGAGTCTCGCTCTGTTGCCCAGGCTGGGGTGCAGTGGCACAATCTCAGCTCACTGCAACCTCCACCTCCCGGGTTCAAGTGAGTCTCATGCCTCAGCCTCTGAGTAACTGGGACTACAGGCATGTGCCACCATGCCAGGCTAATTTTTGTATGTTTAATAGAGGCAGGGTTTCTCCATGTTGGCCAGGCTAGTCTCGAACTCCTGGCCTCAGGTGATCCACCCACCTCAGCCTCCCAACGATGGTGCCCCTTTCACATACTAGGTCATATCACCAACCAATCGATTGTCCTCCAACCATTCCTAAGGGCCTCTGATATCAGTGCAGCATCCATCCTGCCCATGTTAGAACTGGGCTATCCTGTGGCTTAAATACCAAGAAACTCACTCTCCCCACCAAAGGAAACAACTGCATATTCCACTTCTGGTTGAGCCCCAACCCATTGTATATGTCAACTCATTATATATGAATCATTGTATACATTAAATATTGTATATTTCAATCATTCAAATGTTTTTTTCTGCTTTGGAACTAAAAGCTATGTACTTGTGGATTGTTCCGGGTTTAGGATTTGCAATAAAATGATGTAAACTTTGTATTAGGGAAGAAATAGAAAGTATTTATCCAAAATGACTGAGGCATTTCCCTTAACAGGGCTAATCAGCAAGGATATAACAGGCTGCACTTGGTCTTACATGCTGCCTAGGGACACTGCAGTTCTCTTTAAACTCTGCCAGGCTACTCTCCACAGTACTAGCAAGTATTTCCATGTAGTATCAGCACCTAGAAGTCATCCTTGATTTCCTTCTTTCCTTACCTCCATGCTCAGTCCACTTACGTTTACATCATATCAATGTCAAAAATATATCCCAAATCTCTCATTTATCTCTATCATCATCAATACCTTGTATAATCTACAATGATCACTCACCTGATTAATATTAATGGATAACCTTACTGCTTCCTTTTCACCTCCCTATAATCCCTTTGTACACAGAGCAGCTAGGCTGACGTTTCTAAAGCGTGGATTAGTTGACCTCCCTGCCTCCCTCCTGTCAAAGCCTCCAATGTCTCCCTTGATCTGCAAGGGTCCCGAGGTAAACTTGCTGCTTCCCATTCTTGTCCCTTACCCTGATTATACACTAGCTTCACTGACCTTTCTCAGCCTCAAATACAGCTTCTTCCCACCTCCTGGCTTTCTGGTTCTTGTGTCTGGAACAATCTGCCACCAATCTTTACTTGGCAGCCTCTGTCTTGCCATTCAAATCTCAACTCAAACACCACCCCCTCCAAGAGACCTTCCTGACCACACTCTTCAATGGCCCTCCCCTCCAGCTGGGCTCCATCACATCTTACTAAGCAGCTTTTTTTTCTAGTATTTATCACTCTCTGAAATCTGCCATTTATGTATTTGTTGGTTTTTTTGTTTCTACCTGTCTTCTTATTCCGAATGTGAACTCCGTGAGATCAGAAATCCTGTCTATACTGTTCATTTTTTCCTCTCCAGTCATCAGAATGGCACCAGCACACAGCACGACTTCAGGCAGCCTTTGTTGAATTTGATTCACTAGTCTACTGCAATAGAATAGGGCAAAATGACATGGCCTCATGTGTATTACTTTCCACCAAATACTATCAATTAGCTAGCTACCTTGTGCCCAAATTACTCTACCGCCTTCTAGTAGATATCAGCTAACCTTTAACCTGCTCTATTCAGTGTTAGAAAATGCTAGAAGACATATGATATGAAATTGCTCTCATTGTCAATGAATCCTTCATGAATGATTTTTAAAACTTTGGGCTGGGCGTGGTGGCTTACGCCTGTAATTCCAGCACTTTGGGAGGCGGAGGTGAGTGGATCACTTGAGGTAAGGAGTTCAAGACCAGCCTGGCCAATATGGTGAAACCCCGTCTCTACTAAAAATACAAACATTAGCTGGGCGTGGTGTCACATGCCTGTAATCCCAACTACTCAGGAGACTGAGGCAGGAGAATCGCTTGAACCCAGGAGGCAGAGGTTGCAGTGAGCTGAGATAGTGCCACTGCACTCTAGCTTAGGTGACAGAGTGAGACTCTGTCTCAAAAAAAAAAAACAACTTTGGTTCTTAGATGCAATATTAACCCATTAGTCAGGTAAAGAACATGGAATATAAAAATATAGAAATGGGACAAAATGAAGAAGAGGTAAAGAGAACCAAAAGAAGACCCTGACTGGGTGTCTTGGCTCACACCTGTAATCCCAGCACTTTGAGAAGCTGAGACAGGTGGATCACTTGAGGTCAGGAGTTCGAGACCAGCCGGGCCAACATGGTGAAACCCTGTCTCTATTAAAAATACAAAAATTAGCCAGGCGTGATGATGGGTGCCTGTAATGCCAGCTACTCAGAGGCTGAGGCAGGAGAAGAGGCAGAGGTTGCAGTGAACTGAGATTGTGCCACCGCACTCCAGCCATGGCAACAGAGGGAGACTCAGTCTCAAAATAAAAAACAAAAAAGAAGAAGAAGACCTGAAATCCAAGTCCTTTCCAGGATAAGCAAATGCTATTCACACTAGACTCCTGGAGAGGGCCAACACTCTTTTTGTCACTGGGGGAGAAAGAGTATTACCCCTCTCTTTCTGAAAACTTCAAAATCAAAAAGTTGCTGCATACGATTAGAGATTTTCTGATCTTGCTCTCAGTGCACAACAGACTTTAATATATTAGCCAATGTAGAAAATTCAAAGGAGCATGATCTCTGCATTGGAAATCCCTATGGCACTGTTCACTAGGCCTTGAACAAGTTATGTAATCTCATAAAGGCTATCTATTCTTATCTGAAGGTAATAAAGATGCTTATACTTGCCTACTGCTGTAAAGGCTGAGGCGAGTCTGATGAGCCACTGCCTGTGTAAGTCCTCTGTGACATGTTAATTGATACACAAATGCTCGCTATTACAATCACTACTGTTGCAAAAAAGCTAGAGAGATGACTTACAGAGACAAGTGGTAGAAATCTACACCAAGCCTTACTGGAGGATACAAACAATAGTCTCCAAGTGCTGAGCATTTAGAGAGAAAATAGGGAAGAGGGCATATACTTGTGGAGGGGTAGGAGCTGGAAGGGCTTGGTCTAGAAAGTTTTCATAGAGAAGATGGGGCTTGAAGAAAGATCTGAAGAAGCGGGGAGTCATTTAATATACGGAAAGAAGGAAGGGTGGTGTGGTGAACCACTGCCCAGAGATCAGAGATGCAGGAAAGTGAAGCAGGTGCAGGAATGCCAGGCCGGTTCATCCAACAAGACAAAAGCTTGCCATGTGACAAGAGATGAAATAAATTAACCAAGAGAGGAACTGAATGGTGGGAAGGCTTAAAACCCCAGGCTAGGAGATTGAGGCCAGCTCTGAAGGCAGATAAGGGCATTAACAAAGGAACATCCGGGACCACTGAAAATCCCAACACCATTTTACTGCAGCAACAGAAGAGCCATGCCTGGATTAAGGGGACAAAGGGACCCCCAGTGCCTGGATTAAAGGGACAAGGGGACCCCCAGTGCCTAGATTAAGGGGACAAGGGGACCCCCAGTGCCTGGATTAAGGGGAAAAGGGGACAAGTGGACCCCCAGTGCCTGGATTAAGGGGACAAGGGGACCCCCAGTGCCTGGATTAAGGGGACAAGTGGATCCCCAGTGCCTGGATTAAAGGGACAAGGGGACCCACAGTGCCTGGATTAAGGGGACAAGAGGACCCCCAGTGCCTATATTAAGGGGACAAAGGGACCCCCAGTGCCTAGATTAAGGGGACAAGGAGACCCCAAGTGCCTGGATTAAGGGGACAAGGAGACCCCCAGTGCCTAGATTAAGGGGACATGGGGACCCCCAGTGCCTGGATTAAGGGAACAAGGGGACCCCCAGTGCCTAGATTAAGGGGACAAGGGGACCCCCAGTGCCTGGATTAAGGGGACAAGAGGATCCCCAGTGCCTGGATTAAGGGGACAAGAGGACCCCCAGTGCCTGGATTAAGGGGACAAGGAGACCCCCAGTGCCTAGATTAAGGGGACAAGGGGACCCCCAGTGCCTGGATTAAGGTCAGGACAAGGAGACCCCCAGTGCCTGGATTAAGGGGACAAGGAGACCCCCAGTGCCTGGATTAAGGGGACAAGGGGACCCCCAGTGCCTGGATTAAGGGGACAAGGAGACCTCCCCAAGTACCTGGATTAAGGGGACAAGGGGACCCTCAGTGCCTGGATTAAGGGGACAAGGAGACCCCCAGTGCCTGGATTAAGGGGACAAGGGGACCCTCAGTGCCTGGATTAAGGGGACAAAAGGATCCCCAGTACCTGGATTAAGGGGACAAGGGGGACCCCCAGTGCCTGGATTAAGGGGACAAGGGGACCCTCAGTGCCTGGATTAAGGGGACAAGTGGACCCCCAGTGCCTGGATTAAGGGGACAAGGGGGACCCCCAGTGCCTGGATTAAGGGGACAAGTGGATCCCCAGTGCCTGGATTAAAGGGACAAGGGGACCCACAGTGCCTGGATTAAGGGGACAAGGAGACCCCAAGTGCCTGGATTAAGGGGACAAGGAGACCCCCAGTGCCTAGATTAAGGGGACAAGGGGACCCCCAGTGCCTGGATTAAGGGGACAAGAGGATCCCCAGTGCCTGGATTAAGGGGACAAGAGGACCCCCAGTGCCTGGATTAAGGGGACAAGGAGACCCCCAGTGCCTAGATTAAGGGGACAAGGGGACCCCCAGTGCCTGGATTAAGGGGACAAGAGGACCCCCAGTGCCTAGATTAAGGGGACAAGTGGACCCCCAGTTCCTGGATTAAGGGGACAAGTGGATCCCCAGTGCCTGGATTAAAGGGACAAGGGGACCCACAGTGCCTGGATTAAGGGGACAAGGGGACCCCCAGTGCCTAGATTAAGGGGACAAAGGGACCCCCAGTGCCTAGATTAAGGGGACAAGGAGACCCCAAGTGCCTGGATTAAGGGGACATGGGGACCCCCAGTGCCTAGATTAAGGGGACAAAGGGACCCCCAGTGCCTAGATTAAGGGGACAAGGAGACCCCAAGTGCCTGGATTAAGGGGACAAGGAGACCCCCAGTGCCTAGATTAAGGGGACAAGGAGACCCCCAGTGCCTAGATTAAGGGGACAAGGGGACCCCCAGTGCCTGGATTAAGGGGACAAGAGGACCCCCAGTGCCTGGATTAAGGGGACAAGGAGACCCCCAGTGCCTAGATTAAGGGGACAAGGGGACCCCCAGTGCCTGGATTAAGGGGACAAGAGGACCCCCAGTGCCTAGATTAAGGGGACAAATGGACCCCCAGTTCCTGGATTAAGGGGACAAGTGGATCCCCAGTGCCTGGATTAAAGGGACAAGGGGACCCACAGTGCCTAGATTAAGGGGACAAGGAGACCCCCAGTGCCTAGATTAAGGGGACAAGGGGACCCCCAGTGCCTAGATTAAGGGAACAAGGGGACTCCCAGTGCCTAGATTAAGGGGACATGGGGACCCCCAGTGCCTGGATTAAGGGGACAAGGGGACCCCCAGTGCCTGGATTAAGGGGACAAGGAGACCCCCAGTGCCTAGATTAAGGGGACAAGGGGACCCCCAGTGCCTAAATTAAGGGGACAAGGAGACCCCCAGTGCCTAGATTAAGGGGACAAGGGGACCCCCAGTGCCTAAATTAAGGGGACAAGGGGACCCCCAGTGCCTAGATTAAGGGAACAAGGGGACCCCCAGTGCCTAGATTAAGGGGACATGGGGACCCCCAGTGCCTGGATTAAGGGGACAAGGAGACCCCCAGTGCCTAGATTAAGGGGACAAGGGGACCCCCAGTGCCTGGATTAAGGGGACAAGGGGACCCCCAGTGCCTAGATTAAGGGGACAAGAGGATCCCCAGTGCCTGGATTAAGGGGACAAGAGGACCCCCAGTGCCTGGATTAAGGGGACAAGGAGACCCCCAGTGCCTAGATTAAGGGGACAAGGGGACCCCCAGTGCCTGGATTAAGAGGACAAGGGGACCCCCAGTGCCTATAATAAGGGGACAAAGGGACCCCCAGTGCCTAGATTAAGGGGACAAGGAGACCCCCAGTGCCTAGATTAAGGGGACAAGGGGACCCCCAGTGCCTAAATTAAGGGGACAAGGAGACCCCCAGTGCCTAGATTAAGGGGACAAGGGGACCCCCAGTGCCTAAATTAAGGGGACAAGGGGACCCCCAGTGCCTAGATTAAGGGAACAAGGGGACCCCCAGTGCCTAGATTAAGGGGACATGGGGACCCCCAGTGCCTGGATTAAGGGGACAAGGAGACCCCCAGTGCCTAGATTAAGGGGACAAGGAGACCCCCAGTGCCTAGATTAAGGGGACAAGGGGACCCCCAGTGCCTGGATTAAGGGGACAAGAGGACCCCCAGTGCCTGGATTAAGGGGACAAGGGGACCCCCAGTGCCTGGATTAAGGGGACAAGAGGACCCCCAGTGCCTAGATTAAGGGGACAAATGGACCCCCAGTTCCTGGATTAAGGGGACAAGTGGATCCCCAGTGCCTGGATTAAAGGGACAAGGGGACCCCCAGTGCCTGGATTAAGGGGACAAGGAGACCCCCAGTGCCTAGATTAAGGGGACAAGTGGACCCCCAGTGCCTGGATTAAGAGGACAAGGGGACCCCCAGTGCCTATAAGGGGACAAAGGGACCCACAGTGCCTAGATTAAGGGGACAAGGAGACCCCCAATGCCTAGATTAAGGGGACAAAGGGACCCCTAGTACCTGGATTAAGGGGACAAGAGGACCCCCAGTGCACTTTGTCAAGTCAGGCTACCCCTGGAGAACTGGGTTTGTCTCAAGGGCCACATTTTAGAAAGGACATGGATTTCAAAGCACCCAGAGGAGGGTGACCAGTGTGGAGAGGCAACAGAAAATCCTGCTATGCAAGGGAGAATCGAAGGGTCTGGTTATGTGTAACTCAGAAACATCAAAACACGTGATATAGCTTTCTTTTCTGTTTGGGGTGATCTCAGCTGACTTCAAGAGATTTTTTAAAAGTTAAGACTTGGAGATTCTACATGATTGGGAAGTCTGAGAGGTATATGGAAAGCCCACTTACTTACCTGGAAGTCAACAGGCTTGGATTTAGTTAATTTTGCTCCCTGTTTGATCACCCCAAACCCTCTCCTGCTCCACCCCCATTCCAACATTACTTACTTTCTAAGTCCTTAGTTAATTATTGTGTTAAAATAAAATCTGTTTAGAGTAGAAAATCCCTAAAATGTTCACATAACTAGCTAGTAGCAGAGGTACTAGAAATAGTCTAGTTATTTAAGCCTAGTGGTTACTTCAGCAACTAGAAATATAGATTAATCTTCCTCACTTGGACTTACCTAAAAGGATATACAACAGAGTGGTAGAAATAGGAGGACTTTGTTGGTAAAAACTGGATAAAATAATAAACACTTTACATTGCATTGGGGTTCAATTATCCAAGAGATCATACCACAGTCGGAGATTAGAAAATCTCCTTGAAGATGTGGCTTAGAGGGAGGATGGATGGGAAACTAAACAGGAAAATATCTCTCTCAAACTGTGCTCAACACAATCCCACTATTTCCAGATAGTCTTCTTTCTCTTCAGAGTATAAATCTTTCACCTTTTACTATTTCTGGATGTTAAATCTATTATATCACAGAAGGAAAAAGAGGGACTTCTGTGGTAAAATAAATTTAGAAAATGGTAGGTTCAACAAAATAATAGAGCTTTCTCTATTGCAGGATTTCTCTGCACCTTTAATATGTCCAAGGCTTCTCTGACTCAGTAAGGACATTGTACAAAGCAGGTTATTTCTTTCTTTTTTTTTTTCTTTTAACACAGAGGTGACCTTCCTCTTCACAACATTCCCTACCTCCTCCTGCAAGCATTTTAGAGGGAGTAGTGTTTGTCAAGCATTACTTTACAAAAACCCTGTAGAGCTCAGCTCCTGCATCGAGTGGTCCCAGTGGGGATGAGAAGAGTGCTTAATTCACCCCGTGGGGATAGAGCGAGAATCCCTAAATCAATCATCAAACACTAATTAAGCATTATTATTTGTCAATTGCTGTTGCAGATACAGAGAGTGAAATCTGCTATCACCATTCCCGGGATTTTTCAGGACACTAAAAAATATGCTAGGCACAGTGGCAAGCGTCTATAATCCCAGCAAATTGGGAGGCTGAAGTGGGAGGGTCATTTAGGCCCAGGAGTCTGAGATACTAACAAAACAAAACTTGTCCACATAAAAAGATAAATAACTATGAAAGACTCTCCTATTTGCTAAGTGTCCAAAAGAGCTGACTGATGTGGCGAGTATTTTAGGAGGTGGGAAAGCTTGAATTAACTTTGGCAGGCTGAAGAGGCTTCCCCAGGACAGCAATCTGGTGCCGTTCCTGAAAACATGGGCAGGACCAGACCTGTTTATCAGAAGAGTCAGGCATTTTATTAATAGTAGAGAGAAGTGTGGCAGGTGCCAAGGGTATTGGGGGACTTTGAAGAGTCAGTTTGGAAGTGTAAGTTCATCAGCAGTGGAGACTAATGCTGGATAAACCAAGGAGATAGGTTGATTATAAAGAACCGCGAATACCAGATATAGGACATTCGAGCCCTGCCATGTAGGCAGTGGTAAGCTGCTAAAATTTTAGACCAAGTATGTGATGTAATCAGAAAACTAATGTCATCATCAGATTCACAGAAAAAGACTAAAGGGGCCGACTACTCACCGGCTCCCACATCAAGGCAGATAACTTTTATTTCTGAGGCAAAGCATTTACTCTGTTCTAGAAGAAATTTAGGGAGGGGAATGAAAGGGGAGGTTCTGTTTTGTCTCTTTTTCTGGCAAATAAACAACCTTCTGATGGAGGAAGGGGCTCAGCAAACTATTTTTAGCCGCCTGCCAGCGGACCCCCGTGATAGAAGACACAGACGTGTTCTAATAAAAGATTCAGATATTCTTCTCAGCCAGCTCTGCACGCTGTTTAAGTAAACATTCTAAAAATAATACAATAAACATATACAACCAGGAGAGATAAGCTGTGAATTGCAAAGTGATTTAAAGTGCTTTCTGGTTCATTTTGGAGATTTCTTTGAATTTCAGCCAAGAAAAAGCCACTATCGTATGTAAGGGAAAGAGCCTTGAGGGAAGTTTGGAGAGACTTCTTCTTGAGTATTTTTATACAAATTGGATTATGACACTCAGAGTCTTCCCTTGCTCATCAGGAGCTGCTCCCTAAGAAAGAGCAGAGCAGGGTGGCCGGGAGCAGCATGTCACAGGCCCTCCACATCCACGTCACACATCCTTACTCCGCCTGACCCAGAGAGGCATTTCAGTGCATGACTTTGAAGTTGAGGAAAGAAGATGGAAATAGAGCAGAGAAAAAAAGCTGTAGAGTGACCAGCCCTGCCTCATCCACACCCCAGCCTCATCCTTCCTCCTGCTCCGTCGCCAGTTGGCCCCGCCTACCATTTGCTTTCCCCCCACCACCCCTCCCGGAGACGGGTCTCACTCTGTCACCCAGGCTAGAGTGCAGTGATGCAATCATGGCACACTGCAGCCTCAACCTCCTGGGCTCAAGTGATCCTCCCACCTCAGCCTCCCGAGTAGCTGGGACTACAGGCACACACCATGACATCTCACAATTTTTTTTTTCCTATAGATACAGAGTCTCACTATGTCATCCAGGCTGACCCCAATCTCCTGAGCTCAAGCAATCCTCATACCTTGGCCTCCCATAATGCTGGAATTACAGGTGTGAGCCACTGTGCCTAGCCCCTACCATCTGTTGCTTGATACTGTAGGACCATGGTCTAAGGAGCTCTCTGTGCCACAAAGACTTTCTCAGGTGAGGGTTGAGGGAAAGAGGCCAGCTAGGGTGCCAACGCCTTACTCTTAGGTCTAAATCTGTTAATAGTTCAACTATATTTGCAAGAGTTACTTAAAAACCTTTTTTTTTTCCTATTACTATCCCAAAGTATTATACCATACATTGCTTCCAGTGAAAATACTAGGCACTATATGGACAATTTTTTTTTCCTTTTCAAAATATATTCAAAATTTGAAGTTCGGGACGCCCTTCATGCTTTAGTTAAACTAAGACTTAGATGATCCTTCTACTGACAAGTCTGGTTAGCAATAAAAGAAACAACAAAGAACTGCAATGGCTAGAAAAGTAAAATATCAGACATTCCAAAATTATTTTCCAGGCTCCTCTGCCGACCTCCTACAAAAACCTCCGGTTTCCTTGGAGTGCTAGTTAAAAACCACTGCTGCACTGGCCTCCTGCTCTTTCTTAGGTATGTAGCCAGCCTCCCACCCACAGAACCCAGCCATCCCGGCAAGTGCAAGCACTCAGCATTGCAAATGAATGCAATTAGATGGAACAATAAGTAAAAATAAAGTTCACCTAGAACAGACATGAGACAAATTTTCTGGAGTCACAGCCCCCTTTTTAAATGAAATTGCTTTCCGCTGTCCCCTTTTGAAAGAAAAGCCTGGAAATCAAGCACTTTGCTTTTTCGGGGTTTTGCTTACTTTAAATGATGCAATCAATCCAGCCCTGCCTCAGATGACAGCGTGGGGTGACAACATCCAATCCCATCACCGGTCCTGCCAGCTCTACCCCACCAGAAGCCTGACCCTCCCCTGAAAACTCATTTACGGAAAAATACAATCAAGCAGTCTCCAAGGGGCTGCCCCCTAGGGAACTTTTGTGTCATTGCCTTGAGGAGAAAGAAATTCACCTTGAGCTGGAATAAACTGACATTCCCTACATGGTGTCATGTGCCTGACTGAATGCAGAGAAAAATAAATCCAGGCTGCCCAGCATCTCTCCGCTGATGGTTATGTGGGAGCAAGGAGGCAGACAGGAAGGCGTTGTATAGTTACGGCGCATGGCATTCATCTTTCTATGATGATGAATCAAGAGACAAAATATTCACTCTGTTAGAAACAAATTGACAAACCCAAGGTAGAAAACCAGCAGCTCATTATCATCTCAAAAACTGAGCAGGGGTTTGTGCAGGGAATAGAAGAAGCGGAGATGAGAACGCAAGGACACGTGTTCTCCCTGTAAGAGCTTGACAGAGCGAAATAAATCAGCCCCATTGAAGACACAAATCAGCCCCATTGAAGACACAAAGCAGCCCCCAGTGGGCAAGGGAGTAGGGGACTCTAGTTGCTCTCCCTGAAATTTCCAATGTGTTTTTGAGGCTAGTCAACTGTGGAAGAACCCAGAGGAAAGATGGTCAGGATTGGAGGGGCTGCTGGGAACAACAATGAGCTCCTCTCGCCATGAGTGTGCAGGCAGAGTGCCAGCTGCATGTTGAGCAGAGCAGGGCAATGGATCCTGAAACCCAGTCCTGGCACCTCACAGTAGTCTCCAACCATAGCTAGTCCATGAGCTTGCTGCAAGGTGGATTAGCAGGGCAGATGATCCGGAAGCTGGCAAGAGTCAGCTGCCACCTGCAAGAGCCAATGTGTTACAGCAGAGAGAGCAAGTTGCTCAAGGCGAAGAAGGAAGAAAGCTGAGAGTAAAGCCAGCAAAGCGGCCATCAACCATACTGCACAGCAATGGACAGGGCAACCATGTGACTTCTTCTCCATCCAGGGATCTTTCTGGTAATAATTAGACTGGGCGCGGTGGCTCATGCCTGTAATCCCAGCAATTTGGGAGGCCGAGGCGGGCAGATCACTTGAGGCCAGGAGTTCAAGACCAGCCTGGCCAACATAGCAAAGCCCCATCTGTACTAAAAATACAAAAAAAATTAGTGGGCATGGTGGTGTGCACCTGTAGTCCCAGATACTTAGGAAGTGAAGTATGAGAATCACTTGAACTCAGGAGGCGAAGATTGCAGTGAGCAGAGATCACACCACTGTACTCCAGCCTGGGCTACAGAACAAGACTCTGTCTAAATAAATAAACAAATAAATAAATAAATAAAGCTGTATAATTAGAGTAGACTGGGACTGTCCTGGCAAACCAGGATGGAGGCATCACTGTAGTTATGGACAATGTCAGGAGAGAAAACGGGAGTGGCACCATTTTAGCCCTTCTTTCCCCTAAAGAACATCTAGGCTTCTTTCCCCATCCAACTCTGCGGTCCACAAAAGGAATAGAAGATTCTACCCCAACTGGGCAGCATCTGAGGTCAAAGTCAGCCCCACAAAGATGGAGACTCCTCCTCAAGTGGTGTGACACTGAAGCCACTCCCAAATGGAGACAGAAGGGTGGTTATTGGGTCAGACAGATTTAGGTTTGGGTCCAGACCGTGGCATTTACTTAACCTCTCTGAGCCCCAGTTTTGTCGCATCTAAAATGAGAAGTCGAGATTTGTGTGGGGCAAATGTGAGGATTCAAGAGAGAGTGTATGCTTACAAATACCAGTGTGGCTTGCGCAACGTCATGCTCTCTTCCAATCCCACGTATGCATTTACATGTATCATTTTTGTCAAGGCGGAGTGCCTGGCATCAAGCAAGTTTTCAAAATGTGTTGTTAGCTGGTATGATTTTCCCTCTCCAGCTACGTTTTTGGTTCATAATTTGCACTACTGTGAGAAACACGGAGGACACAATCATGAGCCAAATACTGTCACTGACATTGCCCTAGAGGTCTTGTGATCAAATTATTTCACAATTAGATACATAGATACAAACTCTGATATATTATGTGGAGGAAAACAATGCAGGGTAGTGTGAAAGGGAATCCCAGGGTGAGTCTCCTTAGACTAGGCATTTGGAAAAGGCCTCAGAGGAGACAGCACCTACACACTGTGTCCCAAACCCCCAGGAGGAGACAGCCCTGGAGAAGTAGATAAGGACCCTCCAGGATAAGGGGAAGTGCGGGTGTAAATATCCTGACCCAGCAAGGACTGCGCACATTGGAGGACCCTGGGGAAAGATGAAAGCGGAAGGAGAGAGGAAGAAAGGAAGAGAGAGGGCAGAGGATTGCCCCAAAGTGAGTCCCACCAGTGGATAGTGGCCACACCATGGACAGCCAAATAGGAAACTCTAGCTGTAGTTTAAGGAAGAGTGGGTAGTGATGCGGACCAGAGTGATCTTGGTGGAGCTAAAGAGAAATGGATGGACTAAGGATGTATTTGGAGATGGTGCCAATGGGTCTTGGTGATACTGAGTGTGAGGAGGAAGAAAGGGAGGTATCAAGAGTAATTCAATACTCTAAGATTTGGACTCCTGAATACACAAAGACTGGGAGAGACCTAGGCTTGAGAAGATTAAAAGTGCTGTCTGGTATGTAAAATTTCAGATATTTGTCAGATAATAAAGTGGCTAACTCAACTAGGCAGATGTGTATATGGATCTGAGGCCCAAAGAAAAGAGGTGGCCTAAATGTACATCACTGGGAGCAGTGGAAATATACATGTTATTCAAACATGAGGACAGATGCAACCATATGGAAACCCTGTAGAAAGAAGAGATCAAAACATGCTAAAAATTCTAATTTCTCCATCCCATCACTGACCTAAGAGTTATTACAAAATAATAATATTTGTCACTTATCTTTTAAAATTCTTGTAAGAGTGAGTCTGTATCCTTCCTTCTTTGGGTAGTATCCTTCCTTCTTTGTTTTGTAAAGAAATTTAGACTTTTCCTTCATAATTTTGCTTTTGGTATAAAGTTTAGAAAGTCCTTGCCCACTACCAACGTTTTAGAACAAAATCCTAGCAACCCAGAAGTTTATTACAGCATTATTTATAATAGTAATTTTTATAAAAACTAGAAATAGCCTGAGCATAGATCAATAATTGATTTGTTAAATATGTAACTTTACATAATAGAGTGCTTTGCAGCCATTAAAAATGTGCCTCTATTTACCAACATTGAACCACCTCTATTATACATTTAGTGACAAAATAATATAAAATATAATTATAGAAAAATTTCCTTTTTGGAAAACTGTTTCCATATTAACAACTATATTTTTCTCTATTGCTGTTTCTTTCTGTAATAAAGGAGTAAACATTTTATTTATGTGTATCTTATCTCCCAATTAACTCTTAAGCTTTTATATTCTCTTCATATATTGCCTATTCAAGAAATTAATTAAATTTTATAAACATTAATAACTGATCACTTATGATTTTTAACATGTATACTACAAATAATGATGACTAACATTTGTTTAGTACATACTGTGTGCCAGAATTTGTCACAAGCATACATCAATACAAAAGAGTAGAGAACTGGTAACATGTACTTCAACAGATACATAATAAAGTTATCACTGCCCTTCATCTAATTGGCAAGTCAGAAATTTGGCTGTTGACTGCCTTTTATAAAACTGTTCAGCTCTCTTCCTGGAGGCTATCAGGCTGGGAGCTTTCCTCCCTTTCATGGCCAGGGGCAAACATTTAAACAATTCAGTATTGACTTTGACAGCCTCCCTCTTGCCTTTTTGCTCCATTCTTCATACTGTAGATATCCAGAAACAGCTGATTTCCCTCAACCTCAGATGCTCAATAGACCCCCAGAAACTCAATAGACCCCCTTCTCCTCCCCAGTCCAGAGTTCTCATCAACAAATCCCCTCTCTACTAGCAGTGAGAAGTCTTATTTCCTTTGCGCAGCTGGTCTAATCTAGAAATTATGGGGAAGGCAATTGGATTCAATTAATTTATTCTGAAGTATTAATAACTGACAGTCCTCTGACCTTGCTAGAGTTACTTGCATTGAAAATAAAATTAAGATGTAAAGGGTAGAAAACTCCAAAACCCAAATGGCTGTCATTGGTGGAATATTAACTAGTATGCCAACTGAAGTGAGCCAATCCATGCAGATATCCTTGGACAGTCTTGCTGTGGCTAATGGTCTACCTGAAGGTGGAGGCAGGAAGGCGGGTATCAGGACAAGGAAGGTGAGAGAAGGTAAATTCCTTTTGTTTGTGATGCTCTTGATTTTCATAGCTTTATCCTTTTCTAAAACCTCAAAACCAACAGATCCTCTAAGATCTTTCCATTTTGTCCTGTTTTGTTTTGTTTTGAGACCATTTTCCCATGTTGGTGACAGTGAGGTTCTGTCAGTAGAAGAGCATTAGCAAGAGGACTGAGCTCCTTGTGCCTGAAAGTGCCTCTCCATGGGGAAGGTCAGGATGATGTGCAGCGCAAAGCAACCCCAAACCATTTCACCCATTTCTCCTCTACATCCAACCTCCCATTTCCTGTCTCCAAAGAGTCTCACCAGATCCTAAGTTGGCCAGGCCTTGAGAAAACTGAGAAACCACACTGTCTTGGTCCAAAAAAACAGACACAGAGAGCTTACATTTTTCTCTTCCATTAACATTCAACTATTTTAATGAATACCAGATTTTACCATTTGTTCCTAGGGCAGGATATTTGAGTTTTCTGTGGCTTATTTTATTCTTAATATTTAAAAATCTTTTCTCTCGATGAGGTATAACCATAATTGCATTTTGAAAAGTGGGCAACATTTGGTTACTGGAATTGTTTTATGAATATGGTGACAAAAATTAACTTCATGTGTCTTTTATAAGATGCTTTATCATTTTTTTAAATTTATCAAGACCAGAAGGTTTTTAAACCAACCTGGATTCTGTAACATGTGAATACCAGTGCACAATGACTTATAAGAAGCCATTTAAGCAGATATATATATAGAAAAACTCATGTGCAATATAAAGGGTATTCAGATTGTTTCATCTAACCACAGAGAAGAACAAATCATCCCCAAAGTATAAAGTGGTTTAAAGACAGGGAATTGAAAACTAAATTTGAAGCTGACATCTTGACAGCCTCATGACCTAGTTTCAGGCACAGAGCTATACACGAATGACAAAAGAGGAAGAAAGAGAGGTAGACTTAAGGATCCGGAGTAAAACAAGAAAAAGAGAAAGAGGGTGATGTGGTGGAATGAGGAGAATAAAAGGCATCAGGAAACAATTAAGAATAAAATACTATACCAGAATATGGCAGGTAGACTGATGGTCTTAAAGGTGTTCTTTGGTAGGTGGGATCAGTACGTAGAGAATGAATAGTATACATTTGAAAATTATTATATTTGTAAATATAAATTTACATTTTGTAATACAAGAGTGACTAATGCTCTGTCCACTAAAATGACAAGCTGGAGAAAACTGCAAGAGGGGAGATAAGTTTTATGTTAATTTTTTCAGCTAAAATAGCTAACACTAGGCACCACCAACATCTGTAGATTTCTTTCAATTTCTGTGTTCCTCTATGGGTAGACATCACATTGGAGAAGATGAATCCCCAGGACTCTAATCTGGAGTTTGTGGTCAGTGGATCTCCTTTTTTCTTTTCTTTTTCTTTTTCTTTCTTTTTTTTTTTTTTGAGACAGAGTCTCGCTGTGTCTCCTAGGCCGGAGTGCAGTGGCACAATCTCGGCTCCCTGGAACCTCTGCCTCCCGGATTCAAGTGATTCTCCTGCCTCAGCCTCCCGAGTAGCTGGAATTACAGGCACAAGCCACCATGTCCGGCTAATTTTGTATTTTTAGTAGGGACAGGGTTTCACCATGTTGGTCAGGCTGGTCTCGAACTCCTGACCTCAGGTGATCCACCTGCCTCAGCCTCCCAAAGTGTTGGGATTACTGGCATAAGCCACCGTGCCCGGCCTCAGTGGATCTTCTTAAATCTGTGCCTTTACTTTTGACATGGAGATGGTCTCAAATTTTGCTTTTTAATCTCAATGTCTTTGGGCTTAAGAGACAACATCAGCGACCCCCAAAAAACTAGAGGAAAGAGAAAGCAGACTGTGGCATTGCCTGGGGTTAGTAGCTAGTCTGTATTGCAGCTTTCAGCCGGACCCAGAGTCCCACCAGTTTTAAAAAGTGGTTCAGCAGAAAAGTACTATTTGAAGTTTTGTTTACTATTATGGGCAATTTCTCTGTGTGTGGGTGAGCCTCGTACACACTATCTACATGGTATCAACCAGTCAGATAAAATCTGAAGAATGCACTCCCTTAGGTAGGTATTTTTAAAACATTTTGGTGTTTTTCGATATATATATCTGGTTGTGGGCTTCAATTTAAAATACTCCTTTTGATATGAATTTTGCTAAAATAAATGCTTCAAGAAGGTTAATTAAGGTCAGGAGAGACCCCTTAGGATCATCGTTTCATAGATAACTAAAGGATTGGTTAAAAAGTATCAGGCCTATCCTATAGGATTAACTATGTGCAGTTTTCTAGCAAACATGTATATGTATAGAAAATTGTTAATAATACGTAGTCAACCCTCAGTATTCTCAGGGCATTGGTTTCAAGATCCCCTGAGATACCAAAATCCATGAATGATCAAGTCTCTTATATAAAGTGGTGTAGTATTTGCATATAACCTAAGCACATCCTCCTGTGTACTTTACATCATCTCTAGATTAGTTATAATACCTAATACAGTGTAAATGCTATGTAGTTGATCTACTGGGCTTTTAATTTGTATTTTGTTATTCTTTTTAATATTTTTGACCTATAATTGAAGTCTACAGATGGGAAGTTCCGACTTTATAGATGTATCTTTGTTTAGTACCAACGTTCTCATTAACACATTTCCAGGTCCCACCCTGGGTTGCTGGGGGAAAAGGCAGAGATTGGTACTTTTAGAATGCCCAGGTGATTTCCCTATAGATAGCCTGAGAGCATGTTTTTGATGTAGCCCTCAGCTTTGATCATTGCAAAGTTCAAAAGTGAGTAAAGTTTTTCTGCCTCCACTAACTAGAGTTCAACAGCATAATTTTTACTCCACTCATGCTCAGGTAGAGAGGATATGGGGCCTAAGCACGGTGGTCAAAGGCCCTGATAACAACAGCTCCTCCCCAAAGAATCCACTGGTGTTTAAGGTTTAGATTTTGATGACAGCAGAATTGGTTAGGTCTTTCCTCTTAAGAATCTAATTGCTTCTAAATTTACACAGGTGTAAAGGAGTCCCGCTTGAGAAAAACAAGACTATCTTCTGTTCCTGCTAGAGATTCAAATATGCATTCCTGGGTTTTTAGAAGAACCTTGAGGTGGGTAGATTATAGGAAAGACAAGAGTGGCTCTGAGAGTGAGCTCACCAGAAACAGGGAGACTGTACACTAGCCAGATACAACATCCAGATCTAAGGACCATAGGAAGAGAGAACTGAAATGCTGCTGGTACAGCATGCAGCAGGTCCTGGAATCCAGCCTGGCACAGCCAATCAGGCAGCACGTGCACCATAGGCTGGGAGAGAAAGCAGCAGCAGCCACTCTCCTAAACCACAGTGGCGGGCCTCCCAAACATCCCCGTGTAACAGCAACAGCAACAAGATGAAAGGAGGTTAAGCCCTGCCTCAATGAGGCAAGTTCACAGCATTAGCCAGGTTTGAGCTCTAGGGAGCTGGCGATGGGTATTGCAGCTTAGTGGGGACTCTATAAACAAACCTGGGAAAACTCCGCAATGTTAGGAGAATGGGAGGCTTAAACAGACTGTATCTCCTGATATCAATCAGGTGAGGTTTTCAAAGCCAAAGAAATTGTACACTAAAGTAAATGTAACCCATTTGTACTCCCCAATAGGGAAGGATAGGTGGACTGGTTCCATTTGCAGGGGTTTTTTTTCCTGTTGACTATGACCAAAATCCACTCAACAAAGGAAATGCTGAAGACTTAACTCCTCTGAGTGACTACGTTTGAATGCTCAAAATTCCTTTTGTTAATAGTCTCCATCTATGCCTCAGAGATGGAAGGGCTGTTTCTTTTAAAGATATGCTAGGATTGAGGGTGAAAAAAATATAAACTTCTTCCAGGTAACATGTTACCCAGCACACTCTCTCATTACTCAAATGCCCATTCTTGTGGCTGGGCCTTTCCTACCACTTAGCAAGGCTGGCATGTCAGGGAGCTTTGATGTCTAACAGCTTTGTGGATGTTACATGTGTATTTCATTGTGGAGGCCCAGCCCTAGCCTTCCCACATTCAGGTTTTGAAAAGCAGAACCTCAGTGGATTTTGTCCAATGCTTTATTTCAAATTCCATTTAACATCCCTTCAAGGTGGTTTCAGAGTAAATAAATGAACTGAGGTTTTATTTAAATATAACTTGAGTGTTATATTTATTTATTAAATATATATTATATTATTATATTGTACATTAAATATAATATATCGTATTTATTATAATATTGTATATTAAATATAATATATCGTATTTATTATATTGTACATTAAATATAATATATCATATTTATTATATTGTACATTAAATATAATATATCGTATTTATTATATTGTACATTAAATATAACATATCGTATTTATTATATTGTACATTAAATATAATATATCGTATTTATTATATTGTACATTAAATATAACATATCGTATTTATTATATTGTACATTAAATATAACATATCGTATTTATTATATTGTACATTAAATATAACATATCGTATTTATTATATTGTACATTAAATATAACATATCGTATTTATTATATTGTACATTAAATATAATATATCGTATTTATTATATTGTACATTAAATATAATATATCGTATTTATTATATTGTACATTAAATATAACATATCGTATTTATTATATTGTACATTAAATATAATATATCTTATTTATTATATTGTACATTAAATATAATATATCGTATTTTTTATATTGTACATTAAATATAATATATCGTATTTATTATATTGTACATTAAATATAATATATCGTATTTATTATATTGTACATTTAATATAATATATCGTATTTATTATATTGTACATTAAATATATCGTATTTATTATATTGTACATTTAATATAATATATCGTATTTATTATATTGTACATTAAATATAATATATCGTATTTATTATATTGTACATTTAATATAATATATCGTATTTATTATATTGTACATTTAATATATTGTATTTATTATATTATATTTTTATATATTAAATATAATATATTTAATATATTATATATTAAAAATAATATATTTAATATATTATATATTAAAATATATATTAAATATAATATATTGTATTTATTATATTGTAATATATATTAAATATAACTCGTTATATTTAAATAAATATATTTAAGATAAAATTTGGCATAACACAAATGAAGTATTGGTGAGATAAGCATTCTGACTAGGGCTTGGCAAACACTCTTTGAACAAGTCAGAGAGTCAATATTTTTGGATTTGTGGACCACAGAGTCTCTGTCACTCTGCTATGGAACCATACAAGCAGCTGTAAATAAAACATAAACAAATGGATGTGGCTGTATTTCAATAAAACTTTATTTGCAAAAGCAGACACATGGCCCATAGGCTATAGTTTATTTACACCTGTTTCAGGCCCTTATATTCTGACACAGGTGCCTTTGTTTTGTTTTGTTGTGCCTTAAACAGTGGTAGGTGTCTTTGAAATTATAAGTGATGAGTAGTGACAATAGATTTCAGAAGATGAGTGTGCAGCCATTAGAATTGTGAAATGCTTCTCTCTGTGCAAAAGCACGAGATTGCTAAACAATAACAGCAAAAAACTAAATTATTTAGAAAACAAATATTTCCTCATGTCAAAATCGCAAAGGTGAAAATATATACTAACGTAAATTCTTGGTATTAGAAATGTAAAATAAAGATCTGGTAAATATGTAGCCTAATTATAAAATCACACGCAGACACACAGTGAAAAGGGTGATGCTGTACAGGAACAATAAAGGAAGCACATTATTATGTGAATTGCTGAATATTTGAAATGCATAGCTACAATAAAGTCACATCTCCACATGTAAGCAACAAAGCTGTGTCTCTTGATTGCTGATTAAGTCCATACATTTTGAAAATGATAGACATAAACAGGTAAAGCCAAAGAGAGAAACAAAATAGAACAAAAAATGGAACTCACCTCATTTTGCCGTGATCTCTGTCCATGACAACCACCCTCAAAGCCATACAAGTTGGAGGCCGGGCACGGTGGCTCACGCCTGTAATCCCAGCACTTTGGGAGGCTGAGGTGGGCGGATCACGAGGTCAGGAGATCAAGACCATCCTGACCAACTTGGTGAAATCCCGTCTCTACTGAAAATACAAAAAAATTAGCTGGACATGGTGGTATACATCTGTAGTCCCAGCTACTCTGGAGGTTGAGGCAAGAGAATCGCTTGAACCTGGGAGGTGGAGGTTGCAGTGAGCAGAGATTGTGCCACTGCACTCCAGCCTGGTGACTGAGCAAGACTCTGTCTCAAAAAAAAGAAGAAAAAAAAAAAGAAGCCATACAAGTTGGAGAGAAAAACTTGGCTATTAAAGAAGCCAATGATTTTTCCTGAGCAAATGTCAATTTCAAAGATAATATGTTGACTTAAACTTTCCACAGGACATATATATATATATTTTTTTAATTATACTTTAAGTTTTAGGGTACATGTGCACATTGTGCAGGTTAGTTACATATGTATACATGTGCCATGCTGGTGCGCTGCACCCACTAACTCGTCATCTAGCATTAGGTATATCTCCCAGTGCTATCCCTCCCCCCTCCCCCCACCCCACCACAGTCCCCAGAGTGTGATATTCCCCTTCCTGTGTCCATGTGATCTCATTGTTCAATTCCCACCTATGAGTGAGTATATGCAGTGTTTGGTTTTTTGTTCTTGCGATAGTTTACTGAGAATGATGATTTCCAATTTCATCCATGTCCCTACAAAGGACATGAACTCATCATTTTTTATGGCTGCATATATTCCATGGTGTATATGTGCCACATTTTCTTAATCCAGTCTATCATTGTTGGACATTTGGGTTGGTTCCAAGTCTTTGCTATTGTGAATAATGCCGCAATAAACATACGTGTGCATGTGTCTTTATAGCAGCATGATTTACAGTCATTTGGGTATATACCCAGTAATGGGATGGCTGGGTCAAATGGTATTTCTAGTTCTAGATCCCTGAGGAATCGCCACACTGACTTCCACAATGGTTGAACTAGTTTACAGTCCCACCAACAGTGTCAAAGTGTTCCTATTTCTCCACATCCTCTCCAGCACCTGTTGTTTCCTGACTTTTTAATGATTGCCATTCTAACTGGTGTGAGATGGTATCTCATAGTGGTTTTGATTTGCATTTCTCTGATGGCTAGTGATGATGAGCATTTTTTCATGTGTTTTTTGGCTGCATAAATGTCTTCTTTTGAGAAGTGTCTGTTCATCCACAGGACATATTTTTTATAGCCTCACATTTTAGTGAAGTCTCTTTTTCAAGCAACAAACATGCAAGGGAAAAAGTGTGGTTTTTCCATAGTTTCTATCATAATAGAAACATAAATTCCTCATGTAATTCTCCATTTTGCATATCAAAAAACTAATTTTATTCAAACTTGAAAAATCAAATGATAAATTCCTAGTAGCTTACCTGGTAGGTATTCAGTGGTTTCCGCAACTTCCTTGTGTAGTTAGAAAGAATTTCCTTCCACACTGGTTTTGTTTTTTGTTTGTTTTTTTGCTGTTGTTTGTTTTTGTAAAAAAATGTACTTAAGTTTTAAAGAAAGACTAATTTGTATCAGACACTCTTTTCTGCCCATGCTTCTTACCTGTTTTTTTTTAGATTTAATGTTTTTTTTTTTCTTTTTGAGATGGAGTCTCTGTCACCCAGACTGGAGTTCAATAGCACAATCTCGGCTCACTGCAACATCCACCTCCCGGGTTCAAGCGATTCTCCTGCCTCAGCCTCCCAAGTAGCTGGGATTACAGGCACGTGCCACCATGCCTGGGTAGTTTTTGTATTTTTAGTAGAGATGGGGTTTTGCCATGTTGGCCAGGCAGGTCTCGAACTCCTGACCTCAGTTGATCCATCTGCCTCGGCCTCCCAAAGTGCTGAGATTACAGTTGTAAGCCTAACTTTTAAAATTAATATACAACAGAGTTAATATTATGTATAATTCTATGATTTTAACACATGTATAGATACCTTAAATACTAGAAGATTCAGGATAGAAAATGGTTCTGTCCTTCCCCCAAATTCTTCCTGTTGCCCCTTTATAGTCCCCTTCCTCCACCTCTAACCCATGGCAACCTCTGATCTGTTCTCTGTCACTCTAGTTTTGTCTTTTGAGACTTTCATTTAAATAGAAGCATACAGTATGCAATATTTTGAAACTGCCTTTTTTCACTCAGAGTAATGCCTTTGAGATCCATCCAAGCTACTCCACATATTAATAGTTTATTCCTTTCTATTGGTGAGTAGTTTTCCATTATATTGCTGTAGCATGGTTTGTAATCTAATCACCATTGACAGACATTTGTTTTTCTTGCAGTTTCTGATGATGATAAATAGAACTGCTGTCAACACTCATGCACAGGTTTTTGTGTGAACATAAGTTTTAATTTCACTTGAGTAAATACCTAAAAATGGGATACCTAGTCATATGGCAAGTGTATATTTTGCTTTACAGGAAACTGCAAAAATAATTTTCTAGAATGGCCATACCATTTTACACTCCCAGCAGCAATGGAGAAGAGTTTCAGTTGCTCCATATTCCACATCTTAACCACCATCTGGTATTGGCAGTATTTTTTTTAAGTCATCCTAATAAGTGCAGTAGGAGCTCATCATCATTTTTAAAAAAACAAATATTTATTTTTTATTTTCTTCCTCTGAGAATCTACTTTATACCTTTACTAAAAATTTCTTCTGACTCCCCACTCTGTTCTAAGTGCTAGAGAATCTATGCTCTAAGGAAGATTAAACTCACTCCTTCGACATGTTTCTTTTCCCCTCATTTTTGGTCATCCCAACCTAATTGTAGACATGATTTCTCTCTCAGAAGGAGCAAACTCATTTGGGTGGGTAGTGCTGGAGAGGAAGCTGTTAATGGAGAGTGAATCACCTACTTGGAAGCAACACCCCTATTTGCCAGGAATCAGTCATGTTGATGCAGGTGTGTGTGTGGTGTTTTTGAAGTAGAACTGGATTATCCCAGCAAGGTAGTGTACCTACAAATTATAGTACAAACCCAGGCTTGCTGTCTAAAGGACATTTGTAAGAAATAACAATGTATCTCAATATATGTTGACAATCTATACCATAATGGGATTACACAAGTAGCTAAACTTGAAAGTCAAATTGGCATTTGCATATCTAATTCTTGGGCTGAACCGTCTGTGGGCTAATTAATAATGATAATGAAAAGGGGGTATAATTTGGGATTTAATGCAAGGATATATTCTGAAAATTGCCAAGGCAGAGAGGGTGGAGAGGAGAAAAGTACAGAGGGAGATGGTGCTGAGAGACCAGCAAGAAATTAAATCTGGCTGTGGATCCAGTCCCTTGTTTTCCATTCTCTTAAAGTGGATTTTGCAGTAGCCTAAAAGTGAACACAGGAAAATTGGGGAAGAGGTGAGCTTTGCAGAAGTGTGGAGGTGAAAATGAGGAAATTGCTGTTATGACAACGTGCATGGGGTATTGTACAGAAAGTGTTTACATTTTATTCATTGGAGGCTTTCAAGTTTATAATATACAATTTAAAACTAGTCTTGAAGAGGGACAATTTGACAGCACTGTATAGGATAACTTAAGGGGAACTAGTTGGGAGGCTCTTGAAATAGTCTTCAACTAACCTTCATGCAGACTCTACTTTGTCCCTTATATCCAGTCAATCTCAACTCATTTCTTTCACAGTCGCATCCTTCCTACCTTAACTAGCCCTTTGGAGCTTCAATCCTGGGTTATTCATGGTTCTAAATTTCCTAAATTATTCTCTACGGAAGAATGTTTGAAAAAATTATCTCATGTAGACACCATGCATACAGACAGTGAAGGGAGGTGCCTTAATAAGTTTTTCTCAATAATATTTTCAATGTAAACCTTGGTTCCTACACTGTTATTTCCCATAAAAACAAGGATTCAAGTTCAGTGTGATGTGAATCAGTGAAGCCACTCAAGCACAGTTCACTTCTAGGGAGACAAGCTGCTGCTTTTCTCAACACAGCCCAGCAGCCGCCCAAAACCCTTCATACAGACTAAGTACCCTTCTCAGGGCTACTTTTTCTTGATGGATTTGAAGAGAGGGAGCTGCTAGAATATAGATATTCCCAGGATCAGGACTCTGAGAAATACATAAACAAAGTCTATGAAAATGATTAGACTCAAAATTCCTGAATGTAGCACAGGGCCTTTTACATAGTTACTTAAGGTGTACTCAATAACTTGAATTGGATCTCACCATCTAATTTGAGGTAACAGTTTTTCGTGCTCTATTTTCTTCTTTGCTATCAAAAAAAGTAAAAATGAGAAATTACAAGAAAAAAAGATTTTTGAAAGAGAAAAGCACTAACAAACCAGATGTAGAACTTTGAAACAGCTATAAAATGCTTGGCTCATGCGGACACAATTGTCACAGAGCCACATGGTGATGCCCCGCATGGTATGTGTATAAATCCCTGTGGGTGGTAAGTTTTTTGATACATAATCAAATCTACCTTTATTTAGAGTTCAGAGGAAAATTTTCCAACAGAAATCTGCTGATTGGCCGCCAAGATCAATTTTTCAATCACCCTTATTTTCTACCTTTAAGTAGCTAGAAGCAATATGAAAGAGAGAAACATTTGGCAACAAATCTTTGAGCCACCTTATCTTCATTAGGCCCTCTGTAATTACATACACTTGGTCAAGAATCTCATAATAACTTTAAAAACTCCAAAAGTCAGACATTGTTAATGCCCCTTTTTAGTATTATTTGATGTTACCAACCCTCACCCAGCCAGTGACCCCATCAATCAATAACTCAGTTATTCTACATTTTCTGAATGAATCTACCCATCTGACTGATTAAAAATGAATAAGCCAAAATCGATGTATTAATATCAGATAAAAACTGTGTTAGCATGGTCTTTTTAAAATATCCTAATGTAAAACTAACCCCATCATTTTGGAGGTGGAATGGCAGGCTCAACTTTAAAAAAGAAAAAAAAAATGGTGTAAGATGAGTGAGCAAGATACCACATTAAGGAATACATTCTATGCCTCCACAGTTCATCTCTCTATCTAAAGCGGATATCACATCCAGTGCTGCTACACAGGATAACCTAACCAGTACCAGATTGACCTGACCAATCCACATTAGTAATGATGTCTAATTTTTCTACTCACTCAAGAGTATGTTTTTAATTGACTACATTTTTAACAGCTTTTACAGAATCAATTCTATCATCTTCAGTGTTTTGGCTACAAGATTGAGGAGGGAAAAAACCCTCCTTTCTGAAAAATTGGAGGATTTCTCATTATGTTTCCATTGTCAAAAACTGAGTTTGAAATTTTAGAAAAGTTGCAAAGAATTACACCGGTCTCATGCATTTCCTCCTTTTATTTAATCTCATTTGTCTCATATAATCATATATCTGCCTATAATTCATCAACAGTGTGATCAAGTGGAACCCTGGTGACGCCAGGGTAACTATACACTCACAAATATTTCTAGTCTTTGTGTCTGAGGCTACATGTGTAGACGTTTAGCATTTCCATTTGCACCAAGTCTTAGTGTCTCTGGATTATTGGATTCTAAAAGGAAAATTAAAGAGGGATGGGTTCTGAGTCTGCTACTTACTTGATACACAACCTTAGGCAGGACATCTTGAATCACAGTTTCTACTTCTATATATGTTGAGATAAGAGGAAGCTAGGAGATAAGATTACCTAGGATGCCAGGTAATCTTCAATCTTCCTTCCACCACCAGCAGTCAAGACCCCAAAGATAAGTTTCTTTTTTGTTGTCACCAATCACCTGTAGTTATTTACATGATTAGCCAAAAAGTCAAAAGACAGTTAGTTTCACGGCCACATTCTCTTACTTGTGCTCCAGCTCCTGGTATCTCTAAATGATTTCCAAGCATAGTTCATCAACCCTACGATGGTTCCCTAAACAAAATCTCACACTTAGCTCTTTGAAATTGTTGAATTCATCCTTTTTTTTTTTTTTTTTTTTTTACCACCCCTCTGCTCCCATTTCATAACCTTGAAAATAGCCAGGTGGCCTCCTTGCAATCACTTCGGATTAATTAGCCACTGTTTATTTGTAAGCGTCAGGCCTCCCTACTACCACCATCTGCTTCTTGTACTCAACGTTTCGCTGTCTATCACTGCTCAGTGTTACCGCTGATGAGGGTGTTTGGCCACCGGGGCAAGGTTTCAGCCAAACTTTAGGTCAGGTTTCTTCATGTTGATGCTCTGAACAAATATTTGTTGAAAAAAAGACTGCATTTTTTGAGAGAGGAAAAAAGTATAGACTCATGTAGAGTTTATGGTGTCTATTAAATTTAACAGAAATTAAATTTTACCTGTTTATATTAACTACCATTGCATTGACATAATAAAGATTAATATAGCATTTATAGTTCTTTTACTATCAGCTGCAATGAATTACTGTTCATAATTGGGCCAAACTTTTACCTTCTTGTCTCCAACTGGCCTTTGTAAATCTGAGAGGAAATTGTGAAATCGACTCTCAAAAAACTTCTTTTACTAGGAGAACACCCCTCAGCCTGTCCAAAGAGTTCCTGAGTGGACTTTGAGCTGGTAGACACAGCATGGTGGCTGCACACTGGAGGGGAAGGGTCTGTCCAGTGTTCTCAGAACAATTTAAAGTATCCTCAAGAGCTGCATGGAAGGATGACCCTCAGGAAACGTTAGTCCCGCCCATCCTCAACGTGGCTCATGGTGTCAGTCCAAAAGAATTGCCTTTTCTACTCTCAAGAAACCTGAAGCTAGAGTCCTCCCTAAAGGAGAAAGAGGGAGAGAGAAGAAATACTACATATATTTCTAACGTTACACTTTTAAAAATATTTGATGGGTGGATATCTTATCCCGAGCCACTGCCCCCCAGATTATAAAACCATTTTGCCAAAAGTTGAAGGACTTAATATTTGCTCTATGTTTTGAGGTGTTAGAAGTTTTCTCTGTAAAGAATCAGGCCTCAACTAGCAGCCAATAGTGATTTTATGCTGCCTTCCAGAGAGCCTCAGCCGCAGTCCAGGAATTCAAACACAAGTGGAAGTGGGAACACAGCTTGTCTCAATATCAATAAACTTGTCCTTATAATGAAAGACAAGACTTGTTTGCCAGACCTATAAGGCAAACATATCTGTTTTGTGTACTGAAGAAAACTGGTCCATGGACAGTGTCACTAAATGAAGGCAGAAGCCTTTCATGCTGGAAAGGCCTAATGAGAACCGAGGGTTGCCTGATTTTACCAAATGCTCTCAGATGCCTGCCTTCAAAAGATTAACTGTTTTGTATCCACCAGCAGATTGCCCCTTTTTAGCTGGTCCTGAAACCTATTTAAGCTTTGCCAGTCCCCTTGCTGGGGCTTGATACCGAATCAAGACAAGCTGATTGACGCTGATTTGGGGTTTATGCAAACAAAGCAGGAAGAGTGCACAATTTTCCACATGATTATTTTTTTTTTACGGAAAAACATCTGACCCTGGATAAGTTCATTTATAAGTGAAATCTTGAGGTTTATTTATTTATGTTTGTCAATTCCTTAAAGAGAAAGAGAGAGAGAAGTTTATTGTCTTTGCTGCCCAGTTTCATAAAACCACTCTAAAATGGAGCAAAATGAGTTGTTTCCAACAAAAACAAAAACAAAACAAAAATGTTTAAGTCTCTATATGATATTGGTAAGTTTAGTTGGCTGGCATGAAGAAAATAACTTAATTAGGAAAAGGAACTAGGAAATTGCATTAATTTACTGACTTAAGTATGAAAATTAAAGAGAAACCTGTACATTCTGCACATGTATCCCAGGGCTTAACGTATAATAAAAAATTTTTTTCAAAGAGAAAAAATATACATCAGCTAGATAAATTTTTTTATTCATAAAATATACAACTTTCTCGTTTTCTCTTTTGAAATCTGGAGAGTTTACAAGGGTTAAGCAGGAAGGGCTGACCTTGTTAGAAGTGAGAGTCTAAGTTCTCTGTGATAGGTTTATTCTCTTTGCCCGCTTGCCTAAGACATTCTCTTTAAAATTCAACCCTTCTGTATTTCATCTCTTTTATTAGAGGCATAAAAAGCAGACACCAGATCCCTGAAGTTAAGATCATGATCGTTTATAAGTCCCACCTTGTGAAAGGGCTGCAGTTGGCTAGTGCAGCAGAGTGTCACAGATAGAGCATAGGCTTTGGGAGCAAAAGCCCTAATTTAAATTCGGGCTCAGGCATTACTTTCTGGTTGACTGCAGGAAACTGTTCAGCTGCAAAATGGGAATAATCACTCTCATCTCAGAAAGCCACTGGGAAGACTAAATGAGGTTTGATTTCATCACTTGTGAGCTGTTACATGGTGCCTGATACAGGGGCCTTCTCTAGGCTCTGATTTCAGAGACAGCAGCGAGGCATGTATTGTTTTCTGTCATTTCACATGGGAGCAAATTAGAGATTCTCCTCTAATCCTCTTTTCCATAAGACTAGTCCATAGATCTTGTGCTCCTCTTCCAGCTATTGTTTAGAAGCAAATAGAGGGGATTTGTCCCCTTAAGTCATAAAAAAACTTATTGGAGATGCCTGAGAGACACAATAGGAATATAGTAAATACAGTATAGTATTAGCTGAAATAGGAGACATCAAAACAATAATATTTTGAGTTTTTCCTTTGTCCCACCTTAAAATAAGAAAAAAAAATGCTAGAAGCAGATTTCTCATGAATACAACGATACTTAAGTTTCTAAACCCTCACTTCCTAGACTCCTCCAAATCAGTATACTACTTTCAGGCTTAAGCGTATATCATTTTCCCTGAAGGAGGGCCCTCAAAATCATATAAGCTTCTAGTCACTTATACAACACCAAGATCCACCCTGCAAAAAATTATCTCTAATTAAGTAACCTCATCTTATTTCTGTTCCCTTTCCATACTGAAGTTTTGGTTCAAATTTTGAATGTGGAATCCGGAATCTGATGTGCAAAGCAAACAAAAGAAATGAGATTGCCTGACGAACTGAAAAACCCTTTGCGCTCCAAAACCACTGTGCACTCGGGAATAACAATAGATCACATTTAGGTATTCCTCATTCAATTATACAGCACTATTTTAAAGCATTCTAATTGACAAATAGCGTATACTCAAAAGAGTACATAAACCATATGTGAATAGCTAACTGGATTATTACAAATTGAAGACACTCTTGTAACTCCCACTCATGTCTAAATCTAGATCATTACCAACTCCCAGAAAGCCCTGCTGTGCTGTCATTTGTGTATCTTCTCAAATGTTTTATTTGAAAAACTTCAACCCTTCAAAAAAGTTGAAACAGCACAATAAACACCTGCACACCTTTTAGTTAGTCATCAATTACTAATATTTGGCCACAGTTGCTAACTCTTGTGGTCCCCTTCCCTGCTCTCTCGCTCCTGTTGAAGTACTTGAAAAGTACCATAATGAGACAAGAGAGTAGGATCTGGAGGCAGAGAACCTAAGGCTGATTCACACTGACTTCCTAGAACTAAATCAAAAGGAAAACCCCAACTTTCCATGCCAAGTAACAAAAGGACCAGAGGCTCTTCCCTTTGCAACCCACCCCTTTTCTGCATGACAGATGAAAAATTGAAAGTACCTCTGATTGGTCTCCTCCCATAACAAATCAGGCTGGTCGTGGGCCAAGTCTTCATATAGGAGACTATACATAGAAGTCTAACTTTGCATAGGAGTAATTTCAGCCCCGATTGGTCACTTTCCACAACCAATCAGATGTCTCCATAGGGGGTGACTTTGTAACTTCACTTCAGCCTCTCATTGGTCACTTTCCACAATCTATCAGACTGATCGTGGGCCACTACTTCATTTACGTAGGGTGGGCACCAGGTAACCAATGGGAAACCTCTAGAGGGTATTTAAACTCCAGGAAATTCTGTAACCAGGCCGTTGAGCCACTTGCTCAGCCCACTGCCACTCTGTGGAGTGTGATTTCGTTTTCAACAAATCTGTGCTTTTGTTGCTTCATTCTTTCCTTGCTTTGTCTGTGCGTTCTGTTCAATTCTTTGTTCAAAGCACCAAGAACCTGGACACCTTCCACCGGTAACAATAACCTTACTCCTAACCTCACTCCTAACCTCACTCCTAAAAATTACATATATTTCCAAAAAGCAGGCCATTCTGCTATATAATCATTATTATGACAAATGTTGATTCAGTGACATTGTCTAATATCAAATCTATATTTAAATTTCCCCAATTGTCCCCAAAACTTTATAGTTTTCTCCCTATCCAGGACCCAATTAGTATTTCTGTATTACTTCTGGTTTTTATGTGTCTTTAGTCTTCTTTACTTTTGAAACAGTCTTGCCACCATTTTCACCTTCAGGGCAGTGAAAACATAAACAATCTTACCGAATGTCCCAGAACTGGGTTTCAAAAGTGTATCTTCTGTTTTTCTTTGTTATTGCTTGTATTTGTTTCTATACCTGAGGACGGCTACCTCAAATGTTACAGGCAAGATAAGCCATATAATTTACGGGAGCTGTGCAAAATGAAAAGGCAAGGCCTCTTGCTCAAAAGGCAGGTGGAAATTGCTATTTAAGATCCTAAAATAGGCACGGCACAATGGCTCACACTTGTAATCCTAGAACTTTGGGAGGCTGAGGTAGAAGAATCATGTGAGCTCAGAAGTTAAAGACAAGCCTGGGCAATATGGCAAGACCCCATATATATACAAAAATTTTAAAAAAAATTAGCCAAGCATAGTGTCACATGCTTCTGGTCCCAGCAACTTGGGAGAGTGAGGCAGGAGGATCGCTTGAGCCCAGGAGGTTGAGGCTGCAGTGAGCTGTGATTGTGCCACTGCACTTCAGCCTGGGTGATGGGCAAGACCCTGTCTTAAAAGAAAAGAAGCTATATTAAAATATAAAGCTTTTACCTTTAAAAATGTTTTCTTACTATAAAACATAATGGACTGGTGGTACTATATGAGTACTACTGTAAACTTAATAAATTGTGAAAAAAAATCTGCTATTGTAATTTCAGGCAATATGATAAATACTAATAAACTCAATACTTTATTAATAATAAAGGTAATATGATAACTTGATTGGTCATAAGATTTTGCTGGCTATATCTTCTGCCTATTCACTTATTAGGTCAATTAAATGTATGCTTTTAGCAACTTCATCTTCAATAAAATTGACAGCAATCGTTCTTGGCAAATGAAAGATCATAAATTATTTTTGATAATTTTTAAGTTTGAGAAGGATATTTCTGAAGCAACTGTTACTAGAGTTATTGAGTATGTTATAGACTATGATAACATTAGGAGAAATCTTTAATAAATTATTTTGAAATACAAATTTTGATATATCTATAGCTGATGATTCTTGAGGTATAATTTTTCTAAAATGTTTAACTCTGTACAAAGCAGTTTTGTGTACATGTGAATTTAATTTTAAGTATAAATGGCATTGTAATGTTTCCTCTGACAATTTTTGTAATTCGTGGAGGTCATATAAGAAACTGAAAGTAGCTTCATGATTCCTGACCTGTTTGCAGGTTATATCACTGTAGCTTCTATTATAAGAAAATATTCATCTTAAAATTGTTTTCTTGTTAATAGTTGGTTCACCCCAAACTTCATATGGAAATAGGATTATTTTCCATCAAATGTGATGATCTTTAAATTTAATTTCTGTTTATAAGATTGTGGATATTTGGTTTGCAATGGTACAGTGGTTTTCAAACCCAGTACTATATGTACACACAGACACACATACACACATACATGTAAAAAATTGGGTCAGAGAAACAATTATCCTATTTTACGTTCTGGGATACATACGCAGGATGTGCAGGTTTGTTCCACAGGTAAACGTGTGCCATGGTGGTTTGTTGCACCTATCAACCTATCACCTAGGTATTAAGCCCAGCACGCATTAGCTCTTTTGCCTGATGCGCTACTCCCTGACAGGTTCCAGGGTGTGTTATTCCCCTCCCTGCATCTGTGTGTGGAGAAACAATTTTTTTAAAAATCCATAGACAGTAGAAGTTGACTGCACTATTTATCCTATTAGATAAAACTGATATCATATTTCCCTGTACTCCATCAAAAAAACTAAGAATTATGATGAATATATACATGGATATATTCATACTTACATTATCAAATAAAAAGAAAAACGTCTCACAAATTAGGTCAATGAATTTCCCACTGTGGATAGGAACTATGAGGTCAAATGCAGATATATTTTCTTAGCCTAATTTTTGTTTGCAATATGAAGTGCTTCTTTCACATTATGACATCTGTCTCCAACACCTTCATCTTCCTTTCCTTCCAACCCCCAAACTTCCATTTAGCACAAATACTATACAATTGGCTGCACAAATTCAATATTCAACAGCTATAATTAGGATCAGGAGAAAGAAATGAAGCCATATTTTTCTTAAAAAAAAAAAACTACAGCTGAATTCATTTTACTTAGCAGCAATTAAAACACATTTGTGAATTTATAAATATTTTGTAGCATGGTTCTGCAAGTGTTTCTAATTTAAGCAATGACAGGTGCTTGTTGTTTAAAATAAATAGCAATCCTGGGGTCTTTTACTTAGGATGCAAAAATGTGGAATAACTAGATTGAGTGCCAGCTAAATTAAAAATAAATAAATTCTGCTATTTCCTGCTTAGTGAACTCTGACATGCGTCAGAGTAGCAGGTGAAGAAGTGCCTACTACGTGCCAGGTGCTATGTTATTTAGTTGCATTTAATCATCAGAAAAATTCTGAACCTTAGTTGTTAATAGCCTCATGTTATAAGTAAGGAAACTGAGCTTAGAACGGATAAATAACTTAGCCAAGATCATATTGCCAAGAAGTGGTAGAGATGAAGTTTAAGCACAAAGTCAGACCCTTTCCCGTGGGAGTAGTTGCTGGTGTTGATCCTTGTCTTTGCCAACCACAGCTCAGCTGAATACCTGCAGGAGCTATCACAGTACAGCAATACCAGTCTTACATGCAGTTTAGGAAGAGGAAGAATTGTGGGTTTCCAGTGAATGGTGATATAAATGTCTTTCTGTGTTCATTTTTAGGAAGCAATTGAAAGATTAAATTTTAAGCTCTGAAGTCAGACTGTTTGCATTTGAATCCCACCTCAGCCACTTCTTAGATTATGAATTTGGGTAGGTTTCTTAGCTACTCAAAGCCTCGGTTTCCCCTTGATAAAATGAGGATGCAATCATCATCTACCCTACAGGACTGCATTGCGGATAAAGTCAAATGATGAGTAGAAATCAGTGAGCACACTGCCTGGGACATTATGAAAGCTCAATAAAACTTGGATATTATGATGCTGTTTAATATAAAGCGATCTTTGGGAGCATGCCCTGCCTCCAAATATGGTATCTACTCAAGAGCCACACCCGAAGTCACAATAGGACAAATTCAGTCTTAGAAGTCACTAGGTCCTACAGCCTTTTAAAGAATGAGTTCAAGCATCATTTTCCCCAAGAATATTTCCTAGATATTCCATACATGTTTGTCTAGCATTCTGCTTATCGGAATATACACAATATTTAAGTAAACTTTATTCTGTAACAACATATTATGATGTTTACTTATGTGGCTTTTGCCTTACCTAGTCTGCGTGCTTTCTGAGGGCAGAAATTCTTTCTGTCTTACCCATCTCTGGACACAGTTAAGACTTTTGGCCCTTGCCCTAACTTGCTGACACAGGGTCTTACCTCTGCAGAGCTGTTCCTCTCCCTGCAAAGAATTTCTGAGGGTCCCCAAAGTGCTGTTCCATCTGCTCGTCACCGTGGTCTTGCTAAGGTCTGTGGGGCATGGCTACCTCTCTTTCTGGATATCACTTCCTTTTTCTACCACTGGTAACTCCTCCCAAGTGCTGCTAGAACAGCTCTTGGCATCCAAATTGAGCAGTATCCTGTGAAAAAGTGTGGAAGAATCTTCTCTGTTTGTGTTTTGCTTTGTTCTAGGGTTTCCCAAAGTAGTAGTGGAGTACAAATGGTGGAAAAATGGGAGTGGTCCACCCCAGGTGAAGGCAATAGAGGGTATGTGTCTGCAGAGAATTTGAAAATAATAAAACTAACTTGAAGTCAGTCTGCTTTTTACTACCACTATGTGCCAATCAATCAATCAAACAGTGATGGTAGTAAACTACCCCTCCCTGGAAAAAAGAAAACCTTTAGTTGATCTAATTTCTAAACAATTGCTATAGTTACTGAGCTTTTAATAACAACAGCAGCAATAATACAGGCTTCAAATGATCAAGTTTTGTTACTTATACCTTAATATACATGGCATTCTACATGGAAGTTAACTCAGAGCACTCTCAGTAGTACAGTCAGTTTCCAGATATACAGGCTCAGCTATATAATTTCCTTTGAAGAGAAAGGAATGGTTTGGAATAGGTCCAACTCATCTTGGGTGGAGTTTATGTCTCTAATCCCTTGAATACTACATATTACTCAGTGTAAACAATAGATTCAAAATAATGATGGCATGTTGATTGTAAAGATGAAGAGACAGAACCTGACTTACTTCAACTCTGTCATTCTGTATGATCTCTTAGAGGTTTTATGTTTGAAATTTTAAAACGGCAAAGCATAGTACACATTTTGAGTCAGTTCAGTAAGTGCAAATTTTAGTTCATACATTGAATATTTTACTGAATTTTAATATTAAACTGAAATTTTAAAATTCTTTTTAAACTAAAGAATGAATCAAGAAAATAATGGTTATTAGTACATGATTATGACTAGCAATAATTTTTAGAATAGGAAAGAGGAATCTTAAAAAGTAATCTGCTCTGTGCTCTGAGTGTCAAATATATTATATATGCCATGACAAGCATGATCTCTGGGCCACCATATTTTACAAATTTAGAGTAATCTTGAAGATACCAAAAACCCCAATTGTGATGATTAATTTTGTGCGTCAACTTGGCTAAAGGATTTGCAGACAGCTGGTAGGTGTGTGTGTATGTGAAGTTGTTTATGGAAGAGACTTGCATTTGAATCAGTAGATCTAGTAAAGAAAATTGCCCTCACCAGTGATGTTTGGCATCAACCAATCTGTTGAGAGCATGGATAGAAGATAAAGGCAGAGAAAGCATGGATTCTCTCTCCTTTATTGAGTTGACACATCCATCTTCTCCTGCTCTCAAACATCAGAGCTCCTGATTCTTAAGCCTTCTGACTAACATACCAATATTCAGACCAGAGACAGTGAAATGTAAACTGGAGTCAGAGAACAAAACTCTTGCTTCTAAATCAAGTGTGTCCTGCTCCCCATATTCCTCCATTCTCAAGGCTTTTTAGGATCTAGCACAAAGATTCTTGAGGGGCCTGTTCCACTGTTGCTCCCACATGCACAGATATGTAAACACATGGCCATGTATGCCACTTAGACTCAAGCTGGGACCCTTCCACTTTTGTAATACCAGGTCAGGTACTGAGCCCAAACAGAGCAGATATACAGTGATTGTGAAATGGATAAGTGAAGAGATAAAATGTGTGACATTAAACTACACCAACACGATGGTGTTTAATCTGATCTACTCTTGACTGGATGAGGAAAGGGAAAAGAGAAGGATGAGCATCAGGGAGGTAGCAGAAAAGTCAAGGAAAGGATCAGTAAGTGTGCTGCAAAGACTGGGGAAGCTTAGATCATGTCTCAGGCTGACCAGGCTAGAGCCTGAGTGGAGTTAAATTCCAGACACTGTTCCTCCAAATGCAGGAGTGGAGCAACAGGAGAAGTCCCTTTATTGTTGCTTTTCTATTCCCATAGCACTTTGGGTTTTATGCTTTGCAACCATTAATTATTTTTTCCTCAAGGCACTCTGGTGAGACCTCACAAGCTAGGAAACACACGGAACAAGATCAAGTGCCTTGCCAGGCCTGCAGAGCACTTCCGAGAGCGTAAGGATAACTGGCCTCATAGTTTCCCCTCCTGTGCTCAGGTCCCCATGGCCCTCTCCTAAGCCTTTCCTGCTAGAGGTAAAGAAATACTGTGTGGCCTCCAGGAGCCATCAAAGATGTGAATCTACTCACTTGTGCTTAATAATAATTGAAGACCTTCCGGAAAATGACTTTAGCTTTTTGAAAGTAATTTAAGGTGAGAAAAGAAAAAAGAAGATTTAAATATAAAATGTTGAGTCCTGACTTAATTTTTCCTTTCTTAGGTAACTGGGGATTAGGCAAGATGGTATTGAACCCGTCATTTTGAACCTGAGGATATTTGGTTCTTTAATCTATCAATAGGGCAAGCAGTAATACTCAGCAAAAAGGATTAAGACTTCAGAATTCTATGGAGACTGCCAACCGTTAGCCTTCCTGTTGTTTGAGCTGTGGCATCACTCACTACCTCCAGAGTCCCTCCTACAACCCTGACGCCACCCTCAGGGGGATTCAGGAAGGCTCAGGCAGCTCCATGTGCCCCTTTTAGATTACCATGTCTGTAGCCAGAGCCCCACCCACTTCACTCCTACAAACGGACCTAAAACAGTCCCCAGAAATGCTATAATCAGAATTTATGATGTACCTTTATCTAAAAGGCCATCACAGCTAATGTGATCATGCTTTAATATCTCTGTTTATGTTAGCTACTTCCAGGAGTTCAAGATTCAAGGTTATCTTACTACTTGAGTTTTTATTCTTCTGTGGCCCTAATCCTACCTGGTCTTCTATCACTCCCTGGCCTCCCAAACCCATTTGCTCTTTTCTCTGGAGTTGAATCTATTATTGGCTAAATTCTTTAACCTCAACATTTCCTCCAAGTGGAATCTGACTACTGTCTGAGGGCACTACTTCTCCAACAGCCCTCACCAGCAATGATGTTTTTCTACTGCTCCCATGTTCCCTGGAGCCTGGACATGAGGTAGCATTTTCCTTGCTCCTCTGGGCCACTTCCACCCATTTTCCCACTCCTCCTTTCTCAAACTCGCGGCTTCTCTGAGCCCCATCTATTAGGCAGCACCATTCACTACCCCTCCTTGTGGTGCTTGTCTAACAAGTGTCCAGTTAGACCTCCATATTTATTGAAAATGTTAGGACCCAGGTCACCGCCTTTCTTACCAAAATGAATCCTCCTGTCATCATTCTTCACAGCTTCAACATCTGACAAGAGGATTCACCTATTACCCTGGCCTATCACTTTTAGCTACAGTTCTTTTAGTTCACTTTAGCCATCAACTCTCATAATCTTAACAGCTTGGTTCACATAATTACCCATAACTGTATTACCTCCTTTATCTTGATTTCAAGTATTGTACTATCTGACCACCAGCTCTATCTTTCCAGCTCACATATCCTAACACTTCTCCCGTTCTAACATTTCTTTGATCTTCATTGGAACTCTAAATCTATTGACTTTGACATACCTGTCAGTCCTCCTAGTGTCCTCATATCTTTCCTTACCTAACGTAGATTCCGTAGATCACATAGTTTTTAATGGATCAGGAATTGGAGAGAGGTTGGATAGTTCTCCTTTTGGTCTCTCATGAAGTTGTAGAAAAGATGTCAGTGAGAACTACAGTCATCTGAAGTTTGGACTGGGACTGGAGGATGTTTCCAAGTTGGCTCAGTCACATGGCTGTTGGCAGGAGTCTTCATTTTCTCACCATGTGGACCTCTTCATGACGCTGCCTGAGTGTCTCCACAAAAGGGCAGTTGACCTCCCCCAGAGTGAGTGATCCAAGAAGAAGAGAAAGCAGGAAACTACAATGCCTTTTATGCCCTAGTCTTGGAAGCCACACATCACCACATCTACCATATTCTATTTGTTAGAAAGCATGTCATTAAGGCTGGGCGTGGTGGCTCACGCCTGTAATCCCAGCACTTTGGGAGGTTGAGGCTGGCGGATCACTTGAGGTCAGGGGTTTGAGACCAGCCTGGCCAACATGGTGAAACCCCATCTCTACTAAAAATACAAAAATTAGCAAGGCATGGTGGTGAGTGCTTATAATTCCAGCTACTCAGGAGGCTGAGGCAGAAAGGGGAGTCACTTGAACCCGTGAGGCAGAGGTTGCAAGTGAGCTGAGATTGCACCACTGCACTGCAGCCTGGGCAAACAAAAATAAATGTCTAAACATAAATAAATAAATAAAAGAAAGAAAGTCATTAAGTTCAGTGTACACTCAAAAGGAGAAAAATCAGTCTCCACCTTTTGAAGACGGGAGTGTCAGGGAGTTTGTGTACATATTTAGGAGAAGCACACCATTTTACAGATAAGAAAATGTATGTACCTGGGGGTCCAATAACTTGGCTGTGGTCAAGCAGTCTCAAACACGAAGGAATTTTTTATCTTGCCGTGTAAAGTCCTGATCAGTGGATACTTCAAGTAGCAGCTCAAAGACTCAGTATGCGTCCATTTTTTTGGATCTACTATCTTCAGTCCGTGGCTTTCAAGGTTGAAATTTTTGTCTACATCAAGCCCCGGAAGGGAAAAATATGAAGAATTGAACATGTGAAGTTTTTATAGGTCAGGCTTTGGAATGACAAAATATTATTTCTGCTCAAATTCCACGGGCTAGAGCTCAGTCACATGGCTACAACTACCTGCAGGGAACGTTAGAAAATGTACACTAGCGGTGTGCTTAAGGAGAAGAGGAAATAGGTTTGGTGGGAATTTAGTAGTCTCAGGCCACACACAAATCCCATGCTCGTACTAATAGCCACTGTGATGTGAAAATATGGATATTTATGTGTTCATGAGGAAAGTGTGTCAGATGGAAGTGCAGGTAGGATCACCAGCAACTTTCACAAATAGAAGTTTTGTGACTTTTTAAGATAAAATGGCAAAACAGTATCATACATTCAGATTGCTTCTATGCTTTTTATTGTTATTCATCTGTTTGTTGATTGAAACCACCGCTGGATACACATATTTATTCCATTATATGCCTAAAGATATGTTTTGTAGGACATCCAATATATAATCATATATATATATATATGGGATTTTTCATCGTAACATGGAAATTAGGTTCATTTGGAGCTTTACTTTAGAATTACCTAGAAAATGAATCCAATCTTCCACTTCATCTTACAAACCACAATGTCCAAAACCTCTGGATACAAATGAATCTGTGCCAGTTCTCCTGTTTGCTCTGGAGTTGAGCACCCTGCAAAGTCTCCCCCAAGTATCTCTTAGATTCTCAGGGGTGGTAGCATCTTGTTGTGCTCAGCAACAAGTATACTCCCACTCCACTGACCCAACCTCTCACCAAGGCACCAAGCCACTGACTGTAAGCAAGCAACCTCTGGAGGAATGCGGTTCCACTGTGCTCATCAGCTCTCCACTGACAGCTACCCTAATCCCTGAGAATGCCAAAGCATTCTAGTCATGGGTCTACTATTTGAACTCTCAAACTCATGAAGTATTTCATAAACACATGTAGTACTTTTTTTCTGGTTTCAGCACTTTGGGTAGATAATAATATTGTTCAGGCAATATTAACTCCTCCCTCCCTCCTGACAGGAGAATATGTTCTCACCCATTGATGTTGGTCTTATACATGTGACTTGCTTTGACCTCACAGTGGGCAGAAAATACCTCCCTCACCCCTTGAACTTGAGCATGACCCTTGACTTGTTTTCACCAATAGGATATTAGTTGATATGACATACACAGGAGCTAGAAATGTGCATGTGTGTTTCAGCTTAGTCTATCACTCGCCTACTTTTGCCATGAGAAGAACACACCTCATGGAGCATCTGGTCGAAAAAGGTTAAGAAACACATGATATACACCTGGACTTAACCTGCAGAGCTAAGTCAGACAAACCCAGCCTACATCACCTGAACTCCAGTCAAGCCATGGGTGTGTGAGAGAGAAATAAATGCTTATTGCTGTATCCACTCCATTTTAGGGTGGTTTGTATGCAGTGTTTATGTGGCAATATCTGACTGTTATATTCTACCTTGGTCTCAAAATCAGTCCCTCAGGCTGAGACGTGGGAGTAAACATCAGTCTCTCCATTCCAAAGCTTTTCCTTCCCCTCTGTGCCCTTCAGACACTCCAGGACCAAACCAATCGAAATGAAACAACGACCTGAATCCAGTATGGGACTCATCTAGGATATCTTGGCATATTTGACTAATAGTGACCAGCCCATGTTCCACATGAGTCCTCTTGTAGAATTTCTTTAAAAATAGCATTTGGAAATTAAGCTTCAGAACAAGTTTTCACTACCACCCAAAGATGCAGGCTTAACATTTCCTTTTACAGAGAAGTTTACTAAAGTGATTTTTTTCTATTTAATTAGGCTCTTGTGAATCACAGATCTTTCACATAAGTGAACTTACCCTGCAGGGTTAGTGGTATCTTTTCTGGCAAATATTTTACAAAGAAGGCATTTGTCTCAGAAATAAACATTTAATTTGGATGAATTTTCATAGCCACAGTGCTTGATTCTGATGAAAATGTTTACTAGCAGCATTTCTGCTTTAGAACGATTTGTTTCTATTATGTTGACAGAAACAAAATTTGGTTGGTTGTTGTTTGGGATGTGAAATGGTTTTGTAAGCATTTCAGCTTGATGCCCAGGCAGGCAGTCACAATATTTCTTCTTCAAATAAATGGGAGCCACCATTTTTCTATTCATTACTTCAATAAGAAAAGTTTAGCCGGTGAAAGGATTGTCAAAAAACTGCATCATAAAAATCCTGAAGTAAATTGCAACAAAACTTAGTACACTGTAAATATTTTTGCAAAGATTTGGGCAATCTTTTCTTTCTATAAATACTTGTCTGCACAACAAAGGAAACGAAAAGTCAAAGGAGAAAATTGTGTTGTCTCATTTATAGTTGGGAACAGCAAATGTTACTGAATTAAGCAGAACCATATTGTGTGCTTCATGGGTTATACATAAGGTGGAAAAGTGGAATAGAATTTCATGCAAACATATTAAGCAACATAGAAGTGACTTCTGTAATTAAATCATATTTTTAATCATCAAAATTGAAAATAAGAGAAAACAACTTCTGAAGAAATCCAGGGTCAATCAGCTAAATAAACTAGTCATTCAGTCAACTAGCATTGATTAGATTTTAGCAAGATGGAATTGACTTTGCTCCAACTCCACCCACTTCACAAACTAATTAAAAAAGCACATCAGAGACATCTTCAATCAGCTTAGGAAGATAAGTGGGCTTCAAAGCAATCAACTGCAAAACTCTGTCAAGAATAGCAATAGATTGTCAAAGAACTTCAGAGAGCTTTCCCAAAGTTACTCAAGTCAATCAGAAGAACAAAACCCTCAGGACCACATGCTCATAATTTTGGGGAACATTTTTGGACAATGTATCTGACTGAAAAGAAAGGGAAACACACACCAGCGGAGCATATATTAGCATCCAACGTCTCACTTGGCTTCAGTCCACCCAAATACGCATTAAGCAAGAGTAATAACAATGCTTGGATCAAAGGGCTTGAAGGGTCGTTGGACAAATCATTTTAAATGTCTAGAAATGTACAATCACACATAGTCCTTAAATAAAAGAGAGGATTATTAGATTACCTTTTGCAAGGACCACTGTCTGCAGATCAGTAAAAGACCTTGCATCACGAGTGCTTCGTTCTCTTTGTTCTCCAAAGCACCACAGAACATTTTGTTCATTTTTGAATAGAGTGAGGAATAAAAAAAATCACTTTGGTTCATTCCACGGCACTAGAAATGCTTTCTTTCAATGTATTTTCATTCCCAAAGTACTGTAAGTCTAATTTCTCTTTTTTTGTAAGATAAAAATTTCTAAAGTATATGATAATCATACAAATGTATGACAATAAATGACAAGATATGAAAGCACTTAGTGCCCCGTTGTATTTGTTATTTTTTGTTTGTTTCTTATTTTTTATCTGACTGTATTTTGTACCCCTTAACCAACTTCTCTTCATTCCCCACTCCTCCATCTCCTTCCCAGTCTCTGGTAACCATCATTCTACTCTCTACCTCCATGAGATCCACTTTTTAAACTCCCATATACAAGTGAGAACATGCAATATTTGTCACAGAAAGCCTGGCTTATTTCATTTAACATAATGACCTCCCGTTCCATCTGTGATGGGATTTTTTTCTTTTTATGACTGAACAATATTCTATTGTGTATACATATACACCACATTTTCTTTATCTGTTCATTCATTGATGGACACAGGTTAAATCCACATTTTGGATATTGTTAATAGTGGTCTTAAACATGAAAGTGCAGATATCTCTTTTATATACTGATTGATTTTCCTTGGATGTATACCCAGTAGTAGAATTGTTGAATCATGTGGTAGTTCTATTTTCAGTTTTTTGAGGACTCTCCATACTATTTTTCATAATGGCTCTGCTAATTTACATTCCCACACAGTATGTAAGAGTTTCTCTTTCTCTGCATCCTCACCAGAAGTTATTTTTTATCCTTTCGATAATAGCCATTGTAACTGGGGTGAGATGACACCTCATTGAGGCTTTGATTTGCATTTTCCTTATGATTAGTAATGTAGAGCATGTATTCATATACCTGTTGGCCATTTGCATGTCTTCTTTTGAGAAATGTCAATTTAGGACTTTTGTTTATTTTTTAATTGGGATCTTTCTTTTTGCTATTGAGTTGTTTGAGTTTCTTACATATTCTGATTATTAAGGTCTTGTCAGAGGGACATTTGCACATATTTTCTCCCATTCTGTAAGTTGTCTTTTCACTCTGTTGATGATTTTTGTTTTTGTTTTTGTTTTTTTTTTTTTTTTTTGCTGTGCAGGCACTTTTTAGCTTGACATAATCACATTTATCTATTTTTACTTTTGTTGCCAGAGCTTTTGAGATCTTACCCAACTAATCTTTGCCCAGATCAATGTTCTGTAACATTTCTCCAGTGTTTTCTTTTAGTAGTTTTCTAGCTTCAGGTCTTACATGTACATCTTCACTCCATTTTGTGTTCATTTTGCATATGGTGAAAGAAGAAATCTAGTTTCATTTTTCTACATATAGATATCCAGTTTTCCCAGCACCATTTATTAAAGAGACTGTCCTTTCTTCAATGTATGTTCTTGGCACCTTGGTCAACAATGAGTTCGTTGTAAGTGAATGAATTTATTTCTCGGTTCTCTATTCTGTGCCATTGTTCTATGTCACTATGTCTGTTTTATACCAGTACCATGCTGTTTTGATTACTATAACTTTATAATATAATTCAAAATAAGGTAATGTGGTGCCTCTGCTTTTGCTGTTTTTGTTCAGGATTTCTTTAGCTATTTTGGGTGTTTTGTGGTTCCATACAAACTTTAGGATTTTTTTTTCCTATTTTTGTGAAATGACGGATCTCTACAAGGAAAACTATACAACACTGATGAAAAAAAAACTGAAGAAGAAATACACAAAAAATGAAGAGCTATCCTACCCTCATGAATTGCAAAGCTTAATATTGTTAAAATGTCTATCCTACCCAAGGTGACCTACAAATTCAAGGCAAACCCTATCAAAATACCAATGACATTCTTCACTGGAAGTCTAATTTTTTAATGAAAGATATCTATCTACCTACTCAAAGCTCTATTCTGCTGACAGTCTTAGGTAATAGATTCAAGAAAAACCTGAAAACAGAACTTTCTTTCCTTTAACCCTTAGATAAAAACAAGAAGAAGAGGAAGAAGAAGAAGAGGAAGAGGAAGAGGAAGAAGAAGAAGAGGAGGAGGAGGGGGAAGAGGAAGAAGACAAAAAGAGAGAAAAGATACAGAATAACATTTATGCATTTTGAGGTGTAGTCTTGCTCTGTTGCCAGGCTGCAGTGCAGTGGCACAATCTTGGCTCACTGCAAAGTCTGCCTCCTGGGTTCAAGTGATTCTCCTGCCTCAGCCTCCCGAGTAGCTAGGACTACAGCCACACACCACCAGGCCCAGCTAATTTTTGCATTTTTAGTAGAGACAGGGTTTCACCATGTTGGCCAGGATGGCCTCTATCTCTTGACCTCGTGATCCACCCGCTTCAGCCCCCCAAAGTGCTGGGATTACAGGCATGAGACATGGCACCTGACCAGGAGGTGACTTTCTATATCTATATGGTGTTGGTTTCATGCTGACTTGCTGCTTTCCAGTGGCAGTCATTTCTTCTTTCTTCCGCTTCCCCACACACATTGCCTCATTGTATTTTTTTCTCTCTCTGACTTCTATCTTCAATGTCTCTTTATTCGCAGATCAAGTCTTTACTCAGGATTATAGTTGCTTTATATGTGTGAAAATAGTTTTAAACCACTCCAAAAATAATAAATATACTTCTATCAAATACCGTGACTTAGTGATTGTGAGGCCACATCCAGAAATAGTTAGGACAGGTGAGGTAATGGGAGCCACTCAGGATGCTTCAGGACCACAGCCATGTACCAGCTATCATGGAATTACTTAGATATTGTAACAACAGCTACAGCAGTACCAGTGTGTGTCTGCCAAGTATCAGTGTTGCCTTTCTTTTCTGTGTCCATGTATAAACATTCTTGCATTCAGAAACTCACACCTAGGAACCAAAGAATTTAGAGTATATGTTGAATTTGAGAGCTAAAAATATTTAGAGATTACAAATCCCAAGTCCTTGTTTTAGAATAAAGAGTCATGTGTGACATACACTCACAAAGCTTTGTGCAGCAGAGTTCAGGCCAGATCCAATGTCTTCTAAATGTGCCATATTCTTTTTCAACAACATCAAGCAGAGAGTGCCTATTACACTAAGTAGATTTTCTATCACATTGGTCTTCAGCTGGAGGAAAATCAATTTCAGGCGATCGACCAGAGAATTAAAAGTCTTACTTAAGTTGTTAAATGTTACTGGTTCTCATGAAAACACAAATCTTCTCTACATCCCGCTCCTCCATCAAGACATTTGGACAGAAAGTAATGATAGGCAACTTATACAAAAAGGACTACTGAAACTTATGGAAACCAATAACTTCACAGGTCTAGTTTGTGGAAACGCCACAGGAAATTAACTAGCAGACCACATTTCTCTCCAGTTCTATATTCACTGCACTTTAAGAGGCATCGTGTTATTCTAGAAAGTGCGTCATCTTTGGTAGCAGACAAATACGGCACAAATCTCAGCCTGGAGATTTTGCCAGCAGTTAAAACTTGGGCAAATGCTTAATCTATATATTTCTCATTTCCTAGATTTATAGAATAGGCCTAATAATACTTACAACCTGGTTGTTATAAGACATAAGATGAGAAATCTATGTGTCACCCGTAAATCACAAACTTCACCTGCCTGTGGCCACAAAATAATGTTACATTTTCTTTTCAGGTCTAAACTATCATCATTCAAATTCTTTCCAGCAAACTTCTGGCGAATCTCCTCCTCAAAGTTTTCCAAGTGTTTTCCAGCATTCCAGCATCCCAGCATCCTGCCTCCCATGTAGTCCAGAACAAATCTGTCAGATTCTTCCCCTTGCCTCCCCTATGCTGTGGACCATCGTCATGATAGCATTGCTCTTCTGAACACCTATTTTTTAGAACAGCCCCCTCTTCCCCACCCCACTGCCTTCTCCCTGGGCTTTTTGTGAGCTTGCTGCTCAATCCAATTTCCTAAATCATAATTGGGAGATGACTATGGAGGATGTGGTTTGCCCCAAACTTGACTGAGGCTTAGAAATTCAGAGAGTACTTTATAGCTGCTTCCATCCCAGATACCCAAATTCTACCTTAAATCTCCTCAGTAGGTGAATGCCCTGCCTATCTCCCAGCCTGCCTCCTTGCATGGGGGCCCACTAACTCTCACCTCTAGAGTACTCCTAACACTCTCATGCTTAGAGTCCAGGACTAACTCTTCTTCCCTACCTGGGGCCCAAGAGAAGAAAATTTTCTTTCTCTTCAGTGATCCAAGGGCCAGATGTGTAGCCCCTTCCTTCTAGGATGATTGACAGTGATTTATCTTCCATTCAGGGCAAAATCATACCTCATTGCTAATGGTCTGGCCCAATGGCTCAAATATAGCAACTACCAGAGCCAATGGGAGATTTCCTAAAATCTAGTTTATTCAATATTCAATTATGCCTTATGTAGGACAAGGGTAGCTCAGTCCACATCACTAAGACCAGCCCAATATTTTGTTTATTTTTCCTCAAAGTGATTCTTCTGGAATGAAATACAAAAACATGAAAAATTATGCATTGCTCTTGTATTGTTCTGGTCTCCTATTTTGATCTCCTGTGAATAAAGGGTCAGTCCCCCACACACAGACACACAGACACACACATATACACACATACACACACCCATTTGCATACATACAAACACTCATGCATAAACATGTGCACATGCGAGAGATCTAAGAGAAAAAAATGGAGGAGGTCCAAAGACAAATGATAACGTAACCCCGCAAATCAGAAACTTCCTAGAAATGCACAGTTGATGTGGTTTCAGCTTAAAACATTTTTTTGACCTCCAATCCCCTAAGGCATCTAGTAATATTTATGGCTATTGTAATTTGTTATTATTATTTGGATAAGTAGGACACAGTAGTAGTAATTTGTAATAACCAAACTAAGTAAATGGAGATCAGATACTAAATCTTAAGTGGTAGTCCTCAGAAAAAAAAAAAAAAAAAGCAAACTATGGCTAAAGTCGCAGAGCATGAAGATACAGAGCTACCATTTCTTACCTACTTATTGCTACATACCATGGCCACTTTACCAACTATTTACTTTACACAGTAACCTTAAATGTTAGGCATTATCCCCATTTTATGTATGAAGCAATTTGCCTAAAATGACCCAGCCAGTAATTTGTGGAACTACAGTCCTTGCCTGATCTATTTGACACAAAGGTCAGTGACCTTCCTAATATCTCTCAATAAATTCTTCCATCTGCGTCATACCTGGACAAACAGTACATGATGTTGAAGAAGATGGTGATGTTGAAGATAAGAAATAAAAAGAAAGAAGACAAGGACTTTTGATATTTTATGATGATTCACATCTTTAATGTACGAATACTTGTCAAGCAGAATGACAGCATTTATTCTTTTTTTAAATTATTATCATTTGAGATAGGATCTTGCTCTGTCACCCAGACTAGAGTGCAGTGGCATGGTATCAGCTCATTGCAACCTCCACTTTCCAGGCCCAAACGATCCTCCCACCTCAGCCTTCTGAGTAGCTGGGACTACAGGCACCTGCCATCTGGCTAATTTTTGTGGGTTTTTTCGTAGAGATAGGGTCATGCTATGTTGCCCAGGCTGGTCTCGAACTCCTGAGCTCAAATGATCTACCCACCAGGGCCTCCCAAAGTGTTGGAATTACAGGTGTTACCCACCATTCCCGGCCTCAGCATTAATTTTTTTCTTGAGTTTTAATATAATAGAAACAAATCACAAGGATGAATTCATTCATTCATTCATTCATTCATTCACATAATTCAGCCAACACTGATTGAGCAGCTACCATGTGGCAGTCATCATCTTAGGCATGAAGATATGCAAAAGAGAAGACTCTTGCTTTTGTTAATCTTGCAGTCTAATGGGGGAAGCCAGCAATAAAATCACTAAGTACTCTACATTGTTGAAAGCACTCTAAATAAGATAAGGGCAAGGTGATGTGGGTAGTCACCCAGCTCAGAGAATGAAGAAAACCTCCGCGAGGCACTGACTCAGGATCCTGAAGGAGGAATAGGCACTAACTAGGTGGACATGGGCTATAAAAACAGGAAACAGCATGGGTCAGGCACTGAGGTGTGAAAAGGCTTTATGCCTTTGGAAAATTCTAAGTAGGTCTCTTTGAAGCTTGGATAAGTAATGTTTGCACTTGTATTAGTCTGTTTTCACATTGCTGTAAAGAACTGCCTGAGGTTGGGTAATTTATACAGGAAAGAGGATTGATCGACTCACGGTTCTGAATGGCTGGGGAGGTCTCAGGAAACTTCCAATCATGGCAGAAGGTGGAGAAGAAGCAAGTACCTTCTTTACAAGGTGGCAGGAGAGAGAGAGCGCACACAGGGGAAACTGCCACTTTTAAACCATCAGATCTTGTGAGAACTCCCTCACTATCATGAGAAAAGCATGGGGGACACCACTGCCATGATCCAATCACCTCCTGTGAGGTCCCTCCCTCAACACATGGGGATTACAATTCAAGATGAGGTTTGGGTGGGGACACAGAGCCAAACCATGTCAGCACTCTAAGGCTTAGTTTCCTCATCTTTGAGTTAGACATTGTAAAGTACCTTCTTCGTAGAGGTGAATGGTTTGTTTTCCCTAAAGTGACTTAGTTCTTGGCACAGTTCTTGGTCCTTGATAAAAAGCTCCATGAAGGTTAACTGTTATAATTATGTAGAACATTGTTGGCCATGGTGGATTTGCTTTTGGTTAACAGCAACAGAAATACAGAAAGTCTCAGTCAAATTGACTTAAACAATGGTTTCTGGATTTCTAATGTGAAAGGTGAATGAATAAGCCAAACTTCAGGCATGGCTCTCTGAGAGACACATCCTGAGGTAAGCTGGCAAATTGTTAAAAACCAGCTCTGGGGGGACAGGGAGGAAGAGAAAAGGGAAGGAGAAAGGAGAGGAGAAAAAGAAATAGCAGCTCTGATTTTTAGTTTTTGCAAAATTCTGTGGTGTAAATATCCTACCATGGCCAATTTTGAGCTGCCAAGATGACCTTAATGGGCTCATAAAACTCCTGAAATCTTAATACTCAGCTCTCATGAGGTGGAACAAGGTGGCTCCAGTATCCCACTGGGTCCAGCTGTTTCCCTGAGTTTCTCCTCACCTCCATGTCACCTTCATCCTGAGAATGGCTTTTCACATGATCCCAAAATGGTTGCTGGAGGAAATGGTGTCATGTTTCTATGGGAATGAGGAAAGGGGCAAAAAAAAAAAAAAAATGCTTCTCACATCATGGGAAAGAAGACTCAAGTTTCACTCTGATTGGACCTCTGAGCCAGTCACTTGATCAAGGGCTTACTATGGTTCAGACCCTTTAGGGTAACTTATAGCTGGGGATGGGCCAGTCTCACTCAAATGAAATAAAGAGAGAACATGGGTTCTCAAAATCTGTTAGCTGCCATTAGGAAGAGAATCAAAGGGGCGTGAATACTAGGTGAGCTACTGGCAAAAGCCTGAGATACCGCCTAGGGAGTTTATGCTTTACTGGGAAGATAACATAAGGATTTGGGGTATGTGCATCCTTGGAAAATTACTCTCCCTGTATCAGATGCCAATCCTTGCTTTAAAAGCAAGCACTATTTCAGCCGGGTATGGTGGCTCAAGCCTGTAATCCCAGCACTTTGGGAGGCCGAGGTGGGTGGATCACGAGGTCAGGAGATCGAGAGCATTCTGGCTAACATGGTGAAACCCTATCTCTACTAAAAACACAAAAAATTAGCTGGGCGTGGTGGTGGGTGCCTGTAGTCCCAGCTACTCGGGAGGCTGAGGCAGGAGAATGGCGTGAGCCCAGAAGGCAGAGCTTGCAGTGAGCCGAGATGGCGCCACTGCACTCCAGCCTGGGCAACAGAGCGAGACTCCATCTCAAAAAAGAAAAAAAACAAAAAACAAAAACAAAAACAAAAACAAAAAACAAAACAAAAAAAAACAAGCACTATTTCTAACATCATGAGAGTTCACATCAAGGAAAAATGTTTATTATGCTAGCTCAGGTTTTAACTTCAAGAATTTTATAAATAGGACCTAACTTATAAAGAGGCAATTTATGAAGATCCTCTTATTTTACAGATGAAAATTTGTTTTGATTCTCTAAGTTCCTGCATATTTTGAGGGGGGAAAAAGATGGACTCAATTAAACCTTAACTGAATGGTAAATGAGGTGGTGATTTTATTATGTCATCCACAAGATAATGCATAAGCAAGAAGAACCTGGGGGCAATTAGCCTCTTGAGAGATTCTAATATTTTGATAAGTCACAGAAATAAATTCTGAGCAATTTAAAGAAGAATTCTATTAATTGCAGTATTCTCTTTCCCATTTAAAAAAAAATGGTTGCTTGAGTGTCTTCTTGCCTTTTTTTATCATGTATTTCTTGAACTTCTTTGCAACTTTTTAGCCCCCTTACATTTGCCTCTGGCTGATTTTAAATTATGCTAATTGGAAGAGGAGAAAATGCTGGTAATGGAATAAAATGGAATGCTATTTCTTATAGCATCTGGTGCAATCTGAGCCATTTAAAAGTGCATCTTATGGAATAGAGCTCTGAATACGTAGTGCCAGTCTGATTACAAACAACATGGGTCTCATTAGAATATGTCAATCTGATTGCTAGGTAGTGATACACTGCAGATTACTAGGCCATAATTGCCTCTTACATATTATGTGTATAATATATAGCTTCTCTGGGTGTATGTTAAAGCCACTTTCTCTCATGGCTATCTTTTCCAGCTCTACACAAAGAAATGCCTATGTTCCACTAAGTTGATTTTAACTGGGGTCCGTAGGTCCTAATTCTATTTTCTTCTGAGTATTCATCAAGTTTTCTACAGCAGTGCTATAAACAAAGAATTATGTCCAGAGCAATTGCCAGAAATAAGATATGTCAGGCGTCTATTACCCACTCAACTGGGAGCCATCAGTGGCTCAAGGCACTTCCTCCAAAAGGAAAGGGTAAAATAACTGAGGTTAAAGCCCACTATAGCTCCATGTCTTAATTTGCTTGTTGATTTGTGTCATGCATTTTTTCATTGTCAAAACCCATTTGGCTCTTTACTGTAGCTGGAAGAATGCAAACATCTTAGCCCAGGTCACGATTTTGGTGCACACTGTGCCCTACATGATTTAAAATCACCTATGTGAGCTCTGAAAGCAGGACTTCAACATTCCCACTTTCCAGTAGCACAATCTCTCCAACACTTGCTCTACACCATACATGCCCTATCCCCGCCAGTACTACAGCCACCTAGCCCAGCAATGTAAAAAAGCCAAACTCCACTCAGCTGCAAACCTAGCTAAATACTTGGAATATGCCTTGGGGTGTAGAGGTAGAGGATTCAAGAGACTTGAGCTTTTGTATCGACTGTAGAGCCATAAGCTATGCAACGTGGAGTGAATCTGATTGCTGCTCTTTCAGATTTTTCATCTGACACTCCAAAGAATAGATTTCCAAAATGTATTTCAGAGAATTTTTATTCCATGGAGATGTTAAAAGGGATTCATTTCCAAATAGATTTGCAAAAGGTTACGGTAAATTGGCAAAAATTGGTTTCTTTACTATAGGGCTTCTCAGAGTCTATGATATATCAATGTGCCTTATGAATCTACAGAAAAGGGTTGTGAAATACATTATTGTTACTCAATCTTATTAGGCCATAGAGACTTCCCTGCCCTAACCTATCTTCCGCTGAATAATACTCATTGACATCTTATCATCCTAATGTCATATCTAAATACTCACTCTCTGTTGTGCTACATTTGGACGGTATCTCCTGCAAATGGACTCATTCACATGGCCTGACTGGTCCATATAGACATCTGTGTTTGTATAGTAGTTTGTATAGTTGTGCTTTCTATAGTAGTTTTCCATAGAATTGATTAAACTGAGTTCTCAGAACATCCTGACAAAGTAGGGAGCACTTTCTGACATTTTAAAAATGAGTAAACAGAATTTCAGGGAGGTTAAGTGATTTTCCCGAGGTCACACAACCAAAAAGTAGCCAAAGCGGAATTTACATGAAGTATTTTATTACATCTTGCTCAGTCTGTACCTCAGTTAATTTTCCTCTTGTCTTGGGATCCATTTTTTGCTTCTATTTAGTTAATAACTAGTCTCTCTTTGTCACAGGCCATCATCAAAGCGAAGAATGGCATTTGACAAGTGCTATCCATGGCTTTTATGCTTAGAACACAAAAATGATAATTAAGGAAAATCACTACCTTCTCCCCAGTTATATATCAGATGGCTGTATCTTAGTGATAACAGATTATACTCTGCTTTTAGTAAAAAGTAGAATATGGAGATCAATTCTTACAAAACACAGTGTGTTAGATGAACATTGTATTTATGTTACAGTTCTTTTCCACTAGAACTTACCAAAAACAAACAAGCAACATGACAAATCAGTAAAACAATAAGCTATTCGGCAACAGGATAGTCAAGCAGTGTTTAGGGAAGAGTGCAATGGCATATAAACCTGCTAACAATGGCATATAGCGCTGTCATCAAACTGAAACATACCCACCTGATAAACTGTTTGATGAGATAGGATGGAGCAGCTTGGGCTCATCACTGAGTACGCCAGGATGGTATAGAGGTTAGGAGCAAATAGCTGGAGTCCAGCAGCTTGTGTTTAAATCACAAATTCTAATCCTTATTAGCAGGGTAGCTTTGGACTTGCTGTATGCCTTAGTGTTCTCACCTATAAAGTGGGGATAAGAGTAATTTTAACATAGGCTGTTGTGAAAATTTAGAGCTTAGTACCATGTCTGGTATTCAGTGAGTGTTCAAATATGTTAAAAAAATGAAATCTTATATGTGTGGGCACTAACTCCAATTCTTATGAAGCCCTAGATCAAGGTTTTAAGGTCTAGCTCAGCTGATAAATGTCAAGGGGCTAGGGTGGTGTGTTCTTGCACATTTTAGTTGCATTTTTATTTTTCAAAGGAAAAAGAATGTTTTACATCTCTTGCCTGGCATTAGGGTTTTTAATTTATGCTCCCCAACCACCTCCTTCCTCCTAGGGAGACTGAGTGGCTAAGGGAATTTAAACCATGAAAGGCAGGCACTTTCATGTATAAACAAAAGATTGTGCCTAGAGAAAGTGTAGAGATCTGCAATGCAGAAAGGAAAATGCAATTTCTAAAGCATCTGGATAAATGAGGATGCGAACGCAAATGTTATAGCAAGTCTGAATGTTGTTCGTGCTTCTCGGCATCTTGGGGAAATGACCATTTGACGCTTGTGGGAGATCATACTCAAAGCTTGCAGATGCATTCACTTCTCCAAGACACTTTCCCTGACTTTCTCTAGGTGCATGATTTTCCTTTGTACTTGTAGAGACTCTCCAGCCACCCAACACTTTCAGTTCCTCTTCCAATGCTTACAAGAAAACAAATTCCCCACCCCTCAGGAGGTTATGTTTGGTTCATGTGATTGGGTTCTGGCCAATGAGATAAAAGGAGTTGAAACACAAGCCCTTTCTAAGCCTGGTCATAAAGCTTTCAAGAGAATTGTCCACATTCTCTTCCCCTTATGTGGTGCCCTTGGTCACGTAATGAACATGGCAGATCGCAGTTGGGAAGGAGCTTGGATCCATGAGTCACTGCATGGAAAACAGTTGCCAGGAAAATCCTCTGGATCTTCATCACACTGTGAAGTAAGTTAGAAATAAATTTTGTCTGTGAAACCACTGAGAATGTGGGGTCAGTTATTAGAAGCTTGCATTCATTAGCACAAATACTATGAAATGTGATGTTATACTACACTAAAATCAATCTCAAAATTACTGTTAAGTTTACATGTGGCTGGACATTGAGTGCAGAAAAATAGACATTGGAGACTTTGAAAGGTAGGAGGGTGAGAAGGGGCTGAGGGATGAGAAATTACTTAACAGGTGCAATGTACATTCTTCAGGTGATGGTTAAACAAAAAGCTCAAACTTCACCACTATGCAATGTATCTATGTAACAAAACTGCACTTGTACTCCTTACATTTGTACATTTAGGCGGGGTGTGGCAGCTCATGCCTGTAATCCCAGCACTTTGGGAAGCTGAGGTGGGTGGATCACCTGAGGTCAGGAGCTTAAGAACAGCCTGGCCAATGTGGCGAGACCCTGTCTCTACTAAAAATACAAAAATTAGCTGGGCGTGGTGGTATGCGCCTATAGTTCCAGCTACTTGGGAGGCTGAGGCAGGAGAATAGCTTGGACCCGGGAGGTGGAGGTTGCAGTGAGCTGAGATCATGCCAGTGCACTCCAGCCTGGGCCAGAGAGCGAGACTCCATCTCAAAAAAAAAAAAAATAATAATAGTATATTTAAAAATTACAAGTGGCAATTTTGATACCACCCTACCAGCTCATTTTAGAACATTTAGGGAAAAATGCTTTGTGGGTTGACATTCTCTCTTGCTAAACAAGTGAGGGAGAAAATGCCAAACCTAATCCCTTTCGAATCACAAATATGCTGCCAACTACCATACATATTAATATAGTTGACACTAGAGAGCAGCTTAAGTAAGGCATAAACACAAAGTAACCAGACAAGACCCATGTTTTACAATGTTGCCGGTAACACTAAAGGCACACCCCTGCCCTCTGAAGCCAGCTGTTCTTAGGGGCTTTAGCTGAGATACTAAAATAAAACTTAAATCTGATGTTCAATCAATAGGGACTTTGCCAATTGATAATTTAATGAAATAGCATCACGAGGAGATCATTCAGCTTTAAAACAGTGATCCTTAATATTTTTATATCCCATAGCAATTTAGAATTTGATGAAATTTTGCAAACCTCCCCATCAAAACACATATACAAATGTAATAACTGACATTTGTTCAGTTTTAGGGATGCTGTTGGACCTGCTGGAGCACCAATGTACCCTCGAGGATCCGTGGATCCTAGGTTGAAAGCACCTGGCAAGGATGGGTAGCTGGTTGCTTGGATCAGTGACAAGGATGTAAGAGAGGGAACTGGGGGTATTGAAGAAGAAAGTTTATATCATCAAAAAAGCTACTGAGTATCACCACCATTTGTTGAGTTCTGGCTGGATGTTATACACTGTGCTAAATGTTTCAATATATTTAATCTTTTTAAAGCTCTTGCATTGTAATTATCCTACAAGCAAGGAAATGGGCAGAGAGAAGTTAAGAGACTTGCCCTAGACTGTATAATTAGTAAGTGGTGAAGCCTGAATGCCAACCATAGTCTACAGTCTTAATTACGATGGTCTAAGTCAGATTTTTCAAATGCATTGTTCTGAAGGGTGAAGAATCTTTAGAAGATAATAATTTTTTAACCTCTAAGTATGCTCAGTTGGAATTTAAGATTTTTTGTTTTAATTAAATGACAACAAATAATTAATTCATTTAGGCACACCATATATATAGCAAAAGTTATTGAAAGAGACAACCAGATTGCAGGGTTGTATACGGCAACTACTTTATTATTTTCAAATGCAAACTCTTTGCATTTAGTTTGCTATTTTACAATTTTACAAACTAGGTATAAAAGACCATAAATAAATGACATAAGTTATGTGTACCTAAAGTTCATGAAGGGAAGAAAAATACCTTGACAAATTAAAACAAAATAGAAAATCTATGTCTAACTCCAGAAATCACTCAAAGTTTGGAACGTGTGAACCGAACAATGTTCTGTTAATTTCTTATTCAGTATGAACTAAATTATAATATGCCTTATACATTCTAATTTGAACCACAGTCCTTGCATATTCCAACATACTTAGAGTGATACAAAAAATAAACGCACTCTTCAGTGTGTATCAATGCTTGATGTTGTTTGGAGAATGTTAAATAAGTGAAAATATTGCTTCTAGAACTTTCCTTTATGGGTCAGAATTTAAGTGTCTTCAGACAAATATTGAGGCTATACGGGTGTACGGATTAATACACATATCCTTCACAGATTGAATACAAGAGGTCTCAGAATGCACACACCAGCAGTGTAGCGAGCACAACCTTTCTTTAAAATAAGAACGTTTTTCAACCCACCAGAACATTTCACTCGTAAGATTGCTAAAAAATAACTTGGGGCCTGCATACACAAGGTGAAGCTACTTGATTTGGTGCAGCGGGGTAGTTTCCCACTGCTCTAGAGATCGGCACATGAGTTAGCATTGGAGCTCACTCGGCCAGGGCTTGCCCACGGGCTCAGACCCAGACCCTGAAGTTGGCCTCCTACCCTTACCTCTGGAAAAGATGAACTGCTCAGAAGAGTCAACCTCATTTCTTTATACATATTTTTCAGGCATCAATGCATAGGCACATCCCTTAAAAAATATATTAAGGTCCCCAAAAAGGGGTGAATCAACTTTGTCACTCTGGCATAGAACACAATGCCACACACCCTGTCAGAATGTAATAAATATTTATTGATGATTTTCTCTACTTATTCAACAATAAATGGTTCAGAATCTATTTTTTTTCCTCATTTTTCCCTGATTTGATGTTATAGCTTATATAAATGGCCACGGTTTCTGCAACCACAGCTTAGGATAAGCAAGGCAGCCACTCAGATTATGAAAAATGGCAGTAAGTTGGCTGGAGTTTGGTATACATATCATATCAATACTGAATCTTCACACTCCGGAGCTCCGATTCTAGAAGGCTGATGCTCTTGTGAGGGCAACAGGAGTTAGCTGCATATTAATTACTGTAGAACTTTCCAGGTAATTAGGGAATGTGAAATTGCCTGAGGCCATTTCATCCCAACTACCTTAACCTCAAGAGTCACTGGCATGTATTTTTCTGTGATATTGGGAGACAAAGTATTAATCCAGGACACACCATCTCAAAGCTGACACACATATCTACGTTCATCTCCAAAAGTATATGAATTGCATATATTCGTTCGCATTCAACAAGTCCATTTATGCAGGAAAACAAAGGCTACTTGTACTCCATTTGGGGTTACCAGACACATTCCATCTCCTTCTCTCTCTCCATCAAGGAACTGATGATTCAGATGAGTTCAATCAGAAAATTTGTAATTTTGATGATGGGTTGTCACCTGAATGGATTTATATTTTAAATTACTTCACCATTAAGGTGAAAATGCCTCTGTCCAAAGCTGTAGAATTCTTATTAAGGTTAGTGTGACAGCTACAAAATACACGTGTAGATACAGGATGCGTGTAGATACAGGATGCTGAACATCTCTGGGTTGTCTTTCCAAGGGGATGGTCTCCAGGTCCACTGTATCATGTAGTTCTTCATCTTGAAACTGGTGGAAAACCAGAACTCTCCAGGTGTAGCATTCCACAACATTCATGGGTAGTCCTAAGCATGAGGCTACGCACATACACACACCCGCACACAGACAGGCACGCATACAGACACACTCACACCTATGTACACACATCAAAAGAGATAGTCAGCTCATATTTAGTCTAAGAAAAAAATATATTTATATCACTGCAATGGCACACCCTGGGTAAAATGTTACTTCCGCAATGCATATCATAGGCAGCTCATGGAACTGGCTTTGTTTTGTGTGGTTGCACCTGACCTGGTGTCCATAGTAAGACCTGTAGCATTTGGTCACTTGCTGCCACACCAATGCAGCAGTGACACACAGGAATGAAATATGGAAATACATATAAATAAAACCGCAAAGAGTCTGGGGCAAGGGCTCTGCAGAGCTGGTGCTGCGAGACAGTGCATTCCTCAGTGCAACTGGAGAACAGATGCTGAATCTTAAGTGTTTGCTGTTTCTTTCACTGCGAAAGGGGATTTGAAAGTCACACATTTATTCTTTTCAGGTATGGGTGTTGTTTCATCAGTGTCTTTGCCCCAGAACTGGTGTAATTGAAGCAGAAGAAACACATTTAGACGGAACTGAGGAGGGTGTGTTCTGTTTTCTTCCACGGGCTTTGTAATCAACAGGAAGGGCTGTGAGGCCAAGATAGCAGAATCTACTCCCTGTAGATAAAAGAGCAAGACTTTAGACAAAACGTCGACCCATATTGCGAGCCAACTGTCAACCACTATTGTAAGAAAGAATATATAGGTTCGTAGAAGTTGGTATCCTTCAGTAAAAGTAGTTCAGTGGTGAGATCACGAATTATACTTTCCTTTTCTGAAAAATAGCAATTATAAGAGCAAAAAAAACCTGTTTACTAACAGCTTAATTACAACTCCGAGATAGGTACTATTCTTATCTCCATTATATGGATGAGGAAATTGAGCATAAGGAGACTAAGTACCCTGCCCAATGCCATACCCTCTGGAGTGGCAAGGCTGGGATTAGACCCCACAAAGTTCTAATTGATATTTATGCTTTAACCACCGTGTTGAACAGCCTGTCTATGAAATGAAAATCCTGACTTGTTTCAGTTCACAATCCACCCATAGTCAACAATAATGATTGAAAAATGCAAACTAAGGGCCGGGCGCGGTGGCTCACGCCTGTAATCCCAGCGTTTTGGGAGCCGAGGTGGGCGGATCACGAGGTCAGGAGATTGAGACCATCCTGGCTAACGTGGTGAAACCCCGTCTCTACTAAAAATACAAAAAATTAGCCAGGCGTGGTGGCGGGCGCCTGTAGTCCCGGCTACTCGGGAGGCTGAGGCAGGAGGAGAATGGCGTGAACCTGGGAGGCGGAGCTTGCAGTGAGCCGAGACAGCGCCACTGCTCTCCAGCCTGGGTGACAGAGCGAGACTCTGTCTCAAAAAAAAAAGAAAAGAAAAAAAAGAAAAATGCAAACTAAGAAGTGAAAAAAAGTGGTGGTTTTTCTTAACAAGAGAGTAACTCCTGATAAATAGAAGTATCTAATCTAACATGGCGAAAGAGCCATACTCTCTACATGTAAACAGGCAGGAGAGAGGGAACATGGGACACAGGGAGATACTTGCTCTATGAACGACAGAGGTCTTCTAGGTTCAAGCCTCCTTCCACATATCAAGAACTAATCAGCCGCAGGCTGGAATTCTAGACATCAGCCTGGAATCGAACAAGGCTGGCACACAGCAATGGACTCCTCATGGCTCCTCATTGTCCATATATTTGTCACATAATCAACTCAAACCAAAGGAAGTAAGTTCCCTTCTTTCATTTATAACAACCAACTATCCAGATTACTTATTGGACTATGCCTCCCACCACGGTGACCATGTTTAGCAGCTGGTGGCCTCAAGCAAAGGGCAGTAATTAAGACCAAAATGCACTTTTATAGATTATTTTGCCTATTTTATCAAATCACTTGTCTGTTTTGCATATGTGTACATTTATCGTGTAGAGAATAAAATTTAATTTTTTGTAGTAAACGACCATATTTAAAATTGTAGAAAACACTTTAGTCTATTTAAAGAGAGAGAAATCGTTTTCTGGCCAGGTCTTGTAGCTCATACCTGTAATTCCAGCACTTTGGGAGCCCAAGGAGGGAAGACTGCTTGAGCCCAAGAGTTTGAGACCAGCCTGGGCAAAAGAGCAAGACCCCATCTTTAAAAAAAAAAAAAAAAATTAGCCAGGCATGGTTGTGCACACCTGTGGTCCCTGGGTCGACATGAACATGAATGTTATGTTGACAATTACGTAAAAATGACAGAAAAGTCATCAAATCTACCTTCTAACTATTTCCTCTCTGGAAATCGGTCAAATCCATCAAATGTAGTTTTTGAAACCTGAATGTGAAGGGATTTCATCAGGTGGGCAGGTATTTATGTGAAGTATGAGGAGAACATGAATATGATCTTAAAACGCTAGAGTGTATTCCACGTCCTGCGGACACACAAGGTTGGTAATGGTTTCTTTTGCTACTAGAAATTCTTAAAGGAGAAAGAATGGTCTCATAAACACGTGTTGCCTTTCAGTCTGCCAATTCCTTCTCCACTTAACATCTGGATATCAATAGATATTACATAAATATATTTGTAATATTAAGTGGGCAATTTGGGGACTTGGTGTGTATGCAGAAATGATTGGACATTTGAATTGAGATGTAAGGGAATGTGAAGACTTGTATCTACTTAATGCCAGGATACGAGTTGAGTGAAATAAGCCTTCTCCTCACCATTGAATTCAGGCAACTCCTTTATCATGGGAAATTTCTTAAACAGAGACCAGACAAAGCATGTGGTCTATGTAGGGTCATGAGTTAAGGAGAATTCATTGTGACTAAATAAACAAAGGCTTGTTCCTTTGAGTCAGTCGTGATGACATCAAAATGTCTTTACCATCCAGTTCTTTTCATTGCAATAGAATTTTACTTTTGTATCACTGTCTTCCCCATTACAAAACAATAATTTTATAAATGTCAAGGCTAAATAATGCATGTTTATCCTGCCAGCATAACTTGAAAGGTCTACCACCATTGTATAAATATGTATTTACCTCCAAACTCTCATAAATCCATTTAAGTGAAGAAGCTTCACTGTGTGACCCCCCTACCACTGAACTTCATTTCACCCCACTCTGGCATGTTGTAATAAAACAATTGGGGTTACAAGTGAAAGACAGATGAATAATACTTGGACAATGTTGGAGGAAGAAGCGTACCTTTCTTCTGTGGAGCTCACCGTGTTTTACTTAAGAATATTTCATACACACTTGCAACAACACCATGCATTAGGAAAGGTGTTATTATTAAGGTATCATTATCTCTCTAATTTCCAGGTGGAGGAACTGAGTTATAAAGAAAAGTGGAGTGAATTTCCCAGTGTCAACATTTCAGTTGGCTTTAGAATCCATAGCTGTCCGGATGCCAGAGTCTGGCTCTGCGCCCTGGGAAACAATGCATCATTCCTATTGTTCTCACATTTCTCTTCTAAAACTTCATGGAGGTAGTGGAGAGAGTTAACACTTTTACTGTTGCTGGATATTATTTTAGGCACTTGGAAAGTCCTTTTTTGGCCTTTGCATCAGCCTTGACTCTAATATATGCATATGTTGAAATTTTGAAGATTCAGACGGTGACCTTTGAATAAAATAAGATTTCATACTTCACCTCTCCTTTGATCCTTCCCTGATTACTTCATTTACAGAAATACCTGCTGAGCAGGAACAAAACAACACCAGCATAGTATATAATGTTGTTAGGCTATTTCAGAATGGACATGTTCTCTGTTGAAATGGTCTGCTTTTAATATGTTCAGTGTTTAGAAAATACCTTGTCTTAAGTTGTAGACTTTAAGAAAAAAAAAAAAAACTTTTAATTATTCAATGTACACAAGGTAACATTCTGTTGTTAGTTAAAATACAATGCCACCTGGGCGCAGTGACCGACGCCTGTAATCCCAACACTTTGGGAGGCTGAGGCAGGTGGACTGTCTGAGATCAAGAGTTCGAGACCAGCCTGGTCAACATGGTGAAACCCCGTCTCCACTAAAAATACAAAAATTAGCCAGGCCTGGGTGGTGGGTGCCTGTAATCCCAGCTACTTGGGAGGCTGAGGCAGAATTGCTTGAGCCCAGGAGGCCAAGGTTGCAGTGAGCCAAGATTGCACCACTGCACTCCAGCCTGGGCAACAGAGTGAGACTTTGTCTCAAATAGTAATAATAATAATAATAATAATTTTTTTTTTTTACCAAGCAAGCAAAAGAAACAAAAAAGTCCTACATTTGTCAGCTTTTAACGTGAATATCCAGAACTCCTAGACTTCTGCAAAAGTGGTGATAAAACAAAAATTGTTGGAGTAGTTTTAAAAACAAATTTCACATTCCTTCTGAACAGAAAAGCTTTTACAACTTATGTTGCAAAAAAGGTTTTCACTAAACTGTCATGATTTGACAGCATCAAATTTAACATTCCTTGCTCTATAAGAAATAGCTTTCAGGATACAACCAAGGGGAAAGAAAGGTCGTTAAAATCAGCAACTCTTGTTTAAAAGTGATAAAAATGAAATAACTCAAAAAAAAAAAAAGAATGAAAAGTTAAAATGTGTCCAGTCCAAAGTTATGTCCTTTGTTTCTAGGAATGAACAAACTCAATGCTGGTATATAAAAATAGAAGCATTGAAAGCTAATAGGTTTATGGATGAGCAGTGCATTTTTCAGTAGTTCAACTTTCTGATCATGAGAAAGCCGAGGCGAGTTCCAAGTCTCACCACTGGCATCTTGGTGAATCCTCTTTGGCCCTGTTTGGGGATGGAGTTTCCTGGAGCAGGACAGAAAATGAGGCTAATGGAAAAGTCTCGCCAGTACTTCTCCATTGAGGTAAACTCTCCAAAGGACGGGACCCATGACCTAACAAGGTTAGAGAGAAAGCCTCCTGTGCTTGCTGCCTGGTGCCCAGAAGATAATAAATATGTGTACCATGAATGAATGGCACCAAAGGACAGGAGGAGCCCTTCGTGATGGAAAGCACACAGCCAACAGCCAGTGAGCATCTAGGACCATCCCTCAGAGCCTGACCTCATCTGGGTCATATGTCACTTCTCCCCGGAAGAATAGCAGGGAAACCACACTGTGTTTGGTCTCCTCTTTCGCTGTCAAAAAAGGACTGAAATCCTGAAAAACATCAACACAACCTGAGAGACATGAGAGAGTATTTTTCTGTTTTCAGTATTTCGAATGAGATCAAGTTTAAAGCACAAAAGGAGTTTTCACTGGAGAAAAAATCATTCTTGGTTGTTGGACTTACCTTGCAGATCTGGGGTCGCTTCTTTAAAGGAGCGAAGTGTGAACGTTCTCTATTCCAGATTGTCACAGCCCACTATCCACAAGATAGTTAGGACAAGTTTGTAAAGTCCCAAAATAAGACTTTATATGGCACAGCCTCAGGCCCAAAGAAACAGACCTCATTTGTCCAGTTAGGGGTTATGGGGCTTGGGTTACGTATATATATATTTTAAATCCACTTTCCCTTTCTTTCCAGGCCCCCTGTGTCATAGGAATCCACCAGGCGGCTTGAGCACTGAAGAGGCAACACTAATGAGCCACGTCGCTTTCTCCTAGGACTTTTTTTTCCCCCATGGTATGAACCAAGCCCTAAAAGCCACAGCTGAGTCCTTAAAAAATGTTCCTAGGCATGGTCTTCATTCCAGTGAAAGACAGATGACTGTAATTTATGCCACAAACAAAATACAATGGTTGTAATTCCAAATGGAGAGAGAATCAGGGATGTCTCAGAAGCTCAGTGTCTGGCAGCAAATACAGCATCAAAACTCAGAGGCAGTGTTCTATTTCTATAGGTACATGTATTTTACAGACTGGTGATGAACAGAAAAGTACTTCTGAGAAACGATTTGTTCCAGGTCTCATTCAAATGACCGGCAGTCATTTCTGTAAGCCCCACAGTTTCAGCAATCTGTGCACCAAGCAACGCTGCAGATATTGTTTTTTTTTTTCATTTCTTTAATTTCAGAGGGCGAAGACGAAGTAAAAAAAGTGCAGTTCTTCAATTAAAGTGCATGGATGAGGTAAACTAATTTCAAGAGTTTTGAGTTTATTCAGTACTGGCTCAGACGGGAACCATTCTGCCGTGCATCTGCTGCATTTGGGTTCGCATTGCCTGGACACTGCTCAAAATCTTATTCTGGTGCGTGATGGCTGTGATACCAATTCTTGCCAGGTCCCTGTACATAGGGCGACAAAAAAGGGACAGAAGAAGTCACAGGGACTGACAATCTCTTTTCTTGGGCTTCATGCAGACACACGTTTGAATCAGCCACAATTAATACAGCACAACAAGGCAGGTGTATTAAAATGTTTCATTAAGCAATTTAATGCAAGAATGTAGATACTTTATAGAGGCTGTGTAAAATTATACTCAATCAAAATGAGAGGCATTCCAGATTTTTTTTAAATGAGTAGGATGATTACGCAGCTCAAAGCAAAAAAAGAAAATACTATTAAATCTAGATTTACCCTTTCGTGTTACATCGTTGAGTACTTACTCCTGGTTCACGTGCACCACAGCCTCTAGTGTGGTATAACCAGCAGCTGTGAAGTTATCCTTATACCGGTCCATTTTAATGGCCTGGAGCCAATCGCCCACTGATACCACAGCAGAGAATTCAGGGGAGCTTGGATCCAACAAGGCAGTGTTAGGTCTAGAAAGAGAACAAGAAAATATAAGCAGAACGGAGCTACCAGTGAGACAAGAAGACTCAGAAATCTGATTGCCTCAAATAGGCAAGGAGAACTGAAAAGCTAAGGGAAGGTTTTAAATGGAACAATTGTTGTTAAATGTAACTATGCAATATTTTGCTCTTAACTTCACAAAGCTGCTAAAGCATGTATCAATCATCCTATTTTTTCTTAATTCTATTTCCTGCGCTTGTTTTATGTGGCCCTCTGAGGGCATTCATGCTCATAGCAGGTCTTTTAACACCCTAGCCTGGGGTGAAGACTGGGAGAGCCCTCATGGCCGAAACCTGTTCAATCTTTGCAGAAAGAGTCCAGTCTCTGCCAGTACTGAATATTACAGACTTTCGTTCAGCAACTATGGAAACCCTAGTGAAGGATGAGTAAGGAAAACTGCGAGCTTGCCACCTGCCAGACTGGATGGAAGCAGAGAAAACAGCAAGAATTCAAGTCCAGCATGCTTCCAGCCTAGTCTACAGGCAGGCTTGGGGCATTCAAACAAACTTGGGACAGCAGGGAGTTAATCCCCTCTTTAATCAATCCATGCCTGACCAGCACGAGTGCCAAGGCTGGCAGAAGAACGGCCACTTTGATCACTGTTTGGATTGTGGAATGTGCTTCTCGTATTCCCTTGCTGGGGTTCCTGAATAATGATTTCAACAAATTCAAAGCACTTCTTATTAACTTATTTATTAGTTTACTCATTTCTTAGGCCAGGTGTTTTCTATTAGGTCACTGTCACAAGCAATTACAGGCTGGAATTCTGCCTTTCCTAATGATATTGACATATAAAAAATCATTTACTAATAAAAACTATTAAGAGAATTATAGTTAGTTATCTTCATCACCCAATTGCTGAATAACCATAGAGCAGGCCTTCATGGGGTTATTTTATACTACCTTTACTTATAATAACCTGTAGAAAAATACTGCTACTTGTTAAGTCATAGTTTTTGAACTTCTGTTTTTCCTAAAACTCACAGAATGTGTTTGATCTTAACATTTTGACCTGATTTTCAACGTGATACTATGTTTAAGTACAAACATTTAAATCACAATTATATCATTACTACTAAATTTTCAACCAAAAAACTCTTTCCTTGTAAAAACAAAATTAAGTCGATATAATGCTTTACTTTTCTACATAGCAGAATTAATCCAATTCGATTTTTAAAATTTTCATTTTTATCTAAATTGACTTGACTTGTATTATTTCTTTTTTATATAAATATTTTAACAAAGATTTGTTTTATCAGTCAGTTTTGTGTCCAAATAATACCTTGCCATTGTAACCTGTCTTTTGTGTCCATTATTTCAATATAAGTTTGATTTTCTAAGTACAATTCTGTAAATGTTTACAGCAAAAATAATCAAGATATAATTATTCTTTCAATTTTGAGTCAACAACAAATGTTACCACATAGAATTTTGGACATTTAATTGAGTGTGGATATATAGCAATAATATTTGTTATTAGACAAAAGCCAATAGTTTGCATTTACTTCTGACTTTAAGCCAAAAGCATTAATGAGGAAGATGTAGGCTCTGAGCACCGACAAGGTCAAAATGACCTTACAATGAAAATATCTTCACTCGATGTCAATTAACTTTAAGGGTGGTTCTTAAGCTTGTTCTGGAAGCCTCTGTGCTCTTGGTAGCACACCATGATGTTAGCCTAATTTTGTGCTGAATCACATACCATGTTATACTACATCTCATTATAGGTAAGCCATAATAAGCTTCAAAGCTATTTAAGTACCATCAGCAAAAAGAATTTAGAACTGATAATAGTGTATCTAATACCTCAACTTGTTCTGTACCTTGGGGCAAAGCAGATGCTATGTGATAGTAGTGGTTGAATGACTTATGCTAACAGAAGAAGTACCAAACACCAAAAAACTGGCCTTGAATGGACCCTCAGACAAAATACATGGGCTCTGGTGCTGAAGATCTAAAAGGTGGAAGAGAAGTCAGCTAGATCTGGAAAGGAGGCCTTATAGTCATCTATTTCACCCTCCTGGAGAACAGAAGAACAAGAAATAGCCTCACAATAGTAGGAGACTTTTAATTTTTTTTAGTTCACATAGTGACCAAGTGGCAGAGGTGAAATGTTAATTCAGCCCTTTTCAGTGTTATTTGAAAAGAGCTGGATAGACCATTGAGCATTTTGTGTAGTGGCTAATGACAGGGATTTGAAAACCTGGTGGAGAATATAGGGTATCTCTACTATCTATTCCACAGTTCTCTTTTTTTTCATGTAATGTGTTTTCCTTCTTTTCTAGAATCTTTAGTCCAAGTTTTCAGGAGAAAGATGAGAGGAGAACACCACAGGGCCTGCAAAGACTGGAAGGGCTTAAATATTACGGGAGAAAATGTCCTCCTATTTTTAACACAGGATCATGATGAAACAGAAGCCTGTGAGAAGCTCAGACTTGGAGATGAGTGAGTGTCTCACCTCTCGCAGGCCTGAGTCACCTGGTCTATTATGCCTGTATTCTAAAATAATTTAACTGATAAAGATGGTCCACACCCTTTCAGATGAGACTACTGATATGTAGGTATCCTGAGTCTTATACCAGTAAAGTCCATTCTCCATGTAGAAAGTTCTCACTGAACTTGTAGGACTTATAGTATCTTTATGTTCTCTACAGACTGATATACTTCTTCATTTTGCTCATTCCAAGAAAATAACTACCTCTTTCAGGTGGTCCAATCATTTTGGTCTTTAAAATCCTTCCCAAACATTCATCTGCATGCTTTATAACTCAATCATTTCCTATCTTGGCCCTGTTTCCTCCTACTCTGAAAGACTCAGAAAAGGGAAACCAGAAGAACTGAAACCTAATGAATCTCTTTCTTACAATTAACACTTTATAAATCAACTTAAAATTGCCGTGCTTAAAGACCTGTTTTCTAATCTTTATTTCTTACTATTCCAGTGTTCCTGCCCCATTTCAAAATATAGCACCTACTGATCTGAACGTCTTCTAAAAGTACATTTCACCCCTCTTCCTAAATTTCAGGCCTGGCATCCTAAAATAGGCACTTCAGTTATTTCTTTCCTACTATTATTATTTTTTAAAGTTTTTTCCTTATAACTATTTGATGCCTGACAGGTATTAGTTATTCAAAATGCTGAATAGAACTACCTGAAATACTCTACTAATTGAGAAAGAAGCCACCCAGGTTGCAGAGAGCCATGAAGTGGCCTCTGATGAAAAGGCAGGAATTTAAGTGAGTCACCACTTGCCTGCCTCCTCTAATGTGTTCTTTCATACATCACTATTAAGTAAGCATGGCTGACCTGGAGCTCTCCGTCCCTGTCCTCTTCAAGCTGTTGGGGTTGCGGATGAGTTTGTCCAACATGTTGACAATCTGCCCAAATTTAGGCCTGTCGCTCCTCTCCTTCTGCCAGCAGTCTAGCATCAGCTGGTGGAGCGCAATGGGGCAGTCCATTGGAGGGGGTAACCGATAGCCTTCCTCAATGGCTTTAATCACCTATGGAAGACAACAGGATGGTATGTTAAGCTGCCAGGCAAGCTGCTGTTCAAGGTTCACCCTTCCGACTGGCATGTTTCTTGTGCATGAAGCTGCCAGCAAGCTGGAGCCTGGGAACAGCTCCAACTCCTTCACATGAGCCAAAGCTAGACCTGAGTATCACTGGCAACAGGAGAGGGAAGCCAGCTGTTGCACTGAGGTGTACTCTAAAGGGAAGATGCATCAATGTTCTCAAGTGGCTAGAGCCCAGTCAAATCCACAATGTGGTGTCAGTTTTGGTGACGGCCCTCAGAGATCATGTGGCCCTGCCCCCTGCCCCCTGCCTCCAGTCCCCTGCCCCGCTCCATTCTGCTATTAGCACACCTAAACACTCTTCGCAAAAGAGACTCTGACTTAGTGCCAAAGACCTCCCTTGGGAAGCAATTAATAGCTGTCTCCAAAATGGAATTTTCTTTGCCTCCTTTTAAGGCCCTGTCCTCTTACATAGACAGCCAGTGTGTCAACACCAGAGTCCAAGTCCAGACGCCCAGCCATTTTTTCTTTTGGATTACTCTACCCCTAGACACCAACTCTGAATTTCTTTCTTGGTCTCAGTTGGCTGTCAGTCGACCCTGTTAAAGGTGTTAGTAAGTAGATTTTTTTTAAAAAAGTAAAAAACAATTAAAAAAATTCCTTCTTTTGGGGCATTTACATTTTAAAGGAGACCCTCGCACATCTAAAGAAGGAAGTTATAATGGTACATGATAATTGTCTTATTGGCCAAGACCATCCAGAGTGCCCAGAGTGGTCTCCTTGCCTAGTAAGTCATAAATAACTCATTCAACAGTCTCTTTGCTAATTCTAATTTTTCTAATCTGTCTTCACAGGCATTAAATTATTTTCTTATAGCCTTTTCTCTAACATCCTCCCCCTGCTTTGGGGTATAAATTCCAAGAAAATAATATGGTAGGACATGCCAAATTTATAGAGGAGAACTACTTCACAGTTTTTTGGCTACTCATTACCTTTGTTTATGGATATCCTCTGAGATTCTGGAGGTGCTTTTATTTGTTTGGGAGTCTAAAAGTTTTATTTGCTTTAAATCACTCCATTTATTTTTCTTTCTATCAACATGATAGCTGCCAGAGAAATAAGCAGTGGTTGAGCCATCCCAATGACTTCACTGGACTCACCCTGTGGTGGGTCTATTGACTGCTCAGAAATTGGCCTTCGAAAGAAAAGAGTCTGTTGGGTCCAGGGTCCATGGATTAGTATGACTGTGATCTTTTTAATAAGAGCACCGTTTCAGTTTAACAAATCATCTTGTGATTTATTAAGCCCTCTGATCCTTTTTCTCCTATGTATTTTGCCAATATCATGTATCAGTATCACCTACTTTTCTTTGTAAAGCAGACTTCTCTATGCTGTCTTATTGAACCTTATTCTATTTGTTTCTAGCAATTACACTACGTCAGTTTGATCACCTGGGTTTCTTTTATCTTCCCAGGTGCATCGTGTTGACTCTAGACTTGATGAGAACATTTTGCACTGAATTGAGGAGAATGAAAGCAACACTGGGCTGATGCCAGCGGAACATAAATTGTTATAACCCCTCAGACTGATTAATGCTCTTTCATAAGCTCCCTATCCACTGCCAGCTTGGAAGATGGCTCATAGGTTAGCAAAGCATATTTTCTCAGTTTACTACTAAATATTTTGGGGGGCAGAGGATTAAACTAAACAAAAAACTTGCTAAGTTTGACATATTTTCAACAGTTACTTTCACTCCATTTACCATATGCCAAATTAATTCTATGCATCAAAGTAATTCCCCAGATACATTTCCTATTGATTCCTGTTCTACATAGAATCCAACACAGAGACAAATAATAGATCAATATTATTTGTGAGCAAGAAATGGCTTCAGATGCCTTTTCGTGGATAAAGCCAGAGAACTGAAAGTTCAAAACAACAGAATTCTTTATATATATATATTGTTTTTTTATATATATGTGTGTATATATATATAAAATACATATATATAAACTGCCAAAATTACAGATCTGAACATATTTAGGGTAGAAAAACTGACATCTTTAGATACTCTGCTCTTACGAACATTTGGCCATGATTTCAACGGAAGAAAAAGAAAGCTTAAGTATCGAATAATTACAGTAACTACATTTACTATTTGCTCATTTAGGTTTTTTGTCTTTGTCCCTGTGAGAGTCTCTAACCTGAATCCAAATGTGGCTACAAGAAGCTACTAGAAGCTGTCTGCACAGCATAATCACATAAACAATAGATTACATGCTATTCCCCTCCATAGTCTTCTTCCAACCTGTAATTACTATCACTTAGGCTAGCTGCTTTCTTCCCATCTGCTATGAATCTTCTGTTATAATCCACAGATAATACAGTGTGAACACTACCATTCCCCTTAATCTGGTTGGTCAGCATAGAGAATTCTTTTTGCCCCACCAGACATGGAGTGCATTTCTCTATTGCACCGAACATTTTTTTTTTTTTTTGAGACAGAGTCTCATTCTGTGGCCCAGGCTGAATTACAGTGGTGTCATCTTGGCTCACTGCAACCTCCGCCTCCCAGGTTCAAGCGATTAGCCTACCTCAGCGTCCCGAGTAGCTGGGACTACAGGCGCACACCACCACGCCCAGCAAATCTTTGTATTTTTTTTTTTTTTTTTTTTTTTTGAGACGGAGTCTTACTCTTTCGCCCAGGCTGGAGTGCAGTGGCGTGATCTCTGCTCACTGCAATCTCTGCCTCTTAGGTTCTAGCGATTCTCCTGCCTCAGCCTCCTGAGTAGCTGGGATTCCAGGCACCCACCACTATGCCCGGCTAATTTTTTGTATTTTTAGTAGAGACGGGGTTTCACCATGTTGCTCAGGCTGGTCTCGAACTCCTGACCTTGTGATCCACCCGCCTCGGCCTCCCAAAGTGCTGGGATTACAGGCGTGAGCCACAGGGCCCGGCCTGCATTGAACATTCTTTAATTGATAAGGCAACCTGCATCCCATTTCTTAAGTGCACGTGGCTCTAACTGTCAAGGCTGTGCAACTGCCTGTTGTTGGAGGAAGACAAGGCAGATGGATAGGTAACATTCCACCACAGAGAGAATTTTTGAAAAGAAGTTTCCAAAATATAATTATAACTGATAAACTGAATACCTTGCATTTGTAAACACTCTCTGATAATGGACTACCACATACATAAAAAATTAGGAAAGTTCGAAAAGTATAGGTGGCCATTTAATTTTAATATGATTCCCAATCTTACCAGAACTAATGTAAACTTTTCCAGAATTAGCTAAAACGTGTTCTAGGAAGACCCCTTGATCAATGCTTTCTTTTATTTTTTTTTCTTTCTTTCTCACTGGAGATGTTTGTAATTAAATTCTATTACTCTGGAATCTTATTAGTGTCATTATTGAATCCTTTTCTGAAATTGCAGTCATTGTGGATACTCCCTTACGAAGTAGTCCAGATGGTACATTTAAAGGGATGTGCATAATTTACCAAGGGTCATTGAGTGAAGCTTTATTTTAGAGTCCTCAAGGGGTGAGCTCTAATTACAACGATGCCAGCTTTAAAATATTCACTAGTTTTCTTTCAATAAGCCTTTCATGTCCGTTTTATCATATGTGAAATTTATTTTTTCATAATCTTTGCATTTTCTTAAAAGTCAAAGTTTAATTTTGTTTTACTCTGGTTTTGAAAGTTCACCAAGTAAAAATACTATCCCATATTTTTTATCCATGAATCTATGTGCGTATGTATCTATCTCCCATACTGTACCATGTAGGCCATTTAATTCTTGTCCTTGAAATCAATAGTCATTGGTTGTAATGTTGAACTAGCTTGCTAGATATATCTGTATTAAGAAATTTGAGTTTAATGTATCATTTCAAACCCCGTGCCCACTCCATCATACAGTAATGCAGAACTTCCTGAATCTCAATGTGAAAAAATATATTTCAGAACATAGAGACTTACATCTTGATTGGACATATCCCAATAGGGCCTCTCCCCGTACGACATCACTTCCCACATAACGATTCCATAGCTCCATACATCACTTGCTGATGTGAATTTACGATAGGCAATTGCTTCTGGCGCAGTCCACCGGATAGGAATCTTGCCACCCTGTGAACATTTGAGCCATAAGTTATTCCTTAAGTACATCACTGATGTGCCATTTTAGATTCTGAATGTAGTTCCTGCTAGCCAAGCAGGACAACAGCATTCTTGAGATAGCTCTCAAAACAATAAGACACTTGTTCATTTTAACGCAAGTCTTCCAGGTTAACACAGTTCTCTTATGTTTTCTTTACTCACAGGGAAGTGACTAAGTAATCTAATTATGTTTTTAAAGCCTACCTATTATCTGAGCTCTGCTTAAGGCAATATTCTAGAAAAAAAGAAATCTCAGGTTTTACAAAATACGTGTTATCTACGGGGTATCAGTGATATGTAGCTGACATTTGTTTGATTTTTTGTTGGATTCTCTCACCCAGGAGCACAAAGGAAGGCAATGCTTACACTGCTTCAAAAATCATGAATGAAGGAATTTAAATATGAACATTTCTATCCATCACACAAGTCTACCTCCCCTTATACAGCATGAGAAATATGTCCAATAGCTAGGGGATGATATGATAAATAGGCCTTTAGAGAAAGCCAAATAATACCAGATACTAGAGCTATTAATGACTTTAATGGAGTAAGGGCAGGATATTAGTTGTTATTAAATTAAAAAAAAAAGACTTGTAAAATGGTAAAGCAAGTGAATATTACCCAGGAAAAGTTGCAAAACACACTTTTTTTTCTGCCTCAAATGTCTTGTTTGTTTATGCTTAGGTATAAGGTATTTTCAGTCAGGTTTTCAATGTCCTAGGGTTCCACCTGGGGAAATTAATTCAAGTCTAATTCAGACCCCTGAGGTATCCCCAGGGCTATCATTTAAAAGGTTTCTTTGCTTTCTTAGGTAGGGCTACGAAACAGGACAATAAATTGTACTGGAAATTGCTTTGATACATTGCAGTAAACTCTGAAAACCCAGTGTATTGCATTCATCCTTGTTACGCACAGAAGGACACTTGTACTGCATTCCCCCCTGCTTAAATATTTGGCTAAGGTTTTATCTATGTAAATGTATCATTCTAGAAGCCTCCTTTAACTTTTCTTTCTCCAACTACTGGGAAAAAATAAAAGATCTTCAACATTCACAAAGATCTATTCTTTTCTAAACGAATGGACTTGGAATTCAAAAGAGGACAAGCATAAGAATCAAAACTGGAGCCAAAGAAATAGAATACTATACCCCCCTGCCCCCCTCCAAAAAAAGCTCAGCCAACCAACCAACAACAAAAAACCCCCATTGCTTGGGATTGCAGATGCAAAATGAAGAGTGTTAAAAGGGGAAAATGGCTGGTAACTGTCAGCTTCGTGTTGATTTTAACAGTGTCAGTGTTAATGGCCAATAACTGTTTTATGATTCTGTGTTTATTCCATTAGTATTTTATATTCAGATAGTCGAGCTAAGATAGCACAGCCATTAACTGTGTACTTAAAACTCTTCACTGTGTCCTAATCCCCGCTTATCTACCAGTGGTAAAATGAAGGCCATTAGATACTGGAAAACCTTGCATGGTATAAATGTTTTATAAATCCTGTATATACATTCTGAGATTTGGTAGCCAACCAACTAGAAACATTGCTTTGTCTCATTTAGAATAAGGATTTTTTTTAAAGAATAGAAAAAAGGCAAATACAAAACCTAAAACAACAACAAAAAAAAAAAAAGGAAGAAAGAGGCAGGAAGACAGGCAGGCAAATACAAGTGCAAAAAAATAAATAAGTGAAGCTACCTCCTGATTTTCTCAGTAATTGATCATTTGTTGTGTAAACTGATCCTTAATGCTTGCTTCTCAGCTCATTTTTATTTAAGACACCGTCTTATTGTTCATTAGCACTTTCTTCCCCCTGCCCTCCCAAAAAAAAACATAGAGGGAAAGATAATTCATTTTGCTTCTAGTTTGTGGCTGTTAATATGGTCATACATCTACAGTCAGCTTCAAAATCCCTCTTTTATTGGAAACATGGTTTAAAAATGGATGCAGGAATATGAGGAGGCTTCAAGGGATGAGAAAACTTAAAAAATAAAAAAATTACAAAGGGCTTCAATCTCAAAGTGAGAAGAGAGGAACAGTTTCACCAGAGTGAAAGCCCAGATGTCACCGATCTTTCTTACCCTGGTGGTGTAAGCTGCTTCCGGATCATCCTCAAGCACTCGGGACATGCCAAAATCAGACACTTTGCAGACCAAGTTGCTGTTCACCAGGATGTTCCGTGCGGCCAGATCACGATGCACATAGCTCATATCAGATAAATACTTCATCCCAGACCCAATGCCACGAAGCATGCCCACCAGCTGAATGACTGTAAATCTGCCATCATTTTTCTGCATAGAAAAGGAGTGAGGAACAATCTCATTAGCATTAGGCCAAGTTAATTCTCACCAAGCATTTATTACTTGAATCTTTTTGGGTATCTGTATCCGGTATGCAATGAAACTCAACATTATTTCCAGGCCTTTCTGACCAAAGTCGCTAATTCACTAGTAGACTGTACCCTAGGAGCTGGGTTTGCTTCCTGTGATAGATGGAAATTATCCAACTGTAATGAATCTACGGCTCCAACAGCTCCACATTACAGGAATAAATCAAAAACTACCCTCGTTGAACATGGATTATTTAATAGCCTTAAAAATCACATCATTCTCCATTTCTCCTCTTCTTTCTTTGCCCATTAAAAGAAATCCACGAATACCACCGAACACAACAAACACAAGGACTCTGTTAGGAGTTTTCTAAATACCAACATTCTTGGGTTTAATATAAAGTAGTCACATACCCTGAGGAATGCATCCAAGGAGCCATTCTCCATGTACTCTGTTATGATCATTACTGGTTTACCTAGAGTTTTCAGAAAGAAAAACACAAACCTTTGATGAGCGCTGCACTTAATGAGATAAAAATGGGCTGCGCACAATTTTACTGCCAAGATACCTGTCTTGTGTGATCTAATTTAATTAAAACAAGCCAAGCTTATGCCTCAGCTGTGGGGAGCTAGGAATGAAATATTAAAAGGACGAGTAGGTTTAAATTCCATCTGGATAGTTAAACCTTTGGGTGGCTTGTTGACAAGGTCTTTAACTAAAGTGGCCTCTGGTATCCAGGGAGCATATGAATGGATAATTGCTCTCTCAAGCAAAAGGGGAAAATGATAAATGGGGAGGCCTGTTTCAATGCAGAAATAATCTTTAGGATAATTAATTTATTTTGTCCTCAGAAGAGCCACTTGTAAGAAGCTAAGGAGGTCAATAGGCAATAAACTTCTTTATTTAGAGAAATCCATGTTTCAGGGAGCAGTAGCTATGTTGAATCCTTCCTTACCCAGACAAGCCTTAAAACCAAGCACGCAGGCGGGTTCGGTGGCTCATGCCTGTAATCTCAGCACTTTGGGAGGCCAAGACAGTCGGATTGCCTCAGGTCAGGAGTTCGAGACAAGCCTGGCCAACATGGTGAAACCCCGTTTCTACTAAAAATACAAAAAAAAAAAAAAAATTTGCCAAGCATGGTGGCAGGCGCCTGTAATCCCAGCTACTCAGGAGGCTGAGGCAGGAGAATTGCTTGAACTCGGGAGGCCAAGGTTGTAGTGAGCCGAGATTGCGTCATTACACTCCAGCCTGGGGGGCGACGATACAGAGACTCCGTCTCAAAAAACAAACAAAAAAACAAGCATGCGACTTCTCTCCACTGTCTTGCTCAGCTCAGGGCCTCTGTCTTTCTCTTCACTTTCCCTAGCTATGAATAAACTTGCTTTGGTCTGATTCCTTAAACTGCCTACCTCAAAAAACAAACAAACAAAAACCCCAGAACAGTCACAGGAAAGGTTCAGAAAATTATTTCATCTGAGACAGGAATTTAAATTCAATACTAGAACATCCTTATTTCCCCCATTCCCCCTACCTATTTTTTTTTTCTGCAAAGAAATAAAAATGATTTTAAGCTCTGAGCAGAATGAGGTGTAAATAAGATTTTCACAAAAGTCCGCTTTCTGAGGACTTTAGGACATAAGAACCATTCTTTACCTTCTTGATCACAGGCAATAGGCTCAAGGTCTGAAATTCCTTCTTTCTAAAGGGTATTTATTGTTGGCAAGTGGAGGGTGGGAATCATGAGGTGTTTTTTTTTGCTTTGTTTTGTTTTTTCTAAGAGCAGGATAAAACAGGTCCCTAAAATATTCCTTTGGAAGAAAATAAAATGTCAGTTTGATATACCAAAAATATTCACACTGGCAGGGCACGGTGGCTCACACCTGCAATTCCAGCACTTTGGGAGGCCGAGGCAGGTGGGTCACTTGAGGCAAGGGGTTTGAGACCAGCCTAGCCAACATGGTGAAACCTCGTGTCTACTAAAAATACAAAAATTTGCCGGGTGCAGTACGCACTTGCAGTCCCAGCTTCTCGGGAGGCTGAGACAAGAGAATCACTTGAGCCCAGGAGGCAGAGGTTGCAGTGAGCCGAGATCATGCCACTGCACTGAAGCCTGGGTGACAGAGTGAGAGTCATTCTAAAAAAATAAAAATAAAAAAAATCACACTTTTTATTGCTGCATTGGCTGATTATTTAGACTTCAGTCTAGAAAAATGGGCTGAACTATTTCACCGCTGAAAAGCACCCATAATTATTCTAAAGAAATACATTTTCCACCCAGTGATTCCATCAGCTTATAATTTCTGGCATATAGGGCATGGGGAAATTTTTCACCTTAGGGGCAAAAGTGTTGAAGAGTGGGTTTTTAATTCCATGAAGTCCAATATATCAATTTGTGATATTTCTTGATTGCTTGAGTTTTTGGTGTTGTGTCTAAGAAATTACTCAGAGGCAAACACTTTTGCATTAGAAAATGGTACCATGGACATTTTATTTTCAAGTGAGGAAAGAAGGCTGGTAGAAAAAGTGGGAATCTTGGTGCAGACCAAAGGTGCATAAAACCACTTTTAAGTCTTTTCTCTACGCTGGCAGGGGTGTGTCTGCACATTCTCTATCAATACAAATAGGAAATGCTTAGTTCTCAGATTCATTTACCCTCTACATATGTGACCAGGGTTTTCTACTCAAAAAAAAAAAAAAAAATTGCCGGATGCAGTGGTGCACACCTGTAGTCCCAGCTACTCGGGAGGCTGAGACAGGAGAATCACTTGAGCCCAGGAGGCGGAGGTTACAGTGAGCCAAGATCGTGCCACTGCACTCAAGCCTGGGTGAATTTCTTTTCTTTTCTTTTTTTTTTTTAAGAGACAGGGTCTGGCTCTGTGGCCCAAGCTAGAGTACAGTGACATGATCATAACTCACTGCAGCCTTGAACTCCTGGGCTCAAGGGATCCTCCTGCCTCAGCCTCTTGAGTAGCTGGGATTCCAGGCACTAGCCACCGAGCCCAGCTTGTGACCATAGTCTTCTGACAGAACAAATGTGCCTAAATGAGTTTTAATCAACCTGCCTCAATCAAAAGATACTTTGTCAACTAACGAGAAAGGGCAGCCTCTCATGGCTGTGCATTAACACCTCCTTGCATTTCACCAGATCCCTCTGGAGCTGTGGAGACGACAGGAGAGGATCCAAAAGTGAGGGTCATGCGGAGAATTTATGGTCCTCCTGCCAATTTAAAAAGTTACTCAAGTAACTGCTGGTAATGAATTCACACGCTTCCACTCTACCCTTTCACCCTCACACCTCCCTAGTCGGACTCTTGGCACCATCTTCACAAATTTTCTGCATTCCATTTTCTGTTTATTAAAAGTATCCATTTGTCAGATCCTTTATGAGCTCTACAAGGGAAACAAAGATGAATGTCTCCATAAGCAAAGGGGCTTATAAAATAGGCCTGGGCTGGGCTCTTGGATAGAGGAGTCTCCTTCCCTGCAGTAGGCAGGGATGCAGTGGGGAGGAAAGGGGTGGGGGAAGGGAATAGCTTCTCCAATAGAAATTTTAAATCATTTTAATTCAGTGACAACTGCATTATGCAAATGCATCCAGTCGTTTATAACAGTTACAGCTGTAATAGCTACGTGTTTTAGAGGCGCGGTGGGACTTTAATACAAAGATCCCCTGTTTCTTCTCTCTTCTGCAGAGGTGCTAGGAAAATCACTGTCTGCGACAGGAAAAACACCCTAAGCTGAACAGAGCCTCCTTTTTAGAAAACGGACCTGCAAAAGTATTTAAAGGGAATGTTATCTTTTAATTAAAGTAGTGAAGGGCTCTGGGCGGCCCTGAAGGCCACAGGCAACAGAAAAATATCCTGTCTGTAAAACTAATCTCAAAAAGCAAATAGAGCTATTCTATGCTAATTATAGCCTTCACCTTATGCGGAAAATTATATATCCTTCTCACCAAGGTTCCTTTTTTTTTTTTTTTGAAAGATTCTGAAGATGGGGAAAGATGTACCTACTTCTTAAGACATAATAGCACCACTGAACACGTACGAGGTTTTTTCTGAAAAAATTTGCTATTGTGGTAACCACTCTAAGTATTCTATTTCATCCCCAAAATAACCTTATAAGGCAAATGCTCTTTTTACCTCCATTTTACAGATGAGAAAACTGAAAGAGAAAGATTGAACAAGTAGTCCAAGGTCACAAGCTTTAGAAGCAGCAGAGGTGGTATGCGGTCGTTTGTCCCCAGGCCAATGGTTCTCAAAGCGTGATTCCCATACCAGCAGCATTGGCTTCACCTGTGGTGAGCTCTCTTGCACTCCAAACTTACGGGCCGCACACCACCTGCTGAATCAAACCTCTGAGCAGGAGGCCCAAGAAACTGTCCTAACAAGCTTTCCAGAAGATTCTTATGTTTGAGGACCCCTGAACTGTATAGTGTGTACTTTCTCTCCCATTTTAGTAACCACCTCATTTCTTCTTCCTAAAGATTTTGTACTTTGTGTCCTACTAGCCACCTGCCCCAGGCCTAATGTCTCATTTTTTCTTTTCTTTTCTTTTTTTTTTTTTTTTTAAGTAGAGACAGGTTTCTATTAAAAAAATAGAGTCCAGGTGCCTCTGTCACCTGGACTGGGGTGCAGTGGTACTATCGTAGCTCACTAGGAATGATATGGACAGGCGGCAGGGAAATACTGGGTAGAAGAGGGTGGTTCCCTGCAAAGGCCCCACCTTCAACACTGGAAACCGTGGGCATTACCTTAGGAATAGTCAAACTCCAGGGGAAGATTATCTTCCTATTCCTTCCCCTTTCCAGCTCCCCATCCCGCTGAGAGCCACCTCCATCACCCAATAAAACCTACACATTCACCATCCTTCAAGTCCATGTGACCTGATTCTTCCTGGACACCAGACAGGAACCCAGGTACCAAGACGGGAGGGTGAAAAAGGCTGTCACCCCGACTCTCCACTGAGCTGGTTAACACTTAGCCATCCGTGGATGACAACTGCTAAAAGAGCATTATTTGTAACATACACCTGGGGCTCCAGAGGTCACTGGCAACCACTCGCCCAGGCTCCTGCAGGTGCTAAACTGTGTGCTCCCCCTCCTACAAGAAGTTTGAGCTCGGTGGCCAAGCAAAACAAGTCACACCCCATTACAAGTCCCACGAGGGGTCCAGGAAACTTACCCATCTCAACTGCAGCCTCAAACTCCTGGGCTCAAGTGATCCTCCTGCCTCAGCCTCCTAAGTAGCTAAGACTACAGGTATGAGTGATTACACCCAGCATCAGTTTTTCTCTTTAACCTACCCTCCTCCGACTGCTCCCCCACACTGGGGTGGCTATATTGCCATTACTCTGCACACGCTGACTGAAGATGCTTTCCACAGACACCTTGAATCAAAGAAGAAAAGCCTTGGCTTTCCAGGGGACACAGCCCCAGGCTTATGAGATCCTTGACTTGTAGTAACTGTAGTGTGTATGAGGGCTCTTGGAACACAGCCACCTTAAACAGGGACTGCCTCAGCTGTGCTGTCTATGTGGCACTTTATAAGTTGGTCTTAGCCAGCCTTACAGATTTACTCAGGATTTGCTTCACAAAATGCATCTGTTGAGCTGTGTCGCATTTTAACTGAAGCGTGGTTCATAGGCTCAGCGAATGCTAATGGACTAAAAAAGGAAAGTTCAACCAGGTGTTACTGTAAATAGGTGCTGAACTGCAACAGCCATAAATCAGGCAGAGCAGACAAGCAAATCCCGCAATATATTCAAGATTCCCAAGCTTCACTCTCTGCATCTGGAACCAAAGATTCCAGCACAAGGTGTGGCCAGGTTTTGTTGTGCTTTATAGGAAAAGTACTTAAATTTTATTTTGCTTACCATCTGCTTGAGCCCACCCTATGACAATCAGTTTGGCCTAGCAAATATCTGAAGGATGGCATGGCATACCACAAATCTGCAATATTAATTTCTCTAAAATCTCACACAAGCTGCCTTGGAGATAGGGTATCCAGCCAAAACCAAAGACCCATTTAGAGCTGACTACAAGATTAATGACTTGTCCTGCACTGATTTCCTCCTATTAGCAATCAGTGGGTCTGCGCCATCTGTCATTTCCCTGGAAAGAAAATGTGTGTTTAATTTCCCAGTAACTTCTAGCTTGGCTTTGTAAAGGGGGTGACCCACGTACATTTAGTGACCACGCCTTCCAAGTGAATGATGTTCGGATGGTCAAACTGTCCCATGATGCTGGCCTCACTCAGGAAGTCTCTCCTCTGTTTGTCTGTATAACCAGCTTTCAGAGTCTTGATAGCCACACAGATCTCTCTCTTGCCAGGCACTTTGAGACGCCCACTGCATACCTCACCAAATTCACCTTTGAGAGAGAAAAAGAATCTACGATGGACCAGAAACACATTCAAGATGAAAGAATAACAGCTAACATTCCTTGAGTGCTTGTTACACGCCAGGCTGTTTGCTAGTGCTTTGCATAGATTATTTCACAAAATCCTCCATGCAACCCTGAAGTAGATGCTACTATTAGCCCCATTTTATTAGAGAAAACTAAGGCTTAATGCAAAAAACCTACACAAAATCTTAGTTAGTAAGAAACAGAGTAAATCTTTTGAATGCAATCAATCTGATTTCAGATTGCATTAAGTTTCTCTCTAAGAATAAAATCAAAATTTGTACTAGAGTTCTTTATAACACATGATATTTTATACTCAAAAAAGGAAATTTCATGTATATACACACATATAATATACTCACAAAAGCATTTATGTAATCCACACACATATTTAACATCCACCAAGAAAACAGACTCATTAGCAGACGGACACTCAGACACTTACCAACTCCTATAACTTTTTCAATCTTAATGCAGGATGCGTCAATTTCTTTGGCAAACTCTCGCACTGCTTGGTTGGGATCTTCGTACGTAAAGGGGTCCACATATGTTCTTACACCTGAGTGATAAACATGATAAGTTGGCTGAATACTTCTAAGGAACCACTAATAAACATAAATAGTCTGGGTCTAAAATTACCAAACATAGGAAAAGTCAAGTTAGCTGTACGGTCTTGACATATGAAAATGGTTAAATTCTTGCTCTGGTTTTCATTAGTGGGTAAACAAAATATTGTTAGCTACTTAAGAGGCTGCAGCTTTACTGACTTCCTGGAATGTCTTCACACTTCAAGGACAAGATTTTTAAAACAACCCATCCCATGGAGGAAATTTGAATTGTGTTAGCTAAATACTATTGTCCCAAGCAGTTGCTCATAGCTCCCTTGCCTTTGCATGAAGTCCTACCCACTACTTTCAGTTATCCTCCCTTAGGGAAGGAAATAGAAGCATTTTAATTTCAAACAGCTCTTTCCACATGGTGTCACATTTTGCCCAATATCTGGATGAATTAAATATGTGACCAACAATTAACAAAATTAGATTAAACCTAAGTTAAAGTAGACAATAAGGTTAATATCAGCTAGTTGATTTGAGAATACAGACTCTGTAGTGGACCTCACTTCTTTTCTGGTTTGGAAAGAAGGTGTCATAAGCTAAGATATTCAAGTTTGCCAGAAAGTTTCAGCTGGAGATAAGCATTGTAGCCTAGACATCAGGAAGTATGATTCAGCCATATCTCATACTACCCATAAACTAAATTTAGATGTGTTTGCCGGCAGCCCAGTGACAGATATCTGGGCCAAGAGGCAGAAGTCATTGTAAAAAGCTTTGTCCTGGCACTTGCACCTCTCCCTCCTGGAGCTGTTGGGGCACTGGGGCACAGAGGGTATGAAGGACACCAGTTGGCCCAGTCCCTTCGACTTTCCAAGCCTGTAGGTCTTGTCCTCATCCCAGCACCATTGGTTAGGAATAAGCTCCTTAAATTGGCAATTTCTTGCTACTTCTTTTTAATAGATCAGCTTTTTAAAAAAACATATATTCCATGTAAAAATTTAAAAAACATGATTTTAGGAGGAAACGAGGTGAATAAATGGAAAGTTGTTAGACACTTCATATCCCTCATCACTTTATATGCTATAGCCAAGAAAATCTTCAAGATGAGTCTTGTTATTCCCAGTCCCTCTCTTTTTTTCTATCTTTTTTTTTTTTTTTTTTTTTTTTTTTTCTGGAGACAGAGTCTGGCTGTGTCGCTCAGGCTGGAGTACAGTGGTAGGATCTTGGTTCACTGCAACCTCCGCCTCCTGGGTTCAAGCAATTCTCGTGCCTCAGCCTCCTGAGTATCTGGGATTACAGGCGTGCATTATCATGCCTGGCTAATTTAGTTATTTTTTGTAGAGACGGAGTTTTGCCATGTTGGCTAGGCTGGTCTCGAACTCCAGATCTCAAGTGATCTGCCCTCCTTGGCCTCCCAAAGTGCTAGGATTACAGGCATAAGCCACTGTGCCCGGCCAATCTTTCTTCTATCTTTCTGCACTAATATGTGAGTGACTTGTTACATGAGGCTATCTAAATATAAATAAGTTAAATTTAAAAATCACTTTCTCAGTCATATTAGCTACATTTCAAGTATTCAATAGCTTGTGTGGCTATTGGCTTACATTTTGGACAGTGCAGATATAGAACAATGTTATCTCAGAAAGTTCTAGTGGACAGCTCTCCTGGATAGTCACCAACCACTGTCCATTTAAAAGTCTTCTACTGGCTGGGTGCGGTGGCTCACACCTGTAATCCCAGCGCTTTGGGAGGCCGAGGCGGGCGGATCACGAGGTCAGGAGATGGAGACCATCCTGGCTAACACGGTGAAATCCCATCTCTACTAAAAGTACAAAAAAATTAGCCGGGGGTCGTGGCGGGTGCCTGTAATCCCAGCTACTCAGGAGGCTGAGGTGGGAGAATGGTGTGAACCAGGGAGGCGGAGCTTGCAGTGAGCCAAGATCATGCCAGTGCACTCCAGCCTGGCCGACAGAGCAAGACTCCGTCAGAAAAAAAAAAAAAAAAAAAAGTCTTCTACCTTGCTTAAGTCACTCTAGAGCCACTTTTAATGTCTTCTTTGACCTCTTTGGAACATCAAAATTAGAATCCACTAAAAATTTATTGACAGTCACTAATTCTATATCACATATAGCCATTCCCTGGGAAGTAGCAATTACTGTTACATTTCTTATTCTTTTCCTCCTCCTCAAATTTCCAGCTTAGATTAAAAAAAATACCCATTTAATTTTGCCACCCAGCTACAACAATGAGCCAGCTAGACTGATAACTTTCTTAGGGTAGAGGATAAAATAAGAAAAAGTAAAAATCTAAAGAAACTTCTCTACCTCATCCCACATCTTTAATCTCACCATCCAAATCACCCATTTCAGTTTGATACCTAGGAAGTACATTATTGGGATAAGGAATAAATATATTATATTATATAACATTAATAGCCACGTAAATATTATTTGAACATGTTTAAACTAGAAAACGTGTGACATGCTCTAAAAATAGAATTTTTTAATCCAATTTTTTGTACCTTGATTCAAATGTTTCTCTTCATCCGCTTCTTGTTTGGCTTTACTGTATTTACTCCGTCTATTAAAATTTTTTTAAAAAAGAGAATTATTTTCCTCAAACACCTAAGCTTTAACACATGCCATAAGACAAATTCTTTGCTACTGTAAGTCAGGCAGGTATGCTATGTACATTTCAGAGATGAGAAAACTGAGACTTACAAGAGATGAAATACTTGTCACCTGGGTAGTGAGTCATGGTTTTAAGCTCAAGCAGTCACAGACACCTCTGAACCACAATTTTAAACTGAGGTGTCTTACAATAGGTTAAAGCAAATATTTTATAATATAATTATAATTTAAAATCTCTCAGAGAAAATTTATCTTATTGAAGATAAGTTTATTGGCTATTTTTCCATTTATATAAATATACATGTGTATATATATGTACATGTGTGTATATGTATATATACATTCTAAATTAAATTTCCATGAGTAATTCTGTGTAAATCAAATGGCAGTAATGTTCAGTATGTGATAGGTAATAGTAAATATTATTGCTATAACCAGATAACTACTACCACAAAACTTCATTATCATATTACATGATACTCTTGAAACAATACTTTTGCGGTCACTGGTTTCAGTTGCTGCATACAAATTCCCAACTTATTAACAAAATGTTTAAAAGTAAGTATTTGCTTTGTACTGAATTATGTTCCCTAATTTGTAAAAAAATGAGCAAGGGTAAAAATGAGCTTTGTTTTGCTTTGCCTAATTCACTTTCAGTAAAATGGTGCATTGTCTTAAACCTGGCATTCTGCTCCTACAACTTTTAATAGCCTAAATTTGGCTTTGTTATAAAGCTTTGTGGATTAGAAATCTTCAGTACACATAAATATTCAATCAGAAATGTATATATCTCTCTTATACAAACTGGAAAATCAACTCAAGCCTTGCAAATCAAAAATCTTGAATATATATACATAGTGAGTCAGGAGAATATATATCACTTAAAGGAATCAGAAAGTCAACTCCGTTGATATCACAGCTGTCTAAAGCTTGGGAAGTTGAGACCAAATTAGTAAATAAAATGTATACATTTATGTTTCTGTCAGAAAGGTACAATTTACACTGGAATTTACATTCTATGTTTTCTTAGAGCTTCAAAGACAAGGTAAGGCAAGACTCTTACAGAAAAAGAAACACGGTCTGAGATAAGTAAAAATTCCCGCAAAGCCAGGTGTCTTGGCAGTGTGGTCCTGTCAAAATCCTATACCCTGAACTCTTAAACTTTGAACAGGTAGAAAGGCAGATGATTACGAAAAAGAGAGAATAACAGAGAACCTAAAGGAGCCAGGCAGTGCAACCAGAGAGGCAGCGGATCCCGGTCACATGCTCCAACCTTCCCTCCCACATTCCTCTCCTAATTGTCAGCAGCGCAAGAACCAGCTCAGCAATCAGACCCTCAGAGCCTACAGATGTTTCTCCGTGGGGATAATTCCCTGGCAAATAATAAAACCTTGCACTTTTACACTGCATTTAACTTTTCAAAGTGCTCTCATCTCATATATTATCTCCTTCCCTAACTGTTTGCAAAGCAGGAACCAACTTAGCAAAACAGAGACCCCAATGACTACAGCTAACTGTGAAGTACAGTATTTCAGTCCCAAATCATAAGCTTGCATTTTCCTTTGCATTTAACTTTTCAAAGGGTCTATTTTTATTTATTTATTTATTTATTTAATTTATTATTTTTTGAGACAGAGTGTCACTCTGTTGCTCAGGCCGGAGTGCAGTGCTATGATCTCAGCTCACTGCAACCTCCACCTCTAGGGCTCAAGCGATCCTCCTGCCTCAGCCTCCTGAGTAGCTGGGATTATAGGCACCCGCCACCCATGCTCGGCTAATTTTGTATTTTTAGTAGAGCCAGGGTTTCACCATGTTGGCCAAGCTGGTCTCAAACTCTTGACCTCAAGTAATCCGCCCACATAGGCCTCCCAAAGTGCTGGGATTATAGGCATGAACCACCGCACCCAGCCAGAATCTATTATTTAATTGCATCTTCATGACAACCCTTTGAAAGCAACCAGGCAGACACACATGCTCAGATTCCCTGTAGATGAGGACATGGAGCTGGGGTGGGGTGGGGGGTGGGGAGCAAGAGGATCACCACGTGCTCTCCTAGCAAGTACAGGACTTTGTGAAAGCCCTGATCCAGCCCACGACTTCATAGAGCCTCTCTTACTGGAGATTAGTTACATAAGGATACCTGGTGAGAGTTAATTATAAGTAGTATTACGTTTTATATCAGTACATTCACTTAAAGTGAATTCAATTGCTCTTAAAATCCATTGCTTCATTGAAGTAACTAAACAGGTTTAAATACCCTGAAGCCAAACAACTTTCTATAAAAGATGAAGTCTCCTCCAATCTTCTTCCTCTCCCTCCACCCCCGTCCTTTCCCTTCTTTTAAAGGAATATAAGAGTGTTAGGTCAGGGACTACTAAAATAACATTTTATGTCAGGAAAATGCCATCGATTGGTCCCAAGGGAGTGATAGGGTCCTGCCAGCCTGAAACATTGTGTCTTATCAGAGCTCCTAAAAGCATTATCTAAAATTACAAGTATCTCTTTTAAACCACTTAAGATCTCGAACACTGATTTGAATTTCTTTCCTTTGAAGAAGGAAAAACAAATGCATAGAGTGAGAAAGCTTTGGTACCAACTTAAAATTGTCAATGAAACAAAAACCTGGAATATACCATAGAAACCCATGGCCTGAAGCTGCCCGGGAAAGCGTTTATCTGTTTTACATCAAGCACATTCATTAAATATGTGCAAAGCCAGAGGAAATACAAAATGACAGGGGTCATTAATTATAAGGTTGACACGCCCATCCCTTCCTCAGACTTCTAAACATAGAAGGAGGAATTAAATTAGTGGTGAAGGTGTGTTTTTAAATGAGATTTTTTTACGTGGAGTGTTATTTGGAGGAGAGGACCCTTAAGACTGCAGGAAATGGCTGAAAAAAAACCACAAGGATTACTGTTGAAAGGCTAATAGTAGTCTGTTTGCTTTTTAGAAATACCTGGAAAACAAAAATGCCTGTGTCCTGTTCTACCTTTAACACCTGATGGCCCTTTTGCCTTGGCTCAGTGTAGGACAGTGTGGCCCATTATCATCCCAGGAAAGAAAGCCCATTGAAGTTCACCACTGGGGCAGCCAGCCTGCAGGAAGCCACACTGCCTGAAGAAGTCCTAACTCAAAACTGACATCTCAGGCTGATCACTTGAATGACAGAAGGAAAACTTTGTTGAAGGTTTTCTAATTACAGAGATGTGGACAAGCTGATTAAAACTGGGAAGGAGTGGAGTGTTTTGTTAGTGAATGCTCCAGAAGGAAACATGGACCCTTTCAGCCGCAGGAGTTGGAGAAAAGAGCCCACATTGCAGGTGAAACTTTGAAAGAGTGTGAACTAAGCCCTCCTGCAGTCCAAGGGACATGGTAATAAGGGTATTAGCAGACATTGTTGCAGAACAGCGTGAGCCCTCTCAACCAACGTGCTGTTCCTGGCACCTTGACTATTCAATATAACAAACAAAATAGAGACGGGGAGCAAGGCAGGGGCCCAGCATAAACCATGCTTTTACTAAATTACTAACTTTTCTGGTCAAGTGGACAGATTTGATTGATGTGGTTCACTGTTCCAAAACTAATTAGTAAAAGGTAAGTAATTTATTCAGCTAAAGTGCATATTAAAAATAAAGCAACGTAACTAGCATGGCTCCAGGAGGTCCCTTTCCAGCACTGAACGGCATCACCCATGAAGATTCACAGCAGCCATTCTTTTTCTCCTTCTTTAAGCTGTCATTATTCTTGCACCGAATGATGTCTAAATGGTGTTCATGAGTAGCATGTTGAAATGGTTGCACGCAAGTTGTTTAGAAATGTTCCCGAGGTATCATCTGCCCCCACTTGTGTGAATTTACATGACTTCATCAGAGCTGAATTAGGCTAACATTTAAGTGTTTTCATTTTCACATGATTGTAATATTCCAGGGAAGGAAATTAGGGCCCAGGCGGACCACCTGAGGTCAGGGGTTCGCGACCAGCCTGGCCAACATGGTGAAACCCCATCTCTATTAAAAATACAAAAATTAACCAGGTGTGGTAGCACAGGCTGAACCATAACTGTTTCAGCATTGTGTGAACTCTTAGCTCCAAAGTGGAATATCTTAACCTTCAATAGGAGGAGAAAATTAACTTGCAAACTCTGACTTTATATTGTGCAACAGATTTGCATATTAATTCACAGATTACAAATCTTACCAACATCACTAGCAGAGTCTTGAAGCTTTGGTTCCATAGAACTGCCAATGTCAGCTTTTTTATGTAGGTCAACTTTGTCAGTTAAGAAGATATTAAAATAATATATCTATCCCAGTATTGGAAGTCAGGAGAGCTGAATTCCTGTCCTGATCAGCAACTAACTCACCATGTGACCTTCGTTTATTTGTTTAATCTCTTTAGGCCTCCAGTACCTAATATATATATATAAATTTTGCCATAACCACTTCATTTTTTTCTTAAAATCAATTCACTTCTTTTTCCTTATCCAGGTAAAAGGGGTACTTTATAACCCTAACATAAATGGAAACCCACTGTCACTAGCAATCATTAGAAGGTTCGTATAAAAACAGCATGTGCCTGGTTATCAGTAATACTTTCCCTCACTACCAAGTTATCCTTTAAGAAATAGGGGCTATTCTTGTATTCTAGACTTTTCTTAAAATTGTTTTTCACATTTGAATAATAAAATACTGTTTTGGGGCCGGGTGTGGTAGCTCACGCCTGTAATCCCAGCACTCTGGGAGGCCGAGGTGGGCAGTTCACTTGAGGTCAGGGGTTTGAGACCAGCCTGGCCAACATGGTGAAACCCTGTCTCTACTACACATACAAAAATTAGCTGGGTGTGGTAGTACATGCCTGTAATCCCAGCTACTTGTGAGGCTGAGGCATGAGAATCACTTGAACCCATGAGGCGGAGGTCTCAGTGAGCTGAGACTGAGTTATTGCATGCCAGCCTGGGCAACAGAGTGAGACTCTGTCTCAATCAATCAATCAATACGGTAATACTGTTTTGGAAAAAACACTGCCCTAAAATAATCTGAATTAATACTAGTTTGTGATGCTTTTGGAGATAACCTGATGAAATCATTACTATAAAAGGGAAGAGGGTGTCAGAGAAAATTAGCATAGATTCAGTCATTAGTCTTGGAGGTTATGACCTTATAATTGTATTTTAGGATGTCACTGTGAACAGTCCTTTTAAAGATCATTTTAAAAAAACAATATAGAAAAGTGGTTATGTTGTGGAGATCACAAATATATAAATATATACATGTGGAAATGTTGATTTGCTGGAGAGAATGTACAAATAGAGATTTGTTTGTGGTTTGAAATAAAATTTATAGGGACAGCATCATATAGGTACAAGAAGTGTTCTGCCTTAAACTAACCTAGATAACAAGTACAATTATGTGCTCTGGAAAGCTGAAAGAATTCTGAAATTATATCTTGAGTGATGAGAAAGACACAGATCAAAGATGCCTACAGAAAATATAAAATTAAGTTGCTTAACATAAATGTGGGTGGTAAAAATATACAATATAGCTAAATCAATGTGCCTAGTATAACATCTCATTTTAGGTATTTTATAAATTTAGTAGTTTGATTCTTTCACCGCGATCCCTAAATGCTTACATGTTCCATTTGGCCAAAAGAAAAAAGTAGATCTCGCTGAAAAAAGTGTAGATTATTCTGGCTTGCCTTAGGCTCAGGCTTCTCCCTATAAGCTGCATGTGTACAATGAAATAAATGAAACAATTGCTATAAAAAAAATCTAGCAAGATACCAACTGTGAGCCTGAGGCTGCTTCCTCTTTCTTAAATGACAAATTAGCACCAAGACAATTTTCTCTCTGAGGTCATCAGAAGGACTGAAACTTTCTCACTACGTGAGTTTCTGTCCATTGACTTCCTTAGGAATCTTGCATGCCATCAGCAGAGTGGGAGTCAGTTCAAGGGGACCCCCATAAGGGATCTATCTGTAGCATCCATTCCAGCATAAACATTTAGTGATTCTAAGAAGCACAAAGCAGCCCCATCGTCAAAGGACATGACTCAGATTTCATAGGCTAGGGTGTTTAATCTGTTGCTTTCTCATACTACTGGCTGAAGTCTGGCAAGATTATTTCGCCAGTACCATGTACCACCTTTCATTTGTCCTCTCACGAAAAGCCTGGGCCAGCCAGGCTTTCATCCCCACTACCTGTCTCCTCTCTGTTCACCTGTTCTTGTCCCATTTAAACATTTATAGTCCAAGATAACAGAGCAGACAACCTGCGTGAGGAGAAGAATTGGCTGAGTGTGCATGAGCCGCTGCAAGCCTGTCAGCTACCTGGCTCCGGGCGGCCTTTCCCATGACAGCTTTACGGCCGACACTAAAGAAGAATCAATATGAGGGCAAGGGGTTGACATTTCATTTTCTAAAAAGTGATCCATTGAGGACCAATCACCAAGCACTGTTTATCAGCCTTGGGAAGTGACATTTTTTTTTTAATGGGGGAGAAGGGACAGGAATCATCGCTAGGTAACTCGACAGGCTCAATTCTCTAAGGTGGGGACTCATAATTGGAAATCCGATGCATCCTGCTATCAATCCTGCCTTATATAATAAAGTGATCAATAAAAGCAGAGAGGAAATTAAGTCATCAAGCTTAAGGATGCTATTTTCCGTAGTCACGGCTTTTAATAAACTTGTCTCCCCGCATTACATTTTCATGTGTTTTTCCTTTCTTTTCATCAAAGCCAATGTTTTAAGCAGAACATCCAAAGGAAACTTACAATGAGGTAACTTATTTCTCATTACTCCAGTTTGACTGCTGTATTTAGGGCCACTTATACCAAAAAACAAAAAAGCAAAGTAAATCTAAAGCAAAGCTGGACTACAACTAGAGAATGTTTCCAGTCAAGTCAAAGAGATGGTCAAGACACAAGGCAAGGCCTACTTTCTGCAGAGAAGTGCTCTGAGCATCCTAGGGTGCTGAATTTTTATCAAATATTTTTAGAGGTGGAGGTATTTCATGAATTGTATCTGTTTTTAAACCTTTAAACATCTTTATTTTCTAACAACCAAGATTATTTCTGTATACTGTGAACATTTCAGACATAGAAATATGTAATTATAAAATCAAAAAAGCACATATAATTCCTATACACTCCCCCACATGCTCCTTGCTTCCCACCATCAGATGGATATTACAGTTCCCGGTGGTTATATGCACAGCATGCGTACATATACAAAACTAAATGGCAATGTACAAGAAAGAGGGCCATCTTGATTGGCTTTCAAAATCAAATACCAGGGAAGGAAAGAACAGTGGGAATTCAAAATCTATGCAGGTCAACCTTAAGTTTCCAAAGGTTGAGATATTCTGCTGTTTAGAATATAGAGGGCATGCCAATGTCTATATGTTTTTGTATGTGTGTGTATTAAAGAAACAGAAATGAGAATTTATTGTGGATTTAACATCTCAAGATTTGACTCATCACTCTAATCAAACATACCTATTCATAGATTGTGCATGAAAAGCAATGAACACGGTGTAAAACAGATGCCTGTACAGAACGTGTTTTTCTATACTGTGTTATGTTAGAGTGAACATAATTGGTCCCTGTATACCAGGACACTTTAGAGAGTGAGGATGGGAGCATGATATTAAGAAATACATGGCCGGACATGGTGGCTCATGCCTGTAATCCCAGCACTTTGGGAGGCCGAGGCAGGCGGATCACTTGAGGTCAGGAGTTTGAGACCAGCCTGGCCAACATGGTGAAACCGTGTCTCTACTAAAAATACAAAAATTAGCTGCCAGGTGTGGTGGCGTGTGCCTGTAATCCCAGCTACTCAGGAGGGTGAGACAGGAGAATTGCTTGAACCCAGGAGGCAGACGTTGTAGTGACCCGAGATCATGCCACTGTACTTCCAGCCTGGGCGACAGAGCAAGACTCCGTCTCAGAAAAAAATTAATAAATTAAATAAATACATGTACCAACTGGGACCATCCAGGCAAACTAGATTATATGGTCACCACTCTAATTATAATGTATATCAGAGGAAAGTAAAAGCATAGTGGCTTGCCCAGGCCAGTGGAAATAGCCAAAGGCATTGCTATGACATTGGTGAGATCATCAGTAGGCAGAGAGGGACAATGCAACAGACACTGGCCTGAGGGCCAAGCACAGCTACTGGTGGGGCCAGAAGCAGCTCAGCCTACCACTATGGCAATGCGACAAACTTGGGCAAGAATTACTTCTTTCCTAGGACTACTTCCCTCTTCTAGAGAATGAAAAGCTTTACATTTAAGAGGATCCTTTTGACATCCCCAGGCTTAGCCCTTTTTTTCACCAACAGCCCCATCTTGTGAAACAGTTGATGGTATATGGGGATGCCGATCAGGGAAGAGGCAGATTCTTACACATCAAAGACAAAGAAGGCCCAGATGTGGGGCACATATCAATGACTACTCCTCTGGAGCCTCTGGGCAGACGATGGGAGTGAGTAAATGGAGACAAAAACAGTAAGAAAAACTGGTTCAAAAGAAGATGCTGCCAATCTGTTGTTATTTCTCTCTCCTTTTTAGGTTATTTTTTAAGTATCAAGTCAGATTGTAAGTACTTAGAGGATAAGGGCTCAGATGTTTCAGGTTCATTTCCAAGACAATGCCATGCCCGAGATTTGCTCAAGGGATAATCTCTAGAAATCCCTTGATTGTCTGGAAATGCTGATGGCTTTTCCTGGGGGAAGACTGAGTGTGAAGTACCCATTTCTTTGCTTTAGTGACCATTACTGTTAACCAAAATCATGCTGAAGCACCTCCTGTGTGCTGTATTATCTATTTTGTGTATCAAAATTCTCCTGTCAATAACCCTTTGAGGCAGATAATAATTATCTCTATTTTACAGAATAGAAATAAAGACTCAAAAAGGTTTATGTAGTAGTAGCTGGCAAATGGCAGAGCTCAAAATTGGGGCCCAAGTTTTATAGGGCTTTTTCTTGCCTTTGGCAGTGAGTCCAGGCTTAAGAGAGGGATAAACGTAACACCTGGCAGCTTAAAGCATCTAGAAATCTCCCACTGGCTTGCTCTTCAGCTTTGTTTCCTACAATTAGCTGGGTCCTTCCGGACCTCTCAGCCTGCCACCAGGGTACAGCTAGCAGCTTTGGTAGGGGTGTGGGAAGATCAAAGCAACAAGGAGGAAACTTGGGATGCAGATGCCAAGTTTATGACGCAATCAAAAGCCTTAGCTTTGTGTGGAAGAGAAAAAAACCATCATAAACACTGGGAAGGTCGGGGGCTGCACAGTGAGTGGCTTCAGTGCTTACCTCCGGCTGATGACAAAAGCTGCAATGAGAATTACCACCAGCACCACACTGCCCGAGACAGAGACCAGAAGGACTGTGGAGTTAGCCCCATCTCCAATGATCCGGGAAGGCACTGGGAATGACAATTGCATAAGGGTCACCTTTGGGAAAGTCTTAGGAGGTAGAACTTCTGAATGGGTCACAGTTTTCAGTGTTCTGAAGCCACTTGGAGAGAGAAAGACACTTGAACATTTCAGAAAGGGCAGCAGTTTTGAATGTACCTCCTTCCCCGAGAGCTATCAAAAACCTGCCTATTTTTGCCTAGTTCAAAAGCCACTTCCTCCTTGTACCCTTGCTGGATAATTTCAAAGGATGTCAATCCCCTTCAGATTCAACTCTACTTTCTCTTCTGCTTTTCCTTTTATTCTTATTTAATAATTTGTGAACAAAATTTCTTTCTTGAAGTCAAAAATCTATCATCTTTTTATCAAACATGCCCAATTTGGGTTCATTGATTACCGGGATGGAGGTATCTGACACTAATGCTTGTTCATGGGTAGACCCCTCTTAAGCACTTTAAATTTAGTCAACCAGTCAATCCAACTCGCAATGCTTAAAGATTTGATATGTTTGTCCAAAGGGTCTTTAAAAAAAAAAAAAAGCTTATGTAACTTGATTTAAATGATTCTTAAAAATAAGTAGGTAAAAAATATTTTTGGCGCCTTCTTTAATCTTCTCAGGGAGAAAATTCCCTATATTAATGTAGGGTAGCTATGTAACCCTCAATTTGTCAGTTTAGTAATCCCATTTTTCATGCTTTCTAGAAGGCTCAAAACAAGAGAAAAATAGGCAACATTTTTCATTCATAGGAAAAGACAAATCAGTATTTCGAAAATGCTTTTCTCTAAATCACATGAAGTTTTCTAAGTTACAGACATTGGCTAACTTATTTCAAGACATATTCATTGCAGCAAAATGTCTGCTGAACCAAAAATTACAGACAACTCCTTAGATTTCACTGTAATGGGATTCAGCTGTATTATAAAAATAGCCTCAGAAGTGACTGAGTCTGGGTGGTCCTTGTTACCTGTGTTGGTTGTAACCTCCAAGGGCTCACTGAAGTCTCCATAGCCAGCTGCTGTCCTGGCTCGCACGTGGAAAACATAGGAAGTGAGAGGGTTCAGGCCTTTGATATCTGTGTTCCTGGCAGCTGTCCGAACTATACGATAGCTTCGCTCATTCTGATCCTACATCATGGCAAGATAAAATTGGGGAAGGTGGCAAAATAAATCTCCTGCTTACTTACTAGGTGCAATATTAAAGGAGTCAAGCCAGTCAACTCAGAAACTGAAAGTAAATGGAGATGAATAAACTCTCTGGAGCCTGTATTCTCTTGGATGTTATAAGTACTATTGTTACTTCTTACTTGTTGAAAGAAATGCAAATTCAGGTATGATTGTTATTGACGCTGACCATATCCAGATCTTTCCTCCTACTCTTTTTTTTTGAAAGGAACATTAAATGATGGTTGGTGGCTTTTCTAGTTCCACACCCAGCAATTTAAAAGAAATAACTGTGAGAAGGTCCCTTATCTTTTTCTATTTTCTGTCTAGAAAATGTAAAATGTGTTGTAACATGGTTTCAATGGGAAAATCCTGTCCCTTTTCTACTTTTAATAAGGAAGCCAATAAGTGATTATCTTTAAAAAGAAAAAGAAGACAACTGTTCATTTTCTAGACAACCTTGAATGCAAATAGCTCTCTTCAAAATTCTGTCCTGTAAGAGAGACAAGTTATTTGTAAAAATAATGCCTTTCTATAACTTTAAGAGGCTGAAGAATGTGATTTTCCTTCCCTGACTTTCTATTAAAAGTCATCAAAACCCACATCTTTATTCTGAATAGCAGTGATCTACTTAAACAGATCATTATTTCAACTGTTATGAGTCACTCTCCCTGATAGAAGGTTCATAGATTAGAACTTCTTAGCTATCTTGATTTCCATTACTAGAAAGTAAAGATATAGTTATATTACAATACAATGTATTATCATTATTGTTATTTTCTACTTTTCAGGATAACTAAGTAAATGATAAATTTCATAATCATACTTAATTGGGAAGCAAAATGCATTTGATTTGAGGATTCACTGGTATTCCATGACTTACAACTGGCTAACCCTTAAACAGAAGGGAGGGAGCAAAGGAGGATGGGAAGGAGTCGAGGAAAGAAGGAAGAAAAGAAGAGAGGGAGGGAGGGAGGGAAGGAGAAAGGAAAGAAGAAAACAAAGAAGGAAGGAAGGAAGGAAGAAAGGAAAGGAGTGTTGTTCACTCAAGTAATACCTTCTCATAATACTTGACTTCATATTCCAGGATTACCCCATTGGGCCGATCTGGTTCCAGCCAAGCCAGTGCCACACTGTATCTTGTGACTTCTTTAGCCTGGACCAAAGCAATGGATGATGGTGCTGTTAGAAAAAAACAAAAGACAAAAGATATTTTCTTTAGGAAAATAAATGGTTTTGGTGGTAGCCAGAAATAATTTCATCTTATTTAAGAAAAGTGTGAAAGATTGTCTTGTCTCCCCCTTGACCATTTTACTCTTCAGTATAGAAGCATATCATTTTCATCCTTCTCTCCAGTATATTTTTGCATGTGTTTGTCTTAAAAAGAGAATCTCTGAAGTAAAAGCCTAGTGGGCTCACAGGCCTGTAGTACCATTTCCACAGCACGTAGAGACATTTCTCATAAAAGGCTGTAGGTACAGAGAAGGCTGTCTGGTTTTTAACCTTTTGTAAGCCATAACAGCCTTTGGAAGACCTCATTTTAAGCTCAGTAAAGCTACATCTAATCCTACCTCCCAGTATTATGAGTGCCATCTTACTGGACTTTAATTTCATGCAAGCAAGAGAATGTACAAGTCTTCAATAAGTACTGTAGGGAATGCCAAAAGGGAAACAATTTACATACTTTCCAATATAAATAAAAGTACTGCTTAATCACAGTAAGAGTTCAGTCTGAACACAACCATGTAAATAGTGAATACAAATCAAGCAGTGCTGGTCTCTCTGAACATGCGTGGCATTTTGCAGCTATTTTACAAGAGCTGACATGTTGCCTTTGCCTGCTCTTTCCACTGCGAAGGACACAAAGGCAGCCCTCTAGTGGGTGTGTTATGGGGGTGGAAGGAGGGCACACTTTAGATTTATACACCCAGGCTGCCCGATGCTCACTTCTCCGCTGCAGTGGTCGCATCTCCAGCCAGCTGTTATCAGGCTCTGCTGACACTGACAATGGCTGGTACCCATGCACAATCTCCAGGGAGAAGAGAAAGCATTCATGAAATCCTTAATCTTATCTAACAAAGCTGCCCTGGAGAACCAGAGATTAGGGAGCTTCCTAACTCCAATGTATATATTCTTTTATTCCCAAACTGGGGAAACAAATGTCAAAAACTGGCCACTGAGGAAGGATAAATTAGTGCTGGGTCATCCTCCTGCCCTTTTGCAATACATGCGTATGAATGCCAACCCCTAACTCCAAGGAACAAAGATAAAAAGTGAAATACATTGTCACTGAAAATGGTATGGGAAAAGCTTCAAACCTGCTTGACCATGTCTGACGAGTATACTGATGGCAGGGAAGCCAAGCAGACACACCATAGTCACACAAGGGAGTCTTCCAGCTAAATCCAGTACGGTAGAGACTGTCTCCTGGAGGGGGTTATTTGACAGCCCAGCATCTCTGTTAGGGATGGTAACAGGCGCACACACACACACACACACACCCCTCTATTTTTTTTTCCTCTCTCTCAGTCCCAAAGCTATTCCAGATTGGATCTCAGGCAAAAACACAAGGGAAAGATACAGTAGATACACATGTCCTCCATCAAAGGCAATCCCAAGGTTAGTAATACCAACCCCAGTGAACAAAGCTGCATGCGGCAGACATATGGAAGCCACTGAACATCTGAGGAAAATGAAAAACGGAAATGTGCTCATTACATTCATTAAGGCCCCCTTCTCCCAACACACACACAGGCACACACACACATACACACACACTCACATTTACTCTTTCTTTCCTGGTTGACACAAAGCCATTGTCCAACAAAATGCAAAAAGTGACTTTGTAAAATATAGAGGTAGCAAGGAGGCTAAGAAAACTGCCTGGCTGTGGAAAGTCATTTCACTCCAGGTAATAAATATATTGCCTAACAGACCACTTAGCATACACTCCATAAAAAGGAGCTCTTTAAATTCTGATGTTCAGGATTGAGAAATGAAACAGAAAAGTGAGGTCATTAGAAAGAAAGCAGGAGGGAGAAAAATCATAAAATTATAAAATGAACTTTCTCTCGGAAATGGTCTTGGTCAGATCCTGATAATCGACAGATTCCTTGAGAAAGAATTGCCTGCCTGCCCTTGGAGTGCACTGATGAACTAAGACAGCTTCTCTCTGGTTGGGTTATCATTAAACTGCTGCATATGGGAAATGAGCTTGATTTCTATTTTAGAAGTTTGAGTAGCTGTGTTCCTGTGACCATTTAAAGGGAATATGAACTCAACTAAGGTGCTCAAAAAATCTCAAGCAGGGAGTTAGCAATATAATCACGTTAACTCATAGAGTATTTCTAATGCAGCCCTACTTGGGAAGCTGATATGCATAAATGTGAAAATAAACCAACAGAGTGTACCTTGACACAGCTGTCATAAAAATGGAGAATAAGGAGAGACTGAAAGAGAAATGCAAGCAAGAACGAAGGATTAAATGAAAATAGAATGCTAGGCTGAGGACAGTCAGAAAACTGCTGAGTTGACATTTGTCTTTCATACCTACTGGAGAGATCAATTCAACCAAGGAAAAGTAGAATACATAGATCTAATTCACAAAAAGTATTGTGTTGTATGGCTGCAAAGTCTAAATTCTTTATTGATCAGATGTTCTTCAGAAGAGCATGTTATCAGGGCACAATGACACAAGCAATCCATGACCAAGTGAGGTTGGGAAATGTACCTAAAACATACAACTGCATTGTATGTGGAGAGCTTACCTTCTCTAGTAAGAAGGAGTTTGAGAAAATCTGGGCTTTGCCATACTGCCACTTTGGAAAGGAGGCAACCTGGATGTTCTCCACATCATAAGCCACATATGGGCTTTTCCCTCACCCTTTCTACCCCATTTCCAAAACAGCCTTCAACTTTACATCTAGAAGGCATCACCCTACTGTGTGTGCCTGCCTATGGGTCATTTCCCTAGATGAGGCATTTGCCAATGACATTTTGCAATTTTCCCCCTACCGCAGTGTTTCCCAAGCATCAGACTTCCATGCCACACATTTGCTGCCACATCCCTCTGCAGCTTGTAAGATGATTTAAGTAATATTTTCTTTAATAAATGCAGTATCTTTAACTTCAACAGTTGTATTTGAAAGAAATTTCCCATTTACTGGTATCAATGAAACCCTATAATTACTTGAAATTAAATGAACATTGCATGTAAATAAAACAATGTTATCAATGTTTGCTGGACACTCTTACTTCTCCAAGGATTGTTAAAAATGGAGATTAGCCAGTGCTAGAGAAACAAAGGATATATGGGCACCCGCTTGAGATTCTGACCTTGGAGTACTCAGAATTACTGAGAAAGAATTGAAAATGAACTATACTGTACACAGGGCAATTCAATATTACATAATATCTCATCGGTGTGTTCCCTAAAATCATCTCTGATGCCACCATTGGTATGTTTCCACACTTTGGTAAACAATGCCTAACCCAAATGTCTTGAATCCTGATTTGCAATATTCCAGGGCTCTGCCTTTTGCTTACAGAATTAGAAGAGGAGATAATAGAATTTTTTTAAAAAGATTGTACATCCCACCCTTAAATATATGGTTCAATAAGAGCTCTGACCAATCAATGCCTAAGTTCAAAAGAGAGTTTCTAATCATAGTAGAAAATTTGGTCAGCATAAAAAGACCAAGTGGAAAAAAAGATTCTCAGTGGCTGCTCAGTTCTTTGATTTACATTCTGAAATCTCATAGAGACAAGGTTCTTCCTCAACATCAACTCGGCCACTAGACACATACTTAATGAGCACCTATGGAACAAGGCCGAGAGGGGGAATGGGTAAGCATGGCCAGATAGAAAATAATTGTTGGTATCAGACTAAGTACCACCAAATACTTTAGCCTCTTCTTAACTAAAAGAACTATTGGGAAATTTTTATAGTAGTCTTAAAGAAAAAACACTTTCTAATGTCAAGTCAGAGGGCCCATTTTTCTAGAATTTAAGAGGAGACGATTCCTACTGCCCCTCTTCTAATTCAAGTTCTCTCATGGGTGATGGGGAGGAGTAAGTAGAGGGCACTTTCTCACACATTCTATCTGTAGACACTCAATACACCTGCTGAGTGTCAGAAGCAAAGCCAGGAAGAAGCTGGGGGGCTGATGAACACATTCTTTTTTTTTTTTTTTTACATTCTTACTACAAGAAAGAGATGCATCATAGATTGAAAAGCATTCCTATCTACCCACGGACTTCTTTCATAGAGGAGATACTTGTTTTAAGGACAGTTTTGTGCCTCCAGACAAATGCAGGCATTCTTTAATGGCTAGAATTCAGACATGACACATAGCAATGAGAGCTGGTCATGCTAGTTGACAGTAGCATGGTTAAAGAAAGATGACTATGTAAAAATCATAAGGCAAGCACTCCTAAAGGGTAGCTCTTTAAAAAAGATGTGTGATTTAATTCAATGGAGTCCTTAATTTTCAAACCTTTACAGCAAAATCTCCAATGACTCATAGATGTCAATTTTCCTGGTCTAAGGTGCCTATCCCCGAGACCATCATTTTTTATTACCCCTAAGGAGATTTCAGCAGTTTTTAACCCAAAACTTGTCTCTCATTTCTTCTTCTTTTTAACCTACAAATCATGGTGACACATGCATTCAGTGGTGCTCAATAATTATGTCAAATGAATAAAAGTTTTTACATATTAAAATTTATCTAAAAAATCTTTACTGTAGATATCAAACATTTTCTAAACATAAAGTACCAGAAGTAAGCCATCCTTAAAACAACTTTCCATCTGCACCTGTTTCAAAGGACCTTTTGTGGGGTTGGTTTTACTATTTAGGTTAACTGAGATATTGACAATTGGGGTGAAGCAAATGACAACTCTAATTATAAATGGAGTCTCTGTTTCTAAGGTCTGTGTGATGCTTCTGAACATTTTTCAAACACAGGCTGTAAAATGTCATTCAAATGTAAGTTAACATTAAAACTAGGCATCACTGCACCTGTTACAGACAGCATTTTGAGCTTCTGCTCTTTAGGCTGATGAAGGTGTTGACAATTTGCTCTGCATTTCTCCTCTGTATCTGTAGGGCATATGCAAATAGTTCTCCTGACTTCTTAACTGCCAAGGTGGAGTGATGGTGAGACTCCCAAGTCATAATGATAAATCCAGAAAGGATCCTAAGCCTCCAAAGATGGACTAGGGCAAAGCCAGTCACTGCCAGCAGAAGCCATTAGTTACTACATATGCAACAGCCACCAATGGACATAAACTTGAAACATGGGGGTAATAGGGTGGAGAGCCCTTTGCAGTCATAGTGTGGGCGAGCAGCATTATTAGGAACAGACTCTGTTTTTCCACATACCAAATGGACACAAGTGAAATTGTAGCAAAATACCATTTTTAAAAAACGATGAAGCAAAAACCAAAAGAGGAGGAAAGGAAAAAATTCACCAAAGCTTTCCAGTTGAATGATCTGAGCTTTCCAATAGAGGTCCAAGATAAATTTCACTCCCAAAGAATGTTGTATTCCCAGTTCTACAAATCCCTGAGAAACTGAGAATGCTTTCGAAATAGAATCCCCATTTGCTATGTACCTGTGGTTACATTTGGTTTGAGAGCAGACCACAATGCACTGAGAAGGTACATGTGGGTTTTCTCTCTGTGTGTGTTTTTGATAAACAGAAACAGCACAGATTAGGGGGCTCTATCATGACTCTCTAACAGTGGTGCATTTCACAAGGAGAAATTACAGGAGATGCTTTGATGTCAAACAGAGGTGGCTCCCTTTAAGAAAATGGTAAATTTAACTTTCTTTGGTTCAAAGCTCAGCAGTTCTCCTTGCTCCCCACTGACGTGAATGCTGCAATTTTCTTTTATTCACTTCCTCAATGACTTGCCATTAAACACCTACAAGTCATTTTACTGCAGCAGTTTGGTCCTTGTGACACCCAAATGGGATGGAGAAGAGAAGAGGAGATACGGAGAAAAGAAAGAGAGGAAAGCTTCACATGGTTCCTGAGCTAGAAAATTGTTTTCTTGAGTCCAGTATCACAAGCAGTGAATTAAAAACAGTTTGGGGGGAACTTTGGAGGAAAAAGAAAACAGCTGAAGTAGGCTGACTGCATTTCATTACTGGTTCAAATTAGAGGGTGGAGGAGGTGAGCTAGGAAATAAACAGATGCAATGAAAGGTCTCCAGCCTGTGGGCAAGGAGGAGTGAAAACAGCCCTTTATGAAAGTCAAGACACCTGAAGCCATGGATGTCAGTGGTACACAATGGCCAGTGTTTGCAGGAGAGATGGCTTCTTAACCACAGCAGGGTTACCTTTCCCCTCCCCAGGATCTGGATTTAAACAGATGATATTTACTCAAGGGGTCTTTCATTGATAGAAAAATATAAACCCACCATTTATACATATCTCTGCTTAATGCAAATAGCATATTTAAATTTAATTACTTGGAGCTTAAGGTGGTTTTTGTTCCCATTTCTTTCTCAATTCAATACCCCAGCTCTGATTTGCTTCTTATCAAAGGTTTGTGCATTTTAAAATGCTGTCAAGCATCAGAATTAAATGCTTCAGAGCACTAATGATATCCTTGTGATTAAGGGTTTCGCGTCTCTGAGATGCTAAGAGCTCTGGTGCTAATATTAATTGTTTTCTTCTACATTCCAGATGGAGAGAAGGATTCCTCCTCTCAAGCTAGGCAATACCTATGGCATCAAACATCACTTAGCAATATTTATACGTCCTTTTTCTTACTATCATCATTACAGTATTTTATAGTACAAGAGTTTATAAAGTGCTTTCACATACACATGATTTTGTTTGCGGTACATTCGACCAGCCAGGTCAACTCCTCTGCCATCTTTTAGGTAAAATCATTAAAATCCCCAACCACCCTCGCTGGACTCATCATCAAAGTAAAAAGTCAGCTCCACCCCCAACAGCTTTTAGTTGCTACATCATGCATCCACACAAGCACAGTTTCTCATAGTCAAAAAGTGAAACTTTTTAAAACAAACCGGCAAAAGGTACAGAAAAACAACTTGATTATTCTGAAATTGACATTGATTTTTCTCCTTATTTGACACAAAAACATAGAACCAAATTCTCAGCCAAAATCTTCAGAAGACTGTGAATTAAATGAAGTTCATTTATATTTAGATATGTAAGTATTCATATTTATTAAGCTTAAATTTAGAATGTATGAGAGATGCATTTTTTTTTTCCATAAAGTGATTTCCAAGGTCAGACCAGAGTCTATTTTAAACACATACTATAAAATAAAGCAGTGCACAGCCACATTATCCTTCAGCAATATTTACTGAAGGATACAATTGACTCATGCTGCCAATGATTTTAAGAGTCTGATTTTGGAACACTATAAATACTTGAACTAAATGATTCCAGAGTAAGACTTTGCAAAGTCTGTGATTTGGTTTTTACTTTTGGTTTAATAGAAGACGAAAATTTTATAAGCCTTTTTTATTTCCCAGATAGATGGGAGGGCACGTCATTTTCTTTATGCCAGAGAGATGGGCAACGGATTATTTTCAACAAATCCTTTACAGAGAGCTATTGGTTAAATTTTAAATGATAGAATGTGATGCTATTCTTAGCCTTCACGTTAATTGTTTGCATAGGGAAGTTGAAGGTGTTGGGTTGGCCTCTTTGGCTAAGGCATCCAAAACTGTGAGATCCCTTCCCTTCTAGATAGAGCTGCCCAGCCAAAGACTACCTTCCTAGATTCCTTTGTATCTACGGTAGTTCATGTGACTGAGTTTTGGGTAATGGAATGTGGGTTGAAGTGATTTCCCCTCTTCTAGATCTGGCCCATAAATAGCTCCCTGTGACTCTCCATTTTCTTGAACCCACAAGCCAGAGGGAGGTTAATGACCCAGGCCCATCTTGGAAGCCCCACACCCAACAACCCCCATCACCACCAACTGGATGCGATTTCAGCAAGAAAATAAATTTCTATTGCAATAACCCATTGAACTGGCATTTGGGGTTAAAACAGGTACTCATTCAAGTGAAGTGGAGCCTTCTGGCAAAAAAGAGGTATTTGCATATCACAACTAACTCAGATAAACTGTAGAAGTACTGTGGCCCACAGAAGATTGGTCTGTGGTTTTGCAGCTTCCTGAAAGGCCTTTGGGTTCCCTCCCGGAAACTCCAGCTGGTCATGCACGATGAGCAGATATCCACCCATTTGTGAGAAACTGGAATGCGCTGCCCTGAGGTCAGCAAAGCCAGTGACAGAGGCCGCGTGGCTTCCCACGGACAAAATCACGGCCACAATCACGGCCACTAGTCTTCTAACAGTGAATGAAATCGGCAGAATCGCAAAACACTGAGCCAAAAGATTCAGCTGATCTTATGCTAATGCTAAATGGGAAAACACATTGGGGTTCTCAAAATGGTTTGGTTGAGTTTTCTTTGTAGAAAAGAGTTAATTTAGTTTTCACTGAATTATTAACTGCTTAAGCAGATGAAAACTGAGGCCCTGTGAATTGCCACAAAACAAAGAATGGGGAAAGGAGCAAATCAGATGCCAGTAAACTCCTGGGCAAGGCACTTGCACATACACGCACACCTGACATCATTTCATCCCTATAACTCTCTGAAGTAGTTATAATGATCACCCTTACATTTCAGACTTGGAAACTCAGGTACAAAGAAATTAAATAATTTGACCAAAGCCATAAAATGAGATTTAAAACTCAAGTCCACCTGGCTCAAAAGTATGTGATCCTCCCTCTATGCCACATGTCTGTAACAACATACACACGAAACTAGCATTTATTGAGTAATTATGATGTGCTGAGCATTGTTCTAAATCTCTTGCAGGACTTAATTCATGTAAACCTCACAAAAACTCTATGAGACAGGTACTATTATTATCCTCATTTTTATAGATCAAGAAGATAAGGTACAGAGAGTTTGAATAACTTGCTCCAAGTTATAGCTTATATGTGGTCATAATTCAAAAATCTGGTCCTAGAGCCCTCATTCTCAACCACTGATCTACAGAAAGCGGCTGATCTCTGCCCCTCCTTTCCATGGTAAGAAATAGGAGACTTGAAGGTTTAAGTGACTGTTTTCCCACAGCAGTAGCGGCAGCAGCAACAACGTAAATCTTTCTAAAGTCTGCTCTGTTAGGTACAGGGGTATCTGTGTACATTGTCGGCTGTCAGAAACCCAGGGGTAAGTTCGATATGATCCCTGCTCACAGACAAACCTTAAAACTTTTGGTGCAGAATGAACTCACATTTGAACTAATCTAAAGAGCTAAGACAAGAATAAAACAAAACAAATTCAATTACCAAATAAAATAATTAGTCTTTGGAATTAGAGAAGGGGTAAGGATACAAGACAAGCCTCTGGAAGACTGGCAATGTTCTATTGTTCTGTTCCTTGGCCTGGGTGACGGTCACATAGGTGTTTACTTTGCTATAATTCAATGACTATACATTCGAATCTTGCCCACTTTTCCATACGTGTATATTTCACAATAAAAAGGTTATAAAACAAACACAAATGTTAGGAGTATTAAAAAGGAAGTATCATACTTATTACTAGAAAGATCCAAACACAATATTTAGTATACCTCCTGGGTTAAGCCCTAAAGATGTCATGAAAGATGTAAGGTTTTGCAAATTAGAGCTTTTGCAACTTTTTAATCATTATACTGAAACATACAGCAATCCTTACTCTTTGTAGTAAATAAAATGCATTACTTTAATGTCTGTTTTACAAGTTAGCTAGTATCTTGAATTAGCATTATTACAGGTACAGTCATAGGATCGGTTATAAAATTATAAGTGGGTAACAGCTCAACTGGAAACCAAGGCCCATGTCCACCAGAATTAGCAGGGAACTAACCTCAGGGGCACCCAAGTGTCTTTGCTGCAGTTCAAGTGTGTCCTGTGTTTCGTCTGGGAGCTGCTTGTTTTACTTTCTACTTGCTTACTAAGAAATTTGTTGGCAGGTTCTGACAAGGATAGCTCAACACTTGCCAACAGAAACATGGCAGGATTCAATGTGTGTGTTTCCTGTTATAAGTAAGAATGCCAGTTTGAGGCAAACAGGAAAACAAGTCTTTCCACTGGAAGGCAGTTTAGAAGAATTTGCCTGAGCAAGATGATTGTTTTAAGGTAAGAAAATGGGGTGAAACTAGCAACAACAACAAAAAATAAATATACATTTTTTTCTCTGAATGCTTCTAGTGAGATGAATCTTCTCACTGGGCCTAAAAGTAGTGTTGACAGTTATCTAGTGTTTCCACTCTTAGTTGAAATTATTTTATGTGTAACTTGGTTAGACAGGATGGTGAACCTTCACCAAATGGGGGTCTCCATGACCTACAATGCCCTCCAATCACTTCCTAGGGAAGATCAGAGGAAAAAAAAAAGGCCCCCCAAAATTATTTTTTAAACAAATAACCAACAAAAAAAATGCTCTCCAAAATTAATTTGGAATATGGAGAACAATGTAAGGAAAAGGTTCATTTTTACTGAGCAGAATACAGAAAAGAGAAAGGAAAGGATTAGCTGCTATGCATCAAGGCTTCTATTCCTTTTGCTGTTAACTCCACCAGGGAGCTTCAAGCATTCCAAATCTGGAAAATAAAAAGCTAAGCTTGTAGGCTTCAGGTTCTCTTTGTTACTCAGACAGCTGCTAATCGTCCTGCTGTGTTAGGAACCCATGAGACAATGCTGTAACATTTAGCTTTCTGACGTCCAAAGCATCTAGATCAGTCCCCAATTAAACAGGTATTAATCACAAAGACTCTAAAAGCCAGGGTGATAGATGCACCCAGTAAATCTTTGCTGTTGCCTTTACTTTTCACACTCAGATTTCTACATTTACAGGCAGAAATACTTAAAAGCCTGCTCCAGAAACTTGACCAATCAAAAGCCTTGTTCATTACTTTATATCAGATGCTTGATGATTTCCTACCTCTGAAAAGCCTTTCAGAAAGAGGTAAGACATTGATCATTCCGCTAAAAGAGCCTGTCTGCTTCAATAAATAGATCCACTATGGTTGTTGTCATCTTGACTTTTTAAGTGTGATAACTAATTCAGAAGTGTTGTGGCTTTGCCACTTGCTATAGGGAAATCCAAATCATCTGTGAAGTTAAAGAAAAAGTCAGTGGATGAACCCAGAAAACATCAATGGGCAAAACATTAATATACTAGTAATACTAACGATCTCTTCCAACAGGGGCCAAATCATCTTCAGGTCATGAACCTGATTAGAGTGAATGAATGAAGTGAGGTATATTAATCCAGATAATAGAAAAGAGTATGTGTTGGATGAATCCTTCTGAATTCCATGTTTTGAAATTTATGTTGATAAAAGGTACTCAGTGTTACATTTTCATCAATTTCCATTTCACAAGGGCATGAAGATAGCCTTATTTAACTCTGTCAAAGAGTATCATTTACAGCTTTTGTTATAAACAAGTGACTAGGTAATCAACCTCCAAACACACAAACAAATGAAAAGTAATAATTTTCATAGCCAATATCTAATCACTATAATACACAATGAAGAGAAAAGCACCAACACGAGAGGCTCATATGACCTCAGAGGAAACCAACATTAGCTATTCTGAGTTATTAGAAATCCTTTTAAATTAGATTTCTATTTTTTATTTCTCAAACTAACAGAACCCATGAGACAAGTACAATATTTGCAAGGTGCCAGCTCAAGGGGCTGAATTCCTTGGCTTTCAATGGAGCCTGAATATATTATAAATTACTCCGTCTTCATCACTATCTCAGTGATGGTCCACTGTCTTCCAAGTTGAAAGAGTTGGGAGTCAATAAACGTCACTTATGATATGAGCACCTGTCGACTAAGACCTGGACTGAGACCAATTCCATTAACATAGTCATTCTACGGCTGCCAAATGGCCGGGCCTTGGACCACTTATGATATAGTCCCCATTCAAGGAGGTGACCTAAAGACAGAAAGGTCCAGAATCCCATTAGTCATCTTCCAAGCCATCCAATTCTCCATCAGATATACTGTTGGAATGGGATACCTAGTTTTTTAATCGTCATTTAAAAAGATCACGTGAGCTGCTCCAAAACATGTCATGGTGACCATAAATTGAAGATAGATGCTCTTTAGCATTGTTACCAGCCACTGTCCTTTAGATCTATGAAATTATTTTTTAGCAACTTCTATTTCTTTCTCTTGTTGCACTTAAAACACACAGGCAGAACAGAGGAAAAAATGACACATATTGACAAAGTATAAATTATAGCATGAAATCATAGGCTACCAATGATTCCTGACAAGGCCAGAGAGTCAGAGGAAACATGGTGGTAAAAATTCAGTTGTAAATCAATGTGTTCTGTGCTATTTGGAATTTTTCCAAGTCCAAGTGTTGCTTGGCTTAAAGCACAATGTCTAAGGACTGAGAAGTGATGATCACGGACAGTATAAACTAGAATGTTACAAATAGGGGAGAGAGACAGAGAGAGAAAGGGCGGGGGGGAGAGAGAGAGAGAGAGAGAGAAACAGGAAGAAGGCCATTGGGGTGAAGTTCTGAGACTCCTCATGTTTCTTATTGCCAGTTTGGTTCTACTGGATGGAAGTCTAGGGAAGTTCCAAACACAGGGGATCAAAATATTCTGAGGACAATATTCATGACCCATAGAATGCTGAGAAGGTGGGTTTTAGTATCACTTTAGGGAACCTCTGCTTTTCCCTAAAGTATCACTTTAGGGAACCTCTGCTTTTCCCTAAAGTATCACTTTAGGGAACCTGCTTTTCCCTAAAGTATCACTTTAGGGAACCTTTTTTATAAAGAAGAAATCTTTCCTGCCCTGTTTCTTGCTTGCTATGTAGACAAGTGTAAGGAAGCACCTGGTGAGTGGAAAGAAGTGGGATAGAGACCTTTGGGTTAAATTACAGTCAGAACATTTTGAGAATGCATCTTACACAAATGGTCACCACATGCTACGCTCTCTGAAAATGTGGCCATGCAATTATGTTCTTGCAGACCTCATATTTGAAAATCTGTCTTTTTGACAATTTTCTCAAAAGCTATGGTACAGGTTAGGAACAGGATAATCATTTAGGAGAAGAGGTTTTAAGCTTGGAAATCTGTAACCCTAGAATTGTATTTTTATTTTATTTTTTATTTTTAGAGTATCAGCTAGAAACTAAGTTCTATGTGCTAGATAGTTTAAATTTCTATAGGCATTATAAGAATGGGGCAGAAACAACTGAGCTATTAAATTTTAAAATGTTATTAAGGTCAGTAGATATCTTCAACTGGATCTGTGTTTGAGAATTGAGAATTGAGATGACTTTTGTAGTCATAAGAAATAATAAAGAATGTATTACGAAAGCTATTACTGTTTTAGGACTTGTTTTTTGTTTTTGTTTTTATTTTTTTAAAAAAAGGAAGAAAGAAAGAAAACCAGGGGGTTCACAGCATGTCACAGGGGCCTCTCTCATGAACTCAATTTGCTGAAGTGTGAAATTCAGCATAACTGGCTCCACCCAAAGAAGTCAGTATTTAGTCCATTCCTAAATACTGGAGGAGTTTATTAGAATTGCATCTTACCTAGAAATAGTTCCACAGCATGATATCTAAGAAAGACACTGGAGGAAAGCTCCTGCACACTATGGAGGAAGTTATTGGAAGTTAATGGAAATTATTTTTGTGTTTTCTGAAATAGGTAGAGGAAAAAGAAGTGGAGGGAAAGAGAAAATGCTACCCTCCAACAAACACGTACAGTTAAGGTGAATCCTTGAAGAGTTTACAGTGAGATAGAAAGGGCTCTCATTGATATTTCTCCCCAAACAATACATCTTTACATAATATAAGGGTTTCTTAAATATATTACCAGCCCCTTGGAGCCGCACCTGAATTAGTTGACTGTTCTGTATTGGAGTGTACAATGAAGGCTGTAAACACAGTGTATGCTTCTTAAATTTTCTGTCCACTGTTCATGGCTACAAAAGGATACTTTCAGAGGGGGTAAGGCTCTGCTAGTTGTTCTCCTTGCTTCTAATATAAAACAAAACAATAAGAACCTTTATCACAAACCTTAATAATAACCCTACTCCTACTGTAAATGGAGAGAAATGAGATGATGTTAGCTCCAAGGATTTCCAAGTCTCCTAAGAAGTTTCCTAAAACCACACCCTCCTGGGAACCCTATAGGATTGGGATTAGATTCATTGGGTTTCAACATGAGCCTCATCAATAATTTTCAGATAAAATAAAAGTCTTTGGTTATCTTATTTCTTTATCTTTAGATAAAAAGAAGTCTTTAATTACACTTGAGAGTATAGAGAACACTTGATCAAGCTTTCTGCTGGTTACATATTAAAAATCCCTGGCTTGTTTATATGTGTGGTCCTAGCTTTGAAAAAGAAACATGAACGAAACTGTGCTCCTATTTAACTTCAGGTTTATGCTCAAAATACGCACTTATTTTACAAAAAAAAAAAAAAAAAAATTAGGGTTGATTCAAGAGGCAGATTTCCAGCTTGCAGTATGTTATCTAGAAAAACACAAATTCTCCAGGGAGCCGTTGTAAGCTACCCCCTTTTCAGTGTTTGTGCTAATGGATGGATCTTACCCAAGCTTGGAACACACTGTGAGTCTATTGGTGGCAGGTCACTATTTAGCACCCACTGAGAAGTTGAAGCTACATATTTAAGTCTTGTTTGTATGCACATGTCACAGACAAAAGGTTCCTAGACAAGAATTTTTAAAAAACTTATCTGTCCCACAGCCTTTATTAAAAGGATTTTTTTGAAAGTGATAAACAAACTGCCTGAAAAAATTGTGTACTGGAAGATATGAATCAAAAAGGGATGGACCATAGTTCTTTATCTTTTCTCCCCTTGCCCCTCCCAAGAGTAACAGCAAGAATAGAATAGTAATAGAAAAAATATTTCGTGTCTCTATAATTTTACACATAAAGTATTTTAGATAGATTTCAGGGAGTGGTCCCTGTACTTTTTCATAACAAAACAAAACCCAAAAGATGGTCAGAGGAGAACCACAGTACAGTTCGTTTAGATCAGGCCTACCAATTTGTCAGAATAGAGAAAGAAGAAATGGAATCTAAGAGTGATTTCTTCAACTCTGTGTCTATATAGGCGGACATTTTGATGACCATTCAGCCAGATTCCCACAGTGCTCTGGGTGCCAGCCCTCACCTATGGAACCAATCATTAGTGACATTTCCCAATGAGGAAGCCAAGGGGTTCACTAGGCAAGCGACCACACTGACTGGCACCATCTCTCGTTTTTATCATTGCCGTTTCAGGGGAGCCTGGGGAACCTCTTTCATTTCTAATTTTGGCAGAAGCAAAGAATGAGAAAGCATGAGTACAGGTTGTGGGGGTGGCGGGTGGAAAGGTGGACACCAGAAGAAGGTTCATTAAATAAGAGAGATATTTTTAATACTGACAGATAGACCAAAGGTTTGCTTATCTTGACAGATTAACATGTAAACCCTAAAAAACATCCTCACCAGTCTTTACCTGAAGAAAATATACAGGATACCCTCTTATTGTATACCCACATCACAAAAATGCCACAGGGATGTTGAGACTCAGAAGAATTCTCTATGTATTTGAGTGACATGGACAGGCATTTCAATTAGTCCCTGTAGATTTAAGATCTCTTAATGCAAGATAAGTCCTGTGCATGGCTTTTGGGTTTTCAAGGTGTTTAAAGGAAAAAAAAAAAAAAAAAAAAAACTATTTAAAGACATCAGCAGGGGGTTAATGGAAGCTTTGATAAAGTTTCTCTGGATCTTTTCATTGATGTTCAATTGCAGACTGGTTTCTGGAGACCCATCTGGCTCCTCTGGGGAGACAGTAATTAATTGAGCCAGTTGGAGTGACAACTAGATAATTTAGAAGCCCATTGGAAACCCTTGCTAGCCCTGCCCTGCCCATTTCTCATCTCAGCCAGGCACTTATTTTTTAAATCTCTTGATGGCTTCTCCAGAGGGTGTAAAAGTTGGTGGTTAGTGTTCGATGGAACAAGCACAACACTGAGAGATGAGAAACAAACCAGAATTAGGCTGTCAAGTGATTACTGGTGAATGAATTTCTCTTCTTACAAATGAACATGCATATATCTTTCTGTAGGAGCAAAAGGAAAGGACTCAGGAAAAATAGTGTTCTCAGTCCTGGGTGTATAAATAAAGACTTCATTTTCTTAGAGTGGAATATTCACATCTTTTTTAAAAAAATGCAATCTAACTTTTGCTTATATGCAATAATTACCACTACGTTCTATAGACATACTATTTGTCTGTGCTATTCAGTCAACCTTGAAAAGTTGGATAATTTAGTAGGCTCTTTTGGCAGGCTTTTATTTTTTTTTCTCCTCACCAGGACTTGTGGCACCCACCCCGAATACAAATTCACAGACACTGGTGCCACACACAAGAGGCTGCGCCATTGTATATCTGCTGGTTTATTTTATTTTTAATTACGATCATAATTAGTGAGTATGCTTATTAATTATAGTGGTAGCAACAGTATTCTGGAAATGAAATTCTTCTCAGTATAAGGTTAGAATCAAGAGACTGTTTCTTAAAAAAAAAAAAAAAAGTACCGCATGTTGTTTTTAAATGTGCATTTCATAGGCCTTATGAAGTAAACCAGGATCCCATGGCTAGACCAGAGCTATTAATGAGAAAACCACAGCCTGGCTCCTCTGAAGCTCATTGTGTGCTTGCTTGGGCCTATAATTACCAGGCACAGAAAGGACTCTCCAACCAGCTACCGATTCCCTACTAACAACTGAGGATGCGCAAACAACGTTTCAGCAAAATCTCTCAGTGGAATTGCTTTGTTGTCTGTTTGAAGGATTTTAAAATGAATCTCTAGAAGGAGTTCTTCATTTTCTCGATTTCACTAGTACCATCATTTGTTTTTCCTTTAAATTTCTTAGGGGTAAGGAAAAATAACACGATTTACTGGAGATCAAAGGCAAGCATGACATCATCTCGGAGAGAAGATAAGGCACAGGAGCAGAGCATAGAATTATTATTATTTTGAGATCGAGTCTCACTCTGTCATCCAGGCTAGAATGCAGTGGCAAGATCTTGGCTCACTGCAGCCTCCACCTCCTGGGTTCAAGCAATTCTCGTGTGCCTCAGTCTCCTGAGTAGCTGGGATTACAGGCGTGCACCACAACACCCGTCTAATTTTGGTATTTTTAGTAGAGATGGGTTTTTGCCATGTTGGGTAGGCTGGTCTTGAACTCTTGGGCTCAAGTGATCCACTCGCCCTAGCCTCCCAAAGTACTGGGATTACAGGCGTGAGCCGCTGCACCAGGCTAACATAGAATTATTTAAAAAGAAAATTGCTGTCAGCAACTATAGGACCTAGGCAATAGTGTGAAGAATGCATACTTTAAAGAGAACCAGAATATCAGTGAAGCATGTCTCACATAATCCATTTAAATCTGAGTGCCAATGGGAAAAAATTTGTGGTTCAAGAAAGCAAAGTTATGACTGAAATCCTAATTATTTTAGTTAATTTTTTTTCTGAGTCAAAACCTTTACAAAATAAGGTGTCTTGAAGATTGTTTCAAATGTGAGATTTACCTAAATGTTACCCATCACATCCTTTGCCAAAACAATATTCCACAAATGATACCAGTATTTCAATAGCTTCTCAACCTTGTTCTTACTGGTCTCCTTTCTTGATTTAGTACTCCAGAGCAGATCAGCAAACATTTTGTGTCAGCAGTGAGATAGTGCCCATGTTCGCTTTGCCGGACATTTGCCCTCTGTTGCAGCTACTCAACTATGCCATTGTCACGTGAAAACACTCTTACACAATATATAAACACATGAGTGGGAATTTGTTCCAGTAAAACTTTATTTATGAATGCCAATACTTGAATTTTATATAATTTCCAAATGTCACAAAATATTATTCTGTTTTTTATTATGTTGAACCCATTAGAAATATAAAAGCCAATATTCGTGGGTTGTCCCAATCTGGAGGATTCGATTTGGCCCTTGGGCCATAGCTTGCTGACCCCTGCTTTAGGGCACTAAAGGAAGCAAACATTTGTGTCTTAAAAATATCATCATTTGGCCAGGTGAGGTGGCTCACACCTGTAATCCCAGAACTTTGGGAGGCTGAAGCAGATGGATGCACTTGAGGCCAGGTATTTGAGACCAGCCTGGGCAACATGGAAAACCCCATCTCTACTAAAAAATAGAAAACTTAGCTGGATGTGGTGGCGCCCGCCTGTAATCCCAGCTACTCAGGAAGCTGAGGCATGAGAATCGCTGGAACCTGGGAGGCAGTGGTTGCATGAACCGAGATCACATCATCTCATTTAGGTTTAGTATTCCAAAACAATTCTCAGAATCAGCAGGAATGTGCTTTCTGCTTGTCCCTTTGATCTCAGACCACAACTCAGGTCCACTCCAGAGGTGCCCCTCATACCTAACTGTGGGCCAGAACCACTCACTGTCACAACCTGTCTTTCAACACCTTCATTTCAGGCCAAACTGGACTTCCCAACATCTCATCTTTCTCCCTTGTCCTTTCTGTTTTTAGGGATGATTATGCAATAGTCTTGTTGTCTGACAATTGCATTTATCTCAACATAGTCAGAGGCAGATTTTTATTTACCGAAGCTAAAGAAGTTTGTATGGACCCTTTCTGAAGCTCTGTTACTAGTCTGACATTTGTAATTTTGTAGGGTTTTATGTTTTCACCCTTAATCACACAATAGTTGTTTAAGCTTTAAACTCCACAAAGTCTGGCTCTGCCATGCCTACAGCATATTACCTAAATTGATTGCTGTAAGATTTTCCCCTTTCTCCCACCATTTTCTTGAAGCTTTCCTCTTACTATCTAGAAGACAGGTAGCAATTATACCCAGTGGGGATGAGAATTCCCACTGTTCTCCATTATCCCACTCAAATAACATAATATGTCTAATTAAAAGATGGCAGAGAGAGAAAGAATGGGAACTTACCAGTTGAATAATAAAAGACAGTGTGCCTCTTACACTTAGTTATTTCTTTTCTTTATTCATTATTTTGGTTTTATTAAATTTATCATTACTTGACAAAGAGAGTTAACTGATTTGATTTTACTGTAAATAAATGTTAATCAACAAACAGATGGAACTGTACAATGACTACATGTGGCACAGTGGCATTATAATGAGGTGTAATGCCACTTTATTTTATTATTATTATTATTATTATTATTATTTTGCAGTTAATGCTTAATTGTCCAACCCTAGAGAACAAGGTCAGCCTAACAAGCAGCGCCCGTTCATCTGATGGCAAAACAGCTACAACAGGATTCATGAGGGGCCTTGAAAGGCCCTTTACAACTGCCTGTTCTCTGAGAACAGTAACGGGAGCATCATGCTTTCAGCATGGGGCAATGGAGCCAGAGAAATGTGGAATCTTCCCTATGTGTTCAGCCACAGGCCAGCTCAAGCAAAGGCCACATGGCTATGGAACCCTGAAATGGTGGGCACTGCTATGAAGTCTGTTCTTAAAAACTATTGCTAGAACAGAGTTTTTCAGCCTTAGCCCTATGGACATTTTGGACCAGAAAATTCTTCATTGCGGAGGATTGGGGATGCTGTGTTGTGAATTATAAGATGTTTATCAGCCTGCCTGGCTTCTACCCACTAGATGCAACTGCACCAAAAATTGCCTCTAAACATTGCCCATTAGGGGTAGGAGCAGAAATCACCCCCAATTTAGAACAACTGTTCACTATCTTACTGTTTTCCCCCCGCAACGTAAATCCCTTGGCAAGGCAAGGAATTAGAGAGAAGGAGGGCAGGCAGAATTCAGGTGATAATTCTGCTGAAGCATTTGGAGAATGTTTTCCCACTCTTAGAATTGCATTGAGAGACCATTTCTAAACATGTTAGAAGAATAAGCCTTACTTCTTCAGGTTCATAGCCCACAGCTCAGGGTTACATACTTAGAATCATAGAATTTTGAAACGGAAAAGATCTTAGAGATTAGCTGGTTTAAATAATTACGTAATGCATCAAATATTTTAACTCCTCCAAACTAAGCATGCTACAGATGTTTGTTTGTCACTAGGACACCATAGCTGTGCTAGAGAGAGATGACCAGATCTTTCCATTATGAAGTATCTAGAATAGCATCACATGCAAAGTAAAAATAAAAAATGGACAACACCGGCCCTGGGTGCAATTTGGGGTGAGGAGGGAACACCATTCATGGGGGTTGGGACCATAATGATTTAAAACGCCAGAATATGGTCCAGCCTCACAGCTAGAAAACCAAGCAAAGGCGATGGGAGATGAACGGCAAAAAACCGTTCAGAGATATTAAGCTACTGCTGGCTGCCATCACAGCCTTTTTAACAAAAAAAAAATATTCACAGGTCTGTTGCTTGGCCAGAAAACCTTGTTTCATTTATACAGTATTTCTCCCTCCTAGTGACACATCCTGTATTCATTTGCCTGAGATGGTCCACTTAAGTGAAAGTAAACCAAAGGAAAGCCATCCAGAAAACAAATCACCCAGCAGTTTGCTTATCCATTTTTCATAAACATCAGGACTACCTGCTTCTAAACAAAAGACAAAACAGTCGCTACAGGATGAAAGATGAAGGAAACTGGAATCTCATTTTCCTCCTTTTGGCCTGTAATGTAGAAAAGTAACTATTGGGGGAGCTCCAAGAGCTTCCTCTTCTCCAATTTTACTGGGTACGACTTCAGCTGGAAAAGTAACACCCCCACCCTTACTCTTTTCCCACCTCTTCCCTTCATTGTTTCTGGCATGGGGGTGAGGCTGGGAGTGACTCATCTCATTAGAGAATTTGGGAAAAGTACTCTGTCCTCAGCTCCACCCACTCTCAGACCTGTCTATCTGCCTATCTGCCTATCTGCCTACCTGTCTGCCTGCACAGAGTGTCCTTCCAACAACCTTAGCAGGGCAGGCGGAGAGGCTGCAGGTAGCCAGCTGGGCTGCAAGTGTCACTGAAGCAAGCCCTTTTGGCCACAGATATAAAGCTCACATCCTTCCATCAGCTTATCAGCAAAAAGCTGACAGACATTCAGATTTCCTTTGTCTTCTGTGTCAACTGGTTTTCAACCCAGAAGGGGAGCAAAAGGGTGTTTATTAACCCCCTAAGACCCCAGGAGTAAGATTTGGGTTAGGATTGTTTAAATAACCTTGTGAGAACACAGGCCCATTCACACCACATTCTACAATTAAATGATCAAAGCCCAGTTCAATCTCCATGTCCATGCCCAGATACTCACATAATCTGGTCTCATAAATGGGGAGAATGCCAAGCTGAATACATGAATGCCATTCATTATCTCCTAATTTTAAAGGAAAGCAACTTTCTACTTTCAGGAGTAGGATTCTCCCTGCTTTTTAGTACTGGCTCTGACATTAGCATGGGTGAGTCACCTCACCTTCATGGAGCTGCTCCTCAACTCTTAAAGTCTCAAAGGTGGTGAACATAGGACCCAAGAATTCTAGCAGGTTTTGCGTGATTGATTTGATTTATCATTTCTAACATATTACTGATGAGAGAAAGAACCCTGTGAAAACAGAGCAAAGATGGAGAACCACTAACTTTTGTAGCCTCCAGGTGCTAAATGCTAACGTTCATTAATTCTATGTATTCCTTATAGAGTGAGACACCATTGCCTATAGTGGTCCTCAAGGAATTTAATTTAATGAAATGATAGGAGCAATTGCAATTAGAACATAATTGTGTGTATGTAAATATGCTTAGGGGAGCTTCGATAGAGTTTACGGTTGCTACATTCACCCGAATTTTGGCCTACATTATTAATTTGCACTACTATGAAGAAAGGGTTTGTTAATCAAAGATAAACTATCCTGATGACTTGAATTAGAGAACTTCAAATTATGATAGGATAATGAAGCAGTGCTCTGCACATATACAATTCTCTACTAAGTGAAAGCTTTCTGGCTGGCCACATAGGAGGTCTCCTTATTGAAAGATTTATTTTTAATTTTGAACAGCTTCCCAGCATTACCCTTCATGAAAATTAAAATAAGGAGCTGGAATTTTGTCCTGTTCAGCAAACCTCCTTGGCAGGACTACATGCCATGGCAAAGAAAACCTTATTGTGTCAGAGTAATTCTCTGTCTGCTTTTCTCCTAAATCTAGAAGAATTATACCTACATTTAAAATAAAACTTCATCCCACCCCACCCCACCCCACCCCCGGAAATGTTTTTGCATTTTCTTCTTTTGGAGGATTTTAGTGTGTCTTCTTTGTGCTCTCTGGACCTTTTGCCCCAGTAGGTGTTGACATAACTTCTTGGCTCAAATCCCTACGTGTACAGGGGGTCATAGAAGTCTCCCCCAAAATCTGTGGGAGCCAAGCCTGTCCTCAGCGCATCTCCCACAGGCTTTTCTCTGCCAAGGAGAATGACTTCACCTTTTACAGATGAGGCTCCAAAAGTCCATCCCTACTTATAATTCGGTTAAGAAAATGATGTAGTGCTTGCGAATGAATAGCCAAAAAGGTAGAAGGGGGCTGCATGTAAGAATACTGATTGGATCATCAACCAGATTCTCCAGATGGTGCAGAAATCGTTCTGCATTGCATCAGCTCCTAATTCAGAGAGACCAGCAGCACCGATGCGTGTTCCCAGGATCTGTATGTAATATTTCCATTGCATTCTTCCAAAAGAGAACTAATAAACTGTTGGCAATCACAGAGTACTCATGTTTCTATCAAAAACTCCTAAATCATACTAGTCTTTGTAGAAAAATAAAACTAATGACTGCGAACAGTGTTCACAACCTAAAAATTCAGAATTAAAAGACAAAGGCCTAGCTGGATGACCCGTTCACATTAGATATTTTAAAAGACTGTTCACATTTGCAGAGCTGAAGATACATTCCGGTAAGACTTGCCATTCTAGCCCCTGCTCAAAACCTTCCCCAAGTCTTAACTTTTTATTTATTCCAAAGAGTTCAGGGCAAAATGGAAAAATAATGGCTTTGGATTGGGACACTGGAATAGTTTTCACTTATAGGATCAATTAGTACAGATATTTTACTAAACTATTGAGTGCACTTACTGAAACATTCATTTAAAAGAAAAGTGCAGTTAGAGGCGATAGGATTGTTGGCAATTTATAATCCTTTTCTGGCTATGTTTTCTATCCCAAGAGCCTCACAAAGAATAAGCCACTCTAACTCTGTTTCCCTTCTCCTCTCTAACTCTCCAGAAATAAAAAAGCCGGCAATGTAAAACTCCTGGAGGGGTGGTAACTTTTTCAGGGAAGGAGTACAGATGAGTAAGTCAGAAGCGAAAGCCTAGAAACCTAGATTTTCAAAATATTTGATATTCAAGATTTCATGACAGTTCTGCGATTAACTCAGTAGAAACACTTCATGAACAGGAAATGTTTTCTAGTCATCTGTATTAGCAGAAAGTGATGTAGGAATTGGAGGAGACTGGCCGCCCCACCCTCCGCCCCACCCTCCCAGCCCCCACGTCAATCAAGAAATCAACTATAAAAGTAGCTGCAATCACGCCTGTAATCCCAGCCCTTTGGGAGGCCAAGGTGGGCGGATCACGAGGTCAGGAGTTCGAGACCAGCCTGGTCAATATGGTGAAACCCCATTTCTACTAAAAATACAAATAAAAATTAGCCAGGTATGGTGGCACCCGCCTGTAGTCCCAGCTACTCGGGAGGCTGAGGCAGAAGAATTGGTTGAACTCCAGAGATGGAGGTTGCAGTGAGCCGAGATCACGCCACTGCATTCCAGCTTGGGCGACAGAGTGAAACTCTGTCTCAAAAAGAAAAAAAGAAAAAAGTAGCTGCAAAACTATTAAGTGTCTTAAAGTAAACTTCGTTAACTATAGACACAAAGATGTACATGGAGGTTCTAGTATAGGTCCACCTAGATCATTTATAATATTTTACATTAAAGCATAAGATCAAAACTATTGCTGCTAATGCTTTTGTTAGAAAATATAACAAATACCAAAAGAGCACTCTGCATTGGTAAAAATCAATTTTATAATTGTACATAATCTATAAGTGCTCTGATGTCCAGCCATGGACATCATAATTCAAATGACTGAGATGAATCCCATCCAGCATGGAGTGACTCAGCTCACTGCAACCTCTGACTGCTGGGCTCAAGCAATCCTCCCACCTGAGCCTCCTGAGTAGCTGGGACTACAGGTTTGTACCACCATGCCTAGCTAATTTTTGTATTTTTTTTGTAGAGATGGGGTGTCATCGTGTTGCCCAGTCTGGTCTTGATCAAACTCTCAGGCTCAAGTGATCCACCTGCCCTGGCCTCCCAAAGTGCTGGGATTACACGTGTAAGCCACCGTGCCCAGCCCCTAAGTATCTTTTACATTATAACGCAGCTCCCAGGCTTGATTGATTCTATTTCAATTATAGCAATTTATTATAATTCATTATTTTAAGCCTTTTCTCTGTATACATTCAGATCATACAATAAAGTAGATTCAATTCCTACCTGCTTGGTTGGTGGTCACAGTGACAGAAACTGATTGGTCTGGGTTAGGGTTATATTTGGACACTCCATTCACAGCCCAGATTTCAAAGGTGTAATTGGTATGAGCTAGGAGGTCAGTGATGGAGACTTTGGTGGTCTTCAAGCCATTCTGCTGTGGGGTGTAGTGGACCCCACTTCCACAGGGTCGGCACTTGCTGGGGTCACCAGCTCCACATTTCTTGCATACCACATTATAGGAAATGTCCTGGCGGCCACCTGTATTCTGAGGGCTACTCCATTCCAAGTTCACAGATGTCTCGTTGACATTTGAAATCAAGTTCAGGGGAGCAGATGGTGGACCTGGAGAAAGAAAACCACATCATCACACCAAGAACCGAAATACCCTTTTGGAATCTCTCAGAGTTTGTATTATTTTCTGCAGCTCTCCAAAGCAAGGCAAACCCACTTGGCAAAGAAAGCAAAAAGCAAATCAAGCCAGCATAAAAGATCTTTTAAAAGAACAATATAATAGAAGGCTGTTACGTGAGTGTCATTCTCTTTCCCACGCAAACAAACAAGGCATCGGTTGTCACTTTGAGATGTGAAGCAACTCTCCAGCAAATGGGCTCCAAGCCCAGGCTTTCCCTATGAAGTGGCAGAAAAATATCATAATTTATCTGTTCCATCTTATCATCTAAAAAAATGAAAGTGATTCTAGTTCCCAGGGCCGTTGTGAGACTCTGATAAATTAATAGTTATATACCACTTCTGAAGGTAAATTATAATTCCTAAGTACAGCATGTCATCAATAGCAAATAAAATTAACAGAACTGTAGAAATGTGCCTCTGCAGTTCAACATGGCAGCGGAGGGTTAAGCTGTTTATGGGTAATTAGTACGAACTGGTTTAACGCGGTTGCAGAGATGTTGAAGATACAGCTGTGGCGAGATGGCAGGGGTTTTGTTCAAGGCTCCCAGACCCCTCCTCCTGCCCTTTAACTCGTGCATTCCCAGCAACATCAAAGAGTTTCTGAAATATGGGTGATGGCAGTGGTTGTTATGAAACAGAACAACTGATTACCGACAACATACTGGTTGGTTAAAAAATAATATTAATAATAAAAAATAAGACTATAGATCATGATGAAACTCTTGTTTCTTGATGTAGATTTGTGTGTGTGTGTGTGTGTGTGTGTGTGTGTGTGTGATGGAGTCTCGCTCTGTCACCCAGGCTGGAGTGCAGTGGTGTGATCTCAGCTCACTGCAACTTTCACCTCCCAGGTTCAAGCGATTATCATGCCTCAGCCTCCCAAGTAGCTGAAAATACAGGTGTGTGCCACCACACCTGCTATCTTTGGCGGAGTTTGGCCATGTTGGCCAGGCCAGTCTTGAACTCCTGATTTCAAGTGATCGGCCTACCTTGGCCTCCCAAAGTGCTGGGATTACAGGTGTGAGCCACCATGCCCGGCCATGATTGGTCTTAATAGGGCAAAAAAATTGTGACACAAACTGCTTTCAAGTGGAAGAATCAGGCTGGGAGAAGGGAGAGGGAATTTTCTTGGTCTGAACCAGTTCCAAAGGCTTAAAAGGTAGCTGCCACACTCAAACGAGACATAGCTACTCAGTTTGACAGTTGGAAAGCTATTTCTTTCCCATTTCAGTCTTCCAAGAGATGAGCAAAATGAGTTTTAAGAAAAATTTGAGGTTTCTAGATCACTGTTATCTATACTACTTCTAATGTAATTGAGATGGCTACTTTGCAGGAAATTAGTACAAGTTTCTCAGGAAAAGAAAGTTAACAGGAGGCTTGCATGAACTTGGATGAGCTTTACCTAGTCTACCACAATGAAACATACTGTTCAAAATGGCTGTCGAGATAGAATTGGAAGAGGTAACCTATAAATAAGAAATCATATTCAATATTTATTACATAGCTTGCAGTGATTAATGGCCAATTATTTTTTAGTGGTAACATTTAATAAGGGTAATTCACTCTCCTTTTCTCTTTATCCCACTTATTGAAGACTTTATTTTAACAAGGTAAGCAGGACTTCCCAAACTCCCCTCAGGACTAATTACCAACAACCTCTTTAAGCATTAAGATCAGCTCCCCATCCTGTGAAACTTAGAAAAATGCAAACCTTTAAAACATTTCACAAAAGTATTGTAAAATTTGTATTAAAGGGAAGATTACTTCACATAAGTCCTCAGAGAGAAAATACAAATTTCTTTCTTGTTTAGATTTCAAAACTGCATTTACAGTTTTTAGCATGGTAACTGGAATATAATGACAAATGAATGCTTTTTGAATAAATGAAGTACATAAAATCACCGACTCTAAGAGCTACATAGGATGTTAAAATCATTTGGACAAATACCCTTATTTTAAAGACGAGGAAGCTGAGATCTGGAAAGTAAATCTAATAATACTGAAAGTTCATGCAATCTAATTAGTGACAGAATTTGACTGAAATCCAAAAGTACTATCTGCCATTTGGAGTTATTTTTATTCCACCATGTGTTCCTCACTAAAGGTATAATGATAACAAAAGGAAAAATTTCAGCCAGTTTGAGAAGGCAAACATGGAGGTGGCAGTGAGCTATCTTCAGCCCTGTTTTAATTCTGTAATGCTTGCCACCATAGTGAAATCCATTACTAGTCTGCAGCTGAAGCTGACCAGGGCTTGGTTTATCAAATGGGTCAGTCATTGGTTCTTCTTTTGCTGTGACTTCCAGGGTTAAATAAGAGTGACTCTGAAATCCATTAACCTCCTTGCCAAGGTTCCTGGTCCACTTTCACATGGGAAAATGTGACACAATGAATCAAGCACCACAGAAGCAAAAAGTCAGTAATTAGTATGTAGGACGGGGCACGGCAGTGTCTAAACAGAGAAGAAATGGAGCAGAAAACTAAATGGTTTCAGGACTCAGAGATATAGCACTTCCACGTGGAAAAAAAAATGACAAAGATGCTGCAGGATTTCAAAATGGAGGGCTGGCACGAAAACACGTGCTAAGCTAGGGCAGCCTTCTTCCTGTGGGCAGCGATTCTGAAGGAAGGCTCTGGGTTGGATGCTCAAGACTGAGAATTAGGCAAATTCAAGTTCAGTGCTGGTAAATCGTACTGCGTATGTTTTATGCTTTGCTATCATAGAGAGTGACAGCTTTGTGGGGACACTGTCGCTGCCTCGAAATTGGAGTATAACGAAGTCATATGATAGAGGGGAAAACAAAGTATAGAAAATCCATCCAATATGACTATGATGTTGGTCTGGAAAAAAACCTGGGAGAGGACACACGCTTTACAAATTAAAATCATAATGTGGTATGCTGTGCTTGTGGGATTGTGGTTTCTTTTTTTTTGTTTCCCTGCCAATTAAAAGATTACAAATATATAAGTGTGTTTCTCATTTAAAGGGAGGGCCCATCTCCTCTTTAGGAGGAGGAGAATAAAAGTATTCTATTCTCAAGACATTGAGAAACAAATATGGGCTTGAATATAGCCAAAAGCCAATCTGGGCCTGTAGTTAATACCGAACTGCAGCATCTTGGTAAACAATTACCTACAGAGATGGCTAAAAAGAAGAGAAAACTGGTATTCTGAGTAATCTGAGCTCTCTTTTAATAAATACAAGGCATCCAGAAGTAAAAAACCTAACTCCGATTATTTTCTCTTTCATTTATGTAAGTATTGTGTCTGGCTATTTAGAAGCAATTAAATTTCTGACAGAGTGATTGCCTTTGTCATCAGAAATATGTCCACCTGCGAGTAAGTCTCCAATTACAAATATGAGGTTTATAACAAAAAAGGGCTAACTGTTGTACTTGTTCTAATTTTCTAGTCTCCACATCTGAATCGACCTACTGAGTACATACACCCATCGGGTAGCTTGAGGGTCATTGTGAATGGCAAGATTTTGTTTTCAAAACTACCCACTACTAGCCTCAATACAGGACTGGCATAACACCAGTCCTTATGCTTATGTCATTGTTTGACATTTCAGTTCCTTATTTCCTTTCCTGCTTTGTTTGTAACATATAATGGTGTCTTGCTACTTAGACACCATTCCATGTCTGTTTCTATCACCAGTATATGTGCTCCTCAAGAATTGATGTCTTGGCCGGGCACAGTGGCTCACGCCTATAATCCCAGCACTTTGGGAGGCCAAAGTGGATCACCTGAGGTCAGGAGTTTAAGACCAGCCTGGCCAATATGGTGAAACCCCCGTCTCTACTAAAAATACATAAAAAAAAATTAGCCAGGTGTGCTGGCACACGTCTGTAGTCCCAGCTACTTGGGAGGCTGAGGCAGGAGAATCTCTTGAACCTGGGAGGCGGAGGTTGCAGTGAGCTGAGATCGCGCCATTGCACTCCAGCCTGGGTAACAGAGTGAGACTCTGTCTCAAAATAATAATAATAATAATAATAATAATAATAATAATAATAATTGATGTCTTTATCACTTCCTGTTTTCTACCATGGTTCCTCGTTCAGAAATTTCAAAAAATGTTTGATAAGTCAATGAATGAATGAATTAAAAACTAATGAAGTCCTTTAATGCATCTTATACCCAGTGTTATGAAGTGTGTGAACTATGCAGCCTTCTCCGAGCCAAAGCTGTACTAGTCAACTTTTCACATACAGATTCATTAGCTTTATACCTGTGAAGTAGTAACTCAGTGTAACTAGTTTGTTTCAATTGCCTCTTTTTTTCATGGTTTAGAATTACTTTGGAAAAAGTAGAAAGGGCTATATATAAAATATTAGTGGTTACTTCTGCTGGGAGAGATTGTGAATCATTCATTTATTCAAAAAACATTTATGGTGTATCTAGTGTTTATCACCTGCTTTAGAGGAGAGAGGAAAAATATTCTTATTCATTTTGATAACTTCCTGATAGTTGCCTAGATAGTTGCAGGAATGGATAGGGAACCTAGGGAAAAAGGCAGAGACTCAAGGAAACTAAATAGGGATTATATGTGCAGTGGATGTCAGAGCAAGCACCTGCCTTGTCCTGTTTTTACAGCTGTGTAACCAGCGACGGCTGGGAATTTGAAATGTGGGTTCTATCAAATAAGGTTTTATCAAATTGGGATTGGTTATTACACTTTTCTTCCTCCACCTTGATTTCAGGAGGTGATTTACTCAGACATGAAAGCTTTATCTCTGGGGAAAACTTTATCTCTGAAGAAGCTTAATTTTAACATTTCTAAAGGTAGACAGGTATTTTCCATATTAGTCTTTATGGAACAACAGCTTTTGCCTTTAATTTTAATTTTTTCACCCAAATCAAGACATTCTAAAATATTAGATTGGTACAAAAGTAATGGTGGTTTTTGTCATTACTTTTAATGGCAACTACTTTTGTACCAACCTCATATAAATTAATCAAATGCTGAGGTGTATTTAAGGGAACATAAACACCCTTCCTTCACGTTTTTGGTTGTATTTGTAAATTTCCCATGAAATTCACATATAAGCCCAGGATTCTCTCTGTGCCTGCACCCAAAAATGAAAATAGCATGTTCAACTATTTTAAAGTTTTCATATTTAGTATGCCCTTTACATTTGTAATATAACTTAGTGGCCCAGATATTAATGGTAATCCCAGAAATAGAAGTCAAATGCAATAATCTTTAGTTTATAAATCTTTTGCACAGGGGCCGGCATAATTTCTCTGTAAAGAAATTTTATGATCTGGCCAGAAAATAAATATTTTAGGCTTTATGGGCCATCTGCTCCCTGCAGCAACTACTCAACTCTGTAATTCTATCTCCAAAGAAGCCATAGACAATACCTTAACAAATGATCATGGCTGTGCTCCAAGAAAACTTATTTGCAAAAATAGGTGGCCGTTAAAATTGACCTTCAGACCATTTCGTGCTATTGAAAATATGATGAAAGCAAGGCATCTTCTTTTTAGGAAGATGCTCTCTGGCACCCTCAGAATTCTGCATGTAATTCCAGGAACTAAAAAGCCTATCTAAAAAGCTCAGTCCAGGAACCCCTGATTAACCTATGTATATAGCCCAGGTGACAACTCTGGCTGCTAAAGTCCAAGTTAGACCTACCTTTATTGACTAAGGAGGGAATAAAATGAGACATATGGCTTATTTCTTGAGTTTCTCATTGCTCTGAAAGAAACGGGCACTGAATTTCTTGCCATTATAGATACATTTAATGAACATCCATTCACTTCACTGGTGTGAAATACTTTCTGCATCACACAGCAAGTACCAGAGAAAGGTGCTACAATGGGTAATTATTATTTTCTAGTGGGATGTCACCTCACATTCAGTTGACAGGAGTTTGACAGCATTAAGCCCCAAAGAAACTATAGCCACATGATAGTAGATACAAAGGGCTATCATATCATATTATAAAATATCACATCATATCATGTTGTATTATAAAAGGAATCTTGATCTTCCTTTACCAACCATGTGCTCTTCTCTGGGGAAAAAAACAAGCTTCTGGAAATGAACCACATACTGTCAATGTGACATTTAAGAACGGCAATATTCCAAGCATAAAAGAAAATTCCAGTAATTCCACATATCTTAATTCTTTCCTCCCATGGATTAGACTAAAATTTAATTCTTGAGTAGTTTAGAGAACACAGTTGCTGGCTTATGTCAAGATTTAAAGTAGCCCCTTTAGGACAAGCCAGTATTTACATATCCACATGAAATCTGTGTGAGCCTTAATAATGTCATTTAAAAGCCGTCAGCCAACACTAAACCTAAAGTCAGAAATGTCTCCAGTGTGTCTATAAGTTTGGTATAAACCATTCCATGGAAAGTCCAGGTACCCTATGTACTCTACCTCACACCCAAAGTCAGAGAAAATGCATTTCTTTATTCTTACAGGAAGCAACTGAAACTTCAGTAAAAGATGAAAACCTGCTATGATAATTGCGTTTTGAAATGGGTTTGGCAGAAATGGGTTCTGCCAAAGGGCTTAAATATATGTGGATATACGGTGTAACGTGCCATATAAACCTAAAAGTTCTATTTCTCGTAACGACTGGAATTAAAGTGCCAACAGAATGCAAAACTGTGGAAAAAAGTAAGTCAACTTTAAAACTCACATTGTTAGCAAAATTTTGCACATGCAACTCAAAATACCTTGGAGCTGGTAGTTCTGCTTGGAATTCTCACTCCCGGCCCTTTGACTGACTGACTTCTTATCCCTGGAATAGTTCTCATTCCTGACTACTCCATACAAACTGAAATCCTCCCTTTCCCTGTCCCAATGCACCCAATTGCATCACATTTTTAAAAATTTCCTTCTTAGGAGAACCTTCAATTATCTTATTCATTTGTTTGTTTATATTCCCATTAGAACATAAGCTCCAGGAGAAAAGGAATCTTCTCTTTTTCAGGTTTATGAGAATATCTACAGCCTTCAGAGTAATGCCTGACATCTGGTAGAAACTCAATAAATATCTGCTAAATGAACAAATGAATGAATGATGATGCTTTAGCCCAGTCCAGCTCACTAATCAGAAGCATCACTACCATAGCACTATGGCTGAGCACAGTGGCTCATGACTGTAATCCCAGAACTTTGGGAGGCCATGGTAGGTGGAAGGCTTGACAAGCCTAAGAGTTCAAGATCAGCCTGGGAAACATGGTGAAACCCTGTCCCTGCAAAAATTATAAAAATTAGCCAGGTGTAGTGGCATGTTCCTGTAGTCCCAGCTACTTGGGAAGCTGAGGTGGGAGGATTGCTTGAACCTGGCAGGTGGAGGTTGCAATAAGCTGGGATCATGCCACTGTACTCTAGCCTGAGTGATGAATTGAGACCCTGTCTCAAAAAAAAAAAAAAAAACCCACTGCCATAGCACTTTTGTATGTCACAAAAGCTAAGCAAAATAATAATAATAATAATAAAGAGAGAAAAAATGGCAATCACATGCTAAAATGTAAAAAAAAAAAAAGAAAAGAAAGAAAGAAAATCAAGTCTGCAACCAAGGCAAGAAGACAGTTGATAGAAAAACCAAAGTCTCTGGTCTCATGTGATAGAGTAGTTTCCAGAGCTATCACAGACATCTAATACTTAACTGATTTTTAATCGCCATTTTAAAATTCAATGCCTGGGCTATGAAATTCATTCTGGATGGGAAATGGAGCATCCCCCAAGAGCATGGGCAGAAAGGTAACTCTCCCATGATCGATGTATTTAAGCACTGCTGTCACCTCACTAAAATGCTAAGGCAACCAGTCCAACACATATCTTGGAGGAAGCAGCACCTTGGGTCTGTAGTTCCATTTCCTAAGGCTTCATTAATCATGTACAACTTTTGGACTGTCAATAGCACTTCAGCGTCTTAGCTGTAAAACCCTTCAACCCTTCAGATAAGCCTTTGTTGTTAATCTCTCTCCAGCTGAAAGACAGGTTATAAGGAAGAGTCAACAGTTGGGATGCATTACGTTTTGACTCTGAAATAAAGCCCATGCTTCCCCTGACATTTGTATATGTTGCCACCACTAATTGCTTTCTCCCAGTCCTATCTGCTGTGGGTTAGTTTACATAAAGATGGCTGTTTTAAAGACATCCCTCCTGACATATATGAACAGTGCATAACCTCTTATCATGGTGGTTTATGTGTTTTTACAACAAAGACAGCCAAGCAGGGCTGTCCATGATTAAACCAGAACCTTTTGGATGCATCAATCACTTGCTGCTGTCATGAAAAATTCTTGGCTTCCTATAGAGGTTCATTTCTTGTTGTGAGACTTTCCCATAACCTATTTTTCTGGTTCTATCTCCTTTCCCATTCTCCTCTCCAGTGATCTTTGTCTTTTTTTTACTGGGTTAATTAGGGGTTTGGTTTCTTTTTATTAGGATGACTTGTTTATGGCTGAAGTGCCTTATAAATTCTCAGTTATACACAAGAAAGCTACCACGCCAAAGACCAAGAAAAGTAGAATTGAGTATTTCATTTTTAAAATTATCTAGCCTGTGCATTAATTTACTTTCCTTGCAAAGCACTTTTTTGTATCTTATTTAACAGCTGCAATCAAATCTGACAGAAAAGTATTTATTGTTCACAACAATCTGATCGCCAAAAACTAAGATAAGTTAAGCAAATTGCCAAAATTAAGACAGCCAACATGCGCAAAGCTGTGATCAGAAACCCTGACTCCAAGGCTAAACAACCCTGCTTCCCTTTCATAGAGATACAAATAATATAAAGAAAATAATAACCCATAATTACAAATTCTTTTTGAGAATTGGATAGAAAGTTTCCAACTTTCTCAGTTCACCCCAGAGTTCAATTTCACCTCACTTCCCTGCCCTTCATGATGATGATGGCTAGCTAGTACTACTTCCCAGATGATCCTCTTTTATCATTTTCATGGGGATTATCTTTTCTGCCTTGTTCCTACCTTCTGTGCAAGAGAGTGGCTAGGAGTTTCTATTAAAGGTTCTTTTTCTAGGTGGAAGATCATAGGAATAGGGCGAGGGGCAATTATATCTCTATAGCAGAATCTCTCATAAATCTAAATGTTGATAGCAAAGAAGATACCCTGGGCTGAGTGTGGTGGCTCGTTTCTGTAATCCTAGCACCCTGGGAGGCTGAGGTGGGAGAACTGCTTGAGCTGGGAGGTGGAAGTTGCAGTGAGCTGAGATTGCACCACTGGGAGACAGAGTGAGACTCTGTCTTAAAAAAAGAAAAAAAGAAGATACCCCGTTCTCACCCCAGGGGATCTCAGAAAAATGTGTAATTAACCTTGTTTCATAGAAGCATGCTGTGAATAACCACTGTATGACTTCCATGCATAGTGTCAAAAATGGCATCCAGAAATGACAGGACTCGGTCAATGACAAGCCACTCTTAATTATTCAGGGTGGTAGAAAAATTGTAATAACCTGGCTAAATGGCATTGGCAGATTATTCAAGCCTTCCACTTGGGCATATATTAGTGTCCCTCGAATCTTTGCATTTTCCAGTGGAATCCATAATGGGCTGTTTATGACTATAAAATGGGGAGTATGTGGGGAAAAAAAAGAGGAAGCTAAAACAGCATTTTTTTAAAAAGAATTCAGTGAGATGATACCTGATCTTTATGAAATATCATGAGGCTCTTAAAATTTTGCAAACAACCAAATGGCAAATGATCAGTCTGGGGTCTATCTAGTGCCTTCGTTGAAGCTCACCTGGTGATCTTTCTCCCTTTATCTTTAATTTTCTTCAAACAAAAACCATCCACTTGGTTGTCTAGAGGTACTTTTTCCTTTTAGTAGCTAAAATGCTGAAAGGCAATCCGAAAGGAAGAAACAAAAATGTGGTATACTCACTAGCTAACATCAGATGTTGAACTACTAAGCTCTAACTGAAGCAGCAGCATACGTTGACGGCTGCATCTGAATCGTCCAAATGTCTTTGGTTGCTTTGATCAGTTTGTACAGTCCATGGGACAGACACATTAGCTGGCTTACCAACTAACAGGCAGCAGGACCATATGTTCTGAACTAAAAACCAACTATGTAATCTGGCAGTGGAGGAGTTGGTGTCTCAATCTGAGTTTTTGTCCTATGACAAATGGAATGCAGTATGAAACTATACTATTACATTGCAAATTTGATAAATGACATGGAATGAGAAATTCCCCTGGAAAACTTGGATTTGAGATTTTTCATAAAAATATGTTCACGAAAATGATTGATTGCATGAATGATAAAATGGCTAGAGATCAACCAATGAATCTTCTGAAACACTTTCATTTACGACACTTTGGGAATCTTTGGCCTTTGTTCTCACTTTTCTAACTAGTCTTTCACTAGAGCTAACTGCACCCTCACTGACCTATTTCACAGAATGTATGCCTCCCCCATCATTATATGATTAGTTACTTGCAGCTCTAAAGCAAAAAGAAATATGCTTTCGGGTAGATAAAAAAATATATAGTTTACTTGAAACTGAAGGCTGCATTTTATCCTATGGTTTATACATCAAAGCCTCGCTCTAGACATCCCTCCCCAAATCCCTTAGCCAGACTGCTAAGCATGTAAATCTTTGGGGTAGAGAATTGAACAGAATAACAGGGGCACCTTCAAGAGCTTGTTTGAAAATGGATGTGAGATTCCCAAAATTAAAGCCCTTAAAAAAATAAAAAATAAAAAAATAAAAAAGGAAAAGAGTCCCTCCCTTCTCCTGACCTTGGAAACAAGTAAGGACGATGTTATTTTAATTTGCATTCAAATTTTCACAACACAGTCACACAGCACCGGTCGAATCGACATTGGGTTTCCACCGAAGATTGCTCATCATTTCATTATGGCTCATTATGTTGATAACTGTCAGAAAGCATTAGCAGCGAGGGCTTTGAGTAATAGAACTGAAATGGTAATTTTAAAACAATACACTTTCTGGGAGGAAATACAGCAGCGCACTAAATTCAATTAGAAAAGGCAAATGTAGAGACAAAGTAAGTGATGTTTGTTGTTTGGAACTTGGCTGTTTCAATTTCTTGATAACGTAAACCTGGAGAAAGTTTTTTCAAATCAGGACCTCTGGTCATAGATCTTAGGAAATCTGCCCTCATTAGCTCTGAGCTCTCCTAGTATAAAATGTCTTGAAAGCTGCAATTTTGGAATATTTTCGGCCACGTCTAAGTATCAATCAATCACTCTTTGTTTGTTTGGCACATTCGAGGCTGTTTACTTGGAGACAGATTCGTAAAGGCCCTTCAAGTTGGCAATCTAAAATAATAATCTCTCATTTACAGAGTGTTCCCAATCACCAGGCTCTAAGAAGTTTCATCAAACAAGTTAAATAAAGAGCACCCAAAAGCACAGGGACAGATTTCCAATTGAAAAATACGAAAAACTACTCTGGTAACAGTGCTCAGAAGTCAAGGTGGCAAAATGACAGATGAGCTACATTTTTCTAGATATGCAAAGCCAATTTACTACCTTTACAAGGTACTTTTCTAGCACATTTTGAAATACAATAAGGGGTTGGAAAAGAAAGTTACCTTAATGCCGGGTGCAGTGACTCACGCCTGTAATCCCAGCACTCTGGGAGGCCTAGGCGGGCGGATCGCTTGAGGTCAGGAGTTCGAGACCAGCCTGGTCAACATAGCGAAACCCAGGCTCTACTAAAAATACAAAAATATTAGCTGGGCATGGTGGTGCATGTCTGTAAATCCCAGCTACTTGGGAGGCTGAGGCAGGAGAATTGTTTTAACTCGGGAGGTGGCAGTTACAGTGAGCTGAGATAGCGCCACTGTACTCCAGCCTGGGCAACACAGTGAGACTCTATCTCAAAAAAGGGAAAACAAAAAAAGAAAGTTACTTTAAATATAACATTGATTTAGCTTCCCAGTGGGGGAAAAGAAGATCTTGCTCACTACAATCATTGAACAAGCAAGTACATGACTAAGACCATCAGAAGTCTTCCTGCAGGGGTGTGAGGTTGACCACGCCCAGTCCTGCTGATAACCAGACTGCATTCCAGAAGGGGCAGGGAAACAAGGAGAAACAGATCTGGAGAAGGGAAAGAGCTAGTCATTCGTAGAGTTAAAGGACTTTAATTTCATTAATAAAAATCACATCAAAATCCCTGTTAAGAAAAGATTCATAAAATCAAAATCCTGACATCAGCTTTAATGGCAGCCCTGAATGTGCAGAAATAATGGTGCTTGTCCTGGCAATGTTGCCAAAAAAAAAAAAAAAAAAAAAAACTTCTTGCCTCTCTTGACTGATACAGGTGTCTAAGGTGAACATTTACATTTCTACTCTCTGGCAATAACTTGGTGAGGATTCTGGAAGAAACAAACAAACAACAGCAAAATTAAAAAGAAAAATAATTCCACAGTGAGTGCATTTGGTTGTATGATTCTACCCAGGCTGGATTTTCTTCATACAGGAGACAGATGAAGTATTCCATTTCCATGAAGGGAGAATGATCAGAATCCATGAAATACCTTTCTAGAGTCACCACTGAGCTGAAGAACAGGTCTGAAAGTTACAGGCATCAAAACAGAATCTCCTGTCTCCTGACAGCCGTGGGGCTGGGAATCTAAATCCTTGCTGCCTAAAGACGGTTTTACAGATCAGTAGCTTCAGCCTCACCTGGGAACTTGTCAGAAACAGACTCTCAGGCCTAACCTCGCTCCTCCTAATCCGCAGGTGATTTCCATGTGATTTTTGTGCATGTGGATGTTTAAAAAGCTCTGTTCTAAACTCCCTGTTCTAAATAGTTATGGGCTATTTTCCAGAAAATGTTCCGATGGTGCTTCCATAGAAACATCTCAGCACATCTCACAGGCAGCCATTTATGTTAACCTAACCAGAGGCTCCAGCAAAAGTATTCCCAAAGGTAAAGTTTGTTTACGATTAAATTCTCTTAAGCTCTCCAGCAGCGTCAATGGTGCAAACTTCCTAGGCAGTTTCCTTCTAAATTAGCCAATGCTACTTTTATTCACCTGGTCTAATTGTTCTCCAAGTGAACAAAAACCTGATTTTACAAGCCAGTGGAGCACAGTCTCTCTTTGGCTAGAAGAATGAGGCTCAGATAGTGTGTTTTATTTCTTCATTAGTGTGCCGTCACAGTGAGCGATCACTAAATGCGAGGCTGCATAAGAATGCTGGGGTTAAAGACAGCATAATGAACAAAGAAGGTGCCTGATTATCATGGCTGTCAGCACAAGGGAATTGGGTTTGTCACCTGGCTTAACCAACTGGGAAGAACTGATTAGAGGCTGGAATCAGTTTGAAAGGACCCCTGATGTTTATGCTGCTTCCCATCCCCACATCTTGTCAAGAGAATCCGATAAAGCTGGGGGCAGCGTGCGAGTGGGGAGAGTTACTCTGTGGATCATCTGAACAAGAGGTTCTTTGAGAAACTCCTACTGTCTTCTCTGTTGGAACGTCTACTACAGTATTGTCCAATAGAACTTTCTGTGGTGATAGAAACGTTCTCTGGGTCTGCCGTCCGGTATAGTCTCCACTAGCCATATATGGCTATTGAGCACTCAAAATGTGCCAAGTTTAAATAAGAACCTAAATTTCAATTTAATGACTTTAAGGTTAAATAGCCACGTGTCAAGTGTCTACAGTACTAGACAATACAGGTCCATTATATTCACTAGGAAGGGAGATGTCGAAAGGAAGAGCCATAGGCTAAGAATTAGAATCCAGTTCTGCTGCCTGACTTACGACTATATCTATTATCAGCAAAGTATAGTCACTTCCCTGATTATCCCTATCTCAGAGGAAGTCTTCAGAGGCTTATGCAGTTAATGTTTAAGTTTAAAAAAATACTTACAAGTTTAGTTCTGTTGGCCGGGTGTGGTGGCTCATGCCTGTAATCCCAGCACTTTGGGAGGCCGAGGTGGGTGGATCACCTGAGGTCCGGAATTCAAGACCAGCCTGGCCAACATGGTGAAACCCTATCTCTACTAAAAATACAAAAAATTAGCTAGATGTGGTGGCGTGTGCCTGTAATCCCAGCTACTTGGGAGGCTGAGGCAGGAGAATCACTTGAACCCAGGAGGCAGAGGTTGCAGTGAGCCAAGATTGTGTCATTGCACTCCGGCCAGGGTGACAAGAGCAAAACTCGGTCTCAAAAAAAAAAAATTTAGTTCCATTGGAGGGGTCTGAACCTTAACTGTACAATAAATTAACAGACTGATTTTTGAAAATACTGATGCCTGAGTCCTACCCCCCCACCAGAAATCCTGGGGTACAGGGCAGCCATCAAGTAATTTAATTATGCACGCAAGGGTAAAAAATCACTGATAGAGAGGCAGTGAGATAGCTGTCAACCTGCTGTGGAGGCAGTTTGGGGAAGGAAGTGACCAGCTGGAAATAAAAGAGGAAGAGAACAAACATTGATTAGATCCCTACCAGGTGCCAGAACTTTGCAAATTTTTTTTATTTCATTCTTAAAACAGCCCCAGAGGTAGATGGTGAGAATTCCAACTTACAGATGAGGAAATTGGGGCCTGGTGAGGGTAAACTCTCTCTGAATATCACAGTGTTGGTCAGTGGTTACAGCCAAGGCGATCCGATCAGCAAGTTGATGGCGTCGCCATCAGCACTTTGTTTCCTCTTAACTGAAGTGCTGCATATAAAGTAAGTGGGATGTGATAACCATTAAAGTAATGCACAAGGCTGAGTGCAATGGCTCACGCCTGTAATCCCAGCACTTTGAGAAGCTGAGGTCCATGGATCACATGAGGTGACGAGTTCAAGACCAGTCTGGCCGATAGGGTGAAACTCTGTCTCTACTAAAAACAAAAACAAAAACAGGTGTGGTGGTGGGCGCCTGTAGTCCCAGCTACTCGGGAGGCTGAGGCAGGAGAATCACAAACCCGGGAGGTGGAGGTTGCAGTGAGCCGAGATCACACCACTGCACTCCAGCCTGGGTGACAGAGTGAGACTCCATCTCAAAAAAAAAATGAAAAAATAAGTAAGTAAAGTAATGCACAAGACCTTGAAGTAGTAAAGTGTAGGAGAAGGAGTTCCAAGAGCAGGTATTTTCATGGACCTTTTAACAATGACACAAAAAGCCACCAGCCTTCCTTCCCTTCACCTTGTGGAAAATGACTTCTGAAACATGCAAATGTTACTTTAATTTTTAGACTTTTTGGTCCATCCATATGCTAAAATCAAATTTTCTCTTCTTCCCCTTTGCATCCTTAAGATAAAGCTAACAGTTAAAAATACAATTCCAAGGGCTCAACTACCACAGCCTTATTACACATACATCAAATGTTCCAGCAACACAGACATATGGCCATCTTTGGAGGTTTCCTAAACTCCCAAGTAGCAAGACTTGGTAATAAAGTGATGGGCACATGGTCCCCTTAAATGCTAAACAGGTCAGCATCATGAGACTGAAAAATACCTGGGAGAAAGAGCCAGGACCTCCTGCCATCAGAGATACATTTCATGACACTCATAATACAATCAAATCTCAACCTAGAGAAGGCTTTATCTGCATGGAAAGTAAGTGGGGGAGTACATGATGCAAATTGAGGGCCATCCTCAAAATGTCAGCCTCAAACACTTCCCCTTGAGTTTACTATTGTGCCCCAGATTCCTACAAGAAAATTGTTGGTAGCAGGTGTGGATAAAGATGGGGAGTTTATTATTAAACTAATCACACAAATGGAACATAGCATGAAAATATTTACATTGGAAAAGAAAAAGGTTGGGACTGAAGAGTTCAAACAAAAGTGGCCACGCAGAGAAAGTTCTTAGTCTATGGAGGAACAGGAAAGAAAGAAAGCAAAAACAATCCTTGCCTATTTACAGTTTTTCTGTTTTCGTTTTTTTTTTTCTAAGACAGGGTCTTTTTTTGTCACCCAGGCTGGAGTGCAGTGATGTGAATGCAGCTCACTGCAGCCTTGACCTCCCAGGCTCAAGTGATCCTCCTGCCTCAGCCTCCCAAGTAGCTGGGACCACAGGTGAAAGGCACCAGTCCTGGCTATTTTTTTTTTCTTTTTTTTTTTTTTTTTGAGACGACAGAGTTTCCTCTGTCATCTAGGGTGGAGTCCAGTGGTGCAATCTCGGCTCACTGCAACCTCTGCCTTCCGGTTCAAGCAATTCTCTTGCTTCAGCCTCCTGAGCAGCTGGGATTACAGGCTCACACCACCACGCCTGTCTAATTTTTGTATTTTTAGTGGAGACGGAGTTTTGCTATGTTGCCCAGGCTGGTCTTGAACTCCTGACCTCAATAATCCGCCTGCCTCGGCCTCCCAAAGTGCTGGGATTATAGGCCTGAGCTACTGCATCTAACCTTTTTAACAGTTACATCTGAGACTGACCCTAGGATTCTCCCTAACTCTGAATGTTTATGCTTGACTTGGGAGAGCCAGCAAGAGAATCTCCCAGATTCTCTATAATAGAATAATATAAAATAGAAATAATATAAAATATAAATATAATAATATAAATATAATAATAATATAAAATAGAAACTAGGTGAGTCTTCAGGTTGTACAACTCTGTCCAAGGTAGGGTGTGATCTTGAGCATGTTCCTTAACATCTCTGAGCTTGCAGTTACCTTTTCTATAAAATAAAGATTATACCTACCTAACAGATTTCTTATAAACCACGTATTAAGATTTTTTTCAAGTACCTAATACATTACCTGGGCATAATTATAAAATTGTCATCATCATCATTATTATCTCTCATTATGAAAGAAACTCTGGAGGTTACAGCAATTTGAATATAAAGTCAGAGAGACCTGGAGACTCACTCCACTCATTTTAAAGACAGGACTTGATTGCCCAGTGGCCCAAAGTGCTCAAATACCCAAAAACCTTTTATTTGCAGGGTTGTTAGCTCCAGATTGGCCAAAATACCATTTATAGTAGTTAGGAAACAAAATAATAATAGTCATAATGATAACTAAAACTAATATATATATATATATATATATATATATATATATATATATATTTTTTTTTTTTTTTTTTGAGACAGAGTTTTGCTATTGTCACCCAGGCTGGAATGTAATGGTGCGATCTCGCCTCTCTGCAACCTCTGCCTCCTGGGTTCAAGTGATTCTCCAGCCTCAGCCTCCCAAGCAGCTGGGATTATAGGCACCACCCACCATGCCAGCTAATTTTTGTATTTTTAGTAGAGACGGGGTTTCACCATGTTGACCAGGCTAGTCTCGAACTCCTGACCTCAGGTGATCCGTCCACCTCAGCCTCCCAAAGTGCTGGGATTACAGGCGTGAGCCACCGCTCCCGGCCAAAGCTAAAATATATGAAATGGCATCATCCTATGCGATGTACATAGCACATAAACAACATGAGGCTGTTTAATACCAACAACCATTAGGAGGCACTGTTATTAACTCCATTCTCCAGGTGAGGAAACAGACTGAAGAGACTCAACAGCCACCCAGCTACACAACAGGCTGGGAAACAAACTCAAAATCTGTGGAAGGTGTCTGACCTGAGCCATGAGGCTAGCCCTCCAAGCACAGATTCACCTAATGGAAATTCATGGGCCCAGTGCTCCCCATTCCGATCAAGGTCACAGCCATTGTAGGGTCTGTGAAGGCCCAAGTGTACATGAAAGGAATGGTAACACCTAGGAACACTGTCCATATAAAGTGTGAGAAAATATTTCTTCACTCCTGCTCTTCATACCAAGCTTCCCAGCCTCATCCATTCATTAACCCAGCATTTATTAAATGCAATCATTAAACAAGCATTTATTAGGATTGGGGCCTAAGTCTTATGAACACAAAACTATGAGTAGAGAAGGAAGAGGTGTAATGACAACCTAAGCAATGATCTCAGTGCACACTGAGCTGTCCTTTACAGACTGAAACCACATTCCCAAACCCTGCCGTCTACCTGTTTCTCCTGCCAGTTGTCAAGCTTCCCTGAGTCCTCAGTGCAATGGCAAAGCCACTAATAAATTCCAATCTCAGCTCTAATTACACTGTCAGACAACCTCTGAACACTCAATCTCTTCTCCACCAAGTAGTCTGTAGGCAGCTGTGCACACTGAAGGCAACCAGAAGCAGTGGGAAAGACCCTTTCTTTTTACAAGCATTTCCCCTGCTATGATTGAGAAAGGATGAATGTTTGATCTCAAGTGCCCCCTGAATGATTATCCCAGGAGAAGACCTGGCAGTGCCTTGCTAGGTGGTAATGAAAGCTGTTGGCATCACAGGAATGAGAGACAAGCATACAACTTACGGGTGCAGGGCATAGAGGCAGCATCGTTGTCAGCTCTGAAAAAGCCTCGGTCACAGGTGCACGAGGTGGCTCCTTCCCAGACAGAGTAGCTGTGGGGTGGGCACTTGGCACAGGTGGCATCCGTGGAGAGAGCCTTGTAATATCCAATTTTGCAAGCTGCAGGGAAGAAGAAAAAAACAAACAAATAGAAACCACTGCAAATAGACCAAAGCAAAAATGCAAAGCCACCTCCTTGTTTCAGAAGAAGGGAGACGTTCTTGCTAATCATTAGCGATCATGTGGCTTGAAATGCAGGTCATGCAACCAAAAGCATTCATTGAGTATAGTCGCTCTTTAAGGGCCATTAACATTCCTGGTCAGGTGTCAAGAAGTCCAAAGGAAGAAATTTTCTTAAACCTGGCAGAATCAAGGAAAAGCACAGCAAAGTTTACCGAACGCCTTTCTATGTGCCAGATACCCTTTATACACATTATGCTGCTTAATTCTTACAGCACCCCTTTTCGACAGGCATTATCTCTACCTTAGAAGTGAGGAATTTCAGCTTTGAGCAGTTAATTGAGGGCACAAGACCATACATCTGCTAAGTGTCAGCACCCAGCTTTGACCCCAAGTGTTCTGCCCTCAAAGCCTGTATGCTTAGTCACATGCTATGGAATTTCAGAGTGTAGCCTTTAGCCAACCAGTGGGAAGTGTATCCAAGTGCTGACAAAAAAACCGGGTGGTGATTATTTCCCAATTACAACTACAGAAAGAACCAAATCGAAAGATCAACAAAGGCAAGCAAGTAAAAAAGACGAGCTTGTAAGGCACGGGTCACAGTTTCAGGGTGAAATAACAAAAACTATCAACTGGAGATTTTGGAATATAGTATGCTAAGATTTGTTTTTTGATCAGCGAATATTTTGTGTCTATTTTCAAGTTCATAAAACCCTCCTGTTTTTCCCTCTTTCCATTTTTCCAGCACCCTTCCCCTGCAATGCACACACCTCCCGAGAGCCTGGTGTAGAGAACACGGGCCATATAGTTTTTTATACACCTGACATCCTTTCCATGACTTCATCTTCATAAACATCACACTGACACTGTCATCATACTGACACTAAGGACCACTTTTAGTAGTGTGGAAAAACTCACTAATTCTGGGAAAACTCATAATAAAAAATAATGACTACTTGCTCCCCACTCTTTTTCCTTCCCCCATGGCCTTTCATGATCGCCTCTCAAATCTGTCTCAACCCCAGATAAAAATTGACCAACACCATCAGCATTAAACCCACAGAGACAAGGCCATTAAGAGTAAAGTTATTTCATAACACCAGAGGTTCAAAGAAAATGTGCCAGTAACCCACAATCTTTCCAGCATGATTCACTCTCGTTTCTTTTCATTCATCATGTCCTTAGGACTTGTCTATACTATCAGAAACAGCAGTGGGGAGAAGGACCTATCAGCCATTTTCCATCAGCCTGGCAGCCAAAACGGAACAACCATGCAGCAACGCAGCAGATCTTACTGAAATGAGTACTAGAAAGAGATCCATGAAACTGCTTGATTCTCTCTGGAGATAGGGCCATCATCTCACTGTCACTACTCATCCATCAAGCATCTGTATGGCTTCCAGCTGAAGTCTGTTCCACCCACTCGCATATCCTGTTGGCATTTTCTTAATCATACTCTTGTAATGGCAAGCGGAAAGGGAATTTAGCAGGGGCTCAGGAAGGCACACAGTTACTTCACTCTTACTAACTGAAGTTGTTTATGGAATTTCCTTTAACAAGCCAAAACTTTATGACGTGTGGAGCACTGACAATAAAAGTGCTGGGAGATCAATCTCTCCCTTATTTGCTTTCGTCTTTCACTGGACCGGAGCATCTTAGAAAAACAAGTTGCTCCAATGACTGAGATTTATGTGTCTCAAGTTTATACACATTGCATAATTAGATAAGGTTCAACTTGCAAGGTGCTTTTTTGGTCATGCTTAAGATGGCCCTAGGGTTTTGATTAAAATCAGAAACCCTGACTTTAGCAGGAAGAAGGACTGGGGGTCAAGCCCAGCTTTCTCACATCAAACACAATGAGCCTCTGAACAGGAACACAAACCCACTGGGTCCCGCCTGTCACTCAGTCAGTCGCAGTCGACAAAAGCAACTTGTGGCAACTCAGGACTGCAAAGAAGGCACAAAATGCTTTCATTTTTTTCACATCTGAATGTTTGCAGAAAACTGCATATTACTGACTGATTCTCATGCACCCCTCAATTTCAACAAGCATCAAAAACGAAAAACTCACAGTGGGAGTGGAAGATCGACAAGGACAAGAAACTGTCCAGTGACTGATCATCACAAAGTCCAAATGGCATATTTGAAAAGCTATTCTGATAAGACTACTTCCAGCTAAAAAATTAAACTCATCTTTTGCAAAAATCAAAATGGAAAATGTTGCCTTCAATTTCATTAAATTTCTTACAGTGCAAAAACCTGTTTTATATATTATGTGAATTTAAGAAAAAAGTGCATTTGCAAGTTTACATTTTTTCCTATTTTTCCTCGAAGCTGGTATTAATATGTCACCAGGAATAAATATATGTGAATTCATTTGGGAAATACCAATTTTATACCAGTTTGGAAAATTGAAGGCTGCTGTTCTTTAAACAGACACTCTTTTCCTTTTGCTTTTATAAAACACAGGCAGAAAATACAAAATTGTCATTGTGCTATTCTCGGCAGCCTTGCTACCCTTAACACCTTCTTTTGTCTCCAACTACATTAAGACCATGTTATTAATATTTCAGGATTCTTAGAAAGGCTCTCTCAAAATATAGTAGTGGCTTTTCACGCACATAGCCATTTTGCTGCCTACATTTAAAATGACCTAGTAAATTGATGGTTTAGTACATTTCTTTGCTCTATGTGGTGCACAGCCTTCCAGCATTTGGTACATAAATGTGTAAGTACATTCTGCATTTATTCACTACTTACTAGCATCTGAAAACTTTCACTATCTCTTTTATTCTAAACAAAACCCCTGTGAAAGATGTACTTGGCATAACAAGCATTGACTGTTAGTATTTTTTATCCTTCTATTTTAGGTGAGAACTGCTATGCTGTATTTTTGAATACTAATGACTTTGTGAGCAAGAAACTACTTCCTCCTGCCCTATTTCCACCGAAGTTTCACTAGTTAATGAACCATCTGAATGGGTGTCTTACTTGATCTTCTAGATATGCCATGGAGAAAAGATTAGTTCACACGTATGATGCAAACTTTGCATTCAATTCCTTTAGCTTTGCTTTAATTATCTCTTTCTGCTGGCTTTGAATAAAAAAAGATGGAGGAGGAGAAGGAGGAGGAGGAAAAAGAAGAACCAACTCTTCTTTCATTGGCTCACCCACTACCATAACAAAGTCGAATTTTAAGATAGTCTTGGTAACGTAGTATCTTCTGGATTTTTGATGCATTGATGTGTGTACGTGACAGTATAATGCCCAATTTAATGAGCTGATTACACCTACTATTTGAAAATTTTATATATATATATATATATATATATGGCTATGTCATTTTTCTGCTTTTTAAGAAATGTAGAATAATTGATAGTATCTGATTGTCTTTATAGTTCATTTTAAAACTAAATTAGTGCCTAAGAGTAGCTAATAATAGCAATTGTGAAAATAAATATCAAGTATTCATTGAGTATTCATTGTTTATATGCTCATTGATCATTTAATTGTCACAATAATTCTGTGAGCTTGAGGCATTATCACTGTTCCCACTTTGCAGATGAAGAAACAGGGTTTTCAGTAACTTGTCCAGGGTCATACAGTTAAGTGGTAAGGCCAAGCATTTAACTCCAGTGCTTATGTTTTTCTAAAAGTTTTTAGTGAAAAAGGTTAAGTTACCTAGAGTTAGGTCTGACCTTCAGCAAAAATATGACTTGGGTATAATGGAGGGGTAAGGATCTGGGCTGGTCCCAACTTCTATTTGTTCCCCCAGCCCATCCTCTTGCTGCCTTTATCAGCCACAAAGGCAGCCACACTTTGCTCTCTGTGACCCACTTTCCAGTTCAAGGTCCCTCAGAGCTACACTGTCCATTAAAATAACTGCTCACCCCATGTGGTTACTGAGCACTTGAGATATGGCCGGTCAATGAATACTGGCTGTGAGTATAAAATATACACCAGATACCAAACACTTAGTATCCCAAAAGTAAAACATCACTAATAATTTGTATATGGATTACATGTTGAAAGCAATAATGTTTTGAATGTATACTTAAATTATTAAATTTAATTTCACCTTTAAAATTTATTTATTTATTTATTTTTTTGAGACAAGAGTTTTGCTCTTGTTGCTCAGGTTGGAGTGCAATGGTGTGGCCTCAGCTCACTGCAACCTCCGCCTTCTGGGTTCAAGCGATTCCCCTGCCTCAACCTCCTGAGTAGCTGGGATTACAGGCGCCTGCCACTACGCCCGGCTAATTTTTATATTTTTAGTAGAGATGGAGTTTCACCATGTTAGTCAGGCTGGTTTTGAACTCCTGACCTCGTGATCCGCCCGCCTCGGCCTCCCAAAGTGCCAGGATTACAGGAATGAGCCATCACACCTGGGCTAAAATTTATTTTTCAATGTGGCTACTGAAACACTTAAAATTATCTATGTGGCTTGCATTATATCTCTATCAGACAATGCTGCTCTAGAAGCTAGAGTATTAAGTATTGCGTGTGTGCTGCCGTGTGCACACACATGCTACTCTTGCAAACGCAGGGTGCTGAAAGTGAAGGAGGATGTATCACAATCCCCCAAGGACCTGTTTTCAAAACTTACCCTGAACCTACTTAGAAGAATCTGATACACTTCCTGAAGAACTGCTCTCAACCAGCTAGGTAATTTTAAAAACCTAATTTGGGCTAAAGTACTAACAAATGGACATTAATGGGGGGTTAAAAATTACCTTCCCAGGTAACAAATTTGCACCTTAATATAGAGTCGCTTGAGGGTCTAGAAATTCCAACACTGATTCTAAGGAGAATCTGAACCCTTTATGCACGCTGGTCTCCATACAATATTTGGCAAAGAGAGGCTTATAGGTCTCTCCAACCCTATCTTGTGGGCATGATACTAGGCACACATGACCAAAAAGTTTCCATGGGAACTCTGCCTTTTGTGCACTGGATACATAATATATCCAGTATGCTTAGGCATCTATGTTAGAAATATCAAAGTCTCTTAATGGCCATTATTAAATTAGTTCTTCAATAAATTTTTCATTTGTTAAACTATTTCTTATGTTAATAATATAAGAAAAAATGATGGGAAAGAAAAAATATCTGTCAAAAAGCATTACAGCTTTTGAAGTTTTTGTGAATATGTGCAAGCCCCAGCCATCTTTGGGGAAGGTGTGAACATTAACCAATTAATTCCCCACAGTACAGATGGAATATTAAGGCACAAAGGTTAAGGGTTTGCCCAAGGCAGGGTGGATTTTCTAACACAGACAATATGGCTTAAACTAATACGCTATAGATCTCTGCTTTCTCTTTTCAAACATGCAGGGTGAAGATGGACAATTGGAACTGTTATTGGACCCATCTGACTCTCTTCCATTCATGAACAGCCAAACGCTGGCAAATCCATATTGTCCAAATCACCTGCATTCTACAAGTGGTTTGACTGCTATCTGTTGAGCATAGTTAAAAATTAGATTGTTGAAGGGACCTTCAAAATCATCTCATCCAGGAATGGGCAAACATTTCTGTAAAGAGCCAGAGGCCAAGAGGAAGACCAAGGATATGATGAAGGTATTTATGTAATAAGATAGAAAACAAATTTTTACAATTATTTTTTTAGTGATAGAATTCAAAATATAATAGTAAATCATTAAGTACTTTTTTGCAATATAGAGTTATTAGTGAGGGGAATGGAATTCTTTGTTGGAGAGAGAACATTTCACTTAATTTGGTTTCAAGGAAAATGTTCATTATTACCAATTCAATTCCAAATGTCATCTATTAAAAAACATTCTTAGCTGTCAGATCATATAAAAACTGGTGGCAGGCCAGATTTTGCCCATGGGTCATACTTTGCCAACCAGTGATCTTGTAGGACATGTTCATTTTTGAGATGAATAACTTGTCCACGGGTCCTTTCTGGAGCATACTAGGATTGAGCCTCTACTCCATGGTTCGTCTGTTACTCTGCAGTGCCTCCCCAAGTTTTGAATGACAAAGCATAATAAAGTGCATGTTCTTGTCATCGCTGCAAATGAGTAAACTTTTCATCAACTGTCTTACTGGAAAAGCTGATTTTACTCAGTATCATTATAAGTAAAACCACTTTTCAATTGATTTTCTTTTTTTGATTAAATGGTATGGCCTGATTTGGAAGCTATTCCTATACCATTGTGGGGACAATTTCTTTGAATCAGTTCAAATTTCTGCAATTATATATTATGATTAATTTTACATTTACATTGTTTTAGGGTTTTTCTTCCCTGAGGATCCTGGGCTTAAACTGTTTTTGTCTATGAAATGAAAGAATGATACTGATTTTTTTTTTTAATTTCTGAGCCACTAAGTTCATGAAACAACTACAATAGCAATTGAAATGCTTTGTGTTGATGACTGATGTAGAGAAATAATGCCTTAATCTTTTGCCTGTGAAAAGGGTTTACTCTCAATCCCAAGACTGAGATAAAGACAGAGACAACAGAAAGTGTTCAAGAGCTTTGAAAGATGTAACAGGTCTCTCAGGTGCGGCCTAAGCTCTAGTCTGGACATTAGCTAACTAAAAAAAAGTTTTTAAACTGGAGATTACCTGAATCCAAATTCAGCAAGAATACCAAACTTCTCATCTCAGAAGCTTCTAATCTTGGAAGATCAGTAGTTTCTAATCTTTCTTCTCAGAGTCTAGCATGTATCAGAATGACCTTAACAAAGGACTTGTTAAAAGACCAATTGCTGGTCCTCACTCCTAGTTTATGATGGTCTGGTGAGTCCTGAGAATTTGCATTTCTTATATACTCCCAGGCAAAATGTGTCCCTGGACCCGATGACAACATTGCTGGTCCAGGGACATGTTTTGAGAACCACTGCTTAACTGTAAATAGACCCGTGTCTAAGTAAACTCTTAACAATGCAGTTCATCTTAAATAGGTTCAAACCACCTCATCCTTTCTCTAATACCCGGATGCTAAAGGGACAAATCATTATCAGGAGAAGAATAATTGGTTTTGGAATTCATTTTGGAGTGGGGAGAGGGCATGCCAGAAATCTGACATGTTTGAGGCCGGGCGTGGTGGCTCACGCCTGTAATCCCAGCACTTTGGGAGGTCAAGGCAGACTGATCACCTGAGGTCAGAAGCTTGAGACCAGCCTCTCCAACATGGTGAACCCTGTCTCTGCTGAAAAATACAAAAATTAGCCAGGAGGCATTGTGCATGCCTGTAGTTCCAGCTATTCTGGAGGCTGAGGCAGGAGAATCACTTGAACCCGGGAGACTGAGGTTGCAGGGAGCCAAGATCATGCCACTGCACTCCAGCCTGGGCAACAGAGTGAGACTCTGTCTCAAAACAGGAAAAAAAAAAAAAAAGAGTAAGAAAGAAAAGAAATCTGACATGTTTGAAATATAAAATTTAAATTATTTCTCAAACCAGTATGAATGTGCCCTGTATTGCCCCCCAAATTATGGGACAGAGCCTGGAGTGAAATATCCTTATAGAAATGGGTAGCTGCCAAAGAGAAAGGAAAAGAGATGAAGCTCTCACACAGAACTCTGTTATGCTAAAAATTACACCATGAAATTCAAAGGAAACTTACCAAACTAATACTGTCTCAAGTAAGTAGTTATCCTCTCACATCAATATTGTGAACTGATCATTGTTGTTTTTTGATACTGTTTCACAAGTATTAAATAACACAGTTAATTCTTACTTATTTTATTTCAAGTATTTGTTTATTTGATACTCTTCTGTTTTCTGGATAGTAAAATCAGAATAGTACAACCTGATTGTTGTTAAAAATTACTAAAGAATTAAGGCTGGGCCCAGTGGCTCACACCTGTAATCCCACCACTTTGGGAGGCCTAGGTGGACTGATTACCTTAGGTCAGGAGTTTGAGACCAGCCTGACCAACATGGAGAAAACCTGTCTTTACTAAAAATACAAAATTAGCCAGGCGTGGTGGCCCCTGCCTGTAATCCCAGCTATTCAGGAGGCTGAGGTAGGAGAATCACTTGAACCCGGGAGGCGGAGGTTGCAGTGAGCCGAGATCGTGCCATTGCACTCCAGCCTGGGCAACAAGAGCAAAACTCTGCCTCAAAAAACCACAACAACAACAATTACTAAAAACTTAAACTTAGTTATTTCGAGATTTTTTTGTGCACTCTGAGGAGACTAAACTCCAAAACATGATTGCATCACCAGAAATTCAAGTTTATTTCATTCATACAAAGTTCTACTTTCTCTAGTAAACCTCTGAGAATTCAGAAAAGATGTACTGAGTTGCTTGGCTCTGACCTAATCCTGGTCTTTGGTTGCTTTAGAATATTATTTTAAAATGGCTGTAGGGGAGATAGTAGATATGTAAATGTTGAAATAAAATTGAAATATTTAATTTTGGTTACCTTAATCAAGTGTATAAAGGAATATACCAGACATCCATTTAGAAAGGTTAAAATATTTAGGACAGAGATGTTTCACAGACAACAACAGCAAGAATGTAAGTAAAGAATGACAAAAGCAAAAAATAAACTACAAACAAATCAAAGGTGATTTTCTGTCTGACATTCATATTCACTGTCTGGTGGTCTCTTTTTGCCCTGCAGAATAATTGATAGCAAGGGCAGTGGGAGACATAACGGGAAAGGCCTGAACTTGGTTTTTAGCTCTGCCCCTTATTAGATGTGTGAACTTGAACAAACTATGTAACTACTCTGAACTTCAATTTTTTCATCTGTAGGGCTGAAATGATGATGAAATGAGATAATACACAGGAGGATAAAAGACAGTGTGTTCTGTGTATAAGCTACTCACTAAGAGTAACTCATTATTCCTATAGCACAGTGCATGGCTGCAAGAGGGGAAGATGGAAATGACCAATGGATTTTCATAAAACTTCAAGTTTTTTGTTTTGTTTTAAAATAAGATTGGATATAATTTCTAAAACACTATGGGATAACTTCTTCATTATTGTTTTTATTTCTTCTGTTATTAACATGGGGTAGAAAACCCAAGATTGAAGTCTAACTCATAGCATCTGCAGTTTAGTAACTATAGACAAGATTGGAAGTATGTAAAAATTTATTTTTATTTAGACAATTTAAACACCATTCCTAAAGTTAAATAAATTATTGTATTGGCTTTGGAGGTTTCTTCCTTCAACCAATAGTTTCTAATTCAGATCATCTCCTCTGGCAAGACACAGTTCTATCCTATTTTCTACGTTCCATCTCCTCCCATTTTTCCCCTCTTACCTTGGAGGTAGTTTTCAGAAAAACAGACAACGAAAAAAAGTGACAGAAAAAAACTATGCTGAAAATGGATTTGCTCTTTCAAGAACAGAATGCAGTATAATCCCATAAATAGGTGAGTAATTCTAAAATGTCAGATGAAGATGGTTTTCACAAAAGATTCACTAAATCTTCCAGAAGAAACTTTACATAAAGCCTGCTAAATCTAAATTAACTCTATAAAAAATATTAAACACAAACAAAAAGAATGCAGTGGGGGAGATGACTTATTATTTTCCCTTCTTGCCTTTAGAACAGATCATCTGATTATTTGAGGAGCTATTTCTCTTTGGTGAGTTTGGAAGGAGTAAGCTTAAACAGTAAAAGTTCCAAAGTAAGTAAACTAAACACATTCAACTAAACTCTCTAATTTACTTCTCTGAAGAGTAACTTCCACTGTCATAAACTCTACTTAAAAACAGCTCTGCTTCATATATGTATAAAGGGAATGGGAATAAAGATTGCTAGCTCCAATCTCTAGTTGATAATCCTGGGGTTCTCTCTCATCAGGGCTCCATACAAAAGCAATGAGGCCACCAAATTTCCATGGAAGTAACTGGTAAGACAAGTGATAGGCTTCTGTATTTTTGGAAAAAAACATAATGCATTCTGTTTTAAAGTGTAGATGTTGCTGCCAGGTTTGATAAAAATACTCTTAGAAACTTTTACTTAGTTTGATCATTGCAGTTTTCCCTGTTAAAGTGAACTAAAAACGGCCTCAGAACGACTCTGTACTTCTATATTTGAGTCCTTGTGGGAGAACTGTAACCTAACTTAGTAGGTAGACAAAATTGACAATCTAATTTAGGAGTATGCACCTATAACAATGGCTGAGTCTTGGCCAATCCCGGCAGCCATGCTTCAACCTCTCATACACTGCTAACTGTTCAAACTGTGTTCAAATAAGGCAAACACCAACCTGTAACCAATCCAGCTGTTTCTGTACCTCACTTCCGATTTCTGTACCTCACTTCCGATTTCTGTACCTCACTTCCGATTTCTGTATGTCACTTCCCTTTTTTGTCTATAAATCTTCTTCCACCACATGTCTGCGGGAGTCTGTCTGAATCTGCTGTGATTCTGGGGGCTGCCAATTCACATATCATTCATTGCTCAATTAAGCTCCTTTAAATTTAATTTGGCTGAAGTTGCTAATAGGAATTTTTGATTAATCACAATAGAGCATTGTTAGAAACAAACAAATATGTTATTTCAATTTGATAAGAGATGACAATTTAAAAATAGAAGGCAGTACAGCAACCTATAATCACAATAATTCCTTTTTTAAAAAACATGTTATTTCCTTAAAGATCCCTTATTCTTATTCTAACCTTTGTTCTAATTCTTCCATTAGAGCACTGAAAATTTGCTATCTGAAAAACAAAATATGGTTTTCAATATTGCCTTATAAAACAGCTGAAGGAAACAAACTAATACCTAGGGCTCTACAAATTTTTAGGGTATTTTCCTTTTTTTCCCCTCATGCCTGAAATAAAAATGATTATGACTTTAGTAAATTTTGAGATTAAAGAAATATTAATTTGATTTTCAATAAATTAATTCTATTGGAGATATAAATTCAAGTAGATTAAGCAGAACTTAATTGAATGACTCTATAATAATATTTTTAAGTCACAAAAGCCAAGTAAACTTGTTTGCCTAATATGCTGAAGTTTATATTAGGAATAGAAACAAATGGATGCTAAAAATTAAAATGACCACCATGTAAGAAAAAATCAAGAAAAGCGTATATTTTAGATGAACTAAATGTAGAAAGTAAGTAATCATATTTTGTAAGAAAACCCCTGCCATTAATTTGAATTAAAATTACTGAAAATATCTGAAAATACTTTTGAAAGATTTAAATAAGTGCTGCCATATAAACTATCAATCCTCACCACCGCTAGCACATCGCAGCCATGAAATGCAAATCAGGAGACACTAACACCTAACTTGATTGCCCAGGACATTTCACAGAGGATCAAGCTTTTTGATGAGTTGCTATTGTTTTCTTCACCCTTTGATATTTGGGGTACATAAAGATGAGTGGCTCATTATACATCCCCTGATTACAGATAACAGGTCAGGGCACTGAATAAAGGAAGCAGCTGTTCTTTTCTTCTTCCTCTCCTCACACTAGCCCGTCTGAATTTAATACACGGGTCTATGCAGATTAGCGTCATTATGTAGAAATTTCATCCCTTATTAGGTATGTGCATTTATTCATTCATTGGGCCATTTATGTTTTAGCAAACATTTATTAAGCCTTTACATAATAACAGTAATGGCAATAATGAGAGCAACTATTTATTGAGCACATACTAAGAGCTAAAAGGCTGGGAATATGAGGCTGTTCCCTTCAGGAAGGAAGCAGACCACTGCTTCCTCTCACATTTTAAGGAGTGATCTCTGGCAGAGGTGCTTTGAGACTTTCCTGGGGACCTCACCCATGCACCTAACCCAGGCTGTCTGCTTGCAGAGGTAATGGAATAGAAAAACCACCCGAAAGAAAAGGTGCCCCCTGAGTATCACCTGGAGAAAAAGAGTTTAACCAGGAAGCTGGCTTCACCCAGAAGAAGCTAAAATAATAGTGACTGCTAGCCTGGAACAAAACACTGAGGTGGGTACTGTGGGTATCACCCAAACTAATTTAGACAAGAATCCTCTTTTGAGGGAGAGCACAGTCCAATAGGAGACATAAGTGATTCTGTCATTAACTTTATGCATATCTTACACTTGCTCAGCTCCTCCATTTATTTAAAAGTAAAGGCACTACAGAGGCCTGGGAACGAATGAAATATGTTCTGAAGCCAGGGCCAGACCAAGAGAAACACATGTTAAATAATTATTTGATTAACTCCGGCAGCAGCATTGCTAGTCATTGTCATCCAAACGACTTTACAGCCTGAGTTGTCAGGAATCATGATTTATGCAGCTGAAATGACTGCAGTAATAAGTGCTCAGTGCACCTCTTCTTTTTTGTTATGTTGATGGGGCCTGAGAATCACACACACAAGAAGCAGAACCTTTAAAAGACTGAATTCCCCAATGCTACAGTTATTAGCAACGTATTACGATTCTCTGCTGAGGTTTTTAATCCTGGCTCCTCTGATGGGTCACCTTTAAAAAAAATGAGTGTATATATTAAAAATTTTCTGAAAGTTTTTGAGCACACAAGATTTTTAAAAAGTGTTTTATATTTAACAGATACGATCAGGTTAAACATCTATTTTTGGTATTGCATGTAGTGGACTAATGATTTTACACAACTTTCTGCCAGCATTTAATATCATATGTGTTTGACTCTTTCAACATTGCTTATGTCTGAGGAGCACAAAATAAAAATTCTCAAGGAGCTCCCTGAAGAGACCTAGTCTAGACTAAGTGAAATTTATGGAGAATTTGCACTGTCTGTTTTTGGTACAGTACAGAGAAGTCCCAGGGATGGTAGCAAAGATGAGAGCCCCAAAAGCTTGGGATAACAGACGATGATCTTCCTCTTAAAAGTACAAAAGGGTGCTGGCAACAACCCACCCTTTCCCACGGACTCAGTTATACTCCTGTAAGCCGGGGGGAGGGGGTTTGAAAATCTACTTAATGCATTTTGAACTCTTCAGCTTGATGGGTCATTGTCCCAAGAAATCGGTTTGAATCGGCAGCCGAAATACACAGTGTGACAGTGGAAGGTCCTCTGCACCCAGTTTGACAAGGACGACTTGGCAGTTTGTCCAGCCTTACAGGTGAGCCTTTCATAGGACCACATCCACAAAAGGGAACAGAGGAGAGCAGCACATCCCCAGACCTGAATCCCAAAGGAAGTGGACCATTTTCTTGCTTTCGTGTGATGCACTCTTGTAGGGCACAAAAGGTTAGTGTTTAGTCCTTCTCACAGCATGGCAAGTGGAGCTGGTCCCAACCTCGGGGATTTTGGGAGGTTCTGTGGGAAGTGTTTTGGCAGCCTGAGCATTCTCTGTCAACAGTTCAAATTCATGGGAAAAGGCATGAAGCCAAAAGTGCTTGCAGGTGAATTATTTGTCCCTTTCAAGTGCATCTTACTTACCCTGATGACGTGTAAGTGTGTTTATCTTTGTTGGGAGGGACTATCAGGTAGGTCAGTAAATCCTTCCATGTATAAATTATAAATCACAAATGGCATGCAGGAGAAATACCAAGTCAGAATCTGCTCATTTGTTTGTCCGTTTCTCATCCCAAATATTAAACACAAACGATGGGTGAAAAATTGATATTAATCATAATAAAAACAAGACCATGATGTTGACATGCTCCCAAAGTGTTTGGTCATGAGAGAAGAAAAAGTGGAACAACTGTTCTTTGTAAAACATGGATGAGCTGGAAGCCAGAACTGACCCATTTAAAGAAAGCAAGAGAAACAGATCAGGCTTATTATCAAATACAAAAGAACAGCATGTCACTAACAACCTAAATTTATCTCAGATGTACAAAAAAATCTTACTCATCCCAAGCAGATCTCTAGACCAACATTCAAAAATGACTATAAAAGGCATGGGAAGTTGAAAACCTTTTCTAGGATTCTATTTACAAGATGCTACCTCAATTTTTGTTTGTTTGTTTGAGACGAAGTTTTGCTCTTGTTGGCCAGGCTGGAGTACAATGGCACGATCTTGGCTCACTGCAACCTCTGCCTCCTGGGTTCAAGCGATTCTCCTCCCTCAGCCTCCCAAGTAGCTGGGACTACAGGCATGCGCCACCATGCATGGCTAATTTTGTATTTTTAGTAGAGACGGGGTTTCTCCATGTTGGTCAGGCTGGTCTCGAACTCCCAACCTCAGGTGATCTTCCCACCTCGACCTCCCAAAGAGCTGGAATTACAGGCATGAGCCACCACGGCCAGCCAAGCTACCTCAATTTAAGAAACATTATTTGATATCTCATTATTAATTAGTCTTCTTTTTCATATATCACAAAACAGTTGAAAATTACTTAAAAAGTACTCTTAATCAACAATCAAAATTAGATCCTGGCCACATCACACACGGTGGGTGGCTTACCATGCCTGTAATCCCAGCACTTTGGGAGGCTAAGACAGGAACACTGCTTACATCCAGCAGTTTGAGACCAGCCTGGGCAACATAGTGAGACTCTGTCTCTACGAGAAGTTTTTAAAAATTAGCTGGGCATAGTGGCATGCACCTGTAGTCCCAGCTACTGGGGAGGCTGAGGTGGGAGGATCCTTTGAGCCCAGGAGGTCAAGGCCTCAGTGAGCCGTGATTGTGCCACTGCACTCAGCCTGGGCAACGGAGCAAGACCCTGTCTCAAAAATAATAATAATAAAAGACATAGATCTCTTTTGTGTCTGGAAAGCAGACCATAAGAAGATCTACATTTTATTTTTTAAAATAGGATTTTTTCCCCCTAGCCTTGAGGCAGGATCATTTCTAAAGAGGCTCAGATTTGAAGGGAAAAAAAAAAAAAAAGATGAAGTCATAAATCCTTCCCCCAGGAAAAGAAAGAAAAACAAAACATAGCATTAAAAATTTTGGCAGATGGATGATCACCTTCATGTTTTCCTCAAGGCTGTGTTAAGGTTACATTTCTCCTGTCAAAAACACAACCAGGAATCCGTTCCCTGCTATGTAGAAGTGGAGGAAGTGAATGGCTGAAATACAATGACTGAGAAGAGGCCAGGCTCTGTGAAAAGGGGACCTGGATTCCATTCCTAACATTTAACAATTTAAGGTTTCTAGGGGTCAGTTTCCTCTAAGAGTACCAGACTAAATAATTTAAAATATCTCTTTTTAATCCTCAAAAATTCCAAGTCTATACGGTTCCCATGATCTGATAGATTCAATGATTTTTTTTTTTTTTTTTTTTGAGACGCAGTCTTGCTCTGTCCTGTAGGCTGGAGTGCAGAGGCACGATCTCGGCTCACTGCAACCTCCGCCTCTCAGGTTCAAGTGATTCTCTTGCCTCTGCCTCCCAAGTAGCTGGGATTAGAGGCGTCCGCCGCGACCCCTGGTTAATATTTGTATTTTTAGTAGAAATGGGGTTTTACCATGTTGGTCAGGCTGGTCTTGAACTCCTGACCTCAGGTGATCGGCCCGCCTCGGCCCAAAGTGCTGGGATCACAGGGGTGAGCCACCATGCCCGACCTAGATTCAGTGATTCTCAAATAACCTAGGATGCTCTGATAAACCCCAAAGTCACTTACAATTCAGTTCAAATGCCATTGAGCACATTAGTCCAGCACGTTTATCTTTCCTTCCAGGACTGGTGCAGACTCATTTATGGAGCTCAGGAACTGAGCTCCAACACTTTCTCAGCCCTAGGACTGTGAGCAAGGTCCTTTTTTTTCCCCAAATAAATCCACCCCTCCAAACTGTTTATTGAAATTTCTCTTACCTGTCTTAGCAGAGATTCCCAAGCACTCCTGTGCTCTTTTTGTCACTTATTAAAAATCAGATCAGAAAAAAGAGGGAAACAAATGTCTTTGCTCTATGGTGTGAAGGTTCATTCATCCACATGTATTGCTGAGCGCTCCTACGTGTGCCTGACATAGGGAAGGGATGACTGGCACGGCCTGTGTTTCCACAGAGCACATATTCTACTGGCAGGGATAGAACTGTACAGGAGAATAAACCTGGTAATATGAGAGACTGAGGATGGGGCTGGGAAGGTGGTTCATAGGGGATCTCAATTAATAAAGGGCCAGCAATTGTGAACATTACATGGGAAAGCATGCCAGGAAGAAGAGAAAGTTGCAGAAGGCCTACAGTAGGCATGTATTAGACAGACAGAAGATTACTGATGCTAGGAAATGTTGCAAGAGGCATGCCAAGATTGAGATCAGAGTGGTCATCCTGAGCCCACAGGCCCTTAACTCAGTGAGGAGTTTAGTTTTTATTCTCAGTCTGGCAATATGATTTGATACAAATTGTCAAAAGATTCATTTGGCTGCTGGTAGAACGTGGATGACAGGAAGTATGATTAGAAGCAGGGGACCTGTAAGGAGGCCCTTGAGATCCAGCAGAGAGGGCATGGCCACCTGGACCAGGGTGGAGGAGGGCGAGCCGGGAGTCGAGAGTTCCAAGTAAGTGACATAAAGGACTAACTCTGCTCTTCCTCACAGTTGCAGGGCATTTTTTTTTTTTAAGTGGACTTAAGATTCCAAACAAGTGACATACAAAGCAAATTTTGATTTTCCCCTTGGCTGTATCCTTCCAAATGAGTCATGTCTGCATCTACTTAAGCAGACTGGGACACCACTTCCCAGCTCAAGAATGCCACCCGCATGTGCTATCACAACAGCTTTGATGAGGCTTGGCCACCAGGCCCTGGGTCCTGACCACTTGCAAGTGGGCCACACCTTGATAGCAGCTGCATGACAGCACCCACTAACTTGAGGAAGCCAGCCGAGGGGCCAGCTTCCTGAGCGTGATTCAAACCGGAACTAAGGGTGCAGCTGACAAGAGTTTGTCAACAGCCATTGAAGTAAGTGAGTTATGAGGTTTCAGGTTGACATTAGGTAGCTGCTGGTGTGGGCAGCGCAGTGTTGTTTTACAACTGAGGTCTTTACTTTCCTGTTTCCTCCCAGAACAGAATTTCATCTAATTGGGAGGCAGAAAATAGGTAGCTGGTTTTCAGGAAAACTGAGAAATTGAGTGGATTTATTCAGATCTGAAACTGTTCATGCTTCCCCCTCCCCACTCCATGGCTTCTGTGGTTAAGAGCTCAGTCCTTATCCTCCAATGCAAAATGGTCCTCACCTCCAGCTTGTAAGAAACAAGAATCCTCTCCTGATGCCTGTAGTCTAGGTTAGGAAATCTCTCTTCCCTAGACCCCGCTCTTTACCCGCTCCTGCTGCACAACTGTAATCCAGTCATGAACTGTGTGTTTTGAGGTTTCATGTCTATCACCCTTTGCAGAACACACTCTCAGATCCATAGCAGCTGCAAATACGCCCATCCTGTTTACTATTACATCTCTAACATTTGGTAACCTGTAACCTGTAACGATGGCTACTCACCACAAATATGTAGACTAAGTATACGAATGAATGAATGAATGATGACACAGTTGCCTTTAGCATCTAAATGTCTAGACACAGAAAGCAACTCAGACCACTCCTTGCTGTGAACCAAGCTGTACGAAGATCATTTCAGATTTACTTTTCTTTTTCTGTTCCTATGTTTTCTGTTTCTATGTTTCTTGCCATTGTGACTTACATTTCCCTTCAAACAGCCTTGCAACATTATGGGCTTGGCTGAAGCTTGCCAAAAAGGAAACAGCACAATCCTAACACGGGTAAGCAAGCAGGTCTGCTGATAATACTTAAAAGGTGGGAGGAGCAGGGGAGGCAGAATTGTAATGCTCTCTTGCTTGGGAGCACTTGTCTCCCAGAGGAAGGGTTAGATCACTCAACAAAATATGAAACCAGAGAGCAGAGTAGTTTTGAAAAGTTAAAATATTTAGATATGAATAATTTTCAGAGGAAAGATAGCAGTAAAGGTTGGAGGGGTGGGGCTGGTGCAAGAAGAAATAAATCTTATCAAAGGCAGCCTTGGGAGCTCAGGCAGATAGGATAAGAGATAAGTCCCTTTGCAGAGTTAGTCACACCCTCCCACATACAATTCACTTGGCAAAGGTTCCTTTACTAACAAAGCAGGTGCATGTTTTAACCAAAAAACAGTGCAGTGCAACAGCTAGGGTGGCTATAAATGTAGTTTTAAACACTTTTTTTTTAAAGCAGGATATAACAAAACATCGTCTATAGGAAATCTGAAAATATAGGGTCTTATGGCCACAAAGCAAGTCCAAGTTTTCTCGTCGAACTTTAAATGATGGACAGTTTCTGAAAAGGGGCATTTGGACCTTAAGTCGGAGACAACAGAGCTGACATTCCTCCCAAAGCTCTGTGGAGTGGAAAACAGATGGTGATTCCAAAGCAAGAATCTGAGGAAAGGAGCCAGGTTGAGATGAGAAAGGGGCAATTAACAGTGAGAAAACCCAGTTCCTTTCCTTCAGCTCTTCAGACGAATCCAACAGAACTTCTTTTCCTCTGCTCCAGTTATTAGGTTGGTACAAAAGTCATTGCGATCTTTGCCATTACTTTCAATGGCAAAAACCGCAATTACCTTTGCAACAACCAACCTAATGTAAGGACATGCTACCTGGGAGACTCTGCTCATGGATGATATTAATGTTTCTGCCTCTGCCACTCAAAGTCAGCCCTACAAGTTACTATCCCCTAGCAAGGGAGCTACTCAGGGTTTAGAAACAAAGAACATTAAAAAGGCCTGTACATAGTGGTAGAATAACCAAATCAGCCTTTCAAATGCAAGGCAAAGAAGCATTCTATACTCACAGCCCAAATAAACAAAAGCAGTTTACCTCCAATGCAACCTAGAGTCCTAGCCTCGCCCTTTCTCTCCCTCTGGACTGAGACCTCTTTATTTCCTCTGTAGTTTCTCGGTGTCTCTTCTTTTCTCTTTTGCTTCCTCTCCCATTTCGTTTACTGACCATTATCAAAATTTAAAATTAACTTTTAAACACCCATTTTGTGTAATTTTTAAAAAGTATGATGTTCATGCTGATCATGTCATTCCTGTATTGAAAATCTCTCAATGATCCCCACTGTATATACCACAGGATTCAACCAGAAGAACAGAGAAGCTCAAAGCCTCTCATAGCCAGCCCCAATTTGTCCCTCAAACATCCTGCACTTCAATCAAACCAGACAGAGTACCAGTTGTTCTCACTTGGATTGTTCTTTAAACACTTCCCATCACCTACAAATAATGAAATTTTATCTTCTCTTCACAGCCTAAAATCAGCCAGTACCTTTTCTATCAAGCATTGCTACACTGGGGAATCAGAATTCAAATGTTTTCTGTATACACAGCACTTCTGTATACAAACACATATATGTGTCTTTGAACATATATTTATTTACTTTATTATCCAGTAGGCAACTGGTAGACCCAGAGTGTAAGACTTATTTCCTCTAACCACACACACACACACACACACACACACACACACACACAGAGAGAGAGAGAGAGAGCAAGAGGGGGGAGAGAGAGAGAGAGAGAAACACAGACAGTGCCTATTATCTTATCTTAAATATAATAGATGTATCTTTAGGAAGCAGAAGTTTTAAACTGAGTAGCCAAGTGTTTAGAGACTTTCAATTTTACTTTCTCTTCCCCCACATCCTATTTTTGAAAATTCATGTAATCTCTGATTTTGTTTTCTATGAGCTGGTGACGCTGAACAAATGAAAATCATCAATCATTCTTGAAATTCATATTTCATAAGGTAACATCGTAAGAGTTTCATGAAACTCCTCTGCCAGTTGCACTTTTAGCATGAATTTTTAGAAAAAGTATAGAATGACAAAAGGCTACTACACATTCAATAAGTCTTTAAAATATATTTGCATTTTGTTAACCATGGTAGGATCTGCATGCATTTGAAATTGGCTATAACTTATGTTTTGTTATATTGCGCCCCCTTTGACGCTTTTTAGAAAACAACATTTAAAACTACTTTTTGAAGAAACAGAAATTATGAAATTCTGATTATTTCATACACAACAAGGCTTGGACCATATAGTGTTAACCCAAGGATAATTCTTGTAAGAATTCTTCCCTATTCTCAACCCTCGGACTCTATTACCTACTGTTGTGAATGTCAATGAACTAATTATTGCTTGGCCTAACTTCTAGAATCCAACTTCATTCCAAACCTGCCCTTGAGTAAGGAAAGGAAGAAAGCTCTATCTAAGACCAGTGCAACGGGAGGATCTCATTTCCATTTAGATGTTACAGGATATTTTAAAAAGTAGAATTGAAACTGGACTTAAGTTTCCCAGACCAAATGCCAGAGACAGTAGAGATGCTATAGCCAAAATAGGGAAGACAGGAAGACATGTCAGTTTCAAAAGGAAGGGCATGAGGTCAGCTAGTGGGTCATGATATGTTTGAGTTGAGATGTTCAGGAAGCAATTGGAGAGACAGGTCTGGAGGTCAGCACTACTAGAGGCAGAGATTTGGAAAATATCTGCCAAAAGCGTAAGTGTCACAGGAGTTCATGAACTGTAGATTCAGAAAAAGTTTAAGGAAGAACCTTGTAAATACCATATGTCAGAGGTAATTGGAGAATATGGAATTAAAAAAACAAAACAAACAAACAAAGCCAGGAGCAATGACTCACACCTATAATCTCAGCGTTTTGGGAGGCTGAGGCAGGCAGATCACCTAAGATCAAGAGTTTGAGACCAGCCTGGCCAACATGGCAAAGCCCAGTCTCTACCAAAAATAGAAAAAAATTAGGTGGGCATGATGGCACACGCCTGTAGTCCCAGCTACTCGGGAGGCTGAGGCATGAGAATCGCTTGAACCCAGGTGGCAGACGTTGCAGTGAGCCAAGATTGTGCCACTGCATTCCAGCCTGGGTGACAGAGCAAGACTCCATCTCAATAAATTAAAAACAAACAAACAAAAAAACAAATAAACAAAAAACCCAAAATAGGCCGGAAATACAGAGCAAAAGGGAACTAGCATTTACTGAGCACTGCCTGGGACTAGGCCAGGCACTTCAAATATGCATTCTCATTTAATTCTCACCATTTTCCCTTGATATAGACATTGCCAGTTATGCCCATACATGTGAGGCACCAGATAAATTTGAGGCCCAGTGTTACAGATAATGCTACATTCATCGTTGAAGAACGGGGAAGGTGCATGAAGAAACCCAAGAGAAAGCAGAATTTCCAGCCATCAGATAGGGTATCAAGGAAAATGAGGCTTGGAAAAAGAGTCTTGGATTGTCAATATCACACGTTTGAATTCTTTGAGAACTGCACAGGGAAGTGACAAAGACGAAGTTAAGCTGTAGGATTGGTCCAGTGCATAAAGGCACAATTAATCAAAACTTAGCTAAAAACACCTGTTCAATGACCAACCTATAAATGATATACGGTAACAGATTCTTGACACGACACCACTCATTATTACAGGGATTTGAACACTAAGTGAAACTGGTGTCTCTGAAACCGAACTGGCTTACCTAATAAATTCCCACTCTCACCCCAAAATGTGTTTCAAACAAGGTTTCCCACACTTCATTTACTTATGCTTCATTTTTATGAGTTTTACCTTCTGAGAGTTCAATTATGTTCTTGATATGTCAAAAGCAACTTGCCATAAATCAAAGGCAACAATAAAAATAAAATCCTATTATTATTATTATTATTATTATTATTATTATTATTATTTTTTTGAGACGGAGTCTCCCTCAGTTGCCCAGGCTGGAGTGCAGTGGTGCAATCTCGGCTCACTGCAACCCAACCTCTGCCTCCCAGGTTCAAGTGATTCTTTTGCCTCAGCCTCATGAGTAGCTGGGATTACAGGTGCGTGCCACCATCCACCTAATTTTTGACGGGGTTTCACCATGTTCGCCAGGCTGGTCTCGAATTGGTCTCGAATTCCTGACCTCAGGTGATCCGCCTGCGTCGGCCTCCCAAAGTGCTGGGATTACAGGTGTGAGCCACCACGCCCAGCCAAAAGATTTTTTTAAACTGTCTGTCCTTATGCAGCATTTGAAAACCCCAGTACTTCCAATATACCTTCCTCACTTACAAAAGAGAACACTGGCGATCAGTTGGGTAATAAGAATAGCAAGTAGTTACTGGGGCTCTCTATGTGCACTTTCATTAATTCCTTTGATACCCCCAACAACGCTAAGAAGTAGGGGCTATTTTTAATTGGCTAACTAATATATTTAGTCAATAATTTTTTTTTTTTGAGACGCAGTTTCCCTCTTGTTGCCCAGGCTGGAGTGCAATGGCACGATCTCGGCTCACCACAACCTCCGCCTCCCAAGTTCAAGCAATTCTCCTGCCTCAGCCTCCCGAGTAGCTGGGATTACAAGCATGTGCCACCACGCCCAGCTAATTTTGTATTTTTAGTAGAGATGGGGTTTCTCCATGTTGGTCAGGCTGGTCTTGAACTCCCAACCTCAGGTGATCTGCCCATGTCGGCCTCCCAAATTGTTGAGATTACAAGCATGAGCCACCGTGCCTGGCCAGAATATTTTTTAGTAACTTTTTTTGAGACAGAGCCTCCCTCTGTCACCCAGGCTGGAGTGCAGTGGTGTGATCCCGGCTCACTGCAACCTCCATCTCTGAGGTTCCAGAAATTCTCCTGCTTCAGCCTTCTGGGTAGCTGAGATTACAGACGTGTGCCACCATGCCTGGCTAATATTTTTTGCATTTTTAAGAGAGACAAGGTTTCATCATGTTGGTCAGGCTGGTCTCAAACTCCTGAACTCAAATGACAGCCTCCCAAAGTGCTGGGATTACAGGCATGAGCCACCGTGCCCGGCCCTCAGTAGAATATTTTTTGAGCACCTGGTATGTCCTAGGTGCTGGGATAAATTCAAACCCCTTTTGTTAAATTGATGGAAAAAGAGGGGAGTGGAAAGAAACAAACAAAGCAAAACAAATATATATATAAAATGCCTTGTGGTGAGAAACGTTCTGAAGGAGAGGAAAAAAATGACATATATTCCAATGGAGAAAACTGAGGCACCCAAATCATGCTGGACTTGCAGAGGGCAATGCAAAGTTCATGAAGTAGCGGAGCAGAAGTCAGATGCCAAGAGAAAACTCCAGAGCAAAGATGTCCAGCCACGTCCGTGTGCTGCCTCCTCTCCTGCCGGATGCTAACTCCACTTCTTAGCACCAGTATCCAACCCATCAGGTACTGCCTGAGCACCCTTTAATGCTAGGCTTCGGGGTAAAAGAAAGAACAAGTGAAACTTGAGAAAGCATAATCACCTATATACAGTCAAGAGGGAAAGTGGTAAATGACACGTCTCTATGGTTCCTCCAGTGTTTGCCTATCTTTTCAGGACTTTTTGCTGAAATGAGAATGAGAATGAGGATGTAGGCAGTGGTTGGTCCATGTTACATCTTAGTAGAAGTCATTAGAACCCACCTAGTTAGACTTACAATCAGTGTTACATGGGGATGAATGTCACCTGGGAAAAGCGGCTGTAATTTCCTAACAAAGCCTATGTCAAATGAAAAGGCAAATTGGGGAAGACAAGGAAGTACATTGTACTTAGTGACCTTTCAGAATTTACCAAATGCTTAATCATCTACATAAGGTGCAAATATGCTTTAACGGCTTGACTTAACCTGGGAAGATACAACATATAAAAACATCTCACGTCTCCATTTACATTACTAAACACCAGCTGGATTAGTTGCCACACAATTGATGCTTATTAGCACCCAAAAGCTTGATGTGATGGCTACGGCACGGCTACTGCTCATGAATTAAAATGGACATGCTCATACTTAAGGTATGTGTTTCCCAATTCAGAGATTTAAAATGAAGTTTTCCAAGTAACAATTATATTTTTATAACTCCTAAGTTCTCAAAAGTATCCTATTGTCTTATTTACCTGGAAGGAGTGCTGGAGAGAGAAAAAAAGAGGCAATTTTTATAAATCTATAAATATGTAATTTTATAGCCTTTTGAAAGAGTTTACTATTTGCAATGCTCACCAAATTACATGCCCATGATAGAAATTTCTATTTCATAAAAGAATGTGATAAAAATTGACGATGCAGACTAGACCAACCTGTCAGGGACCTCAGTGTTCACAATGGCCTCAGGACAGAGCAGCTGCAAATCATCTGTCCCCGGCAATGTGAGCACAGAGAGGACACCCATCACGCTGCGTGGAACTCCCCATTTAGGCAGATGAAAACAGGCGTGAGACTCAATGCACAACATGTAGATTAAGTTAAAAGGTTAATTTTCTGACTCGTGGTCTGGATAGTAGAGCTGTGGAGGAAAACGAGTTACCATATGCTCCGTAAATTTCCTTTCGGTTAAAAAAGATGAGGGAAAGAGAGAGAGATATGTCCTTGATTCCGTGCCATTAGTTCCGGCAGTGAGGATGCTCACTGTCACGCCTTTCCCAGGTTTGATCTGATGGAGGACGAACGACTCAGTGGTTAGACACAGGCTCGACAGTCAGACAAACACATTGAATGATGTTGCTGCCACTTGAGAGAGCAGGCGAGATGTGGCTCTTAACTCTCAGCTGTGGCTTCCTCAGCAAAATGGGGTTGATATTAAGTGAGGAATAATAATAAGAAACTGCCCACAAAGTACTTGGCACCAGCACTCAATACACCACTACCTGAGTCCTCTCCAGGAAACAAAGTTGGAGCCTATATCCCTTACAGGGAAGAACTGAGATTCTCTGAAAAAAAATAAAACGTTGCCAAGAAAAGAAGCTGGGAGGATAGGAAAGGGTCTACCAAGTACTTTTAGGGACTGTGTCTCCAGAGTGATAGAAATAATGTATAATTCTTTTATAACTCTCTATTAGATACTGTGTTTCCCATTTTATTTTCTAGATAAAAAAAATTGAGGTTTAGCAAAGGTCCAACTGGTTACATAGCCAAAGCAGGAGTCCAATTGAGGTTTATCACATTTCAAAAATAATTATAACTAATATTTATTGAAGAATTATGGCTCAGCACTTTATATACATAATCATACTAAATATATAAGACACTCTTATGAATAAGGAAACACATTATTCCCATTTTAAGCTAAGGAAACTGGGGCATATACAGTTAAGCAGTTGCTTGAGTAAATATGGCTAATAAGTGACAGTGTCAGGATTTGAAGCAAGGCAGTGTAATTCCGGCACTTTATATACATAATCATACTAAATATATAAGACACTTATGAATAAGGAAACACATTATCCCCATTTTAAGCTACGGAAACTGGGGCATATACAGTTAAGCAGTTGCTTGAGTAAATTTGGCTAATAAGTGACAGTGTCAGGATTTGAAGTAAGGCAGTGTAATTCCAGGTCACAGCCACAATACACGTGTGCCTCGAAGGTTGCAGGCAGGATACATGTGTCCCTCGAAGGTCATGAGCCTGATATACACGTCTCAAAGGTCTCCACCTTTCTCCTGTGTGCTCAGGAAACAACACAATCTAGTGTAAAAAAAAAAAAAAAAATTCATGGCTGGGTGCAGCGGTTCACGCCTGTAATCCCAGCACTTTGGGAGGCCGAGGTGGGCGGGTCTCTTGAGGTCAGGAGTTCCAGACCAGCCTAGCCAACTTGGTGAAACCCGCTCTCTACTAGAAATACAAAAATTAGCCAGGCGCAGTGGCGAGGGCCTATAATCCCAGCTACTCGGGAGGCTGAGGCAGGAGAATTGCTCGAACCCGGGAGGCAGAGGTTGCAGTGGGCCGAGATCGAGATCGCGCCATTGCATTCCAGCCTGGGCAATATAGCCAGACTCGGCCTCAAAAAAAAAAAAAAAAAAAAAAAAAAAAAAAAAAAAAAAAAAAATTGACACACAAACACGTTTAAAATGAGCAGTATTAAAATCTGAATCTACCCCCGTCTCTACTAAAAATACAAAAAAAAAATTAAGCCGGGCGTGGTGGTAGGCACCTGTAGTCCCAGCTACTCAGGAGGCTAAGGCAGGAGAATGGCGTGAACCCGGGCGGAGCTTGCAGTGAGCCGAGATCGCGCCACTGCACTCCATCCTGGGCAACAGAGTGAGACTCTGTCTAAAGGAAAAAAAAGAATCTGAATCTACTACTTTGTCCTTACAACAACATAGGAATAAACTAGAACGTTGTGGAAATTGGATAAATTCAACATGCTCCATGTTCTCTTGGTTTAGAGGATTCTTATTAATAACCCTGTTCGGCTCTTGAGGCCTCTTCAGAATGACAAGTGCCTCTGATTAATGTCCACGTGCACATATTCACCTGCCGAGTCTCTCATCAGAAAATATTAAGAAGAAGGGGAGAGAAAAAGAGAAATAGAAAACTAAAGAGGTAGCTGAAATAGATACAGTTCCTCAAAAGATGCCCTGGACAGACCTTCACAATCTCCAGATACAGGACAATGATTCAGCCCCATATGACAGAGGCTCCTGTGGTGAGGCCCACTGAGAGTCCACTCTCATTGTCACCTGGTCATTTACAGCTGAGTATGGAGGCCCCAGCCCCAGCAACCGGGGAGGTCCACCGGGGTCTGCCCGACACTGGGCAGTTACAGACAATGGGGCAAGAGCGTGTGTCTGTGCTTCCTCAGGGCCACCTTCTCAAATCCTTCTTAAGGATTCAACATAACATTGGCCTGGATCAGTTCTGAAGATATCAGCGGTTTATATTTATCTCACAATAGCCCGATGAGGTTCATTGTATTATTATTACCATTTTACAGAAGAGGAAATTGAGGAACAAAGAGATGAGGGAACTTATCTGTCACATGGCTAAGGAACTGTCGGAGCAGGGTGGAGTCCAAGGCAATCTGACTCCAGAGCTCACAAGCTGCCCTGCAAACCCCTCCTTTTAATATTTCGCCAATTTCTGAGGCTCATGAGCAGAGACAAAGACATTCTTTCACAAGTTAAAAGTGTTTATACATCTTTCCCAGGCCCCACCCCTACCTAACCACCCCCAACCCCGCCGTTTCCCCTCCCCTTCCTTCTCTGTGCACACAGCAGACAAACCTTATCTGTTGTTTAAAACATAGAGTTATGCCTGTCTCATTCTCTCTTGTGTAAATGCAGCAAGATTCCTGATACAAAGGCCTGTAATCCATAGTAAAAGTCTGATAAGCGTCTCTTAGGTGAAAGAGCAAACATATTAGCATTGTGGGAGAATGTACTCATTGAGTAAAAAATACACAGACTCAAGAAGACAGGGTGACCAGCATAAAATAGCAAATACTAGCCTTGCTACGCTGCCTCCCTAGTAATAATCCAGGCTCGGTAACCATTTAAACAGGAAGTGTATATTAACCATTAGATGCATCAGCAACAGCAATAACAACAAAATTCGAGCAGCCAATTCAACGTTTTCTCTGCTCATGGACATAAGACTATAAATCCCAGCCACCAACTGCTCACCTTAATCTTATTCCCTTTGAATCACCACAGCCAAGTCTGAACAACTTTTTCATTATAATATTATTATCTGAGTCTTGCAGTGCTTGTTTAGAAAGCATTTTCCTAAACAGTACCTCATTTAATTAACTGAATCATCAATACAACTGGTAAGGTAGGAGTTCTCCTTTTTCCCAGATTAGGAAACTGAGTTTCAGGGAGATTACCCAGCCAGCAGGAGCAGAAACTGGCTTTTCTGATTCTAGGTCCTGTGCTGCTTCCCTGACACCATTTCCCCATCCTCTGATGCCACTTCTATACATTTTTTAGCCTTGGCTTCTGGGTTCCATGCCCTCCTGTGCCATCACCAAATAGGCTACATTCCAGATTTCAAATAAATAAATGGCCCACACAACTAAAGGCATGCTCTTATCCTCTGTCCGACATACTCTCTAACACAACCAGATAAAGATCAAAGTGGCATTTACAGGTCTCAAATACATCAAATGCATGGATCATTAAAACAAAACAAAACAACAACAACAACAACAAAAAACTACGTATATGCCAAAAAAAGTTTTAAAGAAAAATTTTAAAAACCACTCCAAGAGTACATACAATATAGTAATAGATGTTTTCCATGAGTAAGAGGATTGTGCATGGTTTCCTTTACTGCAATAGTCTATTCTTTCTAAATTTTCTATAATTTACATACATGACACTGTTGCTTGACATCAGAAAAAAAAAGATTTCAGAAATGTTCAGTAGTGAAAGCACTGAAAAATTCCAGGTCTCCACAGGAAGGAAGGAAAGGGACTTTGCTGCAGGGGGCTGATTTTGCCCCACCTTGAGGAAGGCTGGAGAGGCTGGGAGAAGGGGCGGTCACCATTCACAAAGCACAGGAGGGAAACTGAGTAGACAGCTTCCTCTCTCCACCAGGAATTGTGACTTCTGGGAAACAGCCACCCCTCCCTGCAGGCTGCCAACTCTCTCCACACCTAAACACGCTGACTTGTACCAATGGAAACGCCTAGCTTTTAAAACAAGGTTACAAATCTGTTGCATCCAGGCAGAGAGGGAGTTGATTATTCTACAGACAGAGCTAATTATTTTGACCTAATGCTTTGAGATCCTCCAGTATCAAATCTGTGACTCCAAATAAATGGAGAGGTCATTATCACATGTTATCTTTACGCCTGGACTTAAAAACAAAATTTGAGACAACGCTGAAGGGCATAAGCTTGCTCACTGTAGTAGCTTTAGTACAACACTTTCTGCAAAGTTGCTGACAATGGAGTATGAAGCACCAGTCTCCAACACCGAGGGTTTCTAGGTGTGACACCATGGAACTTTTAGACACAAAGCAAACAACTTTTGTTTTTCCCCTACATTTGAGGAAACCCACGAGTCTATTTTCCTGGACATGAAGACAGAACACTGATAACAGAAAAAGGGCTCTCTTGTGAGTTATTTTCATCTGAGGATGTCCGACCTACCACAAAACCACCCAAGAAAAAGAGAGAAGAGCAGATTCAGAAAGCGAAATTATTTCAAGTGTTATGTTAACCGAATATCCAAATAATAAACACCCAACGCAAACAGTCCAGTAGGGGCAGGTAATAAATCATAATACTTGTGGGGATCAGATCTCATTAGATTTGAAAAAAGGAACATTGTTGCACAAACTGGTTATTAGAACAAGGTTCTCTCTCCCTGCTTTTTTTTTTTTCTCTTAAAAAAAAAATTGGGACAAAGCCCAAATCTTTTACGATGTAATTTCTTTCCTTATTGTACATGTCTCAGCAAGTCGCCATCAGCTGTTATTTGTTATTAAGGATCTGTATAAACATTAAGGCAAAGAGACTGACTCATGCCACAGAACAGGAAGAGAAAGGATGTGATCACACTGTTACTTTCATCTGCAGTCATGTTCGGCATTAACCATTATAGAGATGGCAGTTACCATTCTCTAACATGAAACATTTGCGCGCAGTAGGAAGCAAATTCTAGAATGGAGCAAACCAGCAACGGGCTGGAGGACTTAAGGATGGGTGAATCCCTGCAGCAGGCATGAAGGTAGAGGTGGCTCTGCCACAGGGCAGCACCCTGCAAGAAGTAGGGGGACTGGGGGCCCATGGACCTCCTGGACATCCTTCTTGGGAGCAGAGAAACCACCCGAAAAAGCTACTAGGCTAGGAATTCTTAAATCTGAGGGCTGAGGGCTTTGGGTATATGATTTGGGTTTGGGGGACACATGGAATTCTGTTCTCTGGCTCCATGGGGTGTATCTGTAGCCCTGCCTCAAACAAGGGAAGAATCACAGCAGGACATCGTGGTCTGCAGGGGGTCAGTGCTTTTTCAGTCCAAAAATCAGCACCTCCTACACAGCCCAGATCGTACTCCTCCACTGTGCTGTGGGCAAATGGGATTCTTGAAGCACCACCACCTCCCCCTCCAAGTACCCTGGAGGTCCTTCAAATATTAGCTCTAAGTGGCTGAGGACAGAGTTGACACCTCAAAGGCTTGGGAATTAACTTATAACAGCTAATTTAGAGAGTCACATGATCAGCCAAGTGTACCCAGTTACAATCAAGTTAAGAAAATAATCAGACTACGGCTGCTTTAATTGCAGCAAACAAATACGCTCTAAGACTACTCAAGAAAGCAAGGACAAGTGAGATCTACAATGAAAAAAATCTAACCCATGATTAGTATTGAAACTGCAGAATTAGGTTAAACTTTCTCTCTAAGGTAAGGTGAGAGCTCCAAATTCTAGTTAGCAGATGTTTATACTGGTAGGTTTATTACCCTAGTATAGATTAATAGATTAACCACCTCAATGCCTCTGAAATACTGATTATATTTTACATTCTTCAAAGCATTAGGACTTGCTTCTGCTTGCAAAAGCCACGCGTACTTTTTGAGCTTAAAAAGTCAGCATGCCTGGGACTCAAAATCCTCTTTCAAAGAATTTTGTATTGTTTAATTTTTACAAAATTCCTGGCAGCCCTTAGGCAGAAATTTCATAGTAATCACAAATGGAAGTAGAAAAATAAAAGACAGTTTAATTCAAGATTGAACAATAACAGAAAGGAAAAGTATGCAAAGCTACTTCCTATATAAATAAGCACACTTCTTTTTCATCTCAGGGCTGATTCTAGATGATACCTTTTTCTTCATTGGTGTAGTATCTAAAAAGCTTTTTTTTTCTTTGAAGAACAAAGCCAATATAAATAGGATGAAAACAGTTATACTCATCTATCTGTCTCACACATACATTCGGCCTAATTTCTATGTATCTAGATATAGATAAAATATGTAAATGTCTATTTTATTTTTATTGTTTACATTAGTTATTCAAATCTAAATAGAATCTTCTTGTTTTTGTGCGAAGGCCATGATTTTTTTCTCAGAGAACGTGAGAGTCTTTAAAGACAAATATTTGCTGAGCAAAGGGATGACTGAATGAGAGACGAAATACCTTGTACTGAATTTCCCAAGGAAAACGTGTCAGGAACAAGGACCTGCAGCCCCATCACTGACCCCTTTCTTTTACCAAGGGAGTAGCCAGTGCTCTTTCAAAGGAGAGCTCACTGAGACAAACCAAATATGCTGGGATGTTTGAAAAGGGGAATTTCAAACACCAGGCAATTGTCACACAGATATTTCAATTTATTCTTTTTTTTTTTTTTGAGACAGGGTCTCACTCTGTCGCCCAGGCTGGAGTGCAGTGGCATGATCTTGGCTCACTGCAAGCTCTGCCTCCAGGGTTCAAGCAATTCTCCTGCCTCAGCCTCCAGAGTAGCTGGGATTATAGGCACGTGCTGCCATGCGTGGCTAATTTTTGTATTTTTAGTAGAGACGGGGTTTCACCATAATGGCCAGACTGGTCTAAAACTCCTGAACTCAGGTAATCTGACTGCCTTAGCCTCCCAAACTGCTGGGATGACAGGTGTGAGCCACTGTGCCCAGCCAGATAGTTCAATTTATTCTATCAAAAGATGAGAAAAACTCAGATCAGTTGAGATTTAACATTCTAGTTCTGATTACTGGCCATTTTAATTTGCTAAGCAGGCACATGAATTAACCAAATTCCTAGTCATCACAAGGGCAGATATTAACTTTTAGTTCCTACTTAAGGAACCAACATTTTAGAACCCAGAAGACCAGAGTGAAAGTCAATGCAGTCATGCCAAAATTGTCTGTTATAGATCCACACAGCCTTGGCCGGGCCAGGGGCTGCATTCTGCCACCTGGGCACCTTGTCTGTAGCTGGTGCCTTAGGCTTGGCCTCCTAAGGGGTGCACACCACTCAGTTCCTGGATGCCTACTGGAAGGAGCTGTTTGACACGGCCAACACCCACCACTTCTCACATAGCCTAGCCCTTCTGAGGGGGCTCCATTGCAGAAGCCCTCTGGGCCAGGTGACTGTTTGCCTCTGAAACCACCTTATTCTCAGCAGTTTTACTACCAGGCTCTGAGTGAAGACTGCAATTGGCAGACTTGGCCTTCTGTAGGGGGAGTCGGCCACTCTTGGGCAGACTTGCCTTGGCTCTTTGAACTCACTTGTGTTTAATCACTGGCTTTTGGGGGTGATTTGTTTAGTTGGAACAGGGAGATGATTAAAAGAGAAAGGTAAATAAAGAACAACAACAATGAAAAATTGCCAGTTACATTTCATCTGAGCCATACATATGGCCTTGGCATAAAAATGATGGGAAAGTTACATTGAACAATGTACATGCATTATAATAAACCCAGTATGTATCCTACCATCAGGCAGCCCCATAGCTCCAAAAACTTTTTTGTTGTTGTTGATCAAAATGTGTTACAGCCTACCATAAATACAATCTGTCCTCTTTAATCTGGTTTCTCTATTTCTGTTTGTGGACCTTTGCTAATATTTGAATGAGAAAACAGAGGCAGAGGCAGTAACTGCCCTCACCCCTGCCCCCGTATGTATCAATAAAGGATGCAGATGCGCTATTCACTGAGATGGCTGATGACTCGGAGGGAGGAGGAAGCTGATATGTTCCAAGCAGAATTTCAAAGGTGTGTCCCTGAAAGAAAAATGTTGAAACATGGGTCTACACCCATCTGTGTGACTCCTAAAGTCAATACAGCTTCTAAACACACAGATTACAGCACGCTGAACGAGTTCCAGTCTATGGAGTTTCAAAACATATATAATAATGATGGTACCGGGGGCTGTGCCTCCTCCAGGGAAATTGTTCTGATTTCAAAAGCATCCTGACTGTTAATTTTGTGACTAGTGTCAAAAAAAAAAAAAAAAAAAAAAAAAAAGCCTGTGAGGGTAGGATTCAGATTATAAAGATCAGAGAGAGAATCTCTCCCTTATGAAAATCCAAACAACCTTCTCCAGGGCTATCCCCACTGTCACTTCTGGATACCATTGACAGGCAGACTCTTTGCCACCTTGGGTGCATACTGGAAGAGCCAGCAGCGCCCTACCAGAAGAGTTCTGGGCAAAAGATCCTTGTGAGTTACCTTTTCCCACATCTGCGTGACACTCCATGTGCTTCACACTTAAGGAAATAAAATATACATATAAGAACAGCCCTAGGTAATTATCCACTGATAATTCATATTTAATCTGTTGAATCTAGGTAGGCAGGGACTCAATTTCAAAAATCATGCCAACTACTTCTCTTGAAGGATAACAGATGAGATTTTTAACTGATGTCTTTATAAGGATTCCCAAAAGAATGATTTAAGAATGGCCTGCAAGTAGCATAAAGCATATCTTGTTTACTAAAAAATGAATTTGTGCAAAAACATGCCTGTAATTAGTAAATCATTGGTGTTCCACTTACCCATAAGTGGCTCTGGGAAATTTCTCTGCTCTGTTTCTGCCCTGGATTCTATTTTGATCTGTGGATCTTCTTGGCTAATCCATATCCAGTACTGCCCTAAATAGGTTTTTCTTGTATTGGAATGCGTTCTCATTACCTGCAAGTGCTCCAAGTTCTAACACAGGCACCTAGAAAAGGTCTCACCCCCTCAGATGAAAAACTGCATCTTGCACATGCTGGTAAATGCCTAAATTGGCCTTCTTCCCTGGCCTGGCTACAGTGGCTGTGGTTGTGTGAACTTCCCTACCTTTTAGAAGAAAGAGAATAAGCAACTTCCAGGCTGTGACTATCCCTGGAACCCATGGTCAATTTGTTAGCTCTGTCTAAAAGTCTCAATAGTCAATAACTTTTTGATTGGTTCTTCTTTGTTCTACTAGGGCTGTCACATTTAGCTGAAAATTTAATTTTATGCCCATAATCAAACTCAATAGCCTTTCAGTTCTGTGTAGTTGTACTTCCAGTTGCTTTTCCACCTCAAGAAACAGTTTCTGGGGGAAAAAAGGTAAATAACTCAACTCTTTCCAGTCGACAGAGGTGCTCTTCACTTGAGCATCTACATGATTTAACTTTTTTGTTGACCAGAAAGCATATATTCACAGCATCCAATCTAAGCATATGTGCTATACTGGCTAATTTCTAGCTGTCTGGGATTAACTTCATCGGCAATTCGGGGTGCAGCTTCTGCACGTTCTCCATCGCTATTGGATCCACAGACCTTTTCAATCTTATCCAGTTAAAAAGAAATAAGCAGCACTATTCTCTCTCTTGGATCTTTTACTTAGCAAGGGAACCTGGAAATCACTTTCAACTGGGTGTCATCCAGAGTCAGCCTTAGTGGTGTGGGCAATACACAAGTTTACCTGTGGCTTCCAAAATGCTGTTCCTCAACCTAAATTAATCAGAACCACCTAGGAGCTTGTGAAAAATTCAGATCACAGACTCCAAACTCTAAAGTCTTGAGGATTGATGTTAAAAGTGTACATTTGTAATCAGTACCTCAAATGATTCTAAGGTATAAACTCATTTTTGCAACCACTAGGGTTCATCATCAGACAGAAAAGCTCAGAAAGCACTTACCTTCCACTAAGTTATCTTATGCCATTCTTACAGCTACTAAAAGTAACAACCATATATTGACTTTCTAGAACAGTCCCAAATCCCAAATCTAAATAAACATTATCGTCTTTTGTCCAATGCCCTAAACCACCTATCTACAAAGCAATAAAGCATCAATTATGCCAAATCAAAGGCACTTCTTTTTTTCTGTTTTTTTTCCTCTTCAAACAACGGATTTGTTATTTTCTCCTTTTGTTCAAATAAAGACAATCATCCTTTAAATATAACCTGCAAGTCAACTTTACTGTGAGGCTTTTCTTATCTTCTTCTTCTATGCCTAAAGTGGTAGAACAAAGATTTTTTGGTAAACATTACAAATCTTCATATCAAGGGCACATTCCCTTTGGTTGGATGAAATATCTTTCCCAACTCCAGTAGGGAAAGAATCTTACATGATCAATGGCTCTCAATGGCTGGAAGATAGATGGCAATCAAGAAATATCTGATGAACGAGCCAGGGGTAGAGACCAAACTCTTCCTCTGCTCTTCAAAAATCTTTCAAAACTCAGCTCCACCTACCTACCCAGTCTCTTCAACCCCAGGGTGTGGCAGCTAACTCCTGTTCTTGGCTCAAGGGATATTCATTCCTCTTTTACCAGCTTTATTTAACTACAGTTTACCAAGTTCCTATTCTTGGAAGCCTTTCTAGATAACTGTCAACAAAGATAGTCCTTCTTATCTTTGGCAAAAGAGCACTTTATCTTATCACTCATTTTGACACTTAAGAGCTACCGGGCACCCTGTGGATGACCTTGTCCAGTTAGCTATTTTCTAGATGAGGAAACTAATGTGGCAGCCTAAGGAACTTGTCCATGATCAGATCAGATAATTATTCAGAATAAAAATTAGAAACAGTCTCCCACCCTCTTGTATTGTATTCCTCTAAAGATTATAAGCCTTTTGGAAATGTGGGCTTTAAATGAGAAATGGTTTTTAATCCCTGTACTAGAATGCGAACCTGCTCACTGAAGGCTGCCCTCCAGATTACCGGCCTTACGATGCTCTGCACTAGACCCTGGCATTCTTGAAAGATGTTTCCCCAAATCCTCATTAATTCCCAATAATTAAGCCCTAACCCCCAATGTGATTACATTTGGAGACAGAGGCCATAAGGAGGTAATAATAAGTCCATGCTTCATCCATGAAGTCATTCTTCAGAAAATCCCTCTAAACAATGTACTTTGGTCAATTCCCTTGTCTCTCAAAGGGGGTTATTATATACCCAGTTTAGAATGATTGAAACATAATGTGAGAATATGACCAAATCAGGACAACAAAGATGTGCTGAAAAGCAGCCCAGATTTGTAGTTAAGGGTGAAGGCTTGGTCAGTGGCCAGACTTTGCAGGTTGAATCCAGACTCCTCACCTATTAGCTGTGTGACTTTGGGCAAGCTGCTTAGCTTCTCTGGGCTTTAGTTTCCTCATCTATGAAAAGAGGATAATGACAGTCACTATTTCACCAAGTCATGGTGACACAATGAAATACTGAAAATAAAGTGCTTAGCACAAAGCCAAGTTCTCATCAGGTAAATACATAGCGACCTTAACATAAATTATTTTAAATTAATGCCATAAAGGCTAAAACAAAGAGAGAGAGAGAAATCTCTATGCCGTGGGACTTTGAATGCATTTGTGAACTGTTGCATTTAATCCATTCATTCATTCCTTTCAATAACAACTGTGTGTCAGGCTCAGTTTTAGGCTCTGAGAGTCCTGCAAAAAACAAGCAAGGCCCAAAAAACAAAGCCTTCTCTCATGGAAGTAGCATTGTAATTGACAGCTAAATCCAAGGATGCTGGAGATCTTCCACATTCTTCTTCCACTTATGTTCTCAGTGCTCCAAATACTTCTCTTGAAAGTACACTCAAAGCAATTTAAAAGTCACTCCTAAAAATAGTCTGTTACTTTGCAATCACTCATTGTTCTTGAGTAAAACCCAATATTACCCAGTATGGCTGATCTCATTTATCAATAGCCTGGTCAGTGAATTATTTGATTTCCAAAAATTAAATCCACCTTAAGGGACAAAATTGTTCAGAACTAAGCACATTTAAAAAGAAGGCCCCAGGCCTGGCACAGTGGCTCACATCTGTAATGCAAGTACTTTGGGAGGCCAAGGAGGTGAACAGTGCTTGAAGCCAGGAGTTTAGGACTAGCCAGGGCCACAAAATAAGACCACTCATCTCTACAAAAAATTAAAAATTTAGCAAGGTGCAGTGGTGCACACCTGTAGCCCTAGCTACTCAGGAGGCTGAGGCCGGAGGATCATTTGAACCTAAGAGTTGGAGGCTGCAATGAGCTATGATGGTGCCATTGCACTCTAGCCTAGGCAATAGAGTGAGATTCCATCGAAAAGAAGAAGAAGAAAGAAGGAAGAAGAAAGACAAAGATGACGATGACGAAGAAGGAGGAGGAGGAGATTATCAATAAAAAGAAGGTCCCAGACATTTTGAAGAAGACAGTTCCAAAACATTTCCACAAAAGTTGTGGCAGCCTTACAGTTATCCAGACTATCTTTTTCAAGGATTCATTTGCATGAAAGTCTCTGTATTTGTTTGCTAAAAAAAAAGGGGGGGTTATACTTTAGAATTATACAGACTCTTTTGTGTAAGTATACTGCCCAGCAAAACTGACAGAGTGCTGAGTGTGTGGCAAAATGAGTAATTTATTGAATTGAACGAAGAGTCTAAAACGTAGTGGGATGAAACAGATGTATGAGTAGGGTTATAAGTCTTCTGTTATAGGACACAAATGAAAATCTCCTTAGGGATACTGCTCTACCTGTAATTTATTTCTACATTATTCTTGTGTGTAATATTATTTTTGGCATGTTAATGTATTGTCAATGAATTCCAATCTGGTGACATGACAAAAGTTGTATTTCATTTTGGAGTGTAAAAAATGTGAAAATCAATTGAATTATATATCAATGACATGCAATGAGAGTAACTAGTATATTCTGTGTAATGTCACTTTTCTGGAATGACTAGCAGCCTAGAGCTATTAGATTAATTGCTAGAGTTTTATTCTTACTATTATAGTCAGTTGGATTTGCTGAAGTGAGATAAAAACTCAAAGCTCTCTCTTTTTTTCTCCCCCAAAAGAAAGAGAATTTGCCAGAATCTGCATAATTTAGATTATTAACTTATTTTCTTGGCATTTGACTGAACCTGTAAGTTTATGCTGGCAAATAAAATAAGCACTGAAAGTTGAAGTCACTCTTTGATCTAGTAAATAAACCTGCAGAAAATTCAGACTCAATTACTCTTTAAATTTATGACATTTCTAGTATTGTGACAAATACTGCTTTCTCACTGAAAATACATGATGTATTCGGTGAGTATGCTTCAAAAATCAATGGGCTGCTTACAAATAAAACCATATTGACATTTTTACATTTTCCTTTTTACATTTGTTTCTTCGTTCATTTCAATGATCACACGTGGCGTGCAATGACTGAATAGGACTCTATGTACTGTATTGTTTTAGGTGCTATAGTGAATGCAAAGATAAATACAGACTTAGCCTGGGAAGTGCATAGATTCTGGTACAGAACTGCCATATATAGTTGTACAGGTTGTTCACTGAAAAAGAGTATCCAACTGAAGGGGAAAGTGGGGTCTAGAGCCCAGCCTACACTCCTTTTACCAAGTTCAAGGTCCTGACACAGGGCCATGACAATCCAGGAGTAGTAGCAGCAGTAGCAGGAGTAGGAGTAAGCGCTAATATTGATTGCAGGATTTCTGCGTCCCAGCCACGGTTCATGTGTGTTTCACGTATTTACTTATGACGACAAGCTGATGTTGTAGGAACTATTACTACTTGCATTTTATATATGAGAAAACCAAGTACAGAGAAAAATTATTAATTTGCCTGAAGTCAAATAGCTAATAAATGGCAGAACAATTACTCACTGAGTAATACTGTACTCTGTGCCCTAACAAGTCCGATAAGATGGCATTACACAGCATAAGTGACATGAAGGAACGCAATCAAAATGCTGGTGGGAGTTAGGAGAGAGAAGAAAAAAATGATGCTTCTGTAGAACCTTGTGGAATGTGCAAAATTGTGACCAGCAGGAGGGCCTTTGGGGCAGGGTAAATTGTGTAGAAAAAGGCACAGCAGCTAGATTCTTAGAATAGTGAAGGAGCTTTGAAGAAAGAGCTTGGAGACCTATCCTAAAATACAGCGTAAACTCCTCTCACCGACGTTAGAGCTTTGACACAGGGCCCCAGTAACGCGGAGTAGTCACGGGAGTAGTAGTGGTAGAAATAAGAGCTAATATTTAAAAGCCAATGGTGGTTTCAGAGTAGGAGTGATCACAGGATCAACACTCAGATTTAGGAAGACTTGTAATCCCCCAATACAATGAAGGCTGGAAGGGTGTGGAGGAGGGGAGCAGATAGAAGAAGAAAGATGTGTTGGTACACTCATTTATTGGCACTTGGCACTTGTGCATCTTTACAAGCCAGTTTTCTTTTTTCTTTTTGTTTTTTCTGAGATGGAGTCTCACTCTGTTGCCCAGGCTGGAGTGCAATATACCACGATCTCCACTCACTGCAACCTTTGCCTCCTGGGTTCAAGCAATCCTCTCACCACAGACTCCTGAGTAGCTGGAATTACAGGTGTGTGCCACCATGCCCAGCTATTTTTTGTATTTTTACTAGAGATGGAATTTCACCATGTTGGCCAGGCTGGTCTCGAAATCCTGACCTCAAGTGATCTGCCCGCCTCGTCCTCCCAAAATGCTGAGATTACAGGCAGGAGCCACCGCGCCCAGCCCAGTTTTCTTATTTAATTCAATGAATTCTCTCTATTCAAAGAACAATATCCAGTTGCTGCTGTTGTGGTTACTTAAATTTCCACGTGCAAAACAAAACAAATGAACACCCAACTAGTCTGCACTGCAGCCAGTGAATCAAAGCATGTCCTCAGTTGTCATAACATCTCACAGAAGGAAACAGGATTACTATGTAACAAATAATTTGGCCAATACAACTTAAATGATCAAATACGCCAGTTTTGATCAACTCATTTTTTCCCCTCTTTCTGTACTGATACAACCTTTTTCAAGAGATGAATACACCACAAAACCTGTACCAAGTCATGCTCTGCACGGGACTGGGAACATAGTAAGAAACTTTTCATTGCCTGTGAAGTAGGAAAGGCAATCACTGTTGAATTGCAATAACCTCAGAATTATAAGGGACCAGGAGTTATTCCAGTCCCTGCAACTGGATAACCAGCCAGGGGTAACAGCTGAAGCTTCTTTTATTAAGGATTCCCTCTACTAAGGACTCCCTTTTATTAAGGACTCATCTTTCCATGACATAGACCTTACTGTTTATCTTTGACGGGAGAGCTGTACAGGCTTGTCGAAACCTCACTGACATAGGCAACAGAGGGAGATGGGAAGAAGCTGGAATTCGGGGGATTACATTAAAAGAAACTGATGTAGGGCCAATTCAGTGTCCAAAATGTTGTGGAAAACTGTCTTTTTTTTTTTTTTTTTTTTGAGGGTATGGCGGGGAGAGAGTCTTACTCTGTCTTCCAGGCTGGAGTGCAGTGACACAATCATAGCTCACTGCCACCTCAAACTCCTGGGTTCAGGTGAGCCTCCCGCCTCAGCCTCCTGAGTAGCTGGGACCACAGGTATGCACTACCACGCATCACTAATTACTTTTTTATTTGCTGTAGAGACAAAGTCTTGCTATGTTGCTTAGGGTGGCCTTGAACTCCTGGATTTAAGCAATCATCACATCTCAGCCTCTCAAAGTGCTGGGATTACAGGCATATGCCACTTTGCCTGGACTGAGAACTAAGTCTTGCTGTGGGATGACATCAAGCTCTCAGGACATCTAGGCAGAGGGCAGAGAACCGAAGCAGCGAGGGGATCCCCTAAGAAGGTACCATATTAGAGTCAGATCAGTAAGCCAAATTCAAGCTCCTGGTGATTCAGAACAAGATTCTGTGGGATTGAGAAACAGGGTGCAGCACCCTAAGGGAAGGGAATGGCAAGAGCTCATTCATAGAGGATTTCAGAGTTACAGCCGAAGGTGCCAGTCCTAATGGGGAACTGGAATGTTGAGCCGGGGAGGCGGACAGAAGTAGCTGTAGTTTGTGGGCCAATAAAGTGTGTGGGAAGCTGTAACTCCACAGGCATACAGATGACAGTACTCAACCCAAGCAAAACAGAAATGCAATCTAAAACAGCAAATGAATGCTTTACCCAGCAAGGTAGGTGATTCTGACGTTACCAACAAACCACTTTCCTTGGTCTGGACCAGCAGTAGAGAGGAAAAGGGGAGCACCACCACCCAAACAGAGTAATACTCTTTATATTTTGTACATTGCATTTATACTTTGTACATTACAAGTACAGCAATGAGACAGGGGATAGGCACCCAGACGTTACCAAATGTGATTTCAGGTTTACTTTGCATGCAGCAGCATTTCTTTCTCTGCATTTTCCAAATGTTCTACAATAAACAGTATTTGTTTCATAAATAAAATAAATAGAAAAAAATCAAAAAAATATGATTTTATACTCTTATTGCTGAAGAGAAGAGTTACAGAAAGCAGAATGAATGCTTTAGTTTCAAGAAAATACATCCCTGGTTTCACTGACCTTGGAAAGTCTACTCTGTTTCTAAATGACAATGTCTTCCAGACCAGAGGCCAGGGTAGGCAGGAGAGAAGGGAGAGGCAAAAGGACTAGGAAAAGGTGAGAAAGAAAGAGTGAAGCATTGTTCAACAATCTGTGCAAACAATTGGAAAAATAACTTGCCAAAAATATTTTTTAAGAAGAAGGTGCAAAACTTAACTGGATAATTATTAATAATAGTCCATGGTGTATAAGTTACAGCTGGGAAACAAGTTTATGGACTGCTAGTACAGGCATTTAGATGACCCAGTTTCAAGGTGATAGAGCTCAGGAGTCTAACAAGATGAATTTCAAGGTCACAGAAACAATTGATTACACAGCAATCAATGCATTGAACTCATAAAGAAAGGGAATTAGGCAACTCTACAAGGATTTGAACTCCTGGTTCTGTATGGGGAAATATTTTAAAGTCCATACTTCATCCATGAAGTCATTTTCCTTTCCAGTTGGTGAAACCCTAAAGGCATTCTGTAAAATTGTAAGACTACAGTGTCCAAGCCATTATATAAAAACAATCAGCCTCATCAAGCTCACTTTAACAATGCCTTTTTGAAAGGGAGTTTTGCTTTGGGTTTCGAAAGCAATGATGTTCCTGAAATAGTGGGAAGGAAAACTTGCAGTAGAGTTAGAGGCGATAATTTGCATCAGGAGACTAAAATACATAACCCTTTATGTTAAAGGGTAGCTGCCAACAGATGTAGCCAAAGAATCCTACATTTGTTTAAAACAAGTGTTAAAATTAATTGATTTTTTAGAATGAAAAGAAAGGCTTTGATGGCAAAAAACCTTGAGAAAGTAAAACTTTAAAAGAAGTTTTCTCACATGCAAGTGCTAATGAGTAAAACTACCTCCACTTTGGAGTTCATTTCATTAATGAGTATTGCATGGAAATTAACATATAATGATCCTATATGTATGCTCTTTCTCGTTATGTTTGTTTCAAGCTCAGGAAGCATGTGTCTCAAAACTGAGCCTTTTTCAGTATGTACTGAAGCTTTTCTAAAAAATGCATATTTTTCAACTTGGCAATTATTTGAAAATAATTAAGGCTACATTTTAAAACTTTGGCCAAGGATATTAAGGGCAACATTATTGAAAGCATCAAACTGAAAGCATCTTAAATGTCCAACAATAGAGGATAGTTGAAGAAACTGTGGTACATTCAGGCAACAGAAAACTCTGTAGCCATTAAAAATAATGTTATGAAGTTATATTTATTGATCTGAAAAGATTTTATGATCATGCTCCATGATCATTAACTCATTTTGTGGTGTATATGTGTACATCAAAGAAAGTCTGGAAGCATAAAAAGCAAAATAAGTGTGGCTCTCATTATGTGGTAAGCTTATAGATGATTTTGCCTATCTTTATACTTGCCTGTATTCCGCATTTTTATACATACAAAATTAATTTGCGATTTTTTACTAAACCTGATAACCTTATGATAAATAAGTTCGCTTCAACATGGCTCTAAGCCATATTTAGTTACCTTACTAAGAAAGGCTTTCTATGCTGTACTTAGCAGCTACGCACACAATAAAACCACAGTACAATTAATAATAAATCTGATTATGTTAAAGTCTAGTGAAATATTAATCAGCTAAAACACATAGATGATTGATAGATATAATATGATCTCCATTTCACAAACAAGGAATACAGGGCTTAGAAGGATAAAGTGACTTCTACAAGATTCACACATCCAGAAAAGTCCTGGTCACGGGGGTGGAAGCTTTAGGATGCCATGTATCTTCATCTGTTCGGGCTGCTATAATAAAATATCATAAACTGGGTAACTTATAAATAACAGAAATTTATTTTTCACGGTTCTGGAGGCTGGAAAGTACGAGATCAAAGCAAAGTCAGTGTCTGATGAGGGCTCGATTTCTGGCTCCTAGACAGTGCCTTCTTGCTATATCCTGACATGGTAAAGGGGACTAGCTAGCTCTCTGGGGTCCCTTTTATAAGGACATTAATCATATTCATGAGGGCTCCACTCTCATGACCTAAACGCCAACCAAAGGCCCTACTTCCTAATACCATCACCTTGGTGGTTAAGATTTCAACATATAAATTCGAAGGGGGCATAAATATTCAGATCATCGTACCAAGCTACACTGTTATCACAAGAAACCCACACAGGTGTGAACACAGAAACCTTGATACAAAGGCTAAGTCTTATAGATCTGCCACATATTCACAACCTTTCATTTTTTCATGTTTTATTTATTTACTTTTTTTTGAGATGGAGGCTCACTCTATCACCCAGGCTGGAGTGCAATGGCACTATCTCAGCTCACTGCAACCTCCACCTCCCAGATTCAAGCAATTCTCCTGCCTCAGCCTCCCAAGTAGCTGGGATTACAGGCATGCACCACCAGGCCCTACTAATTTTTGTATTTTTAGTAGAGATGGGGTTTCAACATTTTGGCCAGGCTGGTCTCGAACTCCTGACCTCAGGTGATCCACGCGTATCGGCCTCCCAAAGTGCTGCCATTACAGGCCACCACGCTACAGGCTACAGGCTTGTTCACAACCTTTTATGAAAAAAGAAGAAATACATGAATGTGGGGGGAATGAATTGTATCCCCCCTCCAAAATGTATATGTTGAAGCCCTAACCCCACAATGTGACTATATTTGGAGACAGAGCCTATGAGGAGTGAATAAAAGTTAAATGAAATCATAAAGGTGAGATCTTATTCTGATAAGGCTAGTACCCTTACAAGAAAAGGAAGAGACCCCAGAGATTGCTCTCTCGACTCTACCCTAAAGAAAAAAGACCACGTGAGGACAGAGTGAGAAGGCAGCCTGCTACAAGCCACGAAAGAGGCCTCACTAAAAACCAACCCTGATGAACCCTTGATCATGAGCCTTCAGCCTCCAGAACTGTGAGAAAATAAATTGCTGTTGTTTAAGCCTCCCAGTCTGTAGTATTGTATTTTTTGTTATGCCAGCCTGAACTGACTGATAAGTCTCCCAAAGGTATCAATCTAAATAAAGCCTCTCAAAACTTGCTTTTCTACAAAGTCAAATTCAGAATTACAAAGCAAATAAAAAGGTATGGCCGGGCGCGGTGGCTCACGCCTTTAATCCCAGCACTTTGGGAGACCGAGGTGGGCGGATCACGAGGTCGAGGTGGGCGGATCACGAGGTCGGGAGATCGAGACCTTCCTGGCTAACATGGTGAAACTCCGTCTCTACTAAAAACACAAAAAATTAGCCAGGCGTGGTGGCAGGTACCTATAGTCCCAGCTACTCAGGAGGCTGAGGCAGGAGAATGGTGTGAACCCAGGAGGCGGAGGTTGCAGTGAGCCGAGACTGCACCACTGCACTCCAGCCTGGGCGACAGAGCAAGACTCCATCTTAAAAAAAACAAAAAACAAAACAAAACAAAAGGTGACCACCCTCCTTTCCTGGATCAGTACTCTCAGCCGTTTATATATTCTACTTTCAGCAAGTATAAATTAAACTGACCTTCTATCCTGCCATGCCAAACCCCTACCCCTTAAAAATTACCTCCTCCTCAAGGATTTTCTGAAACTAAGGATGGAATAACCATGCACCAATAGATCAAGCCTAAAACTTAGAAGTTACAGCTTTCCCTGTCACTCATCCCCTAAACCCCAATGGCCACTGTATCCATTGGTGGGCTCCCGGCAGTACACACATTCACATACACACACCACCCGCACACAATGTGTCCCTCTTCTGTTGACCTGGAATGCACTTGCTTAATCCACAAGATTCTACACTTAAAGGCCATGTCAGGCATTTTTGCCTTTCCATTGTCTGAGCAGATGCTTAGGAAAGGTTTATAGTTGAAAGTCAACTGCTGTTCAACATTGTTTAATTTTCCAAAAACCTTCCTTTATACCTCATCCCCAGCAGGACTCAGCATCTCCCTCCCCCAGGGCTTTACCTGAACTTAGTTATAACATATTACAATCATTTTTCTAGGTCTGCCCATCACCTTAGACTGTGAACTCTTGCAAAGCAACAGTTCAGGGAAAGGCATGGAGACCTCAGAATGTACTGGCATAGACACGATATATCCAGGCATTCAAGCCTATATGGGGATGGGGGAGGGGGCAGCTGAAACCCCAGTGATTGTGGTGAGGGAACAAGTTTGATCTAATTCCGAAGGCTTAAGTTGGGAGTAGGTTTGGGTATATGAGACTTCACTCCTCAAGGCCTCCTTCAAAGATACACAGATGCAACTTTGCCTTCGGCTGCCCATGTGTTTTCTGAGCTTATTCTACCTTTAACACTACCAAGAAAGTAAGACTCAAAAAATCCGGAATTAAAGCACCAGTCTTTAATATTTATTATATACTTTTTTCTTTTTTATTTTTATCAGTTTTCTTTTATTTCCTTTTTTCCCCTCCACCTCTTCCCATCTGATATTTATTATATATTTTATTAATTTAAGCCTCAGTTTCCTCATCTGTAAAGTGAGAAGCATGAACTAACTAAAGGATTTCTAAGGTCCTTCCCATTTAAATATTCTCCAAGGCTATAAAGAGAGATTTTTTTGCTTCACTAAGCTATGGCTTAGAAGAGGCTTTCCCTCTGCCTCTGTCAGTGACTCAAACTGTTCTATCTTGCCATAAGGCTGAGAAAAGACAATAAAGAACCATTTAAGATGTCCCCATTGTTTATAGTACTATAAAGAAATCTTTTGGAAAAACAACTACTCACCCTGGGCAAACATCGTGTTTCATATGTGAAATACTTGTATATAGATAGCTAGTCTGCCTGTTAAAATAATGCTGCCTCCTGTATTAATTAGGGTTGTGTTACAAGAAACAGAAAATCTGACTCTGAATAGCTAAGAGGCTAAAAAAATAAAAGGGGGGGGACAAATTTTTGTGGCTATCATAATTCAGGATATACTGGCTCTACTGAGCTGAAAGGTGAGTCATTTCCACTGAAGCCACAGGTAGCAATACAACAGGGGAAGGTGAGAAAGTACTTGTGGATGCTACAGGAAGTGACAAGTACCTCCAACAGCAATTGCTTCTTCCATCTTTTTTCCCTTTTCTTCTTATTACTTAAATGGATTGCTTTCCAAATAGGTTGGTTCATTGCCATTGTTTTATTCTGTAAACGTTTAACAAATATTCTACCTGAATCAGCTAAAAATCACATACCCAACATTTAGATTATTAAAAGTTCATTCTCATTTTAAGATTGATTTTCCTTCTAAATCTCTCTAGATTTATTACAGAAGCATTAGAGAAATCCAAAACTTCTCATTTGGTTAAGCTGTCCTCCTGCTAAGATGAGATGATGTTCTGTCTTTTCTCAAGTTGGGTCTATGCTTGTAACTTCCCAATTACTTAAGTTGAAAAGAAAAGGGATCATCTGTTTCTGCTGTGATACAGAGTCAAAATAAAAATAATTTGCCCAGTAATATACTCTTTGACAAGGTCTCCAGCCTTGCAGCTGCATTTTGCTCTTTGTAAGGCCGTTCAAAATAACACAAGGGCCACCCATTGGCAGGTGAATATCTGAAAAATGTTAGAATAATTACGGGGCACTCTTAACAAGTCAATCACTCAGGCATTTTTAAATACTCTTCTCACCTTATATAAGAATGCAAGGCACTGGGGGAAAGTTTCTTTCTAACAGTTCTCAAGTGTGTAAGCTGGAGCCAGTCTATCTGGGTTCAAATTGTCAAGCAGTATACATGGCCAAACACATCCATCATTTCGTGCCCTGGCCTTTCCATGTGTAAAAATGGGGATAATAACAGTACCTGACTTACAAGGCTGTTTAAGGATGAAATAAATTAAAACTGGTAGAGCACTTGGCTGATGGTCATCATTCCAGATACTTTTGTGAAACGTTAATAATTTCTTCCCAAAGATATTTCCTATCTTCTTCAATTTGTGTTTATTGAGTGATATAGTTTGGATGTTTCTCCCCTCCAAATCTCATGTTGAAATGTGATTCCCAGTGTTGGAGGTGGGGCCTGGTGGGAGGTGATCGGATCATGGGGGCAGATCTTTCATGAATGGGTTAGCACCATCCTCTTGGTGATGACTGAGTTCTCCCTCAGTTAGTTCACACAGATCTGGTTGTTTAAAAGGGTCTGGGACAAATTAGCCAGGCGTGGCGCCGCATGCCTGTAGTCCCAGCTACTTGGGAGGCTGAGGCAGGGGAATCGCTTGAACTGGGGAGGTGAAGGTTGCAGTGAGCCAAGATCACAGATCGCACCACTGCACTCCAGCCTGGCGACAGAGCGAGAGTCCGTCTCAAAAAAAAAAAAAGAGTCTGGGACGTTGTCCTTCTCTCTCTCACTCCCACTCTCACCATGTGAATGCCTGTTCGCCTTTGCCTTGGGACATGAGTAAAAGCTTCCTGAGGCCTCACCAGAAGCCAAGCAGTTGCTGAGGCCATGCTTTCTGTACAGCCTGCAGAACCATGAGACAATTAAACCACTTTTTTTTTTTAATAAATCACCCATTCTCAGGTCTTTCTTTATAGCAATACAAGAACAGACTAATACATGGAGGAAACATGATATTGATTTTGAAATATTATGACGTACTCTTAGATTTAGGGAAAATAAAAATAAGAAAGAGAGATGGCTAGCTGGGATTGTTGGAAGAGCTTCTCCATCTTTTCTATGTTACAAGATCTTAGACCTAGATTGTCTACCCAAGGATATATGAAATACCCAAAGCAGAGTACTCAACATTCTATCTTAGAATCTTAGTAACCTCATAGTCTAGAAGTTCATAATTGAGATTAGCATCCATCCCAGGACATTTCAAAATGCAAGGGCAGGTTTTGGCCTGTCAAAATGACTGAGGACGACACCAGGATTTACCGCTCAGGGACTACTAGGGCTACTAAATTCTCTATAACTCCGGTAGTCCCAGCCACTTGGGAGTCCTGTAAAACTCCATTCTTCATGGAGTTTCACTGAATGAAGAATCATCCTGTCCAAAATGCCAGTGGTGCTCCTTTTAAGAAACACAGGACCTCCAATCTTTCACTGTTAGGTACCCTGGGGTCATGCAGCCAATGTGAACACATCCAAAAAATATGCCTCAAAAAGCATCACACTCTACTCTTGCCTAGTTCAAAATGCTAAACAGTTCTTCTTTATACTGAGCCAGTGAATGTTTGTCCTCTGGTCTTCATCCTGCCTGCTGTGGCCCACAGAATTTGTGTGGTTATGTGAAAAATGAAACTTTCCAATCCTCAAAACCAATGTAAAGTATTTACAAATTGCTGTGTCAAAGTTGCTGATCTAAGGAGCACCAGATGTGTCTCCAAACAGTTATTTCTTGGTCTCTCTCTCTCATTCTTGCTCTCACTTTCACTCTCCCCTCTCTCTCTGGCTGTTGGTCTCTCAATAAAAAGGAGAGTAAAGCACCACAGCTCAGAGAGGCTGCATCCACATTCACTCTGCAGTGAAAAGTAGCTTCCCCTAATGGGATATTAAGTATTTTCTCAACCAGAATTCTCATTGGCAGCCAGGGCTCCTGATTAAAGAGTAGCTCTACCATGCCTATGAACTAACTGAGTTTAACAAACCCATTACCTTTAATTCGCATGTTTAAGATCTACACAAAGCCCAAAGCCGGGCGCAGTGGCTCACATGGCTCACGCCTGTAATCCCAGCACTTTGGGGGGCCCAGGCAGGCAGATTGCCTGAGGTCAAGAGTTCGAGACTAGCCTGGTCAACATGGTGAAACCCCATCTCTACTAAAAATACTAAAAAAAATTAGCCAGTCATGGTGGCATGTGCCTGTAATCCCAGCTACTCGGGAGGCTGAGGCAGGGGAATTGCTTGAACCAGGGATGGGGAGGTTGCAGTGAGCCAAGATAGCACCAGCCTGGGCAGCAGAGTGAGACTCCATCTCAAACAAACAAACAAACAAACAAAAACTACACAAGTAATGAGAAATTTCAATAATGTAATTATGGATGAGAGCAATGTGTCATCTTTGCTGTTCACCGTAAAAGAAACAGAGGCTAAAAAGATACCAAATCAAAGAACTTATCCACTACGCTGGGCTGGAAAATCTACATATGTGATTTGAAAAGCAACTGAACAAGGTCTGAGAGATAGTTTCTTTGTTGTGGTTATTTTACTTTTTATTAAAGTCTAGCAAATATAGAGAAAAGTGCCCCAATTCAAAGTGCACAGTCCAGAGCCAGTGTTAATGGTGGAATCTTTCAAATTTGCAAAGAAAAGATAGTTCTCATGCACATTAACATTCTACAGTGCTAATTTTTTAATGTAAAACTATTTTAATTTTATAAATCAATTATAGTACCAAAACCTGATGAGGAAAGGGGAGAGAGAGAGAGAGAGAGAGAGAGAGAGAGAGAGAATGTAGACTAATGTCACCTGGATATTTATTAGAAATTCAAAATAAACAATAAAAATTGTGACACTTACTGAACACTTAATAGACACCATTTCCTTGTTGAGACTTAGATATATTATCTTATTTAACACTAAGTATACCCATGCAATAGGTATCATTATTCCCATTTTATAGAAGAGAAAGCCAAATTACTAAAGTTTACTAACTAGCCCATAGTCACATAGTGAGTGGCAGAGCTGAGATTAAAATTCAGTTGGTATTCCAAAGTTCTGGCTCCTAATCACTGTTTTCAATTAACAAACTGAATTCAAAAGAATTTGTCAAAATTCACTGCTATCTAATAAGGCTTTTTTTTTTCTACAAATGCAAAGAGAGTTTATGGTTTATCACGAGAAAAAATCTACTAATATATTAGATCTCATAAATACAAAATACAACAAACCAAAAAAGCAACATAACCAAGATAAATATGTAAATTTAACAAAATTCAACATTCACTCCTCTGAGAAGTGTTTAAAATTAATATGATATTAAGAAAATAGATCTGATATTATAGTTAAGTTATATCCATTAAAATTGGTCATAAGGATGTTCACAATCTACCCTATTATTTATTATTGGTCTGAAAATTCTGACCAATGTTGTAATATAAAAGTTTGAAATAAGAGGCTTAATTTTTTAAATAAGAGAAAAATACATATATGATTGTTTGCAATGGAAACTATTTGCTCTCTAGAAAACTCCGGAGAATTAACTGAAAACTTATTAGTATTCACAAGATAGTTCAATAAGAAGATTGGATGTAAGATAAACATACAAAAATCAATAGCTTTCCTGTAGATCAGTGATAACCAGCTAGAAGATATAATTGAAAATATTGGAAAAACTCAATGGGTTGTGTTTTCTAATCACTATCTCTTGTAGAAGTCAACAATCCTTTTTGGGGAGGGGTTCTTTTTAGTGTATCTAGTTTTCAAAGTTGCAATAAAAGTTATGATTTTCATACGGTAAAACATTACTTCTCTTCAGTAAAAGATTTTATGGTTCTCTAGAAGAAAGATCTAACAATGCTTTTTAAAAAGTTTTAGTACAATTGCTGAAATTATAGTGTAGGATTCTTGTCATATTCAGTAACCATTTAAAATTATTGAAAAAGTTGTAGCTCCAACATGTTGTACAAGAGAATCCCAGAATCATGTATGAAGGCTAGAATAAATTAGGTACTTGGGCTTATTTTAGTTAAGTACACTAGCCATTCTTTATCCTATGGAGGAAAACTTCCAAAAGTCAGATCATTTGAGACCATTCAGTGGTTGATTCCAAATCTTTTAAAGACGCTTTTCATTCATGCAAAGATAATGTTTTCACTTCTCCATCAACATGAGTTTTTTTTTCTTACAAAAACAACCACACTCTTACCTTGGTTTAGTGTATCAGTGCTAATTTTAAACTCTAGGATACAAGCAGAGAGGCAATTCTAAAAGAAAGGGTTTGAAAAAGAAACCTGAATATTCATATATTACTTTCAACTGCACTTCTTTGCTGGCACCTCCTTAAAGAACACAGTAATGAAATCTCAATCTCTCCCATTAGTTAATTAGTACCTTTGCACCCTAAGGACTGGAAGCATTACATTGTTAATTATCTACAAGTCCACGCTCAAAAACCAGAGGCTGCTTATGTCTTCTTTTTCTTATGCATAGGTCTACACAACCCCTAAAAAAATAAACAAGCCTATCAAACATTCTTCTCTAAGCACAGGCTAAATATTACAAAATGGAGTGCCCTAACAGCTAAAGGTGAATTCAGTCAACTAGTGCCCTTGTATTGATCTCTTATGTCACCCAACACTTTTCTTCTAATCCTCTCCATAATTACATGAACGGCTAAAGCTTTCCTGAAGCTGTCAATTCCTCTTGCATCCATTTTCAAATGGCCAGCGGAGAAGCGATCTGGGCACTAGATCAAGCTGTCAATGTTCCCCACTTGGGCTACTGACAGTCCTCTTGAAGCCTCCTGGCACCTCTGTCAAGGGCCTCCTAGGGTTCTTCAAAACTCTTCTCCCTTGGAAGAGTGCGAGGAGGGTAAAGGAGCCAGAAAGGTATTGATCCATTCTTTTAACATGTTAATTTGCCTGGGGCTGCTTCAGCCATTGCCAGGCTGGGCACTTCAAAAGGAAACTGTTTTTCAAAGTGGAGATGTCTTTTTTAAACACTTAAATCTGAAAACAAATGAATCCAAGCCTCAAGTTCACAGTGCAAAGCAAGAGAGGTTGGCCAAACACAAACAGGATAGCTAATATGTAGAAAGATGTCCTAAAATTAATTGATGAATTTTGATCGAGAAATTTGATCGAGTATTTTAAATGTCTAAAGCCTGTGAATGCATCATAACCAATTAAGATGCAACCTATTTAGTAACATTAGTCTATGGAAGAAAAATTAAGGCTGATATAATTAAACTGATGTAAAACATTAATAACATTGATATTGATGAATACTTGGGCCTCTCCATAAGTGATGAAAATGGAAAATAAAACTGATTGTTCATTTAATTGCACCTCTAACTGGCAACACATCATGAGGCTAGACAAGAAAAAGGAGGGGTTGGGGAATTGCCACATTATAAAAGTATCTTTGTTTACTGCCTTTGTTATCAGTTTATTATTTCATCAGTGAAACATACAGTAGGGATAAGACTACAAGACATAATTAAGGGCCTAAAGATTGCAAAGTATTACCATATTCAGTTTGTAAAATTCATTCATCAAAAGCAATAATTTGCTTGTAGTTTTCAGCTCAGGTATTTCTGGGGATAGTTAGTTGCGAACGGTTATTAAAGGAAGAAGTCACATAAAAGAGACAGCTGCGATCCTAATGAAGAATCCACTGTGGAAAGCAATAGCTGGGAAACGTGAAGTCTTAAATCAGGGAAGTTCTTAAGGACAAAAGCCCAAGAGAAAAAGCATTCCTAACTGAGCTGAGTCTTAACTGATCATGAGGTTGGCCCATATTTACCTGCCATGGTATTATAGGAGGAAATCAGTATTCTGTTAACCTCTGACCCCTCAGATCTGAAGCAGACAAAGGCCCAATCTGGAGCCCTGGGAGAACATAGCCAAATGTCAAACAGCAGGGAAGCGATTGTTACAGAAACATTTGGCTTGGGCACAGGCAGCTTCATTGGGGCAAACTGCTATTCACAGAAACAAGCCATGAAGAGATAACGCCATAAAATATGAACAACATGGAACCTTTTTCGCCTTGCTTCTAAATTGTTAGCTTTATGGGACTTCAAGCTGAACAGTATGAAAAAAATCCAATTTGCTTTGAAGCGCATTAGTCTGTCTAACATCCTAATTATTGTTTACATTGCCATTTGCCTTCTATTAAGAATTGAATAATTACCCAGCACTTCATAGTTTAAAAATACAAGCAAACAGGATTATCTGGGTAATTAAGAAACTGTACCACAGCTTTGTACTGGTGCAGAAAATATCTGTAAACGGAAGGGAAATGATAATTATCAATCAACTTACTTCAAATGGTATTTTAAGGATTTTGAGCAATTTGAGATCTGTAACTTATTAAGAAGAGGTTAGTAAGATCACCTTTGAGAAGTGTGGGTCTGTTTAAATCCATCCTGAGAAACAAGAGCCAGATAAGCAGCTGAATTTTCTCATCCGCTAATGACACCAGGGAACACACCATGTACAGAGAGCATTCTGCTGCTCTTTAATCCTAATAATCCATCCCAAATGGACTTTGAACAGCATCATCAAACTTTGTCAGACCATGTGGAGCAAAACCAAAGCTCTTCCACATTTAGATGTTGTTTTAACTGACTTTGCTTTTACTTAATTAGACTGCAACGTCTAGCTATGCCCATTTTCTGCTCTGTGAAATTAGTTTGAACTCAAGTCTAATTGAACTTCAAAAACATTTCATGCAAAGTCCTCTTCTTCTAGTTTATAGAATGCATATATGATCGTGGCCTTTCAGAAGATAGTGCTGGTTTCAACCAGAGTTAAGTTTGTTGGGTAAAATATGCAGTACGCTTGCCTTCCCATTCTAGAAGGAATAAAGGTAAGGTTAAAAAATAAGTAAATTTGGAGACACTGGGGGGAGTGGGGAGGAGGGAGACAGAAACAAAAGACAATATTCAACAAAAAGTGAATCCACAAATATAATAAGAAACAGAATTATAGTCAATACACATTTTAAAGAATTTTATCTGGGGACATAAGTGAAAATATGAAATTTTAATTGTGATTCTAGGTATGAAGATTGATGTATTCGTTCATAGATGAAGAAACACAGATGAAAATCCCAGTGGTGATTTGTACATCATAGACTTTAAATATCTACTCACTGATGGCATGAATGGACTCCAGCCCATTAGTGACCTAAGGCCTATTTTCAGAACTTCCTGAGCTCTGACAATTCTTTTTCAAAGAATTGTATCTTTTACTTTACAATTTTTTAAAGCCCTTTGTTGGGACACATCTGAACATTCCTAGCATAATCTGAATAGTGCCATCCCCTCCCACCTCAGAAAGAACAGCAAGATTCCAGCTGAAGCTGTCACTAAACAGACAAGCCAAGGGATTCACCAAGGCTGGGTTCCTTTTCCAAAGGTCAAAATGAAATGAGCAGCAGGGACTTGGGTTATTTTGCATGGGGCAGGGGGGCCGGAGAGTGACAACCAGCCACACTGGGGGCAGAGGTGCATAAAAAGAGCCCTGTGCAAATAGTCTCCTCTCTGCCTCCCACCCCTGATCTCTGGAAGCATTCAAATCAAAACCGAATTAATTTGCATGGTGTCTAAATCATTGGGCTCTGCATAAACAGAAGGAGATTTTGGCTGGGGTTTCCAAAGGAAGCCCTCATTGCCTTTGTGAAAGGGGGAAATGGGTGTGCTGTTTTGCATGAGGACGAATACAGAATATGCAAATGAAGAATCTGCTGCCTGGAACTGCAGGGCTGGGCAGACAGCTGACGACCTGCATTCACCCAGAAAAGGCTGAGGTCTCCAAAGGGAGTTGTAAGCAGTACCAACATGTGTGTTTCCCAGGAAAAAGAAATAGACCCTGAATATTCATAAAATGTTCATTTAGTCATGGGATTCTTAATTACCCTCCAGATCATGGAACCAAGTGACCTCACCTGTTCTCCTCCCCAAAACAGCTCAGAGGTACCAGCTGTAACAGGATACAGGGAGAAAGCTTTTATGCCTTAAGTGAGATACAGTCTCTCGGGGTACAGGGGACAGCTGAGGCCTTCTTTAATCATTCCTTCTCACGAGCACAGTAAAACTAAAGGGAGCACTGAGCCATGTTATTGGACACAGATAACCAGTTTTTAAAAAGCCAAGAGCTATAAATTGCTGCCTAATTTTATAGAAATGTCTAAAGGGTTGAGTAAATAAAATGTCATTCTTCTAAACTACCTAAGTCTCCCAGATTATGAAAAAGTTTTTAGGGCTTGATTTCATTTTCATTTTTAAAGCCTCTCCATGACCTGCAGAAGTGCAGTCTGTGTTACCTTCCAAAGAAACTGAAAAGTGATGGACTAGGTGCAGTAGTTCTCAACATTTTCGGCCTCAGAACCGAACTCTCAAACATTTTATACTCTCAAAAATTATTGAGAATGTTTTCGTGTGTGTGAGTTATAACTACTAATATTTACCAATACAAATTGAAACTGAAAAATAAATTTTTAAATTATTTTTAATTCATTGAAAAATAACAATTAACGCATTGCATGTTAACACAAATAGCATATTTTAAACACTGTTGTCCAAAACAAAAGTAAACTTAGTGAGAAAAGTGACATTGTTTTACTACTTTCTTTCTTTCTTTTTTGAGACAGAGTCTCGCTGTATCGCCCAGGCTGGAGTGCAGTGGTGAGATCTTGGTTCAATACAACCTCCATCTCCCAGGTTCAAACGATTCTCCTGGCTCAGCCTACTGAGTAGCTGGGACTACAGGCTCACACCACCATGCCCAGCTAATTTTTGTATTTTTTTTTTTTTTTTTTTTAGTAGAGCTGGGGTTTCAACATATTGGTCTTAAACTCCTGACCTCGTGATCCACCTGCCTCAGCCTCCCAAAGTGCTGGGATTACAGGCGTGAGCCACTGCGCCCAGTCACTACTTTTTTTTTTCATATTCTTGAATGTCTGGCTTAATAGAGGACAACCAGATTCTTTTACAGTAGTCTCCTCATATCCATGATTTGGCTTTCTGTGGTTTTGCCTACCGAAGGTACAGTACAGTAAGATATTTTTGAGAAAGGGATAGAAAAAACGATAGAGAGAGGCTATATTCACATAATTTTTATTAAGATATATTGTTATAATTGTTCTATTTTATTATTGTTGTTGGCATTCTCTTACTGTGCTTAATCTATAACTTAAACTTTAGCATAGGTACATATGTATAGAAAAAACATAATGTATAAGGGTTTGGTACTATTTGAGCTTTCAGCATCTATTGAGGGTCTTGGAACATATCGTCCAAAGTTAAAGGGGATCACTGTATTTGCTTCTGTATTCAACTTAATAACATTATCATACATCAGTTAGCTTCTGGAAAACTCCACTGTTCACTCATGAGAGAATTAGAAAAAAAAGGCAAATAACATCTTAGTGTTATTAAGAAAGTTTTGACCTTGCAGACCACATGAAAGGGTCTTGGGGAACATAGCTGGACCACATGGAGAACCACAGTGACTTGGGGCACAGAGGATTGGATCAATGTAGACAAGACCAGCCATTTGGTACCATCGCTTCACTCTTCCCTGTATTTGTCACCATTGCCTCCTCAGAAGATCAAAACCAACCAAACAAAAAACTCTCTACTCTGGAACCTAAATGAAATGGTTTCTTTGTTGGATTGATCAAACAGCCCATATTGTCACCATATTTCTATCTAACAACAATAAAAATAAGAGTAACAATTTTCACTTTCTAAGCATTTTAATGATTCTAGGCACTGTGCCAGGCCCTTTATACATTCATGCATATATGTGTGTCATATATAATAAGATACTATTGCCACCAATTTGCAAACGTGAACTTGAGTTTAGGGAAGCTAAGTTAGTGTCTACAATTGCACATCTGATTAAGTGGCTCAACTCCAAAGGCAGTTCTTGGCCATTTTGTGCTAACTGTATGTTAACTTCATGTGCTGCAGAGAATTTTGAAGGTTCAGATGTAAAGAAGATTCATAAACACGATTTAAAAAGGACCCAATTGAGTAGAAATCATGAACAAGGACCTCATTAATACATTAGTCACATGCAAAGATTTTAACATATCATATTGATTCCATGAAACATAACTCCACCAAATAATCGATGTTACTACTTTGGTTATGCCTAATGCTCCCCCCACTGACATTCTCATAAGGAAGTTCTACTAAATTCATATGTCCAAGATAAAGGCAGAAAAATAGCAAAGCAAGGTTAATCATTCAATGTTTTAACAAAAATATACATGTATGATTACACATTAATGTGTTAGTTTAAAAGTATTACTAGGAAATACTGAGACAACCTAGATAGCTACCAATAACGAAAACATTAAATAAAGCATGGTATACTTATACTACAGAATATTCATCTTCAATGAAGGAGAATTAAGAAAAGCTATATTCTCTAATATACAGCGATATCTATGACAGTCAAGCATCATAAAAACAGGATGACAATTACAAGGATGATTCCATCTATTATTTTAAAAATACATGTATATGGCTATATTTGAGTTGCCTGCCAAATTGTGAAAAATGGTAACTTGTAAAATGTTGGAGTAAGCTTTTGAAAACTGTGTGTGTGTATGTATGGGTGGATGTGGGTGTGTGTGTGTGTGGGCAGGGAATGGTAGACTTACAATTTTTACTTTATGTAATTCTATATGAGAAATTTATCTGACAAGCATGCAGTCCTTTGCTAATGTTAAATTTACCAATTACCCGTTCCCCCACCCCCCGCCATTAACTAGTAAAGTTCAGTTATGTGAAAGTCAAACTTATATCATGACCACCCCTGCTTTGCACAGCAGTAACTGAAAAACCACTTAAGAAGGCTTTTTCCTAGAGGCTCAGATCTTAACAGAATAATTATGTGTTAATTCATTTCTGAAAGATACAAGGAAGCTCAGTTAGACTAAAATAAGTCATCAAATCTTGAATACCATATTCAAAAATCCCTGAGATGATTTCTATGCGATGTTTTGGTGAACCCCAAATAGAGACTATTGCATGATTCACACTCACAAAGGCAGCCTGGTCACACAAAGAGGAAAAAAAAAAGTATATCAGAAAAAGGACAATAATTAAACGCTGCTCTCTTATAGATAAAGAATTACATTTTTTCAATGATCACAGCCATGCTTCAAAGCCGGAGATAAAAGCAGCCATGTGATTCAAGCAATTGATTCTTAATGATACGATTCAAAGGTAGAGGAAAAATTTCAACAGTGCAAAGGATATGGAAGCAGCATCTCTGTGAAGTAGATTTTAAATATTTCCTTTCCATTACTTCTTTCTCCTAAGCTCCTTCTATAGTATAGTTGAAAAAAGAAATCATTTTTTTTGACATAGCTCTCTTCCTCTTTTCAGAGCACAAGTCTGTTTATTTTAAAACCATTGGAACATTTCTATCTTGTTCTTTCTTTAAAAAGCTTTTAATACGATACCTTTTGTTGATATGAGTACATTTTAATACTGATGACCTCAATATACAACAAAATTGTATACTTCAGCAAGGCTTGATTCTTACCTAGCTTAATTTTGTCATAGTTGTAATCATTTGGCCTTAAGAGTGACTCCAAAAGAATGTTTTTATTGGTATTATTTTTTATATGTATGCTCTGAAAACTGCTGATTAGTATTTCCCAAAGAGAAAATCTGGAGCTCTCCTTTCATTTTTCAGCTTTTTAATTAAGCAAAAAATACACTAATAACGAATCTTTTTGGCTGGGTGAGGTGGCTCACACCTGTAATCCCAGCACTTTGAGAGGCTGAGGTAGGATCACTTGAGGCCAGGAGTTCAAGACCAGCCTAGGCAACAGAGTGAGACTTCATCTCTTATGTTAAAAAACAAATAATAAAAAATAAATTAAAAAAAAATTTAATGGAATATTTTCCTCTCTTCCTTCTGCTTACTATTTCTAAAGTAATGAAAACAGTCCTGTAAAACATCTGGAACATTTCTTCATTAGGGGTATGTCTGTCCGGAAGGAGATGTCTGAAGTGGATTTTGTTTCCTTTTTCCAACAGTCTGATGTGGCCTGGAAGCAGGACTAACTAGAATCATTATATTATCCTCTGCATCCAATCACTAGGCAAGTTCAAAGGGCTGCTAACTCCTGCGATACATTCTCCTTGAGAAGATGGGTAAGTAGCTCATACACATTGTTGTTCTACTGAGACCAAGCCAAATCATTTCAGAAAATGTTATTCAAGAGCAGAATGAACTTGCCTCTGCTTCAGAGGGCAAAGCCACCATCCCCCTGCCCTCATCCTTCCTCTCCATTAGCATGTACTGCTGGGGGTAGGAACTGCAAGAGGAAGTGTAGTTCTGTCCCCAAGGTCCTTTGACGACTCAGTGGATGATCAGGGTTAGAGTCAAACAACAGCACACCCCAGGCCCCCGCCCGCCCTGCCCATTTTTGCCCAAGGATCCTTTGTCAAACATTTAAGATCTTAATCAATCTTCCCTCTGACCTCCCGGACCCCAAGGAAGATGGATGAGGAAGTAGGTGACCTTTCACCTGTTCTTCTATTTGTCCTGCCACAGTAGAACCATTGAAAAGACAATTGGGGAGGAAACTGCTGCCAGAGTTCTGAAGACTTGGCCAGTTTTCCTTTATATTCCTTCTTAAGCTTTCTTTACACCCTCTTTCTTGTCCTACCCACAAGTCACTTTTTGCTCGTTCAAAGGAAGTTTCTCTTTCCTATCGAGGAGGAAAAAAAAATGACATACTCCATATAATATTTTCAATACAAAGTGTGAAAACGTATATTATTATTTGTTAGGGCAAAGGAGAGAGATGCTTCCTATCTTTAGCCTTGATATCAAGGAGTGGTCAGGGGATGGATTTTCCTTCTACTATTTCAACTCAACGCTCTTAAAAGTCAATAGCTATGACCTTGGGAAGAGCACAATGACAACAGAAATGCTAGTATCAAGTTGTTGCATGATCTCTGAGGTGACTTTTACCAATCTTACAACCCCAAGTCCTCATTGCAAGTCTGTAAACTAAATATAACTATTATCATCCCATTTTATGGATGAACAAACCAAGGCTCACAGGGCTTAAGAAACATGCTCAAGGTCATCTAGCTAAGTGACCAAATTCATACATCTTTCCTCGTCTCTATATTATTTCCACTGTGCCTGGGTGCTACTCTTGATGCCTATCATGATATCAAGGATAGGGCCAACTGTTTTTATTATTCCTAAGACTTTTAGAGTCTCAAGTCATCTTTTAAAAGTCTCACTCTGGCTGGGCGCGGTGGCTCACGCCTGTAATCCCAGCACTTTGGGAGGCCAAGGCGGGTGGATCACGAGGTCAGGAGATGGAGACCATCCTGGCTAACACGGTGAAACCCCGTCTCTACTAAAAATACAAAAAATTAGCCAGGCGTGGTGGCGGGCGCCTGTAGTCCCAGCTACTTGGGAGGCTGAGGCAGGAGAATGGAGTGAACCCGGGAGGCAGAGCTTGCAGTGAGCCAAGATCGCGCCACTGCACTCCAGCCTGGGCGATGGAGCTAGACTCCATCTCAAAATAAATAAATAAATAAATAAATAAATAAAGTCTCACTCAAGCTTGGAATCCTTTGTCATTCAAGTTTTTTCTTACCTAACTACATCAGAAATTTTTACATGGCAATAACAGAAACAAACAACCAAAGTGCAAGGTCTTGTGCAAAAAGTGTCTTGAAAGAGTTAATCATTTTATTAGCAGAAAAAAAAGCAAAATAACAAAAACAAAAAACAAAAACAAACTTGGTTGACACACCTGAAAACACTGAAGTTTCTCAAAAACGACTCAATCCACCTGCTTCTGCTGTGAAATATCTGGCCTCATGTTAGGAACAGCTTGCTCGGAAGTGGACTAGATTTGAAACCCTAAATTCCTCCCCTTCGAGGACGCACGTGATTAACTGGATCCCCCAAGACTATTTCCATAAAGCAAACCAGAAAAATGTTCGATTGCTTTTATATTCACTTTGCCCACCATCTTTTTCTCTTTTCTTTCTAATTTTGGTTGTAAAAATGTCAAGGAGTTTCACAATGTAGCAATGTATGAGTTACTAGGCTCTGTGACAATTGAAAATCAATGACATTAGATACACGAAGATGTGCTAATGCTGAGAGTGAACATTTTAGCAGGAAATGGAAGCCAATGTTGTTTTTTTAAAAATATATATAAGAATCTTGACATGTGAAGATGTGCGGCTCCTGTCTTACAAAACGGAAAAGGCAGAATAATTTACTCTAAAATGTGATGGCATGTCATTGCCCTGCTCATTTCACTGTTCCTGCTATGATCATAGTAATTTAGTTGCCAGTAACAATGCACTCACATATTTTCTTATATTAATACCAGAATATACTTTGGGTTACCAATTCAGTACAGCTTATCTAGTAGTTGCTAAGTCAAGAGCAAACCAAAAATCGAGGCCTTAATCTTTATTTTAAAAATCCTTAAATTCCAACTTGTAAACTTTTAAATTTACACATTTCCTTTTTTTTTTTTTGAATTTTTAACACTGAGTCAACAGAAAAGATAGCCACTCTTTTTTCTATTTACCACAAAATGAAAGAACATTCACTGTTAGTTACTCCTAGAAATAACTATAGCTAAGCAGGAATGCCACTTCAGACAAGTGTAAACTATGAATGGAGTAACGTGTAACTTTATGACACCAAATCACCAAAAAATGCAATTTTCTTCATGTTCTAACTGGATTTTCAGTCAATCAAGTGGATTGCCCCATAGTTAATCCCACCCTGTCATTAGAATGGTTGAAATGCCAGACAAATTGTTTGGCAGTCAGTTAATTCAGGCCCTTTAACCACCAAATCAGATGAACCATGTGGCAATGCCATCTACAGCTCAACAATTACCCAGAGAAAAGATTAATCTGATTGTTCCATAGATGAGACCAGAATTACATTCTAACTATTTTGTAGTAACCATAATGGATTGGCAGCCGCAGACTGTTGATAACTACATTATAAAAACAAGTATCAAGCAAGACAAAAACTTGGAATAAAAGATATTTTTGAGCCTTATTTCACACATGACAAACAATCTGTATAAATAGGAATTACTCTCATCTCTTACTCAGATATAAACTTTCTGTAAAGCAAAGGACTTTATACACTCCCCAGTATTCTGACAGGAAGGGGTAAAAAAGCAAGAATCAACTGCATACACTGAACCTGAGGTGAGAAAAAAAAATCCACTTAGTAATATGGTAAGTAGTAATTAATGTGATAAAAATACATAGATTTCTTCAAAAACTCAATAACTGAAATCAATACCAAATTGGGTCACAATTTGCTATTGCTTCTGACCACAGATCAAATAAGAAGACTCTTGCTTGCTTAATTACCACCTCCTAAGAGAAATAAAGAGGTCTTTCATCAAGATTAATTTCATTTAGAGAACCCATCGGTGGGTGTTCAGGGAACAGAATGTACTTGAAGCAATGTCCCTCCACTTTGTTGGGTCATATCTCCACCGGTCCACAAGGCAGAAAGAAAAAATGGACTTTCTTCACTCGATTTTAGTCAGTGGGAGGGAACTGGAACAACTTAATCCTAATTTCACATTTAGATCATTCACGCACTTATGCAGAAGACGGGAGATATTTAACAATCTTTGTCATTTTACCAAGTCCATAGACAGGAAAACTATGGCTCAAAAATGTGTCCGCCCTCTTTAAGTAAGGATCAATCAAGGCTGTTTCTTCAGCTTGTTCATTTACATTTCAGAGGGCGCATCAAGCCAGTTCAGATATAAGTGCCTGTTAGCAAATGTGTTTGGCTTTCTGCTGATTACAGCAGCATCATTTATTTTGTCAGTATTAGAAACGTCTTAGCTTTGCCACCTGGAGCTATAGCACTTACTCATTAGACCCCTGTGTCCCACCACATCCCACAGGGGCTACTAATTACTGGCTTTACTCCATTTAGTCTCATCTCTGATTTAATTACTCGCACTAAGCCCCAGTGAAAAAACTGCAATATGGACCCTCTTACCTTGGCATTCTCCGCTCCGCTCCTCATGCCCAGCGTTGCATAGGCAGTTGCCAATGGGTACCAGCCATTCACCATCTGCCCCACAGTACATTTTTGGCACATCTTTCTCTTCTGAGTTGTTGACACAGGAGCCTCGAACTTCCACCAGGGAAGACGTATCAGCCCCTGTGATGGTGTCAGGAAACTGGGCCAGATTGCGGACTGTGAGTGGACACTTTTTATAGAACACACGGACTGATACCAGGGCGATGCAGGCCCCCACATCCTGAAAAGCCAGGTAAAACCCCTTTTTGCTTAATGGCCCTACATCCCGGATCTCGGTGTTCAGCTTCATGATTCTGTCACCAATGTCCACTTGGGTGAAGCTCTCATCAGCAGCAATGGTGTCAATTTTGACAAACTGGTTCTCTCTGATGAAACGCTCTTTGTCGTTGTCTGATTCATAGTAGTACAGGTTAAACGTCTCCTTGCAAGTCCCCATGACGCCCGGAAGACTATTGCAGTCCCTCAAGGTGAATTTAATCTCAATATACACCCTCTGAGCCCCTTCTCGGGTGATCCAATCAGTTCGTAGCCAGTTATTCTGGCTGGGTTCCATCACATTGCACACTTGGTAGGTTCGGATTGGTGTATTTTTTTCATCCATGATACTCACTTCCTCCCACTGCAAAGATCCAAAGCAGATGTATCAACTACAAAGTTTCATCATGCAGTGATTTGTCAATCCCATTTTATTCTCATAGGACACCTGATTATTTTTCTTTCAATAATGAAGCAAACTACTGAGCACCAATCATCACTAATAAAGGATCTTATGGGAGATAAGACAATATTTTATTGAGGAAGTTTTTTTTTTGTTTGTTTAATTGTTTCAATCTTTTGCCTGAAATCCAGAGGCAATGGTGGATTTACTGCTTGTGAGTTCTCGGCAGTTCCTTGTGGTGGTCCAACAACCTCAAATTCACCTATTACAACAGCTACAATTTCAAGTGGCAACAGTTCAAATTTACTCATAAAGGAAAAACTAGTATGGGTATTGTTTCAACCACTGAGCAGAGACCTGCAAATTAAGGGCAGGAAGAGCAGAGCTTGCCAAAGGAAGACAATTATCAGTTAATTAGTAGTGCTCCTGTCAGAACTTTGCTCTCTAATACCTCAAAAAAAAAAAAAAAAAAAAAAAAGGCAATTGATTTTTTTGGCACCCTCACTACTCTTTAAAGGTGAAAAGAAAATCCCACCATTCTGGTTTCAGTAATCCTAGGAAGACAGGGAGTAAATTTTATGGCTGGATTTCTCAAATATGCTATCATTTATAACAGTAGACAACTTTTCAAGACTGTGTATTCAATTAAAAAATTTGTACATGTTCTCATTTTTAAAACATAGACAAATAACAAAACTAGAAAACAGACATGCTTTGCTTCTAACTCTTCCGTGGACATTAAAAATAAAATAGCAAGTGCTGTTTATGACTGAAGGCCCAAGAAAATGAAAGGAGATGGTAGCATTTTCTTTGCATTCCACTTCCTAACACAAAGAATCTAATGGTAGGACAACTTGCGTCTACCACTGTGACTAAAAGTTTCACTGTCATTATAGCTTTTAAAAATAATCCGAAAAGCAGCAAAACTTTTGGGACTCCTACTAAGCTGGTAGGCAGCCTCAAATTCTTCATTAACATCTACAGTAATGCATTGATACAGATCTGTTATAAATCAGCTTAAGTATTTAACAAACATATGAATATAATTAGAAGGAACAAGAGATAGTTTTTTTAAAAAATTGTATTCTGTAATAGCTCCAGGTAAAGCTCCATGCAGTCCAGTGAAGTGCATAGAATCATAATGTATCTTTTAATAGGTTTCCCAACTATGCACTGGCAAACTCTTAATGGATGGAAATGTTACTATGTGAAGGACCATAAGCCATAAAATTCTGTATCCTTTTCATCTGCCACCATTATAAAAGTTGAAACTAGGAGGGGGTAAGTGCCCTGTGGTGATGAAAATTTCTTTTTATCCAGTAAGCAATAAAATCACCAGTAATTTACTTATTTTAGGAAATTCATGTAAATCCAAAAATAGATTCCCATCTTCAAAAACACCTACTCAGCATGCTTCTCTTCTCAGAACAATGGGAATTTGGAAAAACACATTTGTCAATGAAGGCACATAGGGTATCTCTACAGAGTTCATGCAGGATAATTCAGGTCTAATATGAACTTTGCAGCCTGAACGTAATTGTCTAACCACACTGATCAATTCACTGGAACAGTGACAAATCCTCCCTTAGTTTTATATTTCACAGTCAGTGTCAGCAACTCAATATACTCTTTTAAGTGAATATTACCAAGAAAGTAGCTTTTGGCTACAACGATGTTATCAGGAGCCATCACTTTCCCTAATTCTCATGTCTTGCTTAGTTGTTCTTATAGACAAACAATGGATTGTCTCTGATTCTAATTTATATTTTCCTTGGTGGTATTGTCAAATCAAGTTGTTTTTTTTTCTTTTTAAACATAACAACAAGAAATAAATGTCATTATCAGACCAAATTACTATCTCAAGTTAACAGTGAATAAAGACATTAAATGTCCTAACTGCAAGCAGAGATTTTAGAATGATCAAGACTCAATATGCTTTTACTCTCAGCTAGAAAGAACTTTTTAAAGACAATCAATCCATTCCTCATTGACAGATACCCAATTCATTCCTTTGCTCTAATCCTGAAAAAGTCCTCGTCAATTATAAAATCTAGAAATTAATTAAACTTTATAACTTGACACAATTTCTCAATGGCTACTGTGTATTTTGGAATGACTAATTCTTTTATATACAAATAAAATTATTTATCTTACAATAATGCTTAAAATGTTACATGCCTAATATTTAAGGAAAAGAAAAAAAAACCTGCTTATATCCAGCCCATTAAAAGTACTGGGTCGTATACAGTCAGCTCTGCATAGTTTTAAATAGACCTCAAGTCAACCAAGATAAGTTTTGTGTCTAGAAAAAGTGACCAGGTGCTCTTTCAGCAGCTCTGGAGAAGAAGAAGAAGGAGAAGAAGAAGAGGGAGAAGAAGAAGAAGGAGAAGAAGGAGAAGGAGAAGAAGGAGAAGGAGAAGGAGAAGAAGAAGAAGAAGAAGAAGGAGAAGGAGAAGGAGAAGGAGAAGGAGAAGGAGAAGGAGAAGGAGAAGGAGAAGGAGAAGGAGAAGGAGAAGGAGAAGGGGAAGAGGAAGAGGAAGAAGAAGAAGAAGAAGAAGAAGAAGAAGAAGAAGAAGAAAAAAATGTCTGCAGCATATTAAATTGCAATAAAAGCTTTCCAGAAACTAGATAGACTATGGACTGTACCCTAAAATGTGTCAGTCCTTGCTGTCATATAGCTCACACATATATTTAGTGAAACAAGTCAGGTTCAAAATTTGATTAGATGTATATACTCTCTTCAAACTTAAAAGCAGCCAGTAAGAAAAATAAGGCTCACTGAATTTATTAATACAAGTACTGACACTTTCCATCCTTAATTTTACCAGCAGTTCTAATACATTTTAACCTACCAAGCAATACCCCTGGTACATGTAGCCTGGGAAAGCCTCGCCTGAATCAGTGACCTTTCCAGGGTATAGGATTAACAATGAGTCTGACTCTCACCAAGATAAAGCCGTACCTTTCTTCACATTCAAAGGATGAGGGCAATTGCCTGCAATCAGTGGTGAATACAGCCTGTCTACACTGCCAGAGGCCTGCCAATCACTCCTCCCTCCTTTAAAAAGATGGTTTTAAGGGCAGACTGGAATTTTTCAGGAGAGAACAAACCAATGGCAGTCAAGTTCAGGCAGAAAAAATAGGAAGACAGGGCAATCTGTTTTATTTCAGGTGGATTACAAAATCTGTTTGCAACAAGACAGCCTAAAATTCTCCATTTTCATGATTATTTTCTTGCTTAGTCTTAGTTCTGAAATATGTCCTTGATAGCAGACTCTATGAATCTTTAATTTAAAATCCTTCATTCTTTATTCAATGGACCGGTGTGGAGCCCACGCCAGGTTCTAGCATTACAATTTTTGCCTAGTAAAAACTCCTAATCTTTCACCCCCATTGTTTTTAATCAATGGACTCAGCCATAAACTATCAAGCCTGTGAAGGTAGGATGATTTGTTTAATTTTAAAAGGATTTGAGAGTTATTTCAGTTTGGCAGAAGTCAGTTACATGTTGTACTGTTTTCTTTCCAAAGCTGATTCATTCTGACTGGTTATTTAGGGGGAGTAGGAGAATGTGGCCGTTGACCTAGTAAGATGGAGGCAGTAATGACAAGTATTACAAATTTGAGAATAAATGAAGTGATGCTTTTTTCAGACCTTATAATCCAGACTACTCAATCCCCAAAGATTCTTCAAGATTACAGACACATAAACTTTTCATATTTAGCACCATTAATACACAGGCTTAGGGTTTTTTGGACACAAGTTCACATGACTGTCTCTCAGTGTGCAAAAGAACAGCAGCTGATTTAAGAGTGAGAGCAAGGTACAGAGCCTTCCTGCAGTTCATGCAGGTACAATTAGAAATGTCTTCTCTCTCATATCTTTATTTATTCTTTTTTTTTCATCTGGAAGCAGGACAATTGCTCTTAAATTAACCTTGTCAGGACTTCATGGCCATCACAGTAATAGGCATAAATTCTAATTTGGTCCCCGGATCATATTTCCTGTTGGTATTTTAGTTTTAAATAGGCATCTAAGTCTGTGCCTCCACCAGTCTCCTAATTTTGAAACCCCTTTCTGCCCTTTTGGTTTCTAGTTCTTCCATGACAGAGTTATCCAAAGGGAGTATAGGATTTCTCCAACAAAGCGTAATTCACTTCATAGGCCACAGCGGAAATCTGACCCCCTCACCACAATCAACAAGAATCAAGCCATTAGGACTCTCAGAAAGTTGCTAATCACTCCTTTTTTACCCTTTGGATCAGAGAGCAACTCAGGACTTACCCCTCCTTCCAGAGGGCTTGCTATCCACCCAAGTTCTCCCTGAACAGATCTGGAATCCAATAAGGTAACTGCAAAAAACAAAAGAAAAATAGATGAATTTCCAATTGCAAAAAGCCAATAACACAAAAACCATTTGCCTGAGCGTTTCCATATGTGCTGAGGCTGTGCATATCCAACACTGATCAAAACCTAAACTTGGGCTCACTTATGTAAATAATCATTACTCATTTGATCTTCTCCCCCTCTTTAAATCTGCAGGTTCTTATTTATTCAACTTGCTTAACATTTAAAATTCCATCCTAGGACTCACTTGATTCATTTTTCTAAAAAGGATGAATAGAGAATCTGAAGTACAATTCAAAAAGATAAATACATCTATGTAGAGCAGTTACACTCCAGAGCAAAATCTGCATTCATCTCTGTCTGGTATCTACTAGAATTATTTGTTTTTGCAAGTTTCAGATGACCACATAACTCATCAGGGTGACAGAGCCACAAGTGAATTCTCTCTTCTATCAGAGAGTATCCTATCCAAAGGGTCAGGAAAAGGCTCTCCCTAACATTTTCCCTTCCACAACCAAGTAAATAGTCCCTGAATATGGTATCCGCTGCTTTTTTAAATATCAAAGTTTCAGAAAGAGGGAATGCCAGACGTGCAGAATCAGAATGCAAACGTACCGAAAGTATTCTCTCTTTCTCAAGATGTGTTGGGGGACAATCAGAGACTCGTCTTCCACCCGTAGGAAATCACTGGCTTGAATTTTAGGTATGGAGTGCTGCCTAACGGCTTTAGTGTGCTTGTGCTACACCTGAGTGCGTCAAAGCTTGGGGGGAAGGGAGGACAGCCCACCGAGCTGCGGTACCCCGCTCAGGCTAGAAGAGCGCTAGGTAAGGGGAACATCCAAAGGGACGCAATGAATTCAAAACCTCTCTTTCCCACCGAGATCTGCAGTCCTGGGGGTCGAAAGGCCCACCTCAAAGGAACCACTGGGTTATTAATTTGATCAGCCAGGCTGGCTCTTCAGGCTGGGGGAGGGGTGGGAATGGGAAGCCGCCATCCGTGCTCATGCGCACCCCAACACTCAAGCTTACCCCCAGACCCCTGGATTCTGCCCACTTTCCCTCTCATTTCACCTCAAAGTCAATGGAGTTAAAAATCAGTCTCTTTCCCCTACTTTTCCCGGGGAGTCTGAATTCCTGGGGTCTGTTAATGATTTTAAAATGTAGAGCCTTCCCTGGGTCGCTCCCGCCTGGAGTTCCCGCCCCCTTCCCTCCTCTCCTCTCCCCACCGCCAACCCCCACCGCAACCATTCTCTTCTCTCTGTCCCTAGAGAAAAGCCCGCTACATCCATTTGGATTTATGTAAGGTGGATTAGGGACACAAAGGAAACAATAAGACCCAATTTACAAAAAAAGGAGGGAGTAGAAAGGGAGGGTAAAAGAGAGAAAAGGAAACGTGATGGGAATAGAAAGCAACAAAGTGAATTAATTTTTAAGGGGGAGGTGGGGGAGGGGAGGGGAACAGACCTCCCTCCCTCCCCTTCAACATTAGCCTAGGGCTCTCAGAGCCTTTTTGTCTTGGGCTCCCAAGTTTTTCTCCCCCCCCCCCAAAAAAAGAGGGGGTTTAAAAAAAAGAAAGAAAACAGTCTCTACATCTGGGGCGAGAGAGGTCTCAGGGGACGTCCTAACAAGTGTGTGAAGTGGCCAGGAGAACGCGGGATCCACGATTCCTCTCAGGGGAATGAATAACCCTAGGGACCGAGGGGCGGCGACGGCCGAGATGGCACCAGAACCACCAGAAGCCACGTCGGAAGGAGATGGGAGATCCAGAGGGCGAGAGAGGGCCCCTTTCCTCCCAAGCGATGTCTGTGGGCAGGTGTATAAATCTCTCAGAGCCTCCGTCTGGAGGGCTCCGGGTACCGGCTGCCCAGCCAAGGCTAAGTTGGTTTTTGGCTCCCTCCTTCGGAACAGAGAAAACGATAGATTACACAGGGATGGATGGACGGATGTCTGGAGAGATGGAAAGATGAATGGATGGATGGATGGGTGGATGGATGGATAGATGAATGGGTGGATGGATGGAGGGATGGATGGACGGACGGACGGACAGATATATGGATGGATGCATTATGGATGGATGCATGGACGGACGGACGGATGCACGGAGAGATGGATGGATGCATGGATGGATAGATAGACGGATGGACGGACGGATAGATAGATGGATGCCGGAAAGGAGAAGAATGAGAGACGGATGTGAGACTAGATGCACGCAGGCCAGAGCACCAGCATACGCTGGAACAGAGCACGAGCATACACTCGAACACACGCGCACACACTCAGGACATCTGCGCACAGACATACAATCCTCCGCGTCCGCTTCCACGCAGGCATTCGCGCACCTACATACACGCAGTTGCACGCGCGCGCACACACACAGGCACACACACGCAGACATGCACACACACGCAGACATGCACACACACCACACATGCAGACATGCACACACACGCAGACATGCACACACACACCACACATACACACACACACACACACAGTTCGCCTCTCCCTGGGTTTCTCAGAAACTAAATGATCACCGCCCCCCCGCCCCGCCCCACCTCCCGACACAGACACACAGGCACATACAATCCTCCCAGCACGTCCGAACGGATGCACAGAAAACTGAGCACCCAGACGGGTCCCGTCGACCCCGCACGTTAGCTCTAAACTGTGTGCAATTCTGGGGCGAAAAGCTAAAACTCGACTGCGTTCAACTTGCCGGCGGGTTCCCCAAGTCTGCGGGGCGAAGAGCTCGGGCCCCTCAGGCCCGCAATCGCACCCTCGGGGCGCTGGGCTTGGCGAGGAGAAAGGTGTCTGACTCCGGGTGCTAGAAATCAGGTCACTGGCGCCTGACGAGCGGCGCCACGACCGCTGCGCTGCGGAGCAGGCCCCGCAGCCCGGTCCCGAGAAGCGCAGGGCTCGGGAAACTTTGCAGAAACCAGAGCTCGAAAGGCTTTCGCTAGAATCCGGGAGCACCAAGCCTTCACTGTGCTCCAGGCTGCGTTTTCCCCTCGCCCCGGGCTGGCTCAGGAGAGGACGTGGTTCTTGTAATTTTTTTTTTAAATCCCGGCGTTGTCTCCCGTGCATCCCCTCAGGGCGCCTCGAGCGGGCCTCTCTGGCGGATGCTGATAAACTTTGGCCTTTGGTTACAAACTTGGACAGACCCGCCGCGTGCACGGGTCACCGCCTCGGGGCAGGCTGTCCGGCGGTTCCCCGCTGCCCCTTCGCCGATCCCCTCGCCTCAGCCCCCTTCTCCCGAATCGGGACGCACCATTCACACTGGGCTCCCCCCGCACCACCTGGCCCTGCGCTCCTGAGGACCCCTCACCCGCGATGGCCCCTCGCTGTCCCCGACCACAGAAAGGCCGTCCCGCTCTTACCTTCATTCGCGGGGTATACCCTGGAACCTGTGACAGCGTCGCAAATCCCGAAGAGACACGAAAATAGGGCGAAATAGAAAATCCCAGCCATGGTTCGCCGGTGCCAACGCTGCTCCTGCCGCTTCTATCCCAGTGGAATAAATGCTTAAGTTAGGAGAGCAGCGGGCTGAAGACATTGCCAAGGGGGCGGGCCCGGCCGGTGACGTGAGCCCGCCAGTCCGGGGCCCGCGGCCAATGGCGGCGCAGACAGGGCGGCCGAGCCCCGCCTTCACCGAGCAGGGCCCGCCCCAGGGTTCCGCCCCCTCCGGGCTCCACGGGGCGCGCGGTCTCCCGGGGCTCTAGGGGGCGAGCACGGCCGGTCCCCGCCCCCGCCTGCCGGAGGGAGCCAGCGGGATCCCCCACGTTACCTCGAAGGTCGAGCCCCTGGACGGCGGAGGGACTTTGGAAAAGCTCGGAATTGACCGAGGGGAGCCAGAGAAGAGGTTGGAAACCTTTTCTCCCACCACGGGCGGTTTAAGATGGAGGAAAACGCTCTTTTATTGAAATAAAAGAAGTCTAAGCTGACCTGCGGTTGCTTCTTTAGGAGAGTCGACGTGTCTGCGTCCAGCGCGCCCGGGCTGAGCTGCAGACTCGCGCCTGCCACCGCCACCCTCTGCCACCTTGCCCTGTTTTGTCTTTATGGCGCTTCCCCCTCTGAAATACTCTTTGCGGGGAGTTTTGTGGCTCTATCACTCGCTTCTTCCCTGGCTCCCCAGATGCCTGGAGAGCGGGGACCTACTTGGTCCCCAACGTCCAGTCCGCAGCAGGGCTCCGTCACTGTCTCCAGAGACTGAACGAATGACTTTCTAGCAGTAAGGAAGTCCCCGCTGGCCCCGTCCCCCTGCACACGCCGTGGACCTCGCCCAGGGCCCAGGACGCCCCGAGATGGCCTTGGGCAGGGAACCAGTTGTGGATTTCCCGGGGGCAGGGTTGGGGGCAGTCCCTGGAACCGGGCCTAGCCCGTCTGGGAGCGGTGGGGTAGAAGTGAAAGGCTTAAGTGTGGGTGCGGGGACTTGCAGCCGCACAGACAAGGCAGACCGGGACTGGGAAGCTGCCCGGAGCGGCTGCTGCGACTCTCCGCTCCGACCTAGCCGGGGCAGCCCTCCCTGCCCCGGGAGAAGACGGCGAGCAGGAGGACCCGCAGAGCCCCGCCCGGCTGCTCCGGCCCCGGGGGCACTGGCACCATCGGGCTGTGGTCTTTTCCCGATGCCCGAGCCGTGGACGCGGCCACCTAAGAGCGGTCCGGCGAAGGCAGCGCAGCCGGTGTCCCAGGGACCGGTCCCCAACGCCACTCGGTGCATTTCCCCAGGCGCTGGCAGGGGCACTGATTCCTAGCAATGAGGCCTCCCTTCCCCTTCCCAGGCCGCCCCTCCTCTGACTCCCTCCAGAGCAGGGCCGAGTTTTCCTGGGGAGCCTGGGTCCCGGCGGCCGGGCGGCCGCTGGGAGGTGGAGGAGCCTCTCCAGCCCCGGCCGCAGCTCATCGTGAGCCAACCGCGCCACCTGCCGGCCAGATGCGGGAGTGTGCGGCCCCGGAGGAAGGGCGAGCGGACAAAGACCGCAACCCGCAATCCGCAACCCCGCAGAGAGGTGGTGCGTGCGTTTGGGCGAGCTTTTCAGCCACCGCCAAGTCTCGTGCACTAGGGCTACTCCTACCGTGGGGCTGCGGACAGCGCTCAAGAGGTCCTGGAGTCTGTCGTGACTCTCGCCTGCTGGATTTCAAAAGATGGAATCGGAAAGCGTTTCAAGGAGAAACTCCTAACAAACCTTCCGGGGGTTGCCTGAGTGGCTGCTCTCGGAAAAGCGGATCCTAAATAAAGCGGGAGGGTTATAGGGCGACGTCGAGGAGAGGACAGGTCTCGAGTCACTGCTACAGTTTCAGGTCACTGGGCTCCGCAGCAGATCGTGTTTTCTCCCGTGGCTCGAGAGCTGCGCTGGTTTCTCATGCAAACTCAGAGCCGAGCTAATGACATGAGCAACTTTTACTTTTACACAAGATGAGCACGCGTGCCGAGGCGCTGGGCGGCGGCTGTGTGAGTTGGTGGCCCAGACGAACAGCTTGTGCGAGACTCTGGGCATTTCGGTTTCTAGATACAAGATTTGCTTAAATGTCACAGTCCAAAGAAGTGGATTTCAGTCATTGTAGCTACTGATTGCACACAAGTAAAAAGGGAAAAAATATGTACTCGGGGGATATATGTATGTGTGTGTGCGTGCATAAATTATTTAAAATAACTGCACTAAATCCCTTTAAGAAATGCATTTCTGGGTTCTTTCATGTGTCTTTCTGAGTTTTACAGAAAAAGAAGACGAATATTGGTCCCTGTCATTTGGCACACAGATTCAAAAGAGAAAAGAGCAATCCGAATTCTTTTTGAAACCTTTTTAAACAATAGATGCTGGCTGCCTCTCTGCAGGATCTTGAGTGTTGCATGTATCTATCTGTGTTTGAAACGGGAAACTGACTGCCTGCATTGTTATAAACAGTAAAATTTCTAAAACATGTACCATTTTTTTCCCCAGGATATGCACATTGAATATTAAACAAAGTCTTTCCAGACACAGCTGCCTGAAAGCAAGGCATCATTTGCTAGAGTACATTCACTGACTTTCCCTTTTTTCTTCCTATGTTTTAGTTCAGGACCCAAGGCAGCCCGATAATCAGGAGAACCAAGAAGCAGGAAATGCTAACTTGGAAAAACTGAACTATAACTTCCTCTTTAAATCATTTCTGGGTTGCAGAACAGAAATGAGCTGCTGAAAATTCCTCTGTCCATTGTGACTACCTAGAACAAAGGTGTTCTAACCTAGCAGATATGATTCCTTGAAGAGTAAGGCAAAATTTTAAAAATGATGGTGGACAAAGGCCACCATCAATGCAGAAAACCACCCACATTATGGGAAGACAACCTGGAGTTTTCAAATGTTGGAGACTGTTTACAACACATCAACGGAGTCATAAGGATACAATGGAATATCATACCTTTAAAAAAGTACCTAAAATCACCTAATTTTAAAATAAAATTGCTTTACTCTTGAGTAAGACAAGTCTTACTACAGTAAAAATTTGGGGTTATTTTGAATACACTAAGAAACATGTCAAAACATATCTGCTTACACACTTAATGAAAATAGTAATTGAATAATCTGAAAACAATGATATACTTTTTTTTATACAGTGCCTACCACAAACGTTTGAGCTACGAAGTACCTTGTAAATGCTGAATTGAATTAAGATTGAATTCCAAAGGTGTTTTTAATCCGTAAAAGACGTTTGTAAATAGCACCAAGCATCCCGGGGTTTCCACCTGTATGTGGAGGGCCAATTTCACCAAAGTAAAGAGAAAGGAGCCTTTGACCCGTAGACAAATAATGATAAGGAGGGTGTATGAAAGACTGGAGAGACAGAGAGAATAAGAAGATGAATCCACTCTGCTTTTTCTAGGCATCCTGGTGGATTTTTTGTGAAAAAAATGGAACCTGCCCATAGTGCTCCAATGACTCCCTGAGTTCTCTTTTAGAGAACCAGAACTTTCAATTCAGACAACCCCAATTTGATACTTTAGCTGGGCTTTTTCTAGCTGTGTGTCTTTAAGTTCCTTGACCTCTCTGAGATATGGTTTTCTCATCTACAAATTGTAGATAGTTAACATTATATGGTTCTTCTAAATACTGAATGAATGTTATAGAGCTTCTGGTATAGTACCTGGCGTGTGTTAGCCAGCTGTTATTACTCATTTTTATTTTTATTTTTATTTTATGAGACAGGGTCTCACTCAGGTCACCCAGGCTGGATTGCAGTGGTGTGATCATGGCTCACCACAGCCTCACCCTCCCCAGGCTCACGTGATACTCTCACCTCAGCCTCCTGGATACCTAGAACTACAGATGTGTGCCACCACACCTGGCTAATTTTTTGTATTTTTAGTAAAGATGGGGTTTCACCATGTTGCCCAGGCTGGTCTCAAAATCCTGGGCTCAAGCAATCCTCCTGCCTCATCCTCCTAAAATGCTGGGATTATAGTCATGAGCCACCATGCCTGGCTATTGTTTCTGTAAAATAATATTTAATTAATAAGCATTCACATTTTGAAATGAGAAATCATTTGTTCAGCTTGAATTGTTCCTTCCAGAAGGAAACCAAGCACTGTGATTTACCTTTCGTGCTCCATGAGAAAATAAGATGCTTTATTTTATTAACTCCTAGAGTAGGGAAGGGAAATAAATTCTAAATTCTTCTCTTCTTTTATTGTTGATTTATGACAGCTGACATCCAACTTTTATATTCCTAGGTAATTCCACTGGATTTGGACCTAGAGGCTATGCTTGTCTTCAAATAGAATAGTGTAAAAAATACGTGAAAGAAGGTGTGAGGAATCCAGAGTCCCACAACCAAGTGGTAATGAATAACCAAAGCTCTACCTAATGAAATTCCCACCGTTGTTAGAAAACGCTTCTACCACAAGCTACTGCATCTTAAATATACAAATTTGACACAACAATTGGTGGGCTTCCGGAAGCCCCCAGGAAACCTAACTGCAGAGTTCATCCTTTGATGTCAAGGCTTTGATGCTGTTTGTTATGCAAATAAGAAGCAGGACACTTATGAGCCCTTTACACCTGAGTGGGAAAAAAAATGGCTGCAGAGCTCAGGTCTTCATGCATCAAGAGGATGAGAGAGCAAGACAAAGCAAGAGGCCTTTTTTTGTTTGTTTGTTTCATTTTTTTAATAAGTTGTTGGGGTATAGGTGGTATTTAGCTACATGAGTAAGTTCTTCAGTGGAGATTTGTGAGATCGTGGTGCCCCCATCACCCGAGCAGTATACATTGCACCGTATTTGTTGTCTTTTATCCTTTGCCCCCTCCCATCTTCCCCCCAAGTCCCCAAAGTCCACTGTATTATTCTTATGCCTTTGCATCCTCATAGCTTAGTTCCCACATATCAGTGAGAACTTAGGATGTTTGGTGTTCCATTCCTGAGTTACTTCACTTAGAATAATAATCTCTTTTGCATCACTGAGGTGAGGAGGGGCAGACAGGAAGGTTGCAGTTCTCAAGGGAGCAAGGCTTTTCTAAAACTTCATTTGATGCCGTCCGTGAATTTTACTCGGTTCTAACAAACATTTCTTCAGTGTCTACAATGTACCAAATCCCACATGAGGAAGAGGTCAGGAGATCAAGACCATCCTGGCCAACATGGTGAGACCCCGTCTCTACTAAAAATACAAAAATTAGCTGGGCAAGGTGGCGGGCGCCTGTAATCCCAGCTACTTGGGAGGCTGAGGCAGGAGAATCGCTTGAACTCGGGAGGCGGAGATTGCAGTGAGCCAAGATCGAGCCACCGCCCTCCAACCTAGCGACAGAGTGAGACTCCGTCTCAAAAAAAAACAATAAATAAAGAGATTTCTTCCTAGTCATGACCATATGTGATATCCACCGCACAGGGTTGTGGGGGCCAGAAACCATCAGGGACCTTTCCACCACCAGGGGCCCAAGAAGGAGGAGGAGAGACAGAGAAGGCATGTGCCAAGATGCTCAGTTCAGTTCTGTAATAACTCTAGATCCCTCTCAGGAACATTTTGCAGAGACAATGTGTCCTTCTGGAGGAGAAATTAGAGGAGATAATTTGCATCTCTTTTTGGCTGCATTGAGAAAATGAGTTAAAGTAAAACATCAGAACAATTTTATGTTTTAGGCATGAAAGCCATTCCCCAAAAGAAGTGTAAAATGCTTTTTACTTGAAACCTTTCAATATAACACCTCTGAACTGAGGTTCACTCATTCTAACTCAAAATGCCAACACAAAGCTGCAAGCCCCAGATATTAAATATTTTAGCTATTAAACACTTTTAATATTTAACAGCCATGTTACTTTGTGGTTATCAGAAGAGTTTTGGAATTATAGTTGTCTTATGATGAAAAATGAATAATATATGTGATACATGTGTGATATACGTGTGAATAAAATTAAGCTGGCACAATTTTTTTAGCCACTTTTTTTTTTTTTTTTTTTTTTTGAGACAGAATCTCACTGTGTCACCCAGGCTGACTGGATTGCAGTGGTGGGATCTTGGCTCACTACAACCTCTACCTCCGGGGCTCAAGCACTCCTCCCATCTCAGGCTCCTGAGTAACTGGGACTACAAGCACATGCCACCATGCCCAGCTAATTTTTAAAATTTTTTTGTAAAGGTATGGTCTTACTGTGTTGCCCAGGCTACTCTTCAACTCCTGGTCCCAAGTGATCCTCCTGCCTCGGTCTCCCAAAGTGTTGGGATTACAGGCATAAGCCACCAGCCATTTTAGCCACTCTTAAGGGAGAAATAATTGTCCGATCAGATCTCCAATTTATAGAGGTATTGCAATAGTATTCTGAAAAACAATGTGTAATTACGATACAATGTTGTAAGAAAGAAAATAATATGGTTATGAACATAATTTATGATTTACTACATAATGACAACGTAAGTTTGGAAACCTAACTTTTCCTTTCCCCATCATAATCTAAAGCATTTACAAAGCACTTATGTTCCAAACAAATATTTTGTAATTTCAGAAGATCTCTGAACATTCTAAAGATGTCTAAAATGACAGATAATGCATTTCTTTATGTACAGTACAAATCCTTTAGATGCTTGCTTAGATAACGGAATAAGTGTACTTATAAAGAAAATGTTACTTTTGAAATCATATTTATATCTTATTTCTTTAATCTAACCATTTGTACCAGTTAGTAAATAAGAAAAAGCCTTTTCCCTGCTAAAGATTATGCCTTTGACCATTTATTCAAATGGACTAAAGAGGGAACTCAGTGAAAACTCCAAGAAACATAGTATAGGCTTTTCCCGAAATTACATAGTATTTGGCTCCACAGTAAATTAGTGAAACCTTATTAAAATCAGTTGGACAAAAACTCTCTAGATACAGAAATACCAAAGTGACATTTATAAATATGGTTTGGTTAAAACTGACATTTTTGGGGGACTTTCTGGACATATTACATTTAAAAACAATGAAGAATTTATCTAAAATAAGTGTTAACTCAGGAGTCTATAGACAAAGATATGTCATACAACTTAACAATGTAAAGTGATATGTGGAATCACTTTCTCTTCGACCTTGGCTATCTCTGCACAAATAAATGGGCTTAATTCAGGCAAACAATGTGTTATTTGAAGTAAGAAGGTAAAAAGAAATTCAGTTAGTAACGGATCATTTGACTCAAACTGACATTTAAGGTATCTCAATTCAACCATTTGTTTTTCTTCATATTCAACTCCGTATGTATACGCACCCCAGGTTTTTCTTTTGCAGAAGAAGGAGTTAAAAATAAGGCATTAAAATATAGAGGATGATATTTCTACACCATTGATTATTTAAATCTGTGGCTCTATATAAAAGTAGCTTTTTTTTTTTTTTTTTTTGAGATGAAGTATCGCTCTTGTTCCTCAGGCTGGAGTGCACTGATGCGATCTCAGCTCACTGCAACCTGCGCCTCCCAGGTTCAAGCAATTTTCCTGCCTCAACCTTCCGAGTAGCTGGGATTACAGGCACCTGCCACAGCCTCCCGAGTAGCTGGGATTACAGGCACCTGCCACAGCCTCCCGAGTAGCTGGGATTACAGGCACCTGCCACTATGCCCAGCTAATTTTTGTATTTTTAGTAAAGACAGGGTTTCACCATGTTGGCCAGGCTGGTCCCAAACTCCTGACTTCAGGTGATCTGCCTTCCTCGGCCTCCCAAAGTGCTGGGATTACAGGCGTGAGCCACTGCGTCCAGTTTAAAAGTAGCTTTTTAAGAGAGAACACCCTTAGCCATCTCTGGCTGAATTGGAGGTTATGTTGTCCCAGGTTAGTATAAGTCTTTCTTTGTACATGATAACTATTACAGGATTTATCTCCTGAAATTTAATGCTTCTCTTTGACATTCAGGATTAACATGTATAGAACCACCCTTTTCATCTCTATCCCCTTTCTCTCCTACAGCTCTGATTTAAAATAAATTGGAACCAAAACATACCCAGGTGATTATGAGAGCGATTCCAACATACTTTAAGAGTAAGGTCCCACAGCTGCAACTTCAACTTGCCTATTTATATTACATTAGACACCCATCAGAGGTGATTGAACATTGGCAGAAAATTAATCAACTCTGTTCCATTAAATGGTCAGTTTGCTGCAGCTCAGGAAAGCTGGCCCCATTTCCTTCGTGTCTCATTATGTTCTCATCTGAAACTTGTATAGTTTTCATTCGGATTGTTGCAATTTAAAATACTCTGATAAATGCCTAGTTGTGTCCGTATTATTTACGGATCACCCTGGTTAAGATACTGAGTGAACTAAATTTGCAATGCAGAAATCATTGCACAGGTAGAAATCATAATGAATTGCAAAAGTAGTGAGGATCTTCAGGGTGCTTTGGGTCTTCCCACCTCTAGCTTTCTTTAGCAATACACTTCTTTTGGCACTTTACAATATGTGTATGTATGTGTAATAGATAGCCATCTATTTATAAACTAGGGTACTTGTTTTAAAAACCTGATTTAGATTAAGAATAAGATTAGCTGGCTTTAAAGCTCTTATACATAAGTACCTCACATGGTTAACAATCACTGTGGGCTAGCTCTAAGTCTGGAATAATCTGTGATTTAGAACCTTCCTCTTGCTGTATTCTGACTTAATCTGCTCAGTTCTTTGCTTTTTCCATGTCCACCTACACACCACTGTCCATTTTCCTGCAACCTTTTTGCTGTCAGTCAAGTGACAGCCTTGGATAGAATCTTTGTGTGCCAAGACCTCCTGAGGCCCAGCACCACATTTAGATGGAAAAAGCGAGGGGTGGCAGAAACACAAGGGATTCTTCAAACGCTGGGGGTGGGAGACTATTAGTGGGAGGTTTTTGGTGTATAGCTCCTTCAGAAACTGCTTTCTCAAACACACACAAAAATGCAAACACATATACCAAACCCCCACATCTGCAGCCTAGCACCAGTGTAATGTAAAATCATCCTGGAAGTCAACCATTCCAAGACTTGTTGAGGCAAAGAATAAAGCACCCTTGCTGTACTTTAACAGGGGTTGGAGCCCAAGAATAGCCCTAGTTTCTATCCTAATGTGAGTGATCCGATGTGTCTAGATTTCCCTTTCTTGGATTGACTGACTCTTAGCTGACCTGTAAGTACTAACATCTCTTCCTAAAATTACTTGGGAACATTTGTTTTTGCTAATTGGAGAGAAGCAGGAGGAATGTTCTGCTTATTACTTTGTACAGGTTTCACCCTGTATAATTTAATGTCTTAATATTGAAGGGAGGTTGCATCTTATAATACGAAGCCACACTTTTAAGACCTTTCTATTTGTAACAGTGCATTACTTCCCTGAAAAGTCAGATAGGTCATTAATACAAATTAGGTTTTGATCTCTAGAAAAAGAGCCTGAATTGAGGCATAGGCCTTATTTTTATTACTTTGTTTTTAGTTGGTGCCATCTGCATTCTGATTATAGAGTCTCTTAAATTTGACTTCATATTCCTGATCAGCTAAAGTTACAGGATCTTTATACAAAATGTTCCAAGTTTTTTCACTAAAACTACCAGCAACCTGATATTCTCTAAAAATAAAGAGATTATTTTCACCTTGTCATTAGAAATAAAATATATTTGCTTCTGTCTCAATTAAGGCACATGTCACCTGAAATATGTAATACGTTATAAGATAATAATATACTAAAATGAACTTTTTACATTAGCCATACTCAAGTTTTACTTTTCTTGTGTTTCTATTTCTGGGTTTCTTTTATTGGAGATAAGAAGGTATGAAAGTAAAAACTGTGAATGATATAAATTTGAATATTATGGTTTATCTACCTATATAAATTGTCTGTTTTGCCGTCTGTCTCTTACAACAATTGAGTTTCTCATCTAGCAAGGCAAAAGGCAAGCAGCAGTAGTTATTCAGGGGCAAGAGTATAACCAATAAACCTGAGCAAATAACTTTATAACCCTGGAGCTTATTTGAGATGTTAACACAGATGCTTGGCAAATCCATGGGGAATGTTTGGCAAATGTTTGATTCACCAATGCCTTAAACTTGTTAAGCATAAAGCTAATAATTACCAAGAAAATAATTTTGTGATTTTTTTTCTGAACATAATCTCTAAAAACAGTGCTTCTTTTTAATACTTAGTATAAAAATAGAAAAGGCTATGAAATGCAAAGAAGGCAAGAAGGCTGGGAAATTATGTGCACACACACACACACACACACACGACTGAAGTGTGGCAAAGATAAAGCTTTTAACATTTAAAATTAAAGCCATATTATTGATTACTCAGTTTACACAGATTCTTTTTCAAAGATAATTTACATATTTATAATTCTGTAATATGTTTTGCTATTCGTATTCTGATAAAACACATGCAGAATTTAAATCTAGTATCATTTAGTGTTCAACTTTTTTGACGGTTGATTAATTTTCAAAATGATGAAATTGTTGAGAATAAATGAAATAGTACTCGGAATTAGTATTTTAAAGCTCTGGAAACTCCCAATAAATTATACTTGGTTATGGATAGATATTGGCTTTTAGTAAGTTGTCTTCTTTAGTAAGATAAAGCCAAGAATAATATTGGTCTTTAGAATTCAATTTGGGTTGGTTTGGTGTATTTCAATACAAAGTGTACCCGGAGATTATCTGTACAAATATCACACATGTGCACACACAGGCACAAACTCACACAAACCCAGAAATACTCTGCAAGCCACAGAGGTTCATTATTTCCAAAGAATATGCCTGCTAAGTAATACTTCTTAGCTTCTAACTCAGAATAAAAGCAATTTATATAAAGGAGGGGGAAGGATGTTGGTTATTAAAGAAAAAATAGACTTAATTAAAGTCAGCACCTGTATACAATTGCCTCTTTAAGCCTCAAGATAAGTTATTGATTTTCTTTTTTAAATCCATATTATTAAATTTCTCTTTAATTCTTTCTTTACCGTGGAATACATATATTTTTTTTCAATGTATGTTCAGTGTATTTCATTTGGGAAATAATAATCATAAAAATAAGTTTCTGAATGTATACAGTATAGAGGGATATTTCCCTATATATATTTTCATAAATGATTAGTCTGTAACTAATCCATGAAATAAAATTAAAGTAGCTGATGGTGAAAAATTTCCCAAAACTTTGGGAGGTTTACTTTTTTTCTGTGCTCACATAGAATTTGCATTGACTTTCTTTATGGGGTCCAATCATTATAGCCATTGAAGGAACAAATTTAGATTTTCATGAAGTTACTTGCTTGCTGCCACACGAAAGTGAATGGACTTGTGTTATATCATATTGGACAAATGTGCCCACTTCTGTAAACAGGATATCTCATTACATTTCCTATTGTCTCTGCAGTCAACTTTGGGTTTCAGGAGCTTGAGGACTGTTTTCCAAAGCTGCAGACATTTGCTGCTGCTTCTAGCTGGTTATTTGCCCCCAACAAAGAGAGGAAAGGCATAAATCCCCAAACAAACACAAATAGCTTAGCTGATTGTTAGCAACTGTGCTTAAAAGTTTGATGGTTTTGAATAGCCAATTGGTGGTTAAAATGAGGTTTAGAGAAGCTAGGGCTATTCCATTTTTACCTTTGTTCTCACTTTTTCCAGGAATCAAAGATAATTTAAAATTGGCTGAACTTTAAAAATATTCTCAGAATTAAGCATTATCTAAAAATTGATTTCTTCTTGGATATGGCATAGAAGACTCACACACAGATGTAATGTTGGCGGTTTTGACCATTTGAGAGTAGCCTTGATTGCCCATGACATGTGATTTGTAACTTTATTGAGACTCACATTTGATTTCAGTGCTTTAAGGCCAAAATAGGGGAGGCAATCATTTGGAAGACCCTCATTGATCATTTGAATTCAGCTCTTCTCAGCTCTCATGTTCTCTGCTTCTCATCTCGCACACAGTAATTCTCTTTACTTTTATTACATTCTAGGAGGGAAATGTATGTCTACATGAGAGTTTCAGTTTCTTCATCTCTAAAATGGGGCTAACAATAGTGACTAACTCAGGACTGTTTTAAGAACTAAGTGAGACACTCTATATAAAGTCATAAACAGAGTGCTTGACACAAAATAATTGGTTGCTGTTAATATTTTTGCACCTTAATTTGTGATTCAATGGGTGAAGTCACAGGTAATTACAGTAAATCGTTAAAAAAAAGAACCATACATTTTTATTATTTAATATAATTGAAAGTTTTTTAAAAGAGTCTCACAAGTACTTTTCTACTGAAGAGTACTGTTCCCATTTGTCATTAGTCTTTTTTCTTTGTTCTTTTATTATAAATTGACAATTTATAATTGTATATATTTATGGGGTACAAAGTGATGTTATGACTTATGAATACAATGTGGAATAATTAAGTTAAGTTAATTAACATATCTATCAGCTCAAATGCTTATCATTTTTTGGGATGAAAACATTTGAAATTTACTCTTGTCGTAATTTCAAAATGTGCAATACATTATTATTAATTATATTAACCATGCTATGCAATCAATTAAAGAAAACACTTATTCCTCCTGTCTAACTGAGATTTTGTACCCTTTGTCAAGCACTTTCTTTTCTTTTTTTTTTTTTGATACAGAGTCTTGCTCTGTCACCCAGGCTGGAGTGCAGTGGCACGATCTTAGATCACTGCAACCTCTGGCTCCCAGGTTCAAGCGATTCCCCTGCCTCAACCTCCAGAGTAGCTGGGATCTCAGGCACACACTACCACACCTGGCTAATTTTTGTATTTTTAGTAGAGACGGGGTTTTACCATGTTGGCCAGGCTGGTCTCGATCTCCTGGCCTCAAGTGATCCACCTGCCTTGGCCTCCTAAAGTGCTGTGATTACAGGCGTGAGCCACCGCGCCTGGTCTCAACATTTTCTCATTCTCTCCACCCCCCAGGCTCTGTAACCATCATGCTACCCTTTGCTTCTATGAGTTTGATTGTTTTAGATTCCACCTATGAATGAAAATATTCAGTATTTGTTTTTCTGTGCCTGGCTTATTTTACTTAGCATAATGTTCTCCAATTCCACCCACAATGTTGCAAATGACAGAATTTCCTTCTTTTTAAGGGCTGAATAGTATTTCATTCTGAATACATGCCACATTTTCTTTATCCATTCATCTATTGATGGACACTTAGGTTGATTCCATAACTTGGGTATTGTGAATAATGTTGCAATGAAGATAGGAGTGCAGACATACTGATTTCAAACCTTTTGGATAAATACCCAGAAGTGGGATTTCTGGATAACATGGTAATTCTAATTGCAGTTTGTGAGGAACTTCCATACGGTTTTCTATAATGGCTATACTAATTTATATTCCCACCAACAGTGTAAAAAGGTTCCATCTTCTCAACATTGTTATTAGTCTTACCAGAGACGGCTGCAATGTTAGTCCATCGGGAATCATCTCCTTCCCATGCACTGTCTCTTTCAGAGATTAATTTGTTTTTATATTTAGTATTTTATGTTAGACTTTACCTGTTGCAGAATGCATGGGTGTATGTGTGTACATGTGTGCAAGCTGTCTCTTTGCCTGGCTATCAGCGTGAGCCACAGCTTCTTTTCACATCTTTTCACATCTGAAATTTACATTGAAATACAGACATCAGTCAAAATTGCTCTCTTCCAAAGACAATACAATCTTAATTAACAGAAAGTGTATTATGCTTAAAATATAACAAAGCAGAACATGGAAATCAAACAAGTTAGCTCAGGGTACTACAAAAGCATGTTAAATAATGAAAGGAATACCACATTAGAAGGCAAGAGCCCTAGATTCTGTATTGTTTGATGTTGGACAAGTAGATGCATCTCTTTAAGCCTAATGTTCTAATCTAGATCATCTTGATTGTCCCTTTCAACTCTAATAAAATAACATAATCTTAGCTCTATCAATTTCCACATATTTTCCTTGGGGAAGAATCAAGTTTCAAATTCAATCACTTCAAGGTAATTTTCTACTATTTATAAAGAAAGTAAAAATTGAACCAGGTCATATGCAACTTGATGTTTTTGTATGTAAATCCCTTATTTTCTGTAAAAATTCTATAAGGAGAATAGCTGAATCCTATTTTATATTTTATATAAAAAGGTCTGTTTTCTAAAATTACTTGTTTAAAAACTCAAATTTATTAAAAAACACAGACTACTCTGTGTATGTAACTTTTATTGTAATGTTAACCTTTATTATGTTTATGAATGCAAGCTATGGATTCATAGCTCTCACAGCTAGAGGGTCTTCATAAATAAAGCAACCCACTCAGATCTGCATGTTTCAGATAGCAAGGCAATAAGCAAACCAACAGATGGATGCATTTTTAACTAGTCAGCCCATTGCTATCTTTTGGTAAGAAAATTCTCTTGCAGGTTGTAACAAAATCTTTCACTGGGTGGAAAAAGAAGTACAATCTCAGAATCACATGTTTTCTAAGAGAATTATATATTTCAGTACTTTGATAACCTATTCAGATTTTGTATAGTGATAAATTAAACTAAATGATTGGTGTAAAAACAAATCAAGCAAAATAATTTAAGGTTATTGTAAATTTGAGAGACGAATAAAATTGCCGTCAGTATCTAGTTTCTTTTTTGTTTTAACTGAGTTGAGTAAGCCAGTATGATCCAATTCAATTCAAGGCTGTTTTTGAAATATTGTGAGAAAAGAATCTACAATATTATGCTTCAATTTTTAATTTGTATTATACTGACAAATAAGTTCGGAAAAAGATGCTCTTTGCTTTGGAAAAACTGCTATAAAAGTGAGAAGATAATATTTATCAAAAGAAGCCAGATGCAAAACTGTGAAAGGTTTTCAGAGATTATATTGGGTAGTTCCCAATATTAAATGAATATCTTTTCCTAAAAAGAAAAAAAATAGGCTATCAGATTATCTCTTCATATGCACAGAGAAAAGGGAATGGATAAATAAAGTAATTATTTTGATAATCCAGGCACTTAAAACTTTTCTCTGAAATATCCACATGATTGATATGATAATTTTGACTGAATTAGTCAAATTGCTCTTTCACAGTTTGCCTTCTCATTACAGGAGTAGATACAATCTAAGTGTGGCTGTAACATTTATAAATGCAGAACACTAAACGCATAGCTTACAGTACCTTTCAAGATTCAACCGATTATATACAATCACTTACCTTATGGCAACATAGGTAGTCACAATTTATCATCCTCTTCTTCAAAAGCACATACTTAGGACTTTTCCTCTGGAACCCTGTAGCAGTGCCATAGAAAACATTTCAATGTATGACACTCGACCATTCTGACCACTCAGTTATTGCCAACTACTGTGGCATATACATATATGAAATATAGGTAGCAGAGCAAACCCTGAGCAAATAATTAAATGAATAATGTTTTCCACGATAATTAGTCCATTTTATAAAATGTGTTAATATCAAAATAGTATATACTTCTGCAGAAGCTACAAAAATGCCATCAGTCCTAAATTGAAAGTTTAATGGGATGTTTCTATCGCAAATCTGATAACAATTTGCTAAAATTTTTATTTAATACGACTACATTTTTATTTTTTTTAAGTTGGAAATACAGACTAGAGGGGAGAAACAGTTATACAAAGGCTCCAAATGATCTATTAATATCAGTAAACTCACTGTAAGAAACTGAAAGTGCCTCCTGGAATCTATTTTCATCACCTTGATGAAAATTATGTATATAAAACTAGATTTACCTTTTGTCTTCAGAAAATGGAGGAGGAACAGATTTGTTGATTATGGCTAGAAAGATGAGAAAGATGCTTTAATGTTAATATTAAATGAGAGAAGGCAGAAGACCTATATAACTTAATTTTTCTTCTTTTTCACTGAGATGAAGAGATGGACTTTCTAACTGATAAGAAACAGGAAGGAGGCCGGGCGCAGTGGCTCATGCCTGTAATCCCAGCACTTTGGGAGGCTGAGGCGGACAGATCACAAGTTCGGGAGATTGAGGCCAGCCTGGCCAACATGGTGAAACCCCGTCTATACTAAAAATACAAAAATTAGCCGGGCGTGGTGATGGGTGCCTGTAATCCCAGCTACTCAGGAGGCTGAGGCAAGATAATCACTTGAACCTGGGAGGTGGAGGTTGCAGTGAGCTGAGATCGTGCTACTGCACTCCAGCCTGGGCAATAGAGCGAAACTCTGTCTCAAAAAAAAAAAAAAAGGAAACAGGAAGGAAAAAAGATCGAAAACTTAAGCAGTCAATAATCGGGTAGTGTGTTAGATGCCAGGCTATGGTGTTGACTAAAGCAGAAAAAATTTCTCCAGGATGAAAGGAAAAAAATGAAAATAAAGAGAAATCTTAAATGATTATAAATCTCTGAGTACAATCCAACTCTCTCTCGAGAAAATAAGGCAACTTACATGTGCAATTGTGGAATCATGATTGATCGTCTTTAAAACACATTGAGAATGAAAAAGATATGAAAAAACTGGCCAGTGACAAACGGCATCTTGGTATTTGAAGACTGAAAAGGCTAGGCTATAGAAACTACAAACTAGTAAGATTAATGATTATCTCTGGGAAAATGTCCTGACAATCCTAACAGATTATTAAACAGACAGCTTGGCAACATGTAGAGAAGGAAAAGGTAATTATTAGACATCAGAATTTTTTTTTTTTTTAAATTTTGAGATGGAGTCTCACTCTGTCGCCCAGGCTGGAATGCAGTGGCACGATCTCAGCTCACTGCAACCTCCACCTCCCCGGTTCAAGTGATTCTCCTGCCTCAGCCTCCGGAGCAGCTGGGATTACAAGCATGCACTACCACGCCAGGCTAATTTTTGTATTTTTAGTAGAGATGGGTTTTCACAATGTTGGCCAGGCTGGTCTCAAACTCCTGACTTCAAGTTATCTGCCCACCTTGGCCTCCCAAAGTGCCAGAATTACAGGCGTGAGCCACGGCGCCCGTCCAGGCATCAGAATTGTCACACTAAATTCAACTCGTACCTTGGTACAAAAAAACAAAAAATTGGCCCCCATAGTAGGCCAATAAAGAGTTGTTAACTGCTATTATTTTCTGGTGGAATAAGTTGATCAGATAACATCATCATCTATCTTGATTTTAGAAAGAGTTGACAAAATCTCTCATATCTTAATGGGCAAGATGGTTCTGTCTAGTTCAACACACTTATCAGTGACTAAGAGGACATCAAAAGCATGTTTATCATATCTTTGGTACACAACTGAGAAGAATAGCTAATTCACTGAGCAAGAACCAGACTTCAAATTCTCTTCATGCACTGGAAGAGTAGAATAAAGCCCCAAAGTGAAATTTTACTAAGATAAACATAAAGTCCTGGGTTTATATTTTTAGAAGGTCAATTATATAAGTCGATGATAAAGAAGCTGTGACTTTATATCAGTTGATGTGAGAAAAGATCTGTTAAGTTTAGTGGATGAAAAGCTCAACATGTTTCAACAACAGGATAGAGAAGATGATAAATCAAATGCAGTTTTAGGTTCACTAAACCAAACCCTAGTGTCCAGATGGAGAGAGGGGATGGTCCACGGTAGCTCCACAACTGTAGCTGGGGCTCCACTTCCGGAGTCCACATTTTTACAGAGACATTGACAAATGACAAAAATCTGGGGGAGGGCCACAAGAATGGTTGAGCCTCGAGGCCATGTCTTATGAGAAACTGTTGAGGGGAGTGGGTAATATTTAACAGAGAGAAGCAAAGCTTGGCAGACCATGACGGCAGTCCCCCAGTGAAGGGAGAGTTGTCATCTGGAAGAGGAGCACCCTCACTCAATTTTGTTCCAAGGGCAGAACTAAAAGCAGCAGATAGCTTTTAAAAAAATTTTGTTTATTTATTCATTTTTTGAGACAGGGTCTCACTCTCTGGTCCAAGGTGGTCTTGAACTCCTGGGCTCAAGTGATACTCTTGCTTCCAGAGTAGCTGAGACTACAGGCATGCGCCACTACACCCAGCCAGCAGGTAACTTTATAAAAACAGCAGATTTCTTGTCAATATAAGGAAAAACTGTCTTAGAATTTGAGTTTTTCTGTATCTGCTGTTCTGTTAAGTAGTGGCCCCCAGCTCCGGTTAACCATCTATTAGCACCGTTGTACGAGGGAATTCCTGTGTTGATAGGAAAATTGAATTTCGTAACCTCTAAGAGTCTTTATGAAATGATGGCTGAAATAAGCAAATTGCAAGGCAATCTGGAAAGAATGAGCTGTGGAGGCTCTGCAGAGGATGACAGCTATTGAAAATGTCTATGTGGATTAAGATGGGAGTACTGATCATAGGAGAGATTGGCAAGAGGAATTAATGATCTAGGACAGTGCTGTCTGTAAGAATATAATGTGTAACATATACGTAAGCCACATTTGTAAGCTTAAACATTTTAGCACCCATATTTAAAAAGTAAAAAGAACCAGGAGAAATTAACTTTAATAATATATTTTATTTTACCCCATATATCCAAAATATTCCCATTTTAACATAGACTTAAGATTAATGAAGTTATCAAGGAGATATTTTACATTTTTTATATTAAGTATTTGAGGACCTTTGTTTATATTACACTTACAGGACATCTGAATTCACACTAATCTTATTTTGAGTGCTCAGTAACCACATATGGTAAGTGGCTACCATATTGGACAGCAAAGATGAGGGAAAAAAGTCTCTGAGCATGGCTAGTTAAAATAAAAGGGATTATTAGCAAAATCAAGGTGAACTGTACAGGTTACCAAGAAATTCTGGAGACACGGCCAAAATAAAGAGGGTAACTGCGGAATGTTTTCATTTTGGCAGCCGCAAGAGTGATAAGAGCCAGGAATACAGGTGGAGTTTGACCAAACTGAGCAGAGAATCCAATTGAGGCTGAACTGCACCTGCCCCACTCCTGGTTGCTCTGGCAACCAGACTCCCTCCCCATGCTAATGACATTATAATGAGAACATCCACATGCAAATGAATTAAGCAGTAATTACAGGCAGATCCTCACTTGTTCTACTAGCTCAGCTTAAGAGGGTGGTGGTTGAGAGAGGAGTTGGGGAGAGTTTGATACTGCACAGGGGAGACTGGGAAAGGAAAGAATTTGAGTTACAAAATAAAACGGTTATCTGGAACCTATATAACAGGCAATAAAGTCATGTGGTTACATATTCACATTGTTACTTCCGTGGTTTTTCTTGCTGTTACCATTACTCATGGGAGAGAGACCACCCAGGCGGAAAAGGGGAAAGAACAGAGAAACAACAGTAACTCTATAGGAAAGGCACAGATTTTGGGAGAAATGTCATCTTCCTCCCCTCCTTGGTCCTCCCATTTCAAAAGAAATTACTTATGGTTTGCTCTACCTTCCAACCCATCCATGCGGAGCTACAGTGAAAACATCGAAACTCTGGAAAAAGATAAAAAGTAGAAAGAAAGCTTGTCTTTAATTCTTGGTTCTGATTTTTTCTTAATTGCTTTTTGTAGTTTTCCCCAAGTTGATCAGAGCCACGTTGTAATTAATGAAGAATAAGTTGAATACTGAACTTCAGAAACTTGATAACCCTGGCCACATGGAGACCTTTACTGATGTGGGAATAGTGTGTATACTGAAGTTTTGCATCTTATAGGAATTTTTAGGTTTCCAGAATCATGCTAGGTCTCTCATTAAATATATATGTGTGTGTGTGTGTGTGTGTGTGTGTGTGTGTATATATATAATGCTTACGTAAAGAAAGAATGGTTAATGATATGCTCAGAAAATATTCAGATCAAACTATTAGACATGCATTGGGGGTACATCACTTTGGCTAGCATACCAATAGACATGATAACATTATTTACACTACACATCAATATATGGCCTTTACTTTCCATCGTTCAAGGTGTTGAAGTGGGCCAGGCGCAATGGCTTAAGCCTGTAATCCCAGCACTTTGGGAGGCTGAGGCGGGTGGACCACCTAAGGTCAGGAGTTCAGGACCAGCCTGGCCTACGTGGTGAAACCCCGTCTCTACTAAAAATGCACACACACACAAAAATAGTTGGTCATGGTGGCAGGTGCCTATAATCCCAGCTACTCAGGAGGTTGAGGCAGGAGAATTGTTTGAACAGGGGAGGCGGAGGTTGCATTGAGCCGAGATCACGCCATTACATTCTAGCCTGGGCAACAAGAGTGAAACTCTGCCTCAAAAAAAAAAAAAAAAAAAAAAAAGATGTTGACGCGACGCGAGGACGTGGTGGGACCTCTGGTGCAAAATTCCGAATGTCCTTGAGTTTCCCGGTAGGAGCTGCGGTCAACTGTGCTGACAACACCGGAGCCAAAAGCCTGTATATCATCTCCACGAAGGGGATCAAGGGACGGCTGAACAGACTTCCCGCTGCTGATGTGGGTGACATGGTGATGACCACAGTCAAGAAAGGCAAACCAGAGCTCAGAAAAAGGGTACCTTCAGCAGTGGTCATTTCACAACAGAAGTCATACTGGAGAAAAGGTGGCATGTTTCCTTATTTTGAAGATAATGCAGGGGTCATAGCAAACAATAAAGGTGAGATGAAAGGTTCTGCCATTACAGGACCAGTAGCAAAGAAGCGTGTAGACTTGTGATCCCAGATTGTGTCCAATGCTAGAAGCATTGCATGATTCTCCAGGATTATTTTTTTGTTAAAAATAAAAATAAAAAACTTTAAGCCAATTAAAAAGTATTTGTTCCCAAAACAAAACAAAAAACCCCCCAAAAATATGGCCTTTAAATATGCATTCATAAAGGAAATGATAATCGCCTAATTACCTAGTGCTTACTATATTCCAGGGACTATTGTAAGTTGCACAGCAACCCTGTGAGATAAGCATTATTGTCAGCCCATTTTACAGATAGGGAAACAAGGCAACTTGCCCAGGTTCCTAAGTGGCAGATCCAAGAACTGAATCCAGTTAGCTTAGCTCCAGAATCCACAGATGTGTATCATAAGATATCAAGGATAGATCCTTCAAAAAGATAAACCAATCTTTGTTAACGTTTCACTAATCAACTATTTTGCTATCTAGTAGAACTACTAATACAGTATTGTAAAATTATTTATTATGACTATTACATTTAGAATAAAAAATGGAACAAGTAGGCCAGTTTGCCTGGAATGGAAGGTTCACTTAGGACATAAGAGGAAGGTGTTGATAAGTGCCCAATTGTCAAGGAATACTGAATAAGAAAGGCTCCAGAAGGATGCCACTGAAAGTTTTTGATGTGAGGAAAACAGTATTTGAGGAAATGTAATTTAACAGTAGAGTGCAAATATAGCAGGGAAAAGAGATGAGTTATTGGGATCAGTTAAACTACATTTTTTACCCAAGCGCATGAATGTAATAATGGTAGTAGTATGGATGAAAATAATTAACAAACAGAAACTTTCAAGGCAAAAACCCAAATGAAACTCTGGATATTGGCTAAAGTGAGATAATTGAGGAATTAGGATTAAATCTCAGACTTTCTGCCAAAGTTTATTTCTTTCTTTCATTTTCCTTTTTTTTTTCCTGAGATGCAGTCTTGCTCTGTCACCCAAGCTGGAGTGGTGTAGTGGCACGATCTCAGCTCACTGCAACCTCTGCCTTGGGTTCAAGTGATTCTCCTGTCTCAGCCTCCTGAGTAGCTGGGATTCCATGTGGGTGCCACCACATCTGGCTAATTTTTTTTTGTATTTTTCAGCAGAGAGGGGGTTTCACTATGTTGACCAGGCTGGTCTCGAACTCCTGACCTCAAGTGATCCACCTATCTCAGCCTCCCAAAGTGCTGGGATTACAGGTGTAAGCCAATGCACCCAGGCAAGATAAGGGGAGGTTTCAGTGGCAAATGGATTCAGACACGATTTCAGTGTGGACATCTATGACTCTTGGGGCCAGATTATTCTTTGTTGTGGGCACTTCCCTGTGCATTGCAGGGTGCTTAGCAACACTCTTGGCCTCTACTCACTAGAAGCCAGTAGCACCCTTCCCAGTGCAACAGTGTCTCCAGACATTGCCACATGTGTGCTGGGATGGGGGTGGGCTGTGGAGGGAAAGCAATAAAATCACCCTTGATTGAGAAACACTGGTTTAGGGAATTAGAGTGTGAGTTTAGTAGAGGAGTTTGAGGCACTAGGTGGGACAAACAGGTGAGAGCATCAGGAGGCCTGGGAAAGGCAAAACTGAAATTCCAGAGATTAGAGAGAGAGAGAGAGAGAGAGACAGAGACAGAGACCAGAGCTGAATAGGAAGATTTGAAGGTTTTGTATTATCTCACAAAGGAGCAATAGTGGATAAGATATCTGAAGTGGGGATTTAGAACAACACCAACAAAAAAAGCGTAGAACTCTGGAATAAACAAACTCAAAGGAAGAGAAACTACCCATGAAGGAAACATAGGCAGTGTCCTGAGGTGAGAAGAAGCCAAGGCTTGGCAATGAGATCAATCCCAAAGGTGAGAGCCGTGCAAAGGAGGGAAACCTTCAGTTCTCCAGGAGTGACAGAGAAGTCATTTGGACAGACACTGTTGGTTAGGGCCAGGCGCAGTGGCTCATGCCTGTAATCCCAGCACTTTGGGAAGCCAAGGCAGGTAGGTCACTTGAGGTCAAGAGTTCAAGAATAGCCTGGCCAAAATGGTGAAACTCTGCTTCTACCAAAAATATGAAAATTACTTGGGCTTGGTGGTACATGCCTGTAATCCCAGCTACCTGGGGGTGTGAGGCATGAGAATCGCTTGAACCAGGGAGCAGAGGTTGCAGTGAGTCAAGATTGAGCCACTGCACTCCAGCCTGGGCAACAGAGCGAGACCCCGTCTCAAAACAAAAACAAAAACAAACAAACAACAACAACAAAACCAAAACTGTTGGTTAGGATGATGAACAGGTCCCCAGGAAAGACAAATTACATTGAGGTCTCTGTGGGTGGTGGTAGGGTGATGGTGTTGAACTAGATTTCAAAAATGTAAAGAGTGAGTGGAAGGTGAAGAAGAGAGGGTGGCTGGATTATTCTTTGGGGGCTGTTTGGCACCGACAATTAGAAAATGGCAAGGTCAATTAAACAGGAAGAATTTGCCTTTTTAAGATATAGAATGATACGGGGAGTTTTATGAAAAGCAGGCAGGGAGAAATCTCTGAGAAACCAGGGTCTTAAAGAAAGTTCAAAGGCCCTGTCTTTTTGTTTTTGTTTTTTTGAGACAGGGTCTCACTCTGTCACCCAGGCTGGAGTGCAGTGGCACCATCTTGGCTCACTGCAACCTCTGCCTCCTAGGCTCAAGCGATCTTCCGGCCTCAGCCTCCCTAGTAGCTGGGACTACAGGCACATGCCACCATGCCTGGTTAATTTTTGTATTTTTTGTAGAGATGGGTTTTCACCATGCTGCCAGGCTGGTCTTGAACTCCTGAGTTCAAACAGTCTACCTGCCTCAGCCTCCCAAAGTGCTGGGATGACAGGCATGATCCACAGCGCCAGGCTAAAGGCCCTGGTTTGATCTTCAAACAAGAAGGCAAACTTTTGGGATGAACATAGTGCTGTAAGCATCTCTTCTTAGAAATCTCAAGAGCAAAACATGGAACAGAAAATAAAGATGCCAATTTACTTCTTCATGAAACAGGAAAGCCAACTTAAAAAAAAACTTTGGGCAGGGCACGGTGGCTCACGCCTGTAATCTCAGCACTTTGGGAGGCCAAGGCGGTTGGATCACGTAGGTCGGGAATTCGAGACTAGCCTGGCCAACATGGTGAAACTCTGTCTCTACTAAAAATACAAAATTAGCTGGGCGTGGTGGTGCATGCCTGTAATCCCAGCTACTCGGGAGGCTAAGGTAGGAGAATCACTTGGACCTGGGAGGCAGAAGTTGAGGTGAACTGAGATCACGCCATTGCACTCCAGCCTGGGCAACAAGAGCAAAACTCCGTCTCAACAAACAAAACAAAACAAAAAACTTTGTAAGAGAAGGGGGTCATGATATGCCTTTAGTACTTTTTGATGTTTGACTCCTATAAATATGTATTACTTTTTGCAAAACAATTAGTAAATTTTGTCCAAAGAAAGGCAAAATCTGGAAAATAAAATATCACGCTGTTTTGGTCTTCTCTCAAAAAGAGAATTCCAGAATTACATAGTGCACAATTTTTAAAACGCATCACTCATGGGTGTGGGACTGTGTAACACTGGCTGTTTGCCAATTGCCTGAGTCAGTTGTTAGGATGTCGAAGCCAGAGGACTGTAATAGTCTTAAGTAAGTGCAGCTGAGGGGGAATATCTTAGACAATTTGTATGAAAAGTGTATTTTAATACACTAAAAGTCTATGGAATCATCTACTTTTAAAAGTTTGTTTGATGTATAATCTTGAGTCCCTTAGAGGCAAGACTTTTCAACAACTAAAATCTTTCGTTTTTGAATTTACTTTCCATTTTTATCAACATGTCCATCTGTCTATGCATTTAGGGTTTACTAGAATCAGAGATAATTACCAGGTACAAAAATTTCAGATTGTTAATTTATTCTACATTTTATTATAAAATTTTATTTTTAAAATTTGTGTTCTAAAATTACACATATTCACTGCAACTTTTATTCTAAAAGTTTTATATGCTACTCTCTTGATCACAGAGAGTAGCATATATCCTGCTTTTTTTTTGGTTTGTTTTTGAGATGGAGTTTCACTCTTGTTGCCCAGGCTGGAGGGCAATGGCACTATCTCAGCTCACTGCAACCTCCACCTCCCAGGTTCAAGCGGTTCTCCTGCCTCAGCCTCCTGAGTAGCTGGGATTACAGGCATGCACTACCACGCCAGGCTAATTTTTTGTTTTTAGTAGAGATGGGGTTTCTCCATGTTGGTCAGGCTGGTCTCAAATTCCCGACCTCAGGTGGTCTGCCCACCTTGACTTCCCACAGTGTTGAAATTACAGATGTGGGCCATCATGCCTGGCTATATACTGTTTGAAAAGTTTCAGTGAATGTGTGTAATTTTAGAAAAAAGTATAAATTTATTCTAAAGTATTCTAAAATATTTTAAAATTATTTTATTCTAAAATTACACACATTCACTGAAACTTTTAAAACAGTATATATGCTACTCTCTGTAATCAAGAAAATCTCCCCTTTCATTATTGTAGTTGTTACCATAAGCAAATTTAATACAGGCATAAATAATACATCCATGTTGGCAAACGAACTTCATATAAAATTCAGAAAATCTAAGTATTGAATACAATATGCTGAACTTGGTTTCATTTAATTGATTTTATAGGCCTTTATTTTGTGAGTCATGGAATAATACCTTGAGGATTTCAGAAATTTTAATGATAAAGCTTTATTGTGGTTTATCTAAACCTCCTTTCATGTTCCCTTTTCAGTTGCTCTATGGAAAAGTACTTATTGAAAAGGATTCACTGAAAAAGATTATTTGTGAAATGCATACTAAAATATTTCATGAAAAGCATTTAATTTGAATGAAATATTTTACATTATTACTGACATTATAAGATCACAGATCTTTATCTTTTCAGAAAAGAGCATGTGCATTCCACATATATTCAAACATTCATACGTAGCTTTTGAGTGCCATGCATTGTGTTATGTGCTAGGAATGCTGTAAGGTCCAAAGCACTTAACACAATGTTGTAAGGACCAGAGCGACAAAGTCTCTGTCCTCTTAGAGGTAAATTTAGTGAGAGAGGGACGAAAACACAAATGAACAAATCACATAATGTAATAAATAAGATGAGTGGTTTCTGTTACAGGAATAGGGTGTCAGACAAGGCCACTTGGATGAGGTGGTATATCATATACATCACATGCCCTGTGGTGTACCCTTGGTGTTTATATATGTAATATATACATTGCATTGCCATGTATATTTTTATCCTGAGTTCAAACAAAACTTGGCTCTTCAAAATTAGAATGTCAGTTTCTAAGTGCCCTATTAAAAAGGAACAGATATTCAAAACACAAATTAAGGCCAGGTGCAGTGGCTCATGCCTATAATCCCAGCACTTTGAGAAGCCGAGGCCGGTAGATCACGAGGTCAGGAGTTCAAGAGCAGCCTTGCTAGCATGGTGAAACCCCATCTCTACTGAAAATACAACAATTAGCCGGACATGGTGGCACACACCTGTAATCCCAGCTACTCAGGAGGCTGAGGTAGGAGAATCGCTTGACCCCAGGAGGTGGAGGTTACAGTGAGCCAAGATCACGCCACTGCACTCCTGCCTGGGTGACAGAGCGAGACTCTGTCTCAAACAAGAACAACAACAAAACCCCACAAATTAATTTGTTTTAACATAATTTCTTGCCTGCATTTAATCTAGTTATTTAAATCATAGTTTAATTCTAACATGTAAACTTTGTTTATTGGAAACACACATTCAATAAATTCTTATTGTCCTTAGGTTACATTTTTTGTTTGACTTACAGTTTAAGAACCAGGTTCAGATATACTATAATTACTGTGTCTTAAATAACTCCAAATTTGTTCTTAATAATCACTAACAATCATATGCTTGACTTTGTTTTTGTTCTCTTTCACCACCCACACTTTGGTCCACAATTTATATATACAAACTAAATGTAAACTTTCCATCAAAAAGAGGAAGAACCTGTTATATCCATCATGACATCTCTCTACCATTTGTATACATAGTAAATATGAAATATTTTTATTGCATCCATGTCCCAAATAAATGTTGTTTTAAATGCAATATGATGTTAAAATTGTAGCAACGTATACAACTCAAACAAGAGAATATATTCAGGAACGGATATAATAACTTGACCAAAATATAGTTTAACTCTTTTTATGTGTATGATTAAGATTCATAAAATGCTAGAAAAAACAATAATAATAAGATGTAAAAAGTAATTAATATGGACAAGTTCAAAGGACATCAGTGTAGACATTAACACTATACCTAGGTAAGACGGGTTTTCCCTGATCATCTTGAAGTGCCAGCTTCAGGATATGGCTGGCATTTTTCTAGGGTTGTTTCTAAACACAACAATTTATTCATTTAGCAAGAGTTCCAATTATTTTACACTCAATGAAGTTACTGCTCTGGAGAAGTGTCTTTTATTTGCAGATTTTATAGATTTCTATGCGTTAGTAACCAATACCCCTAGATGCACCTGCAAATGGTTTCTTTATACTGTGGTTATAAACAAGACTGGATCATGAAATGTTGGCACAATTTTTAGGATATTAACTTGAAAAATCATTCTGAACTTGCATAGGAATTTCAGGCTCCTGATATCCTCAATTCGAGTGATAAAATCTAACTGCTTGGCCTGATCATTTTTAGTATGGTCCAGGCCAGCAATTTCCAAACCTTGGTTTTCTCACTCTGTAAGTTGTCTTCAGTTTTCTTACATGGCCTTGAAAATATTTTTAAAAATAAGAACCAATCGACTAAACAAAAATATACTGATCAGTCATTAAGCAACTAGTATGTGTTTAGTATTGTATTAGGGCCAAAGGGGAACCACTGCCCATGGTACCTGCATTTGGAGATTGTCATTTTGTTGAGAAGATGAGATAGAGACAAATAGTATGCAGAGGTTAAAGCAGGAGAATAGAATCCAAATTTAACTATAACACATCCTACCATCACACATTAAATGGGTGAGTGCCTGTGTATGTGTGTGTATATGTGCCATGGGGTTCTCTGAAATCAAAGGAACAACACTTGGGTATAAGTTACAGGTTGTTAATGCATAGTGATGTAAAAACATAGCTTGTATTTTTGTTCTTGCTCTGCTCTTAACCCAATCTGTATCCCATTTTTTTGAGAAAATTACTTAAAAGGGAGGCTTCTAAGGAAAACTGAAAGGAAGTGGATGGACGGCTTGGCCCATTCTCTGCGTCTCTCAGCAGCTGCCCACATGAGAGCGTCCAAGTAACCATCGCCTTTGCCGGGCTGCATTGTTCTGACCCTCTCGGACCAGTGTAGTTGTGCTAACTCAATTTATGAGATGCAGCAACATCTGGTGGCACTGGCATCCTGGTTCAGCGCCGATTGTCAATCCGTGTCACCAGATGAATGTGTACTAAGTGCCTGTTGGGGTGTGTGATAATAAAGCCTGCATTAGCAAATGTTGGGGGCAGGGTCAGGCGGGGGCATTCTCGAGCCCCCCATGCAGTGCAGCGGAGTGGGCAACAAAGGGGAGGTGGCAGGATGCACAGAAGTGCTGATGCAGAAGGCCTGACACGCCGCAGGTGGTACGTGACATGTCGTGGCTTCTGGCTGTTGTTGGGTGTGATGATTGTCACAGACATGATGGATGACTTTCAGATCTTTCCCATTATATCATATCTGTAAGAAATTCCCTCTTCCTCAAATGTCTTTTTGTTTCCCCACCCCTGAGCTGCAGATGGCATCTGCCCACGCATTCCCATTGTGTGAAGCTCACAGAGAACCTCTCCATTCTTCTGGGATCCTGCTCATGGTTGAATTGCTAGCATTCAATTAAGACTTGAAATTATGGCTTTGGGCAGTTTAACCTCTTTTAACACAGTAATGGTAGCTACTCTGGACATTTAGGAATTTCCTGAGGTGTCCCCAATATATTTCATTAAGATCTGAAAAGATAGAATCAGTAAATAAGATAAAGGCAATTGTTTTCTTTTACCTGCTTCAGAATTAAATTATTTTTACGAAGAAAAAATATTCTTTTTGTGAATAAAGCCATTTGCATACATACAAGAATTCCTAACAAAATGTGAAGTGATGTTTCAGTTGCAAAATGCAGCCTGACAATATAAGAATTCCTATTAGGTGTAGAGGTTAAATATACATGAATTGATAGCCAAAGCTATAGCTTCTCCTTTATTTTCTCCCATTAGCTTAATGACATAGATTTTACATGTCTGATTTATGAAGTAAATGTTTTTTTCTTCGGAAGAGCTGCAATGATGAGTAATGTGGAAAAGAGCAGATTGGTTATACACAGCCTTTCCTGCTCCTTTCTAATGATTGTTCCAAACATTATGCTCAAAGAGAACATAAGCTGCAGTTATAGATAAGCCAGTGAATGGGCACAGGGATTTTCTTCTGAATTATAGAAAATGCAATATGCCATTCAGGTACTCCCAGTTCAACATATGCTCCATGATATTTGCAGCATGTAGGTGCTTTAAACTACTCAAATGAAACACTCCAAGCTAATGTTTAAACATTTATGGATTGAAGCAACACTAGTTATAGAGGGTAAAAGCCAGACAAATCCTTAGAAGTCTCGGATTAATTGTAAATAGTCAACCTCACACTCCAGGTTACAGAAAAATTGGGCTTAGAAGGTAGGATCAAGGCGCATACCTTGATGATTATCAACGGAATGTTGGAATTCCCAGGAAGGACTCCTTGTGTGCAGGTAAAGAATTAAAAGACTCTTGGAATTAGAAGAATGAAAAGACTCTTGGAAAACTCAGTATCAGGAGGAACACTCAGTTAACAGAGAGATAAGAAAGCAACTAAAAATAGGGGAGTTAGTGAAAAACAGAAAGGAATTAGGAAAAGCACCTGAGGAAAAGGAGAAAAGGAGTTATGGACCCAATAAACACAGGCCTCTGGGCCATTGACTGAGAAGAGCTAATGGTTTTTGAAGGTTGACTTAGGGAAATGACAACCCTAATCTACACTGAGGCATGACAAGGGAAAACAATAATATCCAACACTTATTAAGAGCTTACTATGTGCCAGACACTTTTCTAAGTGCTCTATATGTATCCAACAACTTTTCAAAGAACAGATACCCAATCCATTAATTGTTTATAATAGTGTCTGTTCAAGTCTTCTATATACATGCATTCTTTCTGGGCATTCTCAACCTAGCAAGCCACATGAATCTCTGGGTCCCATGCAGCAAACCACCATGGCACATGTATACCTATGTAACAAACCTGCACGTTCAGCACATGTATCCCAGAACTTTAAGTAAAATAAAAAAAAAAAAAATACGGATTCCTAAGACCCTCCCACAGAGGTCTTGGGCTACAGAGCCTTTTCTTTTAATAAGCCATCCAGATAATTCTTTATGCTCAGGATATTTTGGAAAACACTGACTTAAGAAAAAATAAAAGGCTTCCAAGAATTTTTGCTTTATAGATCATACTGCCACATCCAGAAGTAAGCAGAGGAAAAAAATATATATATATTAGGCAGTGTACACTCAATACATATTTTGAATGACTGCATGACAACTTTGGATTATAGAATATTATTAAAGAAACGTAGCCTAAAGTTCCAGAGTAGTTTGACAATAGATAAGAGAAATTTTCAAGTAAAAGTAGTGCTTAACTTGTCTTAATTAGAATTCTTAGAAGTAAATAACTTACAATTAGTACATTGCATGTTACTAAATTATTCATGACTTACTGCACAATAAATTTTGTCAAAGTGTGTGGACCAAGGATGGACTCTGTGGCCATGATACTGTCTGGTGCATTTCTTTCATTGGACTATAAACATCTGAAAGAGGATATTGCCTTCTAATGGGATGCCCTATGAAACCACACAGGCAAAACTCAACAGCCTCCTTCTCTGTCAGTTCCTAATCATGCAGCATTCTGACCTCAACTAGCAGAACTCTATGAGTCAAAAAGACTCCAAAAGAGGACATTCTTTTTTGGAAATTTCTACCATAGCGAGTGTCTTGTTCAAAAAAGATATTTGAGCTTTCTGAGAAAATCGCCAGTCCGCCTTTGTGTTATAGCAGAAAATAGGCTACAAAGGTGGTTGAAATTACTTCTTCTTTTTTTTTTTTGTAAAAGCCATAATCTGTGAAAATCAAATAATTACCAAAGTAAAAATGCTATCTCTAGTAAGGATGGCTTTCAAAAAGTCCTCACACAAAGGAAAATGTGGGAGTCTGGGCTGCAGAGCTGCCAAGCCCTTTCTGGGCACCAGATCCCAATTCATGATAGGAATGCAGAAGAAAAGCGGTGTGGAGAACTACCTCATCACAACAAAAGGTTTGGGCTTAGGTCCAGTCACTAAATTATGAGTCCAAAAATCAAGCTGAATATTTATAAAACTTTGAATTTTTTTAACACATGAATTAGAGGCATCATAAGCATCATTGCTATGAATGGATTATGAATATGTAGTAGACACCTAAGCAAAGTTGTGAAAACTCAAATTGTTTTCTGTTTTTTGTTCTTTTTAGACAGGGTCTCTCTCTGTCTCTCAGGCTGGAGTGCAGTGGCACAATCATGGCCCAGTGCAGTCTCGACCTCCCAGGCTCAAGCAATTCTCCCACCTCAGCCCCCCAAGTAACTGCAACTACAGGCACACACCACCACGCCTGGCTCATTTTTGTATTTTTTGTAGAGATGGGGTTTCACCATGTTGCCTAGGCTGGTCTCGAACTGGGCTCAAGTAGTCCTCCTGCTTCAGCCTCACAAAGTGCTAGGATTACAGACATGAACCACTGCGCCTGACCAAGTAAACAAAAACTTCATATCTTTGTAAAAAACTGCTTCCATGAAATGAAAGAGTGAGTGGTGGGAAAATGGAAGGGATTCTCAACTTCAACACCGCTGACATTTTGGGTACAATAATTCTTTCTTGGAGGTAGCGGCTCTGTCCTCTGTGTTGCAGGATGTTGAGCAGCGTCTCTCATTTCTACTTAGTAGGTGCCAGCAGCGCTCCCTACCCAGTTGTGTCTATCAAAAATGTCTTCAGACACTGTCACAAGTCCTGTGGTGGGGCGTGGAGGGGAGGTTCACCTCGGGTTGAGAAACAGAACCCCAGTGTTAGCATCACTTACAGGCACGCAATTCCATTTTACCAGACCTATTTTACTGGTTTGTCAAGGAAATGGTCCAAAGGTGTTACTGATCAATGTTAGTAAAACACTGTCTTTTTTTGGCTATGGAAAAGTGTCCTTTTTTTTTTTCTTATACTGACATTTCTAAACTTCCAGAAAATACAAAGCAGGCTGCTCATTGTAATGTTAACATGAACAGATGGATTAGAGAAAAGAGTGTTTCCCTTAGAAACTCTAGAAGCTGAAGGAGGTGCAATCACTTCATCCGTAGTCCACGCTTATTTTTCCAATCAATATTACAAGGATATTGCCAGTGGGAGGTGGCTTCCTTCCTCTGGACAAATGTGTTTGTCTCAAAATGCTTAGGGCTAAGGAGGCACAAGCCCCAGTGTCACTCAGGGCTTGCTTACAACATCCTGGGTTTATTTATAACATTTTCTATTCTCCTTCCACCTTATATTGTCTCTTGCAATATGTAAGATGTAGCAATAGTTTTCTTTTGCTTTCACACTGCAATGGAAATTGCTGTGGTAAGGAATCCTGTGTCCTTGAATAGTGCTTTGTTTCATGCAAGTGAAGGCTGAATTTTGCTTTCAGGTGAAGTGAGTCTAGGAAATTAGCTCATTAAACATGTAAAGATCTTGGGTCAAGATAAAAGTCAGATAAGACTCAGGACCTAAAATGATATAAAAATACCACTTTCCATAATAATACTACAATATAAGAAATAGTCTCAAGATGAATGTAAGTGCATTTGTTGGAGACATTACCCTCATAGAGATAGATTGCCCCAAATTTGTATTTTTTTTAAAAAACCCATTTGCAATGGTAATACCTGTATTCTAAGGGTAAAAATGTATGTGTATGTTAATGTAGATATTTAAGGCTAAACACCACGAGGAAGTGCATTGTTTAGGTTCCCCAAATGTTTTTTGCTTCAAAAACAAAATTCAGAAAATTTACTTTCAGAGTTGACATCTGATCAAACTTTACCTGAGTTATAAGTTTGTCTTCCCCTAGATGGCTACGTGAAATCATAGAGTATTAATTTACTATTCCTCCTCTTTCTGCAGAAATGAGCTTGCATTTCTGATCAGCACCTGTTCTCACAAGTTGTCTCTCTGTTTCTGTTTCCTGCTCACTCTCCCTCTCCTCCTTCCTGCATCCTGCTACTGTTGAGTGGGTAGAAGAGAGTTAGGTTCATTGACTTGAATGTGATGAAAGTTCTATAAGGTCAGAGGCAGAGGTACATTTTAAAAAGCCTGAATTACTTAAAATTAAGTACATGCAGTAAGGCACTATGAAAGAACAGGGTCTAAGAATCTCAAGAACTTTTTTTCCCAAGAAATCAGCAATCGTTATTTAGTGTAAAGCACTACTTAACATTCACTTCAATCAATGTCCCATCTCTAACGACTGCTTCTCTGAGTGGCATCCACCCAAGGCTCCAGTGATAAATATTTAATAAAAGAAACTCCCTCTACTTTTTTTTTTATTTCTCCCTTAAGCATTAATTACTTCATTTTAACAAGCAAAGCTGCTCTCTCAAATGCTGCCTCAACATTTCACATTCTTGAAAACTGTCTCTGTACCAGGTTGATTTATAGAGGAAGATTTTGAAAAATTAAAAATTTGGGGATGGTTTTTTGGCAGGAAAAAAACATAAAAAGGTACTTAGCCCACAAAATGGCAGCATTCTGATATGCTTCTCTCTTTTGGATGTGGTAAGCATTGCCCCATATTTGGTAATTTCAGTGGGACGGCATAGAAATTTTGCTTACTGCTAAGGGGAAAATAAAGACATTTTACTTGCTCTGTGGAGGGTTTGATTTCCCAGATACTTTTTTTCCCCTCCTTTTATTCTTTTTCTTTTTTGGGTATAATTCTCTGTGCACCGAAGACATTCTGTTCTGGTGAGCTCTGCACTTCTTATTCATGGCAATTACATTCACATCTTTGATCTTGGATGAGATCTCTTGTGCATATTTTGTTCTATTTATGTCTTTGATCTGGTTTCTTGTGATTTTCTTAAGGTTGTGTTTTTATTTGAAAGACGTTCAGCCTACAATATTTAAAAAGGAAAAAAAGGTGACATTTAGTTTATCCATATGACATTGTCTTTTTAGGCATATGGATAAATTAGACTGTCTTTATATTCCTCAGTTCCTTCTTCCAGTATACTGAGAGTTTGTTTTTAGCTGTCATAACAGTGGAAAATTCAACAATCAGATGGATTACAGCATGGTGGATCAAATTCAGCGCAATGGTTTTTAAATCGCATTATTACATTTGTCTTAAAAGAATCAAATCTGTCTTCCAATGAACTGGATAGTGATATAGTTATAAAATAGTAAGGGAGTAAGTTCATAGAGCTCCTGCTTATGGAAGGCTAAGTAGTCTAATTTTTGGTCATTCCTATTATCATTTTATTTAGTATACTTTTTTTTATTTGTCTAACATATCATTTATACTCGGGTTTCAAGAATTCACCTTAAAGGTGACCTGTATTACTAAGGGGAGATTAAATAATAACAGCTAGCGGTCGCTGTCGTGATGGCAAAGTGCTCTGAAGGAGGGGGCTGCATGGGACCTAGGAATGTACATGACAAAAATCGGTCACCATGGCAACATTTGAGCAGTTGGAGACAGGGAGCTGAACTGAGCAACACAGAACCGCAGTGGCCTGATTGAAAAGAACTGCCTATAATTTAGCTTGACTGACTTCTTATGTAACATGTTTTTTGTACTATGCAAATGACTATAGAGATGTGAGAATCCAAAACAGTCTATAAATCCAGACTGCAATCACTAACATAGACCTTTCTTTGAAGATGCAATTGGGAATTCCAGTGTGTAGCAAGCTAGAAGGTTCTCTGTCCTAATGATCTTAGACTGTGAGCATTATTTCAGGTGTTTCTGTATTAAGCCATGTCTATAAACAAGATTTTTGTATTTTAGAAGCCTATTTAGGCAACCACTACATATCATTTTGTAATAGCAAGAAAACCAAAATTAGAAGGCCTAGAAAGGTGGTAAAACTATAAGAAATTGGTAGTTGAACAGTTCCATGGTGAGCCTCATCATACAAAATATAATTCAATAAAGTTTTTCATTTCTTTTTTTTGTTTTTTTGTTTGTTTTTTTTGCTCCTTGAATTATCTGAATAATTGTCCTTAGTTTCTTTTTCAACTGGTTTGTATTACATACAGAAGGGAGCTCAAATGACTCTCTGAGCTGATAGACAAAGGCCAAGTGGCTTTTTTGTTTTATATTTGCGTAGTAGGACAGGAGGCCTCTAAGGAGAACTCGCTTCATGTGAATGAATAAGAACAACCAGAATATAACTTACTTAAAATGCCATAAGAACAACGATGCCTCAGCTAATAAATCTTCTAAACATTAAATCTCTTCCTAAGATTCAGTACTGTTGATCATGCAAGTACTTTATATATCATGTTGAATAGAATTACAATGAATCATGTAGCTTAATGGCAATATCCCTGCTAAATTATGCAGATGATAATAATAAGAAGAATAATAAAATTAGTAGTAACTATAGAAATGATTACAGCTGAAATTTACTGAGTACTATGTCTATTCCTCATTTTATCCTCACAAAATTGCTGCAAGATAGAAAAAAATCATTCTCCCTATTTGGCAGATAGAGGATCAGAGAGGCCAAGTAATTTGCCCAAGGTTGCACAGATAGTAAATTATACAGCCCTGATTAGAACCTAGAGCCATCTGGCTCCAAAGCTTTGTTTTCATAAGCATGTTTTTTTCTGGCTTTGTGTACTCAGATAACTTTTTAAATAAGACTTTTCTTCTCTACTTGTATGACCAACACTTTCGTCTGCCCAAGTCATCTCTTATCAATCCATTGCAGCCTTTTCTTGCTAAGTCTCAGCTTCCAGCCACACACAGACACTGGAAACTTACTTGAGCTAAAACTCATTAACTTGCCTCTTATAAATATGCTAATTGTAAAGTTTTCTTTCCTTATGATAATGTGTCATTGAGTCTTTCCTTCTTTTTTTTTTTTTTTTTTTTTTTTGAGACCAAGTTTCACTCTTGTTGCCCAGGCTGGAGTGCAGTGGCATGATCTTGGCTCACTGCAACCTCAGCCTCCCAGTTTCCAGCAATTCTCCTGCCTCGGCCTCCCAAGTAGCTGGGATTACAGGCACCAGCCAACAAGCCTGACTAATTTTGTATTTTTAGTAGAGACCAGCATGTTCCCCATGTTGGTAAGGCTGGTCTCAAACTCCCGAGCTCAGATGATCCACCCGCCTGGGCCTCCCAAAGTGCTGGGATTATAGACGTGAGCCACTGCACCTGGCCTACCTTTCCTTCTATTTTATTTGGCTATAATAGATTAGGAAGGAGAATTCATCTTTCTTTGAGTCTTGAATGTCCTCATTCGTGAAGCATACGTGTGTGTTGCTATCATGAAAGGATCAGGCAGCAAAAGGGAGCCACTGGCCAGGATTTACTAGAACCCAGAAGTTACTTAGGCTGGAAGAGCTACCTGGCACAATGATTCAGGAAGTTTCTCTTCTCTTTTGTGTCTGGCTTCCGTTGCTCAGCACTCCACTTTTGAGATTCATCTATATTGTTTTGTGTGGCTGTGTCGTTTCTATACAGTATTCCATTGTATGAACATTGCACAATCTATTCACCTACTCTATTACTGGTGGACATTTGGATGTTCTCAGTTAGAGTCAGTATGAATAATGCTGTTTAAAACATTCTAGTGTATGCCTTTCAGGAAATATAGGCATACATTTGTTTAGGTGTCACAACTGGTAGGGCAGACGATCTGCATATAATCAGCTCTTGGCAGTAGACAGTGCCAAAGAGTTTTCAAACATTATTATATAATTTACCTTCCCACCAGCAAAGAGTGTAGGAAAACTCCAATCACTTCACATTTGTGACAACACTTGGTGTTGTCAGTGGTTTTGATTTTAGCCATCGTGGGGGTTTTGGGGTTGTATTGTGGTCATGTGATAACGAATGAGATTGTGTACCTTTTCCTATGTTTCAGTTTCATGTAGATATTTTGTGTGTGTGAAGGGCCTTTTTAAGTATCTTGCCCATTTTTCTATTTGATCATCTGACTTTCCCTTTATTTGTAAAAAAGCGTTGATTTTAAGTGATAAATCAGTGCATTGATAAATGATATATATAGGAAATGTTTCATGCTTTTTCTTTTTTATCCTGTCCAGATTCTTATCTATTTTTTTTTATTTCACAGCACTCGAGTATTAGTTAAGAAACAATCTAGTCTGCTATAATAAGAAACTCACAATGCAATGACTTAAACAAGGAAGAAATTCATGTCATTCTCATGTAACAATCTAAGGAGCCTGGATATCTAGAAGCTCAGCTATGCTGGGACTGAGGCTCCTTCCTTCTCAATATCTGAAATTCTGAAGGCAATACTCTTGTCCTAAAGGTAGGTCATCACCATTTCTGCATTCAGACTCGGGGGTAAGAGGAAAGAAGGGAGGGGCATGCTTTTTTTGTTCATGGATATGACTTGAAAGTTGTACACTTCTGCTCACTTGCCAGTAGCTAAATCCTAGTCTTACTGCTGAGCCTCTATTAGTGAGGTTCAGGGAAACAGCAAGGGGAGCAAGGACTAGGTTGAAGAGGGAGGCTGGGAAATATGCTGTTAATTTGGTGCCCATTTTACTTAGCTAAGTCTTCTGTTACAGTGGAAGAAGGGAAGAAAAAATTGCCGATGGATTACACTCCACACCCCAATTGTCAGATTTCTACACCCTGAATTTATTTCCCCCCACCACTTATTTATTTATTTGTTTTGAGATGAGGGTCTCACTCTGTCACCCAGGCTGGTGTGCAGCGACTGTAGCCTCAAACTCCTGGGCTTAAGCAACCCTCCCACCTCAGTCTTCCAAGTAGCTGGGATTACAGGTGTGCACAGCCACGCCTGACTAAACTCTGAATTTAGAGATTAGAAAGATTTCTCAAGTAGGTACCTCCCATGTATTTCTGTTAGATTACAAAACTGGTGTCTGAAAAATATTTGAAACCCCTTCTACATAGCAATCTCCAACAGGGGTGGCATTTCAAAAGTTTCTTTTTCTCTAATGAATTAAGAGGTTGCAAAAGATTTTCACATGAAAACAAAGGCAGGCATAGTTAAATTGCCAATGAGGGTCATCTTATTTATACACCAGTGACAAGGTTTAGGGATATTGTGTTATTTTTTTAGAGCTTCTGTAACAAATATCACATACTATGTGGCCTAGACCACAGAAATTTATATTCTCACAATTCTGGAGGTGTCAGGAAGGTTGGTTTCTTCAGAGGTCTCTCTCCCTGATTTCTAAGTGGTTGCTTTCCCCCTGTAAACTTCACATGGTCTTCCCTCTTTGTGTGCCTGTGTCATATAAGAACACAAGACATATTGGATTATGACTCACTCTAGTGACCTCCTTTTAACTTAATTACCACTTTAATGACCCTATCTCCAAATACAGTCACATTATGAGGTACTGGGGATTAGGATTTCAGCATATGAATTTAGGGCAAGGGAGGAGGACATAATTCAGACGTAGAAGGCAGATTAGTTGACTGTACTGGTGTAAGTTTCTACACGAATGAGCCTTGAATGAAGAAAAAGGAAGTTTGGTGAGAAATTTCAGCATAGCAGTTTTCACCTGGGACATTTATTCTTGACAATTTTGAGGGTTTCCCACAGTTGTGAAGGTTTTTCCTTTCCTTGTGAAGTTGAGGTGTGACTGTAAGGGATTATTCTCCCTTCCCCCACTCCCACCTATTCATGAAGGGTGTTTCTATGTATGGTACTGCATGTTCCACTCTCCAAGCACAACACGTTCTTGTGGGGAAGTACACCGCCAATGCCAAGGTCAATACCAGGAAGATGCACGCCCGTTGCTGCAGGCCCGTGAGTGAGAGCAGAGGTTTTTTTTTTTTCTTTCTTTTTTTGAGATGCCAGTCAGCCGGCTCCGTGTTGGTTGTCAGCTTGAAGCTGCTGGTGGGGTTTCCTACGGCTAGACAAAGAAGATCCTGGGCTTGGAATTAGGGCTTTTTATGCTGTGAGTATAGAAACCAGGATAGGAACTCTGGAGTGAGGAGTGTCCTATGAGGGCACGTTGAGGCACTGGGACCAGCGCAGGGAAACAGCAAGAGAGCAGGCAATGGGATGAGGAGAAGCTGCAGTACTGGGGAGAGAGGGCTGGGATGGAGGGACGGGCTCATGGAAACAGGACAGGCTGTGGCCCTCCCTGGCCTTTGTCATTTGGACTCACCTCTCCAGCCATCACTGACAAATTGATAAGGAGGGTATTTGGTCAGTGGAGGGAATATAAGAACCGGGAAAGAAAGAAGGAAAGAGAATTGTGAGGTCTGTAGCAGCTGGAGGAAAAGGAGCTGCTATTGTAGCAGGGAAAACTGTTGAGTTTCTGTAGCCATGCGGCAGGGGCTGCGACCCCAGCTATACCGGAGTGGATGTTTTAGTCCCACCCTGGCCATAGTACACTCACAGAATCTCTTAATTGTTTATACTTTTGTGTTTTGTTTTGTTTTTCACCAGGAACCATGGTAATATGGCTATTTTTTTCTCCAATTGAAAAATAAATACCTGAATCATAAATAACAGGTGAATTAGTTGAATTACGTTGCAATTTATTTAGAAATTATGAGATAAGAAGCTGTTTCTGGAAATTCTACATCTTATGTTTAAATCTGGAAAAGTACATACTTTCATTTGGTATAAAAATAAAAAGTTACAAAATTGGATGATAAGTTTCCCTGTGAATATTTGGTGCATACTGGATGTTACAAAAAAAGACCGTGAAATCACAGAGATATAAAAGTCTTTGAGTTCCTTCTGTGCACACACCTTTCTTCGAATCTGCATCTCTCTGTATACTTATTGCATATGTTGTCAAAACAGGTCCTGTGCACCTGGACCACACCCCTACTAGAGCCATCACATGTGTTTGGTAATGACGTAGTTCTAGAAAAATAACTAAGCCATGGCCATATTTCTCTCTTGTTTCCTCATTTCCACTGTGTGTCAACATCTCTGCACTGAACACTTACTGGGGGAAAAACATCATGCTAGCTACTGTGAGGTTTTACTTGGTCTGAAGAAATGCTCTTTTGCCCTTCAGCAATTTAGGAACTAAGTGGGGTGACAGTCATCCTAACTCCCAGCCCATATGTCAGGAGAGAGGACTGTCGTATGGCTATATAATGATGATCACTCTGAAGAGGTTCTCTCCTTGGTAATCACAGAGCGCTGTGACTTGTTCAGACTCTACATATATTAGATTTGCTGTCTGGAAGATCTGTGCCATCTGGGACCTAGTGGACACAGGCCAAGAGGACCACCCATAGTTCAGCTCCTGTGGTTTTTCAGGCAGCTGGACAGCAATGCCGCACGGGCTTCAGGAGTCCATTGTAACAAGGGTCTTAATGCAGATGAAGTTTGAGATGGGAGAAGACTTTCTATTTAATTAGAAAAGACATCAGAGGGAAGGTGAGATGAAGCAGGTGGAACAGGAGGCACAATAGGAGTGGGTGGGGAAGAAGCACCCTTTTATAAACTAGCCTTTATTTGTGCATATTTACAATGTGGAGTCATGAGAAAAAGAAAGTGAGTGATCGTGAGTCTGTTTCTTGCTCATATGTTTTGGAACTCATTCATTCTGGAAATACTCATGGAGTGCTTGACGTGTATCAGTCAGGGACTGACATCCTGGGAAGACAACAATTAAGAAAACAAATTTCCAGCTTTTGTGCAGTTTATATGCTAATGGAGACAGCTATAATGCAAGAAAAATACATAGGTATGGCATATATTATCTTAGAAGGTGATGTGCTATGGGAAAAGAATAAAGTAAGTTTAAGAGGATGGAGGGTTATGAGGAAGTGCGACATTTGGAATGGACATTTGAGCAGAGGCTTGAAAGAAACAAGTGCCATAGGCCGTGGGTATCACGAGGCAGAAGAAACAGGAAGTGCAAAGGCTCTGAGGCGGCAGAAGGAGGGCAGTGAGAGAGGAGGCCAGCAGGCCTGGAGCACAGGTCAGGCTGTCTCAAACTCCTGAGCTCAGATGATCCGCCCACCTGGGCCTCCCAAAGTGCTGGGATTATAGGAGACTGGAGACGCAGAGGAGAGAAGGGCAGAGAGGAAATGGAAGCCAGACCATGTTGGGCCTTTGGGGCCCTAGTGAGAGCTTTGGCTTTTACTCTTAGTTAAGAGAGCAGGTGGGGCATGGTGGCTCACTCCTGTAATCCCAGCACTTTGGGAGGCTGAAGCAGGTATATCGCCTGAGGTCAGGGGTTCAAGACCAGCCTGGCCGACGTGGTGAAACCCCGTCTCTACTAAAAATACAAAAATTAGCCAGGCATGGTGGCAGGCACCTGTAATCCCAGCTACTCGGGAGGCTGAGGCAGGAGAATCACTTGAACCTGGGAAGCGGAGATTGCAGTGAGCCGAGATTGTGCCATTGCACTCCAGCCTGGGTGACAAGAGTGGGACTTCATCTCAAAAAAAAAAAAAAAAAAAAAAAAAGGCAGCCACTGGGGCATTATGCAAGGTGAAATACACTCAGATATTTCAATATTTCACGAGCTTGTGTTTCAGACCTGATGTTGTACTGAGTACTGAGGATATAGTGGTGACTGTGGAAGCAGCCTTTGCCCTCAAGGAATTTATTTTACTGGAGGATTTATTTTACTGGACCACCTAAGGAAGGGATGTGTCAGATTGGGAGCAGGCATAGCAGAGAAAGGACACAATTGGCCATTAGGTCTAAGACGTGAGCAGTACTTGGTCAAATGCTTTGACTGGTACCAGGAAGGCAACCCAAGACTTATCCTCAGTGACCCACCCCAACTCTACAGCCTCACCTCTGCAAAACACCATTCCCCAGGGTGGATTTCCCACTCTCGGAAGTCTGAAGTGTGGACAGGTGCATTTGATGTGCCTATCTCCTGAAATAAAATTAAATGCTTGGCCGGGTGCTGTGGCTGATGCCTGTAATCACAGCACTTTGGGAGGCCGAGGCAGGCAGATCACCTGAGGTCAGGAGTTTGAGACCAGCCTGGCCAACATGATGAAACCCCGTCTCTACTAAAAATACAAAAATTAGCTGGGCGTAGTGGCAGGCGCCTGTAATCCCAGCTACTCGGGAGTCTGAGACAGGAGAATCGCTTGAACCTGGGAAGTGGAGGTTGCAGTGAGCCGAGATTGTGTCATTGCACTCTAGCTTGGACAAAAAGAGAGAGACTCAGTCTCAAAAAATTAAAATAATAATAATTAAAAAAAAATACCTAATGCTTTTGGAGGAGGGGAGTGTGGCGTCAGTCTTATCAGGCACCACACCACGGGAAAGGAGTCTGAAGCCTCTCCTGCCAGTACGTTTTGAAGTGGAAAAGGGAGGAGCTCCTGAAATGACTAAATGTTTGAGGTGGGAATGGGGGGAGGGAAAAGGTGGAGGAAGTGCCTGAGAATCGTAGGGTTGGTGACACCAAAGGTAAACCCAGCCTGAGGGACAGCGCGGCAGGACATGGACTATGTGAACAAGTGGAGCTCATCCAGTCAAACAGATGTAAAGGAGGTCAGCCAGGTAGTGACAAAAAGCTATGGACATAATTGGCAGAGAAATGAGGGAATCTAGGCAATATGTTAAAGTGAAAGCATTACTGATTGGTAATAAACTGAATTAAAAATGTGAAGACAGGTTCTCTTATTTTTTATAGTGTTGTCTTCTCTTTCTTTTTTTTCTTTTTCTTTTTGAGATGGAGTCTCACTCTGTCACCCAGGCTGGAGTGCAGTGGCACGATCTCAGCTCACTGCAACCTCTGCCTCTCTGGTTCAAGCTATTCTCCTGCCTCAGCCTCCCAAGTAGCTAGGACTATAGGTTCCTGCCACCTTGCCTGGCTAATTTTTGTATTTTTAGTAGAGACAGGGTTTCACCATATTGGCCAGGCTGGTCTCGAACTCCTGACATTGTGATCTGCCCTCCTCAGCCTCCCAAAGTGCTGGGATTATAGGCGTGAGCCACCACACCCAGCCTGTTAATAGTGTTTTCTGAGTATCTGAATAACTGAACACATCAGCAAGTTAATTTCTTCAGGGATGCTCCAAAGTCTCAGTTTTTCTTTAGGTTTTATTTTTTTTTCTTTTTTCCATTTCTTCTTCTTCTTCTTTTTTTTTTTTTTCTCTTGAGGCAAGGTTTTGCTCTGTCACCCAGGCTGATGTGCAGTGGCATGATCACGGCCCACTACAACCCCAAACTCGTGGACTCAGTTGATCCTCCTGCCTCAGCCTCCTGAGTAGCTGGGACTACAGGGCACACCATCACCACTCAGCTAATTATTTAACTTTTTGTAGAGGCAGGATTTTGCTATGTTGCCAGGCTGGTCTCAAGCTCCTGGCCTCAAGTCACCCTTGATCCTCTTGCCTCAGCCTCCCAAAGTTCTAGGATTACAGATGTGAGCCACCTTGCCCAGCCTCCTGTAGGTTTTGATTCTCTTTGGAATGTTCTTTTAGGAACAATCCATTATCTTAAGTCAGTATTAGGTTCTTGAACATTTGACTAGTTTTTGTGTCCCCTCCCCTTCAAAAAAAGAGCAAAGGAAATTGCATCTTATTTCTGCTTTTTTAAGGCAGAAAATATCTAAATATTTTATGTTTTATACCAGGGATTTGCAAACATTTTCTGTAAACATCTCTAAAATAAACATTTTAGGCTATGCAGGCCATACATTCCCTGCTGCATCCACTCAGGTCTGCTGCTATAGCATGAAAACAGCCATAGGCAGTGTGTAAAGGAATGAATGTGTCTGTGTTCCAGTAAAACTTTATTTGTAAAAACAGGCTGTGGGCCAGATTTGGCCCTTGAGCCAGAGTTGGCCAATTTCACCATTACATTATCATCTTCGAAATATGCCTTCGTTGAAGATTATTTTACTTGTGACTATTTTTTTGTTGAGTTGATGTAATTCATTATCATTCCTATTGTATATCATGTTTTACACCAAAATCTTGTGGTTTTAACAGCAGTGGTTTTAAAAGGTTAAAACTTTCCACATTTTTACTTTTTTTTTTTTCCCAAATTTCAGTCTTTTGTGGACATTTATAACGGATCCAAACAGTGTTAAAGCTTTTAATTGTCCACTTTCTTTTCACTGGAGGAAATAACATTTATAATTTCTTGTGTCATTTTAATTCTACACCAGCTATGTCATCGGTAGTTTTCTATTGCAAACGTAATAAAAAAGTAAAAATTAATTTTCTATCCTTTGACTCAAAGTGTCCCAATGCCTCGATATGGTGCTAAAGTAAAACTGTAAAGTTAATGGAATATTATAATCTGCAAGATGCTCTTTTGTTGAAGAAAGAAAATTGGCTCATATTCCATGGTATGAAAGGTTTATAGCAACAGGACCAACTAAATCAGCAATTAACAGTAAAAACACCAGATAAAAATGGATCGATCCCATCTTCTTTTACTGAGAGAACAGAAATCCCTATTAGAATGCTCAAAGGTTCTTTTCTGTCTCATTTTTAATGCTTAGGCAAACAGATACCCTGGCTTCCAAATCTTGCATTAGGAAAAAAAAAGTAGCAGTATTAAAAAAGAGCAACATTTACTCTTTGCCTGTACAGGAGTGATTAAAATGTTGACGGCGTACTGGCATTCCCGAGCTTTGTGACAGCTGCCATTGCCGTGGCACCTAGCCGTAGAGCCAGGGCAGGCTTTATTAGTAAACTGCTCGCTGGGCCACGGACACTCTGCCTCCAATTCGCACTAGCATCTGTTGCTGTATTTTAAATCTTCATCCCACAAACTTTGACGAAGGCAAAGATTCCATACCATATGCATTTGCTCCTTCAATAGAGCAGGTCGGTTTTCTAGGACCACAACCTACGCTTTTATTTCTGGAAATTAACGCTGCATTTCGCCCCTGATTTTGTTAGTAGCAAAAAGATTTTCACTTTTTTTGTACAATCTACGTTTAGAAAATGGAAATTATGTTGAGTTAGATTTTCTTTTTTGGCAGGAGGGAGAATGAAGGCTTCTAACAAGCCTCACCAAATAGGACAGGCAGCATGCATCTTTTAGGCATTTTCAAACTTGTTCCAATTTGTGGGGACGGCGACCACCACGTCATTCTCTGATGACAACAGCTTCAAATGTGGCTGTACCAATGCTACCGAGACATCCATTTAAAAAGAAAAGCATGTAAAATCCAGATTTGAAATTCAATAAGGAATCCAAAGAAAAGTCTAGCTTTCAGGCCATCTCCTAGCTAAATGAATAAATGAATAGGCAAACTATTGCATAAAAAAAAAATCTAGAGGGTAACTAAAGGAAGCCTTGCTCACTACTGTCTGAAAATAGCCTCGTCTGGAAAGGTATGCTTTTAGACTAAGAAAGCAGAAAAAACTAATTAGACAAGAAGCAACCGTGAACAAACATGTTAGCAGAATCAATAACTGGAACTGATCAGCTATTTCTTTAATTGTGCCAGCTGGACGTCCATGATATGCTTAGCAGAGCATAATTACCAGCTTCCATCCCATAGCAAATATCTTTTCTTTTTTTCTTCCTTTTACATAAATAGCTGGGTATATGCCATTTAATAATAATGGTAATAATAATAATATTTTTTAAAATGTAAAAAGTAGTGGAAAATGAGATATCTCATGTAAGATGATATTTTATGAATAATTATAAGGTGGCCAAGTAAGTATGCCAATTGTGCTAATAAGAATGTGAGCTATCAAGGAAATGTAACTAATTTCTTAATTTAAAGGCCATTATGTGCTCTGTGTGCAAAGCTGCATTATTAAAAGTAGGGGCCATTTGTTTTGCTGTTTTAGTATGGGTTGTGTAGCTTGTTCCCATTTGTACAGCTATGATTGATCTGGGCCCAAAGCACTTTGCCTACTGCAACTTGAAGGACCACGCAACACAGTTGTCTGGTACCATTAGGAGGAATTAAGATGGACTTTTTGAGTTGTGTAAGTAAAAGGAATAGAGAAGAGAAAGGTTTCACTAGTTAATTCAACGGAAAAAAAAAATCCTAACCCAATTGATTTGTATACTTTTTTTCCCCCAAGTGACAGCAAAACAAAGGTTTGTAAGCATGTAATAGACTGGAAAGACCAGTGTTTAAAAGGCCAAGTTTAGCTGTGTGTAATCAAAGAAAGCTTATCGTTTCTGACATATTGCTGTGGGAAACTGGCCTCTTTAGGGCAGTTGTCACCTGGAAAAGTGACATGTTAAAGGAAATATGTACATAGGGAGTGAAGGGCAAACCAGAAAATACTGGAAGATTCTGATAAAAGTGAGGATTTACTAATGCTAATTCAAAACTTACCTAAGATGTTTTTTCCAGAAGGAAAATATTTCTTCAATTTGTTTGGTATGACAAACATCATTATTATGGGGAAGCAGTCATAATAATAAATGTTTTGACACATTTGCTCCTAGATATAGAAAAAACGTATGGAAGATGGAGTAAAATAAATTTTCAAGTGACTATGGTCTGCTTTTATTTTTCTGAGTTCATTGTTCCACATTAAATTAGAAAGATGATTGTTTTATTCAGCAGGCATAATTCATCGCAGCTGAAAAGACTGTAACTACATTGGGGTTGTTGATGCCTGGGTTCTACCAGCCCTGGAGAACAGTTTCTGTTTCTTCTGTGATGTTCAGAAAAGACAATCCCTGCACTAATTCTCTTCATTACCAGCAACTCAGTTCCACTTCGTCGAATTTGGTTCGATTTAGTGCAATTCACCCAACCTTTATTGTGCAATTACAAAGCACCAGTCTATCTTAAGGCACCAGTCCTTAGAGAAGCCCATCACCTTCCAGTCCCAGAGGGAACTGTATATTTCCTTTTATTCAGGCTGTCTGAAGGCAGTCAAACCAAGCTACTTTGCAGTGCAGTGACTCATGCCTGTAATCCGAAAACACTGGGCGGCCAACGCAGGTGCATCATCTGAGGTCAGGAGTTCAAGACCAGTCTGGCCAACATGGCAAAACCCCATCTCTACTAAAAATACAAAACATTAGCTGGGCGTGGTGGTACACCCCTGCAGTCCCAGCTACTCAGAAGGCTGAGGCAGAAGAATCTCTTGAACACAGGAGGCGGAGGTCGCAGTGAGCCGAGATCGCGCCACTGCACTCCAGCCTGGGCAACAGAGCAAGACTGTCACAAAACAAAACAAAACAAAACAAAACACAAGGAAGAAGTAAATTGCTGCCTCTAAGAGATTTCTACCTTTAAGTTGCCAGATAGTTCTGTTTGAATGAGGATGGAAGGAGAGTCCGTTTCTCCCATCGGTAATTTGCTTTCTGACTTTGGCTAGATCATTTGACCTCTCTGGAGCCTTACGAGTTTCATCTATAAAATGGGGAATGCAGTATTTATTTGCCTCTTTTGTAGGGGGGAAATTAAAAAATTACAGAATAATACTAAAAATAAGACACCTAAGTTCTCAATATCCAGAATTTACAGAAGTTTATATTTTCTAATATTTGTTTCTAATAGTGTTCGTTAACACGTTTTTCAAACCTAATGAATGAGTCGTGTGTGTAAACAACAGCTATAAAATGGGAGAACAGCTATTGTTGGTATATTAGGTGCTTTCAGGTTGAAAGTAAGAAATATCTCAGGTTATCAGTTGCTGATACTTTATCCTAAAACACAGGAAGTGAGAAGTTTAGCCACCACACAACCCCTCTGGGTCCCCAGGCTCAGGTCTCTTCATGGAGAAATGGCCTTTGTAATCAAATCATGCAAATGTTGCATAGTTAATTTCATTAGTCTATAGGGTGAAGCATAGAAAGAAGTATGGGGTCCAGAGAAGCATATAAACGTTTGCTGTACAGCACAGAATTTTAGAAAAGAAACGCCTGCCTGTATCCAGTCTTTTGCAGGGCAAGGGGAGTAGTAACTGAAGTTCAGATTTAATCTTCTCAGGGATGATGTATTATTTAATACTTTAATAACCCATGCCCTCCTTTCCTGATTTTATTCTTGTCCCCATAACACTTACCACTTTTTAGCTTTTTATTGTGTATTTTTAAAAATCTCTGTCTGCCTATAGAATATTAGCTCGCATTGGCCATTACCTATTCCTATAAATTAGCCGGAGTGTGAGGACGAAGGACAAGCTGATTCTAATAATAACAACGCCCCTTCACAAAATCAGGACTGACCAATATCACCAGCGCATGGCACCTAGACTAGGTAGAACACGGTTTTCTCCTTTTCTTCCTTTATACAGTACCTTTTAAAAGTAAAATTTAATTTATTAGCAAAATGGTTAATTGTAAATCATTTTTCCCCACTGTTTTGTGGTAAAATACACACAACATAAAACTTACCATCTTCACTGTACAGTTCAGTGGTATTAAGTACATTAGTATTGTTGTACACCCATCACTACCATCCATCTCTAGAATGCTTTTCATCTTGCAAAACTAAAACTCTGTACCCATTAAACAATAACTCCCCATTCCCTCCTCCCACCAGCATCTAGCAAACACCACTTTACTTTCTCTCTATAATTTGTGCTACTCTAAGTACTTCATATAAATGGAATCATACAGTATTTGTGTTTTTGTGACTAGCTTATTTCATTTAATAAAATGACTTTAAGGTTCATCTATGTTGTGGCATGTGTCAGGATTTCCTCCCTATTCTCTAGCTTGTTTGTCTCAGCTCCAATCTTTGTTATTTCCTTCCTTCTGCTAGCTTTGTGCTTATTCTTATTTTTGGAGTTCCTTAAGTTGTAAAGTTAGGTTTTTAATTGGAGATATATCCTGGTTTTTAATATATGCATTTGTAGCTACAAATTTCTCCCTTAGTACTAATTTCACTACATCCCATACGTTTTGGTATATTGTGTTTGTTTCCATTCATCTCTAAGTATTTTCTAATTTCCTGTGATTTCTTCTTTGGTCATTGGTTATTTACAAGTTGTTTAATACCCACAAATTTGTGAATTTTCCATTTTGATTTCCAATTTTATCCTGTTGTGGTCAGAGAAGATATTTTATATTATACCTATTTTTTTAAGTTGATTGAGGCTTAACATACGGTCTATCCTGGAAAATGTCCCAAATATTCTTGAGATGAATGTGTATGCTATTGTTATTGGGTAGACTTCTATTAGGTTTAATTTGTTTATTGTGTTGTTTCAGTCATCCACTTCATAACTTATCTTCTGTCTGTTTGTTTTATTAATTATTGTTATTATTATTTTTTGAGACAGAGTTTTAGTCTGTCATCCAGGCTGGTGTGCAGTGGTGTGATCTCAGCTCACTGCAACCTTCACCTCCTGGGTTAAGGCAATTTCCCTGCCTCAGCCCCCCAAATAGCTAGGACTACAGGTGCCTGCCACCATGCTCGGCTAATTTTTGTCTTTCTAACAGAGACGAGATTTCACCATATTGGCCAGGCTGGTCTCAAACTCCTAACCTCAGGTGATCTGACCACCTTGGCCTCCCAAAGTGCTGGGTTTACAGGCGTGAACCTCTGTGCCTGGCTGGTTGTTCTATTTATTATTAAGAAAGGTATTGAGATCTCCAATCATTATCATAGAACTTTCAATTTCTCTCTTCAGTTCTGTCAATTTTTGTTTCATATATTTTGATGGTTTGTTATTAAATGTGTAATGTTTATAACTATTATATTTTCTTGCTGTATTAAATTCTTTATTAATATTTAATGTCCTTTTAATTCAAACTACATATTGTCTGATATTAGTATAATCAACCTACTCTCTTTTAGTAACTGTTTGCATGGAACTCTTTTTTTCATCGTTTCACTTTCTTTTTTTTAAAAAATATTGTTATATTTTTAAGTTGAATAAAATGATGTTTGATATACATATACACAGTGAAATGGTTACTATAGTCATGCAAATTAACATGTCCATCATCTCACATAGTTACACATTTTGTGTGTGTGTGGTAAGAGTACCTAAAATTTAGTCTTTTAGCAAAACTCCCAAGTACAATAAAATACTATTAAGTATACTCCTAATGTTACACATTAGATCTCTAAATTTGTTCATTCTATATATTTGATAATTTGTATCCTTTGACCTACATCTCTCCATTCTTCCCACAATTCCCACACCTCACCTGGGGTAACCACTGTTTTATTCTCTATCTCTGTGTATTTGACACTTTTTTTTCTTTTGGATTCCTCATATAAGCCAGATCATGCAGAAGTTTTCTTTCTGTGTCTGGCTTATTTCACTTAACATAATGTCCTCCAGATTCATCCATGTTGTGACAAACAAGGGCTCCCTCTTTTTATAAAGCTGAATAATATATAAATTGTGTGTATATATATATATGTATATACACACATATACACATATGCTATAGTTTCTTTATCCATTTATTTGTCAACTGACAGTTTGGGGCTTTGGTTGTTTCCATATCTTGGTCACTTTGAATAATGCTGCAATCAACATGGTAGTTCAGATACCTTTATGAAGTGGTGATTTTATTTCCTTTGTATATAATATATTCAGAAGAGGAATTACCAGGTCATATGGTAGTTCTATTTTGAATTTCCTTACATTCTTTCATTTTCAATCTGTTTGTGTCTTTAGATCTAAAGCAAGTCTCTTGTAGAAAGCATACATCTGGATCATGTTTTTGTTTTCCATATGCCTGAGAAATTTTGTCTCTCACTTCCTGCATTACTGTTTGCTTTTGTGTTTAGTTAATTTTTAAATAGTGAAACATTTTAATTATCTTCATATTTCCTTTTGTGTATATTCTATACCTATTTTCTTTGTGGTTACCATGGGGATTACATTTAACATCCTAGAATTATAGCACTCTAAGTTGAATTTTTACCATATTAACTTTAATAACACACAAAACTGCTCCTTTACAGCCCCATCCACATCCCTTTTAGTTGTTGATGTCACAAAATTATATCGTTATACATTAAAGTTTATATACATTAATGCAAACATCCACATTTAGGTTAAAGTATAGTGTAAATAAATATGATGCATGCATAAAATTAAGATACATTAATATATCACATTAAAGATATTAAAGTTTATGTCCAATAATATAAACTAACAATTTTTCTTTTTGAGACCCTCATCCAGGCTGGAGTACCGTGGCATGATCATGGCTCACTGCAGCCTCAACTTCCTGGGCTCAAGCAATCCTCTCACCTCAGCCTCCAAAGCAGTTGGGACTACAGGTGCACACTACTACACCTGGCTAACTTTAAAAAAAAATTATGTAGCGATGGGGGCGTTCTCACTATGTAGCCCACACTGGCCTCTAACTCCTGGCATCAAGTAATCCTCCCACCTTGGCCTCCCAAAGTGCTGAAATTACAGGCATGAGCTACCATACCCAGGCAACTAATAATTTGTTAACGCATTAGTCACTTACATAGAAAACAAAATGTAGAATTACAAACCTGAATTATAATAATGCTAACTTATATAATTGCTTTCCAGATTTTGCCTTTGGCTGGAATTGACCCAAATTAACTGCAATTTACCTTCTAAGCCTTTCCCAGTATTGCTGTCTGAGTAGAGAAAAGGATTTCTGGTGCTCTCTACTCTGTTATATTCCCAGAATTCTCTGGCTTCTTATATTTAAAAAGAACATTATTAATTACAGAGAAACTGAAGTTCTCCTTAACCACCATCCATGATTCCTTTTCTCTCCCTGCAATAGTGGATGTTCTCCCAGCCTATCCTTTGTATTTTTCCATACAAATATATGGAATCATGAACAGCATGTAGTATTGCTTTTTGTGGTTAAAGTACACACAATGCTGGCTGTGGTGGCTCATGCCTATAATCCCAGTACTTTGGGAGGCAGAGGCAGGTGGATCACCTGAGGTCAGGAGTTCAAGACCAGCCTGGCCAACATGACGAAACCCCTTCTCTACTAAAAATACAAAAACTTAGCCAAGTGTGGTGGCATCTGCCTGTAGTCAGTCCCAGCTACTCAGGAGGCTGAGGCAGGAGAATCGCTTGAAACAGGGAGGTGGGTGTTACAGTGAGCCAAAATCACGCCACTGCACTCCAGCCTGGGCAACACAGTGAGATCTCCTGAAAAAAAAAAAAAACAACAACACACACACACACACACACACACACTCACACACACACAAACACTTTAGCTATTAACACAGACATATTTTGCAACCTTTTCACTGAACAATTTATACGTTTCTGTTGTACTTTATACATGTTATACATGACATGTAATATATGCATACTTTATTCCTTTTAGCATTTAATTTTGTGCATGCATCACATTTATTTACACTATATATTAACCTAAATTTGAATATTTATACGGTTTTTAATTTTTCACCCTTGAAAACAATTCTCCCTATAAAAATACTCAAGTCATCTTACCTGTATAAGTTTTTCTAAGCATGACATATCTAGAAGATTTACTGGACTGGATTGTAGAGCTTATTGCTGTTTGTGATCTTGTGTTCAAGTTAACTGTTCTCTTGGTATTTGTTTAATACCCTGCACATATCTTTGATTGAAACCCTTAGTACGTGTGGCTCAGTCACTTCTTGGCTGAGGTGAGAACATGCCTGTGGAAGACAAGTCTGTGGCTTGGTGAGCCTGTGTGACCAGCTGTCTCTGATCTGTGCAGGGTATTAATGTATCAGAACTGAGTGCTCTGGGAATGCTCTAGAGGCTGGCAAGGGCTCCTGAACCAGTTGTAGTTCCTGTCTTGTCAGTCCAAACCATAAGACTCAGCTTTTTTTCTTACCTGTGTTTTCCTGCCAGAACACCCTGGGCTGTTACTTGCCTTGAGTTGGAAACAGTTTGCATTTACACCTGTAAATTTATTCATCCTTCTAATTTATGTAAGGTTTTTTTTTTTGGTATGCAATTCTTGATTCTTTAAGAGGTGACAACAAATTTTGGTTTTCTACTGTTATGTGAGAACATTAGGCCCAAGCAACAAGTCATTGCGTAAGAAAACGTAGAGTGCTACTGCTGTTTAAAAAAAAAAAAAAAAGGTGCTGGGTTGGAGGATACTGCATTTTTTTGCTATTATTGGAGACACAGTCTTGTTCTGTTGCCCAGGCTGGAGTGCAGTGCTGTGATCTCAGCTCACTGCAACCTCTGCCACCTGGGTTGAAACGATTCTTCTGCCTCAGCCCCCCAAGTAGCTGGGATTACAGGCACGCACCATCATGCCCAGCTAATTTTTGTATTTTTAGAAGAGATGGGGTTTAACCATGTTGGCCAGGCTGGTCTTGAACTCCTTACCTCAGGTGATCCTCCTGCCTCAGCCTCCCAAAGTATTGGGATTACAGGCGTGAGCCACCATGCGTGGCCACATTTTCAATTTAACAAGATTTTGCCAAATTTCTCTTCAAAGTGGCTGTACTAATTTACATTTCTAGAGCAGCTTGTGAATATTTCTATTTCCCCACATTCCTACTATAACTTAAAATGCCATACTTCTTTATTTTTACTAACTTGACAAATAAAAAAAATTTTATTACTTATTCAATTTAAATTTTCTTAATTGTATTTGTCTAACTAAGCCAATAGGATTCTCTCTCAGAACCTTGAATTTTCAGTGGAGTTTTAAAAGTGCAAGGGAAAACAAAAGTTCATCTAAGAACAGCACCTTGATAAGACTGTGGCATTGCCGACAAGAGCAGAGGCTTTGAGGGCAGCATTGCCACGCAGAACTGCCTACATAATGGAAATGGTCTCTATCTGTGCTTTCCACTATGGTAAAGCACAAGCCAGACATGGCTATTGAACACTTGAACAGCGACCAATGTACCAATGTGACTGAGGAACTAAATGTTTCTATTTAATTTAATTGTAATTAATGTAAATGTAAACTTAAATAGTCACATGCAGCTCATGGCTACCATATTAGATAGCACAGCTCTAGGCTAGCCATTCAAATCCCAGCTCTGCTATTTGATATTTGACCCGGGGCAAGTTACTTAATCTCTCCATTCCTCTGTTCCATTTCCCGTAAACTAGTTGTTTTTTTTTTGTTTTTGTTTTTTTTCTCAAAATAATTTATGAGTTCAGATGAAATAGAGTGCTAGAGTGGTACCTGGCATATAGTAAATACTGTACAAATGTTTGTTCTTGTTCCCTAGTGGGAGTGAACATTTTTATGTTTATTTGGCTTTTAGATTTCTTCTGTGATTCCTTGCATGTAACCTTTGCCCATTTCACTATCTGGTCATTTGTCTTTATCTGTGATTCAGTCCAAATAAAATTAATTTTAAGGAACTATCTGATAAAGACTTTAAAGTATATTTAAGATACTCAAAGACAGAAAAAATGACGTCCACTAAAAGTTCAGAATAAAGACATTTTAAATTAAAAATTTCTAGTATGCCTCTAATAAAAGTTCGGAAAGAAGAAAATGTACAAATATAAGAAATAAGAATTTTCCAGAATTTTAAAAAGAAACAAATCTCAGCACAAAAGTATACTTTGAATATTTAAGTAGGAAAAATAAAGATAAAGCCACATCTACAAACATGGTAGTAAAACTGAAGAACAAGGAACAAAACCCCAATCTACAAATCTCCTATTGGTTTTTGCTTCCTACATCTTGCACTGGCTTTATTTTTTTCCTCGAAGAATTAACTTAGTAATCTATAGGTGGTAAACTCTCTTAGCCTTTGTATATTAAAAATTCTTACTCCTTTTCTCTCTATTTTTCTTTCTCTTTCTCCCTTGAATTACAGTCTAGCAGGATATTAAATTCTAAGTTGGTCATTTTTTTAACGTCAGCACTCTACAAGTATGAATTCATTGTCTCCTGGCCTCTATTATGGCTCATGAGAAGTCCTTTGCCAATATAATTGCCATTCATTTAAGGTAAAGTACACCACAGTTATAATTAATTTAAAATGTTATTTTAAATGTCTCATTCACAATGGTAACAAAAACTACAAGCTACAAACCACAAAACACAAAGATGTATAAGACCTTTGTAGAGAAAATTATAAAACATTTACAGGAAGACCCGTATAACCTCACAGATGGTCTGTGTTCATGGATATGTAGAACCATACATGTCTTTGGATGTGTATGACAATAATATACATTCTTTGTAAATTCCATTCAATTCTAATACATATTCCAACATTTTTAACAGATATGGCAACCTCATCTTAGATTTTTAATAGAACGTGGCAGGCTTATCTTAGGTTTATCATGAAATCACCAAAGGCCGAAAATAAGACAATTCTGAAGAAAATTAGTAAGGGAGTGAGAGCTTGTTCTATGTGGTAAAACATATATGGCAAAGCATATAATATAAGTGAGTGTGGTATTATTAAAGGTATAGACTGAGAAACTCAGAACAGAATAGGAGACTTATGTTAATTTTATTGTCTGCTTTTCTTAGCTTTAGTTTTTTTCTTGTTTGAAAGTTTGCTTTGCACATTCATTTTGAGAGACGTTTCTGATCAGGTTTTGTTTTTCTCTTTCTTTGTCTCTAGCAGCTTTGGAATTTTGAGTTTCCCCCACCAAGGCCTTTTGCTTCCAATTTAGAACCAGGTCCTAAAATGCAACTTTAGAATACCTGTTCTGCAGCAATATCGAGAATATCACAGATCTAGGGCAGTGACCTGCTTGATTCCTGGTCATAAGAACGTCAGGGCATAGCTTCTCAGAAAGCCCCAATTCCACAATTCAGTTGGGCAGCCTTTTCCCTCATTCTTTCTTTACAAGCAAGCAAGCTTTACTTAGCTCTCATCTTCAGGCACTCCATTTTGAAATTTTGTAATTTTAGTTCCCATTATCCTTCAGAAATTGGACTCTCAGCCATCACTATTGGTTTTCAGCAACAGAGTACAGCAGACCAGAGGTTTCAGCTCTATTCTGTTTCTCCAGCCCTCTGTCTGCTTTTCATCAGTCTTTTCAAAAGTGTTTGGAGCAGGGGGTTGGGGAGTATTACAGATCATAAAATTACAGAGCCATCTTGAGTCTATGTCCCTTGGGTTACAATGAATTACATTTGAAATTTATTTCCAATGAAATGAGAGAGCACGAGTTATGTCTGTGTTATAAAAAATATCTAATTTGAGTAGGAATAAAATAAATGCCTAAGTGGTAGGCCGGGCACAGGGGCTCATGCCTGTAATCCCAGCTCTTTCAGAGGCCGAGGTGGGCAGATCACTTGGACCAGGAGTTCGGGGCCAGCCTGGCCAACATGGCAAAACCCTGTATCTACTAAAAATATAAAAAAATTTAGCTGGGTGTGGTGGCATGCGCCTGTAATCCCAGCTATTCGGGAGGCTGAGGCACGAGAATCACTTGAACCCCGGAGGCAGAGGTTGCAGTGAGCTGAGATGGCACCACTGCACTCCAGCCTGGTGACTGGAGGGTGACTCTGTTTCAAAAAATAAAAATAAAAATAAAATAAAATAAAATCCCTAAGTGGCAATCTAAGTTGCATTCTAAGCAAATTCAACAAATTCTGCTTTTGGCATCTTTGCGTATGAAAATATTCAATGAAAATAAAGGGTACATGCTCATGAAGCCATGAAATATGAAGCACATGCCCACCTCCAGCTACTGCCTGGCCCCTGCCTGACAACATTGAAAACAGGTAGCCCTTCCTGACCTATGGAAGTGGATTTCTGACTGCACTGTAAGTTTTATAGAGGCCAGATCAAGGAGCCTTAATTTGCTTTATGTTTTGGGGCTTTCTCTAACATTTAATTGTAGAGAAATTCCACTGCTATAAATGTATTTGAACATTCATGATCTATCATAAAATCAATCTATAAGTTGTCAACTATCGTAAAACCTTGATAGTCTCCAGGGTTATATCCTGAGACCTTCACAATTCCCCGAAGTAGCATTTGCAAATAACCACTACACAGTTAGTTTTCTTAGTTTTCTCATCTGGGAAGTGGACATAATAATGTTTGTATCATATGGTGCTGGGGGTGTTACATGAGACCGGATGTTGAATAAAGAGACCAATGAAGCTGCGTCAAGAGGAAAGTTGGCTGATGAGCACGTCTTTCTCTAGTTAACTGACTTTCACTCATATATCAGCCTTGGAACACATGGGACTCTACTTCATGCTAAGGGAAAATAAATTATAAACTGTGGAATACGGTTCATCAATAGATAATCAGAACCACAAATGCCCACTTAAATATAGCAGGGCGTCCTAAAGTTAGAGGTCCCAAAGCCCTCAAAATACCTTGGCCTGTGGTCTGTTCACCTTTCCAGGGGATGCCTGTGATGCTGCACCAGCAAATTGCCCCAGGCAAAACACATCTCAAGAAGACACCTTTATTTTTAGTAAATAAAATATTCAGAGTCGAGCTCCAAGAACGATAAGGATCAATGTAGAAGTCAGTACCTAGGTACCTACCACAGTGCTGAGCTTGTGCCCTCCCCACAAAATTTAGAGAGTAAGTAGATTTATAGCATACATCTGAAATGCTGTTTAACAATGCGAGAATCCTCAGTACAAGTCATGGGGACTGGATAAATGCTATAGCAGTTTCATGTTAGAAGAGCTCATGGTGCTATCTCAGGGCGAGCCAAGGTTGCTTCATGGGGGCCATGAGACTTCAGTATTTCCCTTTCGTCGCAAGGCATGCTGGTGGAGATGACACACGGGCAGAAAAGCTTAGTGGTTAAGAGTTTGAGCCCTGATTCAGGCCTCTGGAATGCAAATCCCCATTCTGACTTTTCCTATTTCTCTGATCTTGGGCAAATTACTTAACCCTCTGTGTCTTGGTTTTCTCATCTGTAAAATGGATTTTAGTAATAACACCTGCCCACATAGAACTATTGTGAAAATTAAATATGTTAATGTTTGTCAAGTGCTCAGAGCAGTGCCTGGCATCTAGTAAGCACTGTGCTAGTGTTTGTTAAATAAAACAAAGATCTGAGACCAAATGAACCTGTTTTTTTGGAACTCTATGTAAAGCTCGGAGTGTTTTGAGGGTAAAGGAAGCTTTTTCAAGTCTCCAAAACAGATGGGCTTAATTTTTTCTCCTGCTAAGATTGTTGGACTATTTCTAGACTTATATAAAAACGGTGAACCACAGAATGGTCTTGAAAGTCATATTGCTTGCCCAGTGGTTTTTTGCAAGTTAAATTCTTCTAGATGGAACAGAAAGCAAGTTTCAATTAAATGCACTATTCTAAAAAGCTCAGCTCCTCTCTGTGTCTGGTCCTGTGTGGTATGAGCTAAGAATGCTGGCCTTTGAGAATAATTGTTCCTTCTGAAGAGATGAATTAGATCTTCCAGAGTCCTAGGGTATTGCTGGATATGTTACCTTTTCCAATTAGGAGCTCTAAAAGAAGTTGAGTTTTTTTTTATTCTGTGATTTAAAATGTTCTGCTCTCTTGTACCGAACGTAATTTGGCATAAGTAGAATTAGACGAGCTACTTTGTCTTCCTAAGTTGTTATCACCTAAGCGCTGATTTGAAATAGCAGCTAAAGAGAAATAGAATATAAATCTGCCATGTATGTGTGAGTAATGAAGTTCAGAGGTAGAGCAACTTAAGTTGTGTAATTGTCAGCTAAGACAACAAAGCTATTCTAAGGGTTTCCTTCTAGCACCAAATTACAGTCTGTCCAAACAGAGAAAATTAAATCAGACTGCTTATAAATTAAACCTCTTCCACTGGCAAGATTGTTCTGCCCTAAAAGAAGTGTTGCTTTCAGGCAATATATAGCTTCAATAACATGACATCTGGATCTGCCACAGAACTTACAAAGCCATTCCAAAAGGTCTTCCTCTTCTCCCTTCTTGGCTCCTACCTTCCTTAGAGAAAACAAAATTGGCACCAGCAGGTTGTTTGGAATTAGAATTGATAGCAGACCTATCAGGGTATCAGATGTTTGGCATGTTCATTGTTTTAAAGCAGTGTTTACGAAGTTGGTCTCCCATATTTGTTGGAGGCACATTCATGGCATGGTATTAGGAGCACCATCCAAAGGTTACCAAGCTCCAAGTGTCTTCTCCTCTGCTCTACTTCCAGGTTTGAAGTGCTCTCGCTGGAGCCTTGTTCTTGTGGGCTAGGTTAGGAACAGGGTCCGAAAACTTTTTCTGTAAAGGACCAGGTAGTAAATGTTGCAGGCCATACAGTCCCTGTTGTGACTATAGAACGCTGCAGGGTAGCAGGTGGAAGCAGTCACACAATATGTAAAAGATGGCCATGGCTGTGGCCCAATAAAACTTTATTTACAGAAAGAAGCAGCCAGCTATATTTGGCCTGTGGGAGTAGTTTGAAGGCAGAAAAAGCAAAACAACAATAAAATGGTTATTTACGTAAAAAAGAACATCAGAAAAGTCTAAGTTTTCTTTTCTTTTTGAAAACCTGAAAGCTAAGAAGACAGTGGAACAATATGCACATACTTGTAAATCCCAAATTTCTATAACCAATGAAGGTATCTTTCACCTGTGGGAGAAAAGGAGCACATGTTCAGATATGTAGAAGTTCAGAAAATACATCACCAAAAACACTCGTAAGCCCTAAGGAATTACTTCAGACTAACAAAAATGAAGTCAGATCAAGAACTCAAGATAGAGAAAGACAATATAAGAAACAATGGTGAATAATGACTTACAAAATGTAGAGTGACATTTAAATGGTTAGTGATAAATTATAATATGTGCTATAATATGTGGAAAAATGTGTGTTAATACATTTGTTAAAAGCAAATTTTTGTAAAAGAATAGCTATGCTTTAAGAAAAAAGTTAGAGAAAGCCCTGGATTAAAAGCAACTATAATTAGAAGAGTTTTATGCTGGCAGAAGATTAGCAAAATATAACGCTGAAGGCTGGATATCATTAGATATCATAGAAATCTACATACAGAAATAAAGTCAAGTTTATATGGAGACCTACATGATAGGGGTGGCACTGGAAGCCGATGGAAAATTGATAGATTATTCATTATAACATCAGAACGACTGACTAGCTCTCTGAGAGAAACTAATAAAAAACTACTATATCATAATATATACAACAATAACTTGCAGAAAGATTGAATATCCACGTAAATTTAAAGTAACAGAGGAATATACAGGCAAGTATTTGTTACACTTTGAGGTAGAGGGGGCCCTTACTTAGCCAGACAAGAAATTTATTATTTTTTCATTAAAAAAATTGATAGACTTGTCGGCCAGGTGCGGTGGCTCACACCTGTAATCCCAGCACTTTGGGAGGCCGAGGTGGGCAGATCTCAAGGTCAAGAGACCGAGACCATCCTGGCTAACACGGTGAAACCCCGTCTCTACTAAAAATACAAAAATTAGCCGGGCGTGGTGGTGGGCACCTGTAGTCCTAGCTACTTGAGAGGCTGAGGCAGGAGAATGGCATGAACCCGGGAGGCGGAGCTTGCAGTGAGCAGAGACCGTGCCACTGCACTCCAGCCTGGGCGACAGAGCGAGACTCCGTCTCAAAAAAAAAAAAAAAATTATAGACTTGAATCCATAACAATAAAGGTAATGTATAAATAAAACATAATAAGAGAGAATGTAATAAAATATTCAAAAGAGAGCCCCAGTTGACTTCACAATGCAAAAAAAAAAAAAACCTTTTTTTTTGTACAAGTCTTAGGATGTCTATCTATATCTTTAGTGCAATTTAATCCCCACATACAACTTGAACTCTGATATGTGGAAGTAATTGTATACAAAAACAAACAAGTAAACAAAAAATGCAAAACCAAACGACAGCACATAATACAAATGCAGTTTCCTTTTCTTCTTAACTGAGCATAAACAGGGTTTTTATAGTCTTACAAAATCAATGAAAGCAATAATCTAAACTCCTAGAACTGTATATATAGATACCCTCCCCCCACACACTCACATGTACATACTCATACACACTCTTCCATCCATAAATTAAGAATATAGAAACAAATCAAGAGTCATCTGAAAAGACTGAAAGTCCAAATAAAAAGACCAATCTGAGAAGTAAGATGGTTCACTTTTGTATGAAAATAATCTGTAAAAACACAAAAGACTGTATTTATAAATTACTAAATGTATATTATCAATATAATTTTTAGGATAATGAGTAATAAAGGGGGAAAGAAGTGAAATCAGAGAAGCCTGGGTTTCCGTAAAAGTATGATTATTGAATTTTAAAATGAAGTGGAGATAGTGAATAGCCAATTGGGTAGTGCAGAAAACCAATTCAGGTATTTGAAGATCAAATTAAGAAATTCTTTTATTCTGAAACAAGGAGTCACTCAGAAAATATAGCACCTGCATACTTTTCTAATTAAATTATATGATAATTACTACTTAATTGACTTAGCTACTAAAACTAAGTCAATAAAAAGAATACACTAAAAATAAGGAAGATATCTAAAATGATGTAAATAAAATCAGTAAATCATAACTGTATATAAATAGCGTTTGGAAATGTGGTTATAAAACAATGAAATGTTAAAATTCTTGCAATTTTGCATTTTCTTGGAATTCTTTAGCAAGGAAGAATAGAGCATGTCTATCCATAATGATCTGTATTTAAACAGTTTATTTCTATAAAATATGGTAGTTTCAGGGGTAGCAGAACTAATTTTTTGTTTAAATTTATTAGCCCATATGAAGGGCACCAAAAGATGCTACCTTTTATTTGTTAGAAAAATGTAGATTTTTTTTTCTTTTACTTTAAAGGTAACTAGCAAAAAATTGGAATGTATTATTTCCAAATCAGAGATTGTATTACTTCAAAATAAAACTTGATCGATAAAACAAATAAGCGTAAGGGGAAAATAATAACCAAGGAAGCAGGGAAAACAGCAAAAAAGCAGGCGGGAAATTGACAATGAATATTTGGTTATCAAAATTAATGTGAATACATAAAGTTTTTCTATTAAAAAAAAACCAAAGATTTCAGGTTGGTTTAAGATAACACATCTAAAATAAAATAAATTAATTATAAGAGTTAAAATAAAATAGGCCAGGTGGCTCACACCCGTAACCCCAGCACTTTGGGAGGCGGAGGCGGGTGGATAACTTGGGGCCAGGAGTTCAAGACCAGCCTGGCCAACCTGGTGAAATCTCATCTCTACTAAAAATACAAAAATTAGCCGGGTGTGGTGGCGCATGCCTGTAATCCCAGCTACTCGAGAGGTTGAGGCACAAGAATCGCTTGAACCGGGGAGGCGGAGGTTGCAGTGAACTGAGATTGCACCACTGCACTCCAGCCTGGGAGACAGAGTGAGACTCTGTCTCAAATAAAATAAAATAAAAACAAATAAATAAAACAGGTGGGCAAATACATGTTAGGGTAGAAAGAAACCGAAAAGAATTTGTCTGTGAAGTTTCTCTTCATCATTTAAAAGAATCTATAGCCCTAAATCAAAAGCAACCTCGTATCCAGCTACAGGAGACTGGCTATTTTATGGCACATTCACAAGGCAGAATGTTAAGAGTTAGTGTTGAAGATTCAGTATTAAGGGAATAAAGTGGATTATAAAACAATGTTATACTGAATAGATCATATAGCACAATGTGAATGACATTCTGAAAATATAGATCCTCCTTAGATCTTATACTTCAAGAGTCTTGAAGTAGCTTGAAGTATATCTTTGCTTTGTAAATTGCCTGGTAGGAATGAAAACAGAGGATTGAAGGTGTTTGAACAGGGGCACGAGGTAAATATATAATGGCTGAGTATAAAGAAGGACAACAGCCTTGGAGGTGGCTTGTGATAACTCTACCCAAAAGTGATATGGAATGTTCCATGTAGGTTCTATATTGTAGAAGATAGCAAACAAACCCAACCCAATCTCTTCTTAGGGAAGTAAAAATGCTAAAAACACACGATGAACTAGGGTTAGATGTACAAAGAGAGGATTTCAATCTGCTTCTGCATTTGGCCTAATGAAATCCCTGTCTTTGAAGCGTTTGGTTCTGGAGTGACTATACAGCTAATAGAACAGCTTCCCTTATTTTTCCATGTTCCTATGCACTCCTGATATAAATCCTCATTATCGATAGTAGTCTGTGATGTTTCTTCTTTGAGACCTTATAGAACTTGATATATATGTATGTATAACTCTGAGTGGTGGAATTTCACATGCTTTTTATTCCATTCTTGTTACTTATCTGTATTGTTTAATTTTTCTGTAATGAATATGTACTATTTATGCAATAGAAGAATAATAAATGGTACTTTAAAGTTAAATTTAATTTAAAGGCAAATTAATTTTATAGATGAACAACAATGCTTTCTAAGCAATGGGGTAGTGTGTATATACTAGAAATTTTCACATTATTCAAATTCTTTTTTTTTTTTTTCCCAAGAGGGAGTCTTGCTCTGTTGCCCAGGTCAGAGTGCAATGGTGCGATCTCAGCTCACTGCAACCTCCGCTTCCTGGGCTCAAGCAATTCTCCTGCCTCAGCCTCTCGAGTAGCTGGGATTACAGGCACCTGCCACCACGCCCGGCTAATTGTGTTTTTGTTTGTTTGGTTCTTTTTTTTTTTTTTTTTGTATTTTTAGTAGAGACGGGGTTTCACCATATTGGCCAGGCTGGTCTCGAACTCCTGACCTCGTGATCCGCCTACCTCGGCCTCCCAAAGTGCTGGTACAACAGGCACGAGCCACCACACCCAGCCACATTATTCGTATTATTTGACCTGGTCGTTGTACTTCTGGGAATCTACCCTAAAAATTATCTTTGATACAGAAAAAGCTTTATGTACAGAGATATTAATCAAAGCATCACTTATGATAATTCAGAATTGGAGGCAATAGTCACTAAAGAAAGTTTGGAAATGCCATTTAATGGAACATTAAGGAGTAAAAGATAATGTATACCCAGGATTTGTAATAACATGGAAAATTGCTGATGAGTGAGTAAAAAAATCATAACTAGGGAAAAGTTGCTTTTTATAATGAAAAATTATATAAGTTATATAAACTACATATTTAAGAAGGTAAAAATACAAGCAAGTGGAAACAAAGCTTTTCCTCCCCCCTCTTGATGAGATTTGATTATAAATGTTCTTTTCTGTGGGGAAATCAGATCAACCTTGGGTTACTTAATAACAGACCCAGACCTAGTTCAAGTGTTTGTACAGGGACTCAGAGCCTCTTGGCAAACACCAATCCTGCAATGCCAAGTTCAGCCACTTTTGACTGGTGGGAGCTATTATACCTGTTTGTGCCCAGTACTCTCTGGGAATGGAAAAGAGAGGATGATGGGTAGAAAGAAAGTAAAGCCTCCTAGAGACAAAAAGCACACTGTCATCCCTTTGTCTCACTTAGTGTAAGAGCAGGTTGTACCAAGCCATAGTGGGGTTGGAAAGACAAAGCTTTGACACCTCTCCTTGGCTCTGAGTTTGTCCCAATGCACCACCTTGCTCCAAGGGCCAAGAATGCCACCTGAAGAGAAGGTACGGCTCATGTGGGGTGAAGAAAGGAGTGGCAGCTTATTTAACTGGTTTTCTCTGCAATGTTTTCCCCAGGTATACTTGTATTCCTGTGTCCAGTTCAGCTCATATTTATTAAACAACTGTTCATTTAGTCAGTCACTTATTCAGCTATATTTATTATCAACTATGTGGCATGCACTGTGTCAGGCTGATTGTCCCTGTTCTCAGTGTGGTGGGAAGTCGGACTTAAAATCTCACACAGTATTTGAACACTGACAAGACATTCAATAATTTTAAAATACTCATTAGTTTTTGGAAGTGTGATCATGTGAAAATATTTTGGGAATTTTTTTTTAAAGAAATAGTCCTTATTGTTTAGAGATACAGACTAAAGTATTTAAGGGTAAAATATAATATTGGGAGGAAGTGAGGTAGTATAAAGATACAAAGATAAAATACCCATATGTTGTGGATTATTAAAACAAGAAGAAATGGGACTTTGTTATAGTCTCTGTACTTTGTGCATGTTTGGAAATTTCTGTAATAAATTATTTTGTGAACACCCAACAACTAGATACTGTTGAATAAAAATAATTGCCCAGAAACGTGAAACACTATGAACTGAGGAACTGAGATGAGTATTTTGAAGGAAGACACTCATAGGAATGTAGAACTAGGAAAACGAATAGCAGGAGACTTGACCTGGATTGAGATATCATGGAGGCTGCACCTAGCAGCTTTTGGACTGACATGAAGAGCAAGAGATGTTAATCCAGTGAAATGATGGAGGGCCTGAAGCATTCTAAGCAGTGGGACCTACCTGTGTCCAGACCCTTAGGTGGGGAACTTGCATGGGGTCTTCTAGAATGAAATGAAAGGATGGCTAGAATATAAACAATGGCTCACATCTAGTGAGATTAGCTCTAGAGGTCCGACACAGTCAGACCTTTAAGAGGGGCTTTAGACCATCTTTAAAGTTTGATTTCTTGTCCCAAGTACAATAAGAAGTGGTTATGGGTTGGTGGTGACATAATAATAGTTACACTTTGCGAAGATTACCATGGCTACAATGAAGTAGACAAATGGAGATGGTGGGTTGGGTGGGGGAATAGAATTTGGAAGGCCTGGTAAGAGGCTATTGTAATATTGCAGGTAGGAGATCATGAGCCTCGGTGGCTTGAGTGGACATGGAAAGAGGTGGGTGGCTTTGACAAGCATTTAGAGGGTAACAGCCACATGAGTGAAGAGTTAGATATGGGAGACTAGAGAGAGAGGGCTTAAAGGATGCCTGGCCTAGCTTTTTATACTACAAAGATGAAAAACAAAAGACCACATTTTAATAAATGTTATGGTCAAGGAGATAAGCAGTTTCCACCTAATATGATGAATACTAAGGTAGAAATAAGCCCAGAGCTCCTACTGAAGCACGAAACATGTGAGTGAACTTATATCAGCCTGGGGGTCAGGAATTGCTTCCTAGGAAATACACAGTTAAGCCAAATCTACACTATGTGAATTAGAATTAGCAGGAAAAGGGAGTAAAAAAGCAAGGGCAACAGTATGAGCAAACTAGTGGAAGACATAAAAGAGCATGAAGCATGAAAACCAGAGTGAGAGAAGCCGGGTGCATAAGGAATGCAATTTAAGGAGGCACACATTCTCAGGTGTGCTCTGTATAAACTAAAGAGTGAATACCGCTTTAAATTTTGCACCCTGCACACCTTGCTTGCTTTGCTCTAATCCCTGCCCTGATGAAGTGACTACTTACTGGTGCATGGGTTTGAAGCAGAGTTTAGTAGGAGATGAGGTAGCAAGGGTGAGATAATGGAAGGTCTTGCTTTGTGTACTAAGAAGATTGGACTTTTATTTTACAGAAATAGGAAGACATCAAAGGGCATCATGCACGAAGAATTAAGGGTCAGTTTTATATTTTGGATAAATCTTTGTGATGTAGAATGAACAGAGAGAGAAAGAGAAGACCTAGAGAAGACCCAGAGATCTGTTAAGATCCTATTGCCTCATATTGCAGGGAGGAAATGGTGATGACTTGGGTAGGATGACAGTATGACAGAGAAGGAGATATATATAGATATAGATATAGATATTCAAGATATATATAGGAAAATTTCATAAAAGATGAGTCAAAGATAACTCATATTTTTCTCAGTTGGGTAACTGAGTCCATGATGCCGTTTAGTGATATTTCCTATATGCATACGTGTGTACCCAGAAAAAGACACACACACGCACGTGTTCATTTGCTTAAAAAGCCACTGTGCTATTTGCAATACTCGGCCACCATATTTTCTATTTATACTGTTCTGCCTTGAAATAAACACACACAACAAACAAAAAGCAAAAACTCAACTCATTGTCTAGTTGCTACACCATAGCTTTGTTCTTGAAATATTGCACAGAATTAAACATTCATGTGACCAGGAATATTTTTTAAGAATTTAAAATTTAAAATCAGTAGATGTTGGGGGGTGGTGTAATGACTGGCTGTATAAAAGAATCCTTTCTCTTTTTAACATGAATGACAGACTCGTGACTGTAAGCTCTGTTAGATCACATGGCATGTCCATTTTATTTATGATCATACCTCCAGCAGATAACACAGTTCCAGGTATGGAGTAGGTACTCAAGTTTTTATGAAATAAAATAATAATATTTTAGGTTGGGAAGATCTTTCTATGAAACAAGCTGGCCCCAAATTCAATAGCTTAACAATCATTTATTCTTGCTCATGTTTCTGTAGTCAGCAGAGTCAGCTGATTAAGGCTCCAAAGCTGGGGTTGGCTCCAGGCCATGGCCAGCATTCAGGTGATTGTTGTAAACATATTTCAGGCCTCTGTATTATATTTGCTAATATCCCATTGGCCAAAGTAAGCCCTATGGTAGAGGCTAAAGACAAGGGGCAAGAGGAAACATTTGACAGTAGCGGAAAGAGCTACTAGGTCACATGGCAAAGGATGTGATTGCAGAGAATAGTGAAGAGCTAGGGACAATTATTTAATATACTACTGTCCACACTCTTAGGAACAATTATTCAACTCCCTTCTACATGAAAAATAAACTTACCCCCATCCTAAGATCTCCAAAGTCTTATCTAATCATGGTATCAAATTCGAAGCCCAGGATCTCAATATCTAAAGCAGTCTAGATTTGGTTTATCTTTTTAAAAAAATGTTTTTAATTTAATTAATTAATTTTTATTGATGCAGACTATAATAAATGTACATAGTTTTGGAGGTGCATGAGATAATTTAATACATTCATATAATTTGTAAAGATCAGATAATTTCTTGGGATATTGCAGTTCTTAGGATATCTATCACCTTAAATATTTGTCTTTTCTTTCTGCAATAACCATCAAAATTTTTCTATTCTAGCTATTTTGAAATATACATTATTATCAACAATAGTCACCCTGCTAATCTGTCTAGCACTAGGTCTTATTTTTTTCTACCAAACCATATCTTTGTGCCCATTAATCAACTTCTCTTCATCCCCTTCTACTGCCTATCCTTCCCAGCCTCTTGTAACCACCAGTCTACTCATTCTTCATTAGATCCATTTTTTAGTTCCCACTTGTGAGTGAGAACGTGCGATATTGTCTTTCTGTGCTGGGCTTATTGCACTTAACATAATGATCTCCAGGTCCATCCATGTTCCTACAAATGACAGGATTTCATTCATTTTTATGGTTGAATAATATTCCATTGTGTATATATACCACATTTTATTTATCCATTTGTCCATTGATGGGCACTCAGGTGGATTCCATGTCTTGGCTTTTGTGAACAGTGCTGCAATAAAAATGGAAGTGGAGGTGTCTTTTCAATCTATTGATTTGCTTTCTTTCGTGTATATACCCAGTAGTGGAACTGGTGGATCATACGGTAGTTCTAGTTTTTGTTTCTTGAAGAACCTCCATACTGTTCTCCATAGTGGTTCTACTAACTTAGATTTCCAGGAGCAGTGTACCAGGGTTCCCCTTTCTCCATATCCTCATCAGCATTTGTTATTGCCTGCTTTTTCTGTAAAAGCCATTTTAACTGGGGTGAGAAAAAATATGCTACAATAGTAACCAAATCAGCATGATACTGACATAAAAACAGACACATAGACCAATGAAACAATAGAAAACCCAGATGTAAACCTAGATTTGGGTTCTCTCAATCTAGAGATGTATTTTTTTCACTTTCAAAAAAACTAAACCTTTTTCTGAGATATTTTGATGTATTTCATTACTTATGTATTTATTTACTTAATTTTGAGGTTATGATGGTTAATCTTATTTGTCAGTCTCACTGGGCTACAGAATGCCCACATCTTTTTTCAAACCTTATTTTGGGTGTTTCTTTGAGGGTACTTCATTCTATTTCTCTGGAGAACTCTGACTAATACAGAGATATTTTGTGATACAGTTCTAAGTATTAGTACAGGTAGATCCCATGCACCTTGTCTTAGTCTATTTGTGCTGATGTCACAAAATTCCACAGACTAAGTAAGTCATAAACAGTAAAAATTTATTTCTCATGGTCATGGAGACTGGGAAGTCCTAGATCAAGGCACTGTCTGATAATGGTCCTGGTCTTTGCTTCCAAGATGGTGCCAGTTGCTGCATCCTCCAGGGGGGATGAAAGCTGTGTCCTCACGTGGTGGGAGGAATGGAAGGGCATGGAAGACTCTCTTCAACCTCAAGCTCTGTTAGAGGAGCACTAATCATATTCACAAGAAGGAGCCCTCATGACTTACTCACCCCCCAAAGACCACGTGTCTTAATACTGTTGCATCAGGGATTAAGTTTCAAAATAACTTTTGGAGGAGATACCACCATAGCATATCTCTATTCCGTTTCCTGTAGTGGTAAGGTCTTAAAAGCCTTACCCAACCCATACATCATCCCAACCAGGATATTGACGTTAACACAATCCACTGATCTCATTCAGATTTTCCCCATTTGTCTTGCACTCACTTATGTGTGTGTTTGCACATGTTTAGTTCTACGCAACGTACAAGTTTGAGTCTCTGCCACCACAGTCAAGATACAGAAGAGTTTCATTATCAGAAAGATCAGAGATGTACTTTTGAATGGATGAATAGTGCTTAAAAGAGAAATGAGTTTTGTGGTTAGCTACTTAAGTCTCACCCTTTAACATTGTGGAATTTATCACTGAGAACTTCCTTTCTTCTCAAATCAGGAAATGTGTAATGTGAAGTTAACCTCAATGTGATGTGCCAAGGGCATGTGAAATCACAAGGAGAAAGTGCAGTATTTACTGAGTGAGCAGCTATTCCAGTCAATGGTAAGTGATTTTTTTTTTTTTTTTTTTTGACGGAATCCGGCTCTGTCGCCCAGGCTGGAATGCAGTGGCGCAATCTCGGCTCACTACAACCTCCGCCTCCCGAGTTCAAGTGATTAGTAGCTGGGACTACAGGCATCCGCCACCATGCCCGGGTAATTTTTTTGTACTTTTAATAGAGATGGGGTTTCACCATGTTGGCCAGGATGGTCTCTATCTCTTGACCTCGTGATCCACCCGCCTTGGCCTCCCAAAGTGCTGGCATTACAGGCGTGAGCCACCGCGCCCTGCCGGTAGGTGATTTTAAAATTTACTTTTACATGAGAACGGCATGGGTAGGTCAGGCGCAGTGACTCATGCCTGTAATCCCAGCACTTTGAAAGACCAAGGCAGGAGGATGGATTGAGCCCAGGAGTTTGAGACAAGCATGGCAACATAATGAGACGCCATCTCTACCAAAAATTAAAATAAAAATTAGCCAGGCACAGTGGCTCTCACCTGTAGTCCCAGTTACTCTGGAGACTGAGGTGGAAGGATCACTTGAGCCCAGGAAGTTGGTGGCTGCAGTGAGCCAAGACGGCACCACTGCACCCCAGCCTGGGTGACAGAGTGAGACCCTGTCTCAAGAATAACAAACAGATAAACAAAAAATCCAGCATGAGTGTATTATGGAGTAGAATGCAACATTTCTTTTTATCGAAAACAAGACTTCAAAGATAGGCCCTGCACATTGCAGTCATTTGCGGCCACACTTGTAGATCCTTCAAATTACGGAATCATCTTTACTGTCCTAAGAGGTACTTTGATAAAAACTTTGAGAAACACTTCTAGTTAGCTTTTCATCTGCTATTTTCCACCTCCTTATTCAGGGTATGCCTTAAGGCCAGGGACTTGGCAGTTGCCACTTTGTTATTCCTGGCAGCAGCCAGCACAAGGCACACCACGGGAGAAGCATTCAACTGATGTTGCTTGAATGGCTTTGTGCCTTGCCTATTAGGGATATAGATGATCCTCTATCTAGATCCCTGATAAGAGGGTAGAGAAACCTCAGATTCAGTCTAGACTTTGATCTACATTGCCATGTGGCCTTGTGCAAACTACTGAATGTCTCTGAGTTTCCTTGTCTGAAAAATCCAGAATACCCATTACATGAGGTTATTTTAAGACTTAAAGGAAATACTGTGCCAAGTATTCATCACAATGATACAAAGTAGGTACTCAAGAAATGAGAGCTGTTACGACAGTGATATGGTTTGGGTCTGTGTCCCTACCCAAATCTCATGTCAAATTGTAATCCCAATGTTGGATGTGGGGCCTGGCGGGAGGTGATTAGATCATGGGGGTGGATTTCCCCTTTGATGATGTTCTCACAATACTGTGAGAGTGAGTGAGTTATTGTGAGATCTGATTGCTAACAAGTGTGTGGCGCCTCCCCACTCTCTCTTCCTTCTGCTCTAGCCATGTGAAGGCTCCTGCTCCCACTTTGCCTTCTGCTATGAGTAAAAGTTTCCTGAGGCATCCTTAGAAGCTAAGCAGATGCCAGCATTGTGATTCCTGTACAGCCTGCAGAATCATGAGCCAATTAAGCATATTTTCTTTATAAATTTCCTATTCTCAGGTATTTCTTTATAGCAGTGTAAGAATGGACTAATACATACACTGATGATGATGCTGGGATGTTGATGATATTAGCTTAATCTTAATAACTAACATAAATCATGAAAGAATTGTAAAATTAATTAACAAATAAATGAGGAAAGACATTTTCAAAAATAAATTTTTTCTTGCTCAACATCAAATATCAATTTTACTCCAGCTAGTAAAGAAGATAAAACTGAAGTCTATTCTAAGTCTACTAAGACATCGTAACATAAACAAACAAAATTATCAGTATTCTCTTCCCTGGATCTAAGCACTACATGAAAATCCCAAGTCTTACTCATATTTTCTAAGTTAATGAGGAATCAGATATAATCGATGATGTTATAGAGAAAACACTAAAAATAAAACAAATATATCTTGGAGAAAGCGTTTAAACATAGCTTTGAGAAATAAAAGCCTCTAGCATCATTTTTCTCTGTCAATTTTGGTAAAAGCATTTTAGGAAGATGCTTTTTACAAGACTTATCATTATGGAAGAGTGATAATATGAAAAGATCTTCTCTCAGACCTAGAGCATCTAATGAAAATGTATAATCTTCCATTCTCAGTTCGGCAAGGAGGTCTGGGTGCCACAACCTAAAAAGGGATTTTTTTTTTTTTTTGCCACTTTCTGTATTTATTCAGCCTGACAACATCACATTTTCCATAGCCTGTGATTGGGTGCCACACTGTCCATATTATCACACCTAGGTCAGTCTTTAATCAGAAGTCTTCATTTTCAAAGTGTCTCATGTCTATGAATCCACTGTCACATTAGTGGTGGCTGGATGGTGACTTCAAGGATATCTTTAGGTCCCATAAGTCCTAATAATTTAGAGGCATTTTCCTGAAATCATGAGTACATGCTTGCATATCCATCCAGGCAGGACCTGCTCCTAGAAGTGACTATCTGCTCCGAAGAAATCCAGAACTCTCTGGGGTGAGAGCACGGGGTGTTCCTAATGAAATAAATTCACAGGTCTCAATGAATGTCAGGCATGGCCTATAAGGGGGCCTGGGTGTCCGTTAATGGCACTTATTTTCTCCACCTGAATTCTGAACCATGCAAGAGGTTTATCGTATGCCTTAGCTGTGGAGAAACAATGGCCTTCCTAATGCTGAGCTACCAAATTATAGACTTATCTGGTCACTCTCAGGAAAGATGAGGTCTCTTTGTGTCTCCCTGGAGCCTGAACTGTAAGGCATGTGGTATGGAGTAATAGAGCAGAAGCCTGTGGGATGCTCAAGACTACAAAGAAAGGGATGAGGCTGGTCTTCATGTTCCCAGGTTCTCATCCAGGTCTCACCAATCTGAGGAATCACCTCTCTCCTGTGTGAAGCTACAGAAAGAGGCCCTGGGTGTTAAGATGATGGGGCTATCTCCAGTGGAAAGAAAACCTAGGAAATGAGGGACATGTGTTCCCTCTAATAGCTTATGGCAGGGTTCATCAAGCTCAGCACTATTGACAATTTGGACCAGATAGTTCTTTGCTGTGGGGGCCATCCTGAGCATTATACCACATGTAGTAGCCTCCTTAGCCTCTCCCCACTAGACATTAATAGCACACGCCCCCGAGTCATGACAACTGAAAATGTTTCCAGACATTGCCAAATGTCCCTCTGTGGGTGGGGGTAAAATTTTCGTAGGTTGAAAACCACTGGCCTAGACTCCAGTCTTCTTTGCTGTAAACTGGTTCATTCAGAACACTTCCATTGAGCGCTTACTATGTGCCAGGCTGGCGGGGAAATGTATTAGTTTATTCTCATGCTGCTAGTAAAGACATACCAGAGACTGGGTAATTGATAAAGGAAAGAGCTTTAATGGACTCACAGTTCCACATGGCTGAGGAGGCCTCACAATCATGATGGAAGATGAAGAAAGAGAAAAAGAATATCTTATATGGCGGCAGGCAAGTGAACTTGTGTAGGGGAACTCCCCTTTATAAAATCGTCAGATCTTGTGAGACTTATTCACTATCATGAGAACAGCATGGGAATGACCCGTCCCCATGATTCAATTACCTACTGCTGGGTCCCTCCCATGACACATGGGAATTATGGGAGCTACAATTCAAGATGAGATTTGGGTGGGGACACAGCCAAATCATATCAGGAAATGTAAAAAAGATCTAGTTTTGGCCTTAAATAGCTTGCATCTAGTGGACTCACAGAGATGCGTCAAAGGAGATACTTGGTGCTACACGTGAACCCTAATGGTTCCCCAGCAGTGGCCTTGAATCACAAAAATCCTGTTTGACCATATGGAGATAGATCTGTTGTTCCTTCCGTGACAAACTGCCTCTTAGGGAAACAGATATTTTTCTACAGATCTTTCAATTTCTGTTTGGAGAATGACTACTGTATCCAGGCTTGACGTTCAGAATGTATGCCTGCAGCCCATGAAATTTGTTTTCTCTCTGAGTAATGGGGCTTTTCCACCCGGTGTCTCCATGGCATCTGTGAGATCAAAGTCATTTATTTCACAACAAATATTAAGGCCCAAACAGCTTAAACTTGACAGAAGTCAGAATCTCTAGGGAAAATGCAGAGTTTAAACAAAAATAACTCACTAAGGCCCTTATCCAGTACTTCTGAATTTTATATACCAAATATATTGAGCCATTCACGGATACGATTATTATACTTTGGATATATGTCAAATAGTCATTTTTAAAGAAGTAGCCTTCTGTTTTCACTATCTAAATTTTACGGCAGATTGTGGTGGCCTAAATGTAACGCCCTCACAGGGAAACGTTTTCTATGGAACCTTTTCCACAAAGGTGTCAGATATCTGGGGTACAAATGATAGTGAAATTTGGGATTGACTTTTTAAAAAATTATTTTAGCAGAATAGAAAGGAAAATAATGTATTTTTATAATAGTAGATCTCACATTTTCTAGGGCATAGGCCATTTTCATGAAGGATGTACTTTGAGCTTTCCTACTTTTCAAAACATAGAAACAGCACCAAGACAAATGGGAATACAGCTCTTCTTTTTAATAGGATGGTGAATTAGAGAGGGGAGAAGAATCAGAAACTTAACAGGGGTCAGTATACCTGAGTTCTAGACCCAGGTCTACTTTGTCTGTGAGATGATCTTTTATGTCATTTTCCTTTTATTACATTAAGGTTAAGAAATGAGATTCATTCTCTGAGTTTTCTGATATTAAAATAAAGGGTAAGGTAAATGATATTATTACTAATATTGAACAACTTTATTTATTTAACATTTGTTGATAGCATACTCTGCACTAAGCTCCATTCCAGGCACTGGGGCTGTGATATGATTTGGCTCACCTTAAATTGTAAAAATCCCCATGTGTCAAGGGTGGAGCCAGGTGGAGATAATTGAATCAAGAGGTCGGTTTTCCTCATACTGTTCTTGAGGTAGTGAATAGGTCTTATGAGATCTGATGGTTTTATAAAGGGGAGTTCCCCTACACAAGCTCTCTTGCTTGCCACCATAGAAGATGTGCCTTTGCAGCCAGGCGCGGTGGCTCATGCCTGTAATCCCAGCACTTTGGGAGGCCGAGATGGGCAGATCACGAGGTCAGGAGATCAAGAGCATCCTGGCTAACACGGTGAAACCCCGTCTCTACTAAAAATACAAAAAATTAGCCAGGCGTGGTGGCGGGCGCCTATAGTCCCAGCTACTGGGAAGGCTGAGGCAGGAGAATGGCGTGAACCTGGGAGGCGGAGCTTGCAGTAAGCTGAGATCACGCCACTGCACTCCAGCCTGGGGGACAGAGTGAGACTCCGTCTCAAAAAAAAAAAAAAAAAAAAAAAAAGATGTGCCTTTGCTCCCTCTTCACCTTCCCCACCATGATTATGAGGCCTCCCCAGCCATGTGAAACTGTGAGTCCATTAAACCTCTTTTTCTTTATAAATCACCCAGTCTCAGGTATGTCTTTATTAGCAGGGTGAGAACAGACTAATACAGGCCACCACTAAAGGGGTTGCTAATTTAGACAAGAAAAATACATATTCTCATGACAAATATCAAAGTTTAAAAGACTTCATAATTGTGTCAGCATTATGTGTTAAGAATCTCATATTTAAAGGAAAGTTTAGAAACCTATCCACAACCTTTAGGCATCTTGAAAAATGGAAATAGATCTCCTCCCCACCCTTAAAAGCAGAGCCACTAGAATGAGGGAGAATGAAGTCTGGACAGGTAAAGGGATGGAGCATGTACTGGTCTAGGATGCCCCAGCATTCACTTCCTCATCTTCACGCCCTCTTCTCCCAATGCTTATTCTGTGCCTCTGGGGAATACTGACATTTACTCCACCAAAGGTACAGAAGCGTGCACACACACATACCCACACACACACACAAAAGCACATACACGCTCAACATACATATACACACATGGGCCTGAGCTCCTCAAAATGGCTAGCTAAATTCATGCAGCACACTAAAGAGAGCTAAATCCATGCAACACTAAAGAGAGAGCATCACTTTTCTGAATTCAAAAGACTGGATTGCACTGAATATAATGGGTAAACAACTGAAATTTCAAACTCCAACAGCCTTAATAGACAGAGAAAGCATGGTGCACTTACTATAAAAAATAGTAACAATTATTCCCAGTCAATGATAGTGAATCTTTCCAGGATATTTTGGTTGATATTTTGGCTGATTGGACAATCCTGGAATTTAAAATGTTATTCAGTATTGAGCACAACATTTTCGGGTAATGACGGAAGCTGATCTTCCGTCTTCACTGTTTAAAGACAGGAGATTGGTGGTTAAGACTGCAGAAAAGTTATTAGGGCTGTAGTTTCACTTGTGATATAAATGAATCTCCTTTGAATGTTGAGATCCTTGAAAGTCCTCCTAAGTGGCATTTATTAATGTGCTTTATCATGTCCAGGAAATAGTAGTAGTCAGTGTGGGTGTTTCTTTTCAGGGGAATGAGAGTGTAAGAGGGGGAAAAAAGAGTTGCTCTTTCATGAATGTCTAAGAAGGGATTCTGAGAAATGCCACAATACTGGACTAACCCATTTATTTTGTAATAAAGACTAGGTATAACTCATCTTTTGGGGTTTTGTTTAATTTCGAACCCCTAACTCTATTGTTAATCCCTGTCAGTTTCCCCTGTAATTACAATCTGTTAACATTTCAAACAGACAGGAGGTTGTAAACTTTGAAATTCCGTCGGTAGGTAGAGTTGATATTATTCAGACAGGATGAATTCCACCAAGGGGGAGAAATGTGGAGGAGAGGAAACAGATGAGATACTGGGAGTGAGAATGTAATGGGAATAAATCCACAGGCCCCGAATGGCACACCTGGAACATCCCTGCTACTGCTCCAGCTTGTTCCCAGGTGATCCTCAGCACAGCCTTAGAACCTTTGGAAACCCAGGCAGCCATGACCACTCAATTATCCTGGGCACTAGAGATGAAACCTATTTCTTATTTTTGGATAGGATTTGTGAGATAAAAAGACAAGGAATCATGGTCAACTGAATCAAAAAAAAAATCTCTGGATACTCACCAGGGTAGAAGAGCCTAAAGAGCCTGACCTGAAAAACACCTTAGACATAAATTTTACAAATGAGGAAGCTGAGTTTCAAAAGGCTGTTCCTTGACAAACACCAAAATAATTGATGACAACCACAAATAGCATGTTTCAATGGCATCACCATGTATGCTGTCCCACCCATCAATCAGAAGCATGCATCTGCATTTTAATATATGCCTATAATTGCTTATTATTCAAGTTTTCTATTCAAAAAGCATTCTTGGTCATATATACTGTGAGTAATTGAGTCTCTACTATATATTGGTAAATGATTTGCATGATCTGGACCCCACAGTCCTAGCATGACATTTCCCTCTTTTCCTATTACTAGCCATTCACAGCATCCAAAGACAACAGAGTTGCTGGATCACTGCCAGGCCCCAGGCATTGAAGCCTTGCTTGCTGCAATTCTCTTTGGCTAAGTTAGGCACATACTAAAATGGATACAAGGATCCCATAGCAATTGCCTTGTAAGACACTTAAAGGCAACTGATCACAAGGTGGACAAGGGAAAGCTTTCAAGAACCCTGAAATTGAATTTGGAGTCACTAATACAGCTAGGGAATGATAGCGTGGAATGTCTCAAGGTCGCTTGCAACAGAGAAAGGGGGCCTTATTTCAAAGAAATTGCCCTGTCTGCCAGGATAAAAATGAGACACACACAGCAAAGAGAAAAGAGCAGCTGCTACAGAGCATTACCAAGGGAGAGACTGCAAAACAAATCATCAGTGGGAAGGAGAATGAGGAACACCACGAATTTCTTCCATCACTGGACAAGAAGCGCTCTCTCCTCTAATTCATAGGATAAAAAGAAAGCTGGCTCCAAATGGCCATTTAAGCCCAGTAGGGCCCTTTGCAAGAATGCGAAAGAGAGAAGATAACATGATTTTCTCCACTGTGTCAAGATGCAATGGCTACATATACCTCCTGCAGCTGAATTATAAAGGCTGGAGCGTGCTTGCGACCATTTGGACCACATGGTTCCCGCTGTCAAAAGGTACCCCCCAGAGACATCATTTTCCACTGCCTATGGATCAGACGTCCAACAGATTCCAGGAGGCACAATGTTAATAGACTGAAATTGTCTTTGCTTCTGGAGGCAAAAGTGAAGATAGGCAGGGCAAAGATTTTCTCTTGTGCTTTCTTCTAGAACTTTTATAGTTTCAGGTTTCACATTGTGTATGATCCCCTTTGAGTTAATTTTTTTATGTGATGCAAGATATGGATCAAGATTTGGATTTGAATATGGATAACCAATTGTTCCAGCACCATTTGCTGAAAAGACTATCTTTTCTTCACTAAATTGCTTTTTTAACTTTGAAAAGAATCAATTAACCCATATATGTGTGTATCTATTTCTGGACTTTCTATTCTGCTTCATTGATTTATATTGTCTATTCTTTTGCCATTACCACACGGGCTTGATTACTGTAGCTTCATAGGAACTCTTGAAATTAGGTAGTGTGATTCCTCCAACTTTGTTCTTTTTCAAAATTATGCTGGCTATTACAGTTCCTTTGTCTTACCATATATATTTTAGAATCAGCTTGCTGATTTTTACACACACACACACACACACACACACACAAACCTGCTAGATTTTTCACTAGAACTGTACTGAATTCATACATCTATATTATTTTTTTTTTAAGATAAATTGCTTCATAAATTTATTCTGATGCTTCTGGTTCAAACTCAGGGATACAGAGGTTTCTACTTTAACCTCTTCTCTGTTAAACTTGTGTCTCTTTCCTTCCACACCAAATATCCTAGTTCTCTAGGACACTGAAAGTGATAGAATTGGAACATTTCATAATTGTTCATCTAGTTTATCCCATATTACAAACATAGTCTCTGAATAATACTCATATTATAACAATATAATTACTAATATTAATTAAAAACTTTTTTGCATATGCCTTTTTTCTCCCATTTTTATAATTGTACTATATCTACATTTTCTGAACATATAGTCATCCCATTACTATAAAAAATCTGCCTTGATATTTTTTCTAAAAGACACACTCATCTATTTATTTAACTGAGTTATTCTCTGCCTCCTTCAAAAATGATTTTAAACTCCCTTAAAAAGAGGAAAATACAGTTGGGTAAAAAGGAGGAAGCAAATATGTTAACCATAATTTAAATATGCGTTATGATTAAGTGCAATATTTGGCTCAATGCATCCTAACAGCCAAATTAAAGGTAAAAATGTGACAAGTTACATAAAGTGGTATTTTTCAAATACAATTGTTATTTTTTTTAAGATTAAAGGCAGACTTTTTTTTTACATTACATTACTAGGAGACAAAAATTGAGATGTGTAATAACATCCTCAATTAGAGTTTCACAGAAATGTAAAAAAAAATTGACGTGAAAAAAGTTCAACATAATATTAAAGTGCAAATCAGTAAAACCGAGAGATCTTTCAGAGAAAGACCTTTATCTTAAACTGTTTTTTAATACTTTTAATGTACATCATGTAGCTGTTTGTCTCTTTTTATTATAGTATATATTATTACAGAAATATTTTAAATATTTATATTTAAATATATTTATACATATATATGGTACATATGTATATATTTTTGCTTTTCTAATTAGAAAGAATTTCCCACTATCAACATTATCACTAAGAACTTTAGCTGACTCTTTGAGTCAAGAAAACACTTTGAAAGTTCTACTCAGCCACAGCTTAGAAACTGCCCAACGTGCTTCACCACCAAGCTTAGGCTATGTTAAAGCAAACGTGGCATCAGCTTCAAGGGCAAGGCAGGGGAAGAAGACATTAGTTGCAGATATAATAATATGGGAAAAGGGGGTCAAAGAATGGACATTTGACTAATGGGGTGAACAGCAGGAGAAGAGTGTTAGTGACTATGAGACAGTGGATGTGGAAGGAAAGATCACAGTACCATTGACTGTCCATTGTAAAAGTCCAGCAAGACCTAAAGGAAATGAGCATGTCCTAGAGAAGTCTGAATTTGTTAACAGGAGACTAGCTTAATGGACAGTGAATAATAGTATTACTGGAAAAGGTAATCTGGATAGGAATAAGATATAGATAAATCAAAGATTGAAGTTTCCTGAATTCTCCCACACAGAGTTATATACAAATTCTAACACCACAGTATTTTCCACCTTGAATCATGCTTCATGAGTTTGCTTTATGAAAGAGCATTTCATTTACTTGATGGTGACAGCTTGCCCATTTTCAGGTGACTACATCCTTATCACCACTTGAGAGCCAGTGGGCTCCTCTCAGAAAATCGGGCTTACACAGACAAGATAGTCCACGGTTTTATGCCAAATTTCTCTATCTATCTCTTGCTACTCTCTGAGGGCATTCTGACCTCTTAATTCCTTGAGGGCCATAATTGACCAGAAACACTCTTGACTGCATCAGGAATTGAGTGGGAACTCTTGATAGGTCTTTGGTCAATCACTTAAGAAAATCCATTTCATTTAAGTCATTCCTGGAAATTTTTTCTTTTACTTAATTATGTTGTGCACCCTTTTGCTTCCCTCTCATGATATCAGGACACACAGGTTAATGTGAAAGAAGCATATGCAGTTACTAAAGAAATGAAGTTTTTCCACTGATAGGTATATGGGTTAGATTGAATATTAACACTGATTCCTCGTGCTCTTTCCTTATGACGCCTAAGTAATAAGTTATTTGCTTTCATAAATTTTTGAAATTGTATGTGATTAGTAATAAAAGGTCTGCATCAGAAAATAATATCCTTACCAACAGGAAACAGGGGTTTCAGTTGAAAAGCATGAAACATATATTTTCTTGATAAAGCTGATATGGTTTGGCTGTCCCCACCCAAATCTCATCTTGAACTATAGCTCCAACAATTCCCACGTGTGGTGAGAGGTAATTGAATCATGGGGGCGGGTCTTTCTCATGCTGTTCTCATGATAGTGAATAAGTCTCATGAAATCTGATGGTTTTATAAGGGGGAGTTTCCCTGCACAAATTTTCTCTTGTCTGTCACCATGTAAGACCTGCCTTTCACCTTCCACTATTATTATGAGCCTCCCCAGACATGTGAAACTGTGAGTCCATTAAACTTCTTTTTCTTTATAAATTACCTAGTTTTAGGTATGTCTTTATCAGCAGTGTGAAATAAAGTATAGAAAGTCTATTATATTGGAAAGAACACTGGGGCTCAGGCATTAGCTCAACCCTTAGGTCCATACCTTATGGTCACATAATATTGGATAAGTCACTCAATATCTTTGAGCCTTGTTTAACATAGAAATAATAATAATGACCTCACTGGATTAGTCGCGGTCAGATTAAATAACATGTGAAAAAGTTCTTGGTAAATGCTAATGTATTCTGTAACTGTAGTCTATCAGTATGTGTGGCTTTTTATAAAAGTCTAGGTCTGCTTTGTGATCCCAGAAATCCCCTTCATCCTATTCTGGTGTGGGGCCTGCATTCATGCTGCCTTATCTCCACAAACAGCTGGAATGAATCATTAGGAGCTGTCATTCTTCCCACCTGGGAAGAGTAACTGGCTTGTGTCTGATCCCCCAATAAGCTGTCAAGGGAGGAGGAGTCAGGAAGCCGGATGGAGAGTGAGTGACATTGGACCCACAGTCAGCACATCACATACCCCATCCCAGGCCATGATAGCTTCTAACTATGAAGAATGACAGCAAGCCAATGAGTCCTTTCATCTTCAGGGCAAGACGTTGGTTGCTTTAAGATGACGAATGTTATTTATTTGGTTGAGAGCAGAAATGATCATACACATTAATATAATTTCATCAGTTTCTGAAAGAGACCCCTGCATCCACACCCTTCCCTCCCACCACTTAAACCCGCTGGTTATGTACCAAACGTGACATTAAATAATACGTTTTTCTTTTTGCTGACAAACAAAATCAGATGCTAATCAATAGGAATTCAGTTGGCAGAGATGTCTTGCTCATCAGTGAAATTACATCTGGGTCTTGTTGGCTTGATGGTAGGAAATCCTTTTGATGAGAAAATGAAATGAAAAAAAAATGCTCTCTCTTATCATAAGAAACTATAAACAACCACAACACTCAACAATCAATCAAGCAAACAAACAGAAAACCCCTCAGTTGTTGGGGTGTTGGAAACTAATTTTATCACACTGTTGCCCCTCTCCCACAATTTAATACAAGCTATTGAGAAATAATTATACGATTTGCTTATTCAAAATTTAAATATGCTTTCTAGACGATTACTCTAAAAAAACAGCGGGAGCTCAAAGAAGGATGTCCTATTGTTTTGGGGCCACCTTGACAAGGCTGTGTCCATCAAAACTGACCCTTTCACTCATATTCAATGAGGCTACTAACCTAGCTCCATAGCTATTGTTTACCCTTTCAAGGAAACACACGAAACATCAGCATTTCCTAATAATAAGTCTCCCCAGGTGTTCTTGTTTAGGTAGAACCCCTTCATCCATCAGTGAAGGTCCATTGCCAACCTGTAGATCTAGGATAGTGTTGATGCTTTTGTTATTAATCAAGCTCTTAGTACATCAAAAGAAAGTGGCTCATCCCCTTTTTTTCTCCCCACCAAATATTGTGAAGACAATAGAATAAGGGGGAAAACACTCACTGAAAACATAAGCACAGTGTATAATTTGGAATGGCCATTAACCAGAATATAATAATTCTGTCAGAGATATTTCTCACAACGCTGAAGAGTGTTTTGAATTGGTGAAACCTTTAAAATAGAATATTGAATATCATAGTCTCTCCTTCCTTCCTTCCTTCGTTCCTTCCTTCCTTCCTTCATTCCTCCCTCCCTCCCTACCTCTCTTTCCTCCCTCTTCTTTCTTTTCTTTCCTCTTCTTTCTTTCTTTTTTCTTTCTTTTCTTTCTTTTTTCTTTCTTTCCTTCTTTCTTTCTTTTTTCTTTGTTTCTTCTTTCTCTTTCTTCTTTCTTTCTTTCTTTCTTTCTTTCTTTCTTTCTTTCTTTCTTTCTTTCTTTCTTTCTTTTCTTTCTTCCTTTCTTTCCCTCTTCCCACCACCCTGCTCCTCTTCTTTTTAGCTATAGGGCCTCCAAATGCTTTCACATATATTAGTTTACTTACACATACATTAGTTTACTTTATCTTCATAGAAATCCTAAAAACTAGTTAGGACCACTAGAATGATGTTTGGGTATTAAAAATAAGATTAGCAACTTTTTTAAGGTCAATCAAATGAGAGATTATACATCGGAGATTCAAATCCAGGTTTCCAAACACCTGAGGTAGGGCTTTTTTCAATATTTCTAACTACTCTATTCCTATTCAATTTAGGTACTGAATGCCTGGTGGTCAATCCACATTTTAAGGTTGCATTCACTAGAATCAGATGTAAGTATAAAGTCCAAGTAAGCAAAAAAGCATATTGAAAACAATTTCAAAATTTCTGGGAGAACTGCTAAAAATATCAATAAGAATAAGCATTTTCTAGCTTAATCCTTTACATAAATAGATGCTACTGCTGACAGTGTTTTTTCCAGAGCTGGACTTCCCACTGTCAGCAAGAGGCATGCTGAGATATTTACGGTGATCATGTTTTACATCACTCCATCTCTATCCTCCCTGGCTTTCTCAGCATTCTCTGAGCAGGGTGGGATAAAAGGCTGGTATCATGTAGCGATGACCTCAAAAGCCCCACACTGGGCACTGTCAATATGGCATGTTCTCCCCAGCTTCCCGTTCTTTGAATCCCTTCCCTGACAACCAGATGGATTGTTATGTATTTGCTTGCATAATGTGGCCCCCAATACTAACCTGGCTGTCTCATTTCTGATAGACAAGGATGTGGGACTCACATTAAAGCTGAGTTTCCAGCTGCACTCACTCTGTGCATACTCAGTGTTGATTATCTACTTGCCTGGAATAAAACAGGAGGGGCCACCACCATGGCTCATCCAAATGCTCCAGTAATTTAGATTCGCTATGATACCACGTGGTTGGGTCCATGCAGATTGGGGTGGAGTAACAATACTTCCAAGAACCTCAACTGTAAACATACAAAAACCAAATCTTAGGAAGAAGTAGTGAAAAGTAAAGGAAAGCAAATGGGTCTATCAGAATGAGCAGAGATAATGGTTTAGCACAGGGTTAGGAAATCAGAGAAAGTAGAGTCCTATAATATCTGACATTCCCTCTTGGATCCTTTCCTTCCCTTTTGTTCTTCCCTGCACTTGCTTTGTTCAGTTCCTCTGCAGAAACACTTACCTCTTCAGTCTTGCAGAAGCCTTCCCTTAGTAATAATGGTACTGAAATTCATCTTCCATGGTAAGTCAAACCAGGAGCCAGAGGCTCCCTTTCTGAACTCCAGACTGATGCAGAGACAAATTTATCTTTTTGCTTTGTATTGAGCACAAGCTCTGCTCACCAAATCTTGATGGCTCCTTCTGTGCCTCCAGAGCCCGAGTTCATGCTTCTTTTGGAGCATTCATTTACTTTGAACATATCTTACAGGAACTTGCTTTCATAACTGTTTGCATCCTTAGTTCAAAAATGTCTGTGAGGCAGGGACAGTGTCCTCTTAGAAAATTGTTACCAGTACATCAGGACAGTGACGTGGACATAATATATCTCTGAAACATCTAATAGAGAGATTTTGCCCCCATGGCTTAGGGCAAGGGTGGGCATTTGACCATCTCTAGAAATATTTTTGATTGTCAAAACTTGGCAGGAGGCTGTTACTAGATAGAGGCCAGGGATGGGGCTAAACGTCCTACAGCACCCAGGATATCACTCTACTACAAAGAAGTTTCCAACCCAAAATATCAATAGCGCTGAGGGCAAAAAACCCTGTTAATGGAACAAACTACCATCCCCAGGTAAATCTATACATATCTCCCCAAATAGGCAATTTTTCTGAGATGAACCTGACTAACGTGTCTGTCCAGGACAGTGTCTCAGCTTAAACAATGTTTCCAGCATAGAATACCTTCTCTTCTCAACATTAGCTCATTTATAACCCTTTGTGAAGCTTATTAAATAGACTTTATTATCCCCATTATACAATTAAGGAAATTGAGACTGAGGAAAGTGATCTGTGAAGGTTTCATACCTATGAAGGTGGCAGCAGACCTTGAATTTGAGACTTCTGGCTCCATGATCAAGAAAAAAAAAAATCAGTCAAGACATGAAGGCATACAAATCCAGGGCATGTTGAGAGAAGAGCCAAGAGTGACATGCCACTGAATCCTAGGGTGCAAAACAGAAAGAGAAAGTGGCTTGGGGTCAGATGGTTAGGCCTCCAAACGCCCTTTTAGGCAATTTGAACTTAGGAGAAGTGGAGGGCTGAGGGTAGATCACAGAATAGATGATTAGACATTTTCTTTGGAAGGAAGGGTGATTTGGCAGTGGATAGGCTGCTTGGAGAAGGAAAGATCATCCAGGAGGTGGCTGCAGTTCTTCAAGTCCGACTTCTAACCACTAAAGTAGGGTGACAGATAGAGGAACACATCAATCCCTAGAGCAGCCAAACTTACTAGAAGCTGCATAGTTTGCTCCAGATAATGTCAAAGTTTTGGGAAAAGTAAGTAACTACTCTGTGGAGGTCGCTGTATACACTCTGTGTCTGTGCTGCCATACACTGAACTAAAGACACAAATCCTTAAATTTTACATTTCAGATCGATAACCTAGATGTATATAATCTGTAGGCCTATAGTTTAGATCTATGCTTTCCTGACACATGGTGAATAAACAACTAGTTTCCAGGACTCCAAAGCAACATTCCAAGACTTCTTTCTCCCCTTAAAATACTTGTACTTTAATGGCCTTTATTAACCAAGTAACCCACCTCTATCTTTTAGGGTATGAGGATTTAGTAAACATATAGATGAGGAATGTGGTGAAGTTTCTTCTAAAAAATATGAGCCTGATTTGAGCTTTGAGATTTAAAAAAATCTCTAAGCAGCTAGAGGGAATGTAGAATTTCAGGGAGTGTATACATGTTCTCAAAAGAATAATATGCAAACAGCCTAGAAGCCTCCCACCAGTTATACCTGGAGTGAAGCTTATTCTTCTGTGAATGCGATTTCTTCTTAACCTCCCACAGATGAAACAGAATCCAGCATCACTTGTGATCTATTTCTAATGTAACTAGTGGTGGCAGCTTGTTTTGCATTTTTTTAACCTTCTTTTTAAACATCAGACTAATCCATCATGAACAGTGACTGCTTTCATTGTATAGGCCTTTGAATTTCAGAATGCCTAATTTGTTTATTTAAATGAAAAAGAGTTTCTAAAAGAAAGTGGAAAAGCTAAGGAGAGGTTTGGGTTCTTGCTTGCAGGCAAATATTAATTTTGCCTCTAGGGTCACCATTTTTTGGGAGCTATCAGACACAAATATTCTGTAAAAGCCTCATTACAGGGAGTTTCTACTTTGAGATGGTCAAGAGAGTTGCCTCCAGGCCACAGCCACTCTGACCTTCTAGGCTTTTGGCCATCTTCAGAGCACAGCCGATTTAATGATTTTATGAGGAGTCTTCCCCACCCAATCCTCTTAATAATTGGGCAAGTATTTACCCCATGCATTGGTGTTTTGGTTCAGTGATATCTAGGGGAGAATTGGAAACAACCTTGGATAAAAGAGATGATATTTCTCAAGGCGTATGATTTTCCCTTTGGATTTGAGTTATAGAAGATCTCAACCCTATTGTTCTTACCCTTCAATGTTGGCCTAGAAGGGAGAAAATTTCCCTAAGCAAGATATACCTTTTTGGATGTGTCAGAATATACTAGAACACTGGGCAGCAGAATTTCTGTCCACAAAGTCTTCTTTCCAGGACAGTTTTCTTTCTGTTTCAATGCAAACCTTCAGAAAGTTTTCTATCAGGGTATATCTAACATTGAGGATCATCAATTGCATTAGTTCAAATCATGGACATGAGGATTGTGTGTTAAGCAAAAAGAATTTACTGAGTTTCTACTATATGTTGTTTCCTAGGAAGGTTAAAATTGAAGAGTGACATACAATTATACTTCTTTGAGGAAGTTAAAATCTATTTGGATGGCAATCCTAATTTACCCAAAGAAACGGCAGAGAGAGAAACAATAGCTTCTGATCACAGGAGAAGGGTCATTTGAAATAGACCTTCAGTGTGCCCTTAGAATTTATAGAAGAAGATAAATGAGAGTTGGTATGCTCAGAGGATACTTCCTTGAAGAGGTAACCCTTGAACTGGATTTTAAATCTTAGACAGCATTTAAATACATCAAGATGAAGGAAACAAAATTTCAAATCTGGAGAGCAACATAAATAAAAATTTGGGGCCCGGTGCAGTGGCTCACACCTGTAACCCCAGCACTTTGGGAGGCCGAGGCAGGTGGATCATAAAGTCAGGAGTTTGAGACCAGCCTGGTCAATATGGTGAAACCCAGTCTCTACTAAAAATACAAAAATTAGCCAGGTGCAGTGGAGCGTGCCTGTAATCCCAGCTACTCGGGAGGTTGAGGCAGAAGAATCACTTGAACCCAGGAGGCAGAGGTTGTAGTGAGCCAAGATTTGCCAGCACACTCCAGCCTGCATGACAGAGTGAGACTCCATCTCAAAATACAAATAAATACATAAACAAATAAAATAAAATAACAATAAAAATTTGGCAGGACACAGTAGGACTGGGGACAGAAAATTGGTTATGTGGATAGGCAGACTTTCAGACAAAAACTAGGTGTTATATGCAGAGGAGTAGACAATAAAATATGAGAAGTATCATGGTAGCAGATTGAAGGTCTTTGAAAACGTAACAGAAGAATTTGAACTTGATGGCACATGCAATAGTCATTGTAGGTTCTAGAAACAGAGGCCCATGTTGAAATCAGCATTGCAGTGCAAAAGGTTTGATGACCAATGAGGGATGGAGGAGAGGCCATCACTGAAGGTGACTCCAAGGCTGAAGGCAGGACTGTTATCACCTACAGAAAGAAGCCTTCCACAGGTTTCGGAAGGAGCACCTGTTTTTTTCCCCAGGAGAAGAGATTCCATTAGGCTTTCCCTAAAGAGAATCTGTAATGAGAAAAGAAACAAAACAAAAGCAAAAACTAGCTATCATTTTCTCGAAGTGAGTGGAAAATTAAATGGTATTTCTGAGAATAAGTCCTTTCAAATATGAAAAGTTATTCCTATGATGAAGTACTTGATTTAGTCAACTTTTTATTCATTATGATGGTGTCAGTATATATAGAGAGAGAATAAAATCAATAGAGAGGAAAAACCTAGAGCTTCTTCTTTGTTGCTTTGTGTTCTCATAATACAAGCTCCTATCTCTCCACCTTGGCCTATGCTAATGTAGCCTTCTTTTATCCAGGTTTACCTCTTATACTGTCATCATTCCTGACCACTAATATGAAACCTTCTTCCACATAGTGTACTGAGAATCAAACAGATTTTCTCTTCTTTTTCAGTCATAACTCTCAGCTCTCCACTTTTCTACCAAGAAATCTTCCCCTCTATACTCAATCCCATCAGGACAAACCAGTTAAGTAGAAATGAAGCTGACATATAATCAGAGTCTTGCTGTGCTTTATCCCAATTCTTTTAGCTCTAAACCAAGGAAGCCATCTTGGTGAGACAAAAGGAGTGAGAACACAGTGCTTAGAACCCATGCTACTGTGGCTTCTCACGCAATGTAAAGCAGTGGGGAAATACTTTGGAAATAAACATAGCTTTATACCTACAACAGGTCATATTTAAGTATTTACATGCTTCTACTTATTATTTTAATGTTATGCCGAAATTGCATGTCTATCATGTTGTTTAAACGATCTCATAGAAAGCCTTTTAAAGGAATATCTTGACTGCAGTGAGCTCTAATTTTTGTCTTTCAAATCAAATGAATGACTTTTCCAAATAGGAGAAGAAGAAGAGCAGGAGTGAATAGTATAAAGCAAGAGACTTGGGTTTGGCACAGAAATTAATCGTAAGAGAAGCTGGAAAGTACTTAAGAGAATTCTGAGTTGCACTGATGATGCTCTCACCAGCATCTCTGGCCTGAACAATGGTCTCTGCTCTGATTTAGTCAAAGAGAAAACTGTCCCTCGATTTGTTGACAAAATCTAGCCTATAGACATGGTTTGTTTCTTTCCTGTGCAAGTGTCATTAAGCTCAAATGGACCTAATCTTCAACTGCTGAATGCCAAGGTGCCAGCCATAGCAGAGAAGTTCAGAACATGAACTTTGGAGCGAGTTGGGAAGACAACTGATGTTTAAATTCTACCTCTGCCATTTACCAGGTTTGAGACCTTAATAAAGTCATTTAATATTCTGAATCTTGATTTTTCTGTAAAGTCAAAATAATAATTATTAATTGGTTATTGTGATAATTAAATAAGAATGTATTGACAGGGCTTAGCAAGCACCTGATAAAATATTTAGCACCTAATAAATATTTAGCACTGAATAAAATATTATTTGCTATGACCTCTCTATGAGCCTGAGGGACACCTTTATAATGATGAAGTACAAGCATCTTAAGTTTGTTCTGTAGAAAAAAGAACTTGTAATAGTTTCAAACAAAGCTTTTCTTATCAGTGTCCTTCTCTTGATTAAAAATGTCATTACCCTCTGAACAACTCAGGCTGGAAACTACTGGACTTTTTATTATTATGATGATTATTTTTCAAATCCCTTAACTCCCTCATCCCCTAACCTAGCGAATCTTCCATCACTGCTAGTTTTTTTTCTTGAAAACAATGGTTTTCCAACTTTTTGTGGTTTATAGACTAATTTTAGAATATTGTGAAGCCAGGAAATAGTCTCCATAGAATAATGCACTCAGGTGTACAAAATTTTATAGACTATTTTTAGGCTAAACAGACCCTCCAAAGCCCACATAAGTACCTCCTAGGTGTCTAGGGAGGAAATTTTGAGAACCCCAGCTCTAAAATAGTTCTTCAAACTAGATGAGCCTTTTCATGTCTTTGACATCTACTCTAGTTCCAAATCCTTTTCATCTCTTGCCTAAATTCAACTTGGTCTCTTTGATTCCAGCAAGCTCTTTCTCCTACCGAGAATCCACCCTTTTCCCAATGTCTTTTTCACCTAAAGTAACATTTTCTTCCTCAAATTCTTCGGAAATTTGTTGTTGATTAACACTGGTCCTCAAATGCTACCTTATATCATGAGATAGAGAGATTTTGAATGTAGACAAGAGATGGGTTCCAGAGACCTAGATACTTTTTAAAAACTTTGGAGATGATTCTGACCCTAGTAGGCCCAGACCACACTTTGAGAAACATTATCCCAAGATGATCTCTTCAAGCTAACTTTCTCGGTCATCATTTTGTTCAACTTAGCCTCTGTCCTTTCATAAACTGGGTATGTTTTGAACTTTGTTTTTATTTGCCCTTCAATTTAGAAAACTCTCTTCACTCTCACAATTTGGTTGAAAAACTTTCTTTTCTTACATTGAAAAAGAAATTTAGAGACAGGGTCTCACTGTATCACCGAGGCTGGAGTACAGTGGCACCATCATAGCTCACTGCAGCCTCAAACTCCTGGGCTCAAGCCATCCTCTTGCTTCAGCCTCCTGGGTCCCTGAGATTACAGGTGTGAGCCATTGTGCCTGACCTCAAAACTACTTATTCTTTATCACTCAGTACAACCACTGACTCTTCTATGGATTCTTCCTTCACCAGCTGCCCTAATAAGAAGGCAATATACCTTCTTCTAATGTCCTACCATTGCCCTCTGCAAGCACTGCCATTATAGCACATGGGAGACTTTCCCTTGAATTACTTTTGCTTGTGTGCATGTCTGGCACCTCCACTAGATTGTACAGTCTTTGAAGGTAGATCAGATTCTACTTACTCCATATGTTGTAGATATTCCTAAAATGTTTGCTGAATTATAAAATTTGCTATCATTCACATATGTGCCACATTTTAAAATTATTTTGTCTGTCCTCAGAACAGCAGAACTCAAAGTTATGGTACAGAGGAGGCTCGTTTGTTACAATGCAGGGCCATGCTATTGTACTGGGGCCAGCTTGTACTGGCTCGGAAGAACTGTCTGTGTGCATTTCTTCCCAATTCTGAATTCAATGATGTCCTTTTGGTAAGCTTGAAATCAGTCATAGTGATAATATTTACCCCACAGAAATCAGCAAATGCTATAAATCAGGGTTTTTTCTTTTAAATAATTTTTTCTTTTTTTGAGAATGATTTACCAGCACAGCACTGCCAGTAACCAAAATAGTCATATAATTTCTGTGTGCCTTCATAGAATCCAATCTAATAAGAAAAACTCATTTAGCAATCTTGAAAGCCACCGTTTGCAAGTAAAAGAGCTACATATAAATCAAAGCCCTGGAACTTCACTGCTCAGAATGACATGGAGTAGAATATACCAAGGCACCAAGATGTAGGATTTTCCTTGATCTTCCATTTGTAAACTATGAGACATTAAGCAAATTGCTTGAATCTCTTGTAGGCTTTAATGTTATCACCTTCACACTGAAAACATTAATGCCTTCCCCTGTTTCAAAAACCTAATTTAAGAGTAAATGAGGGAAGCCATGTGTGCAGAAGCATTTTAAAAATTGCTATCAAAATGTGTTCTTTCTGCCTCTGAGCTTCTAGATTCAGTTTTACAAAGGAGATTCCAGTCAATAAGAGAGTGACAGTTCTTTATCCTCACTAATCAATCTAAATCTACGAACAGTTAGTGCATGCTTTAAATGCTGTATGTATCATCCATTTCCTTCCTCAAAAGGCAAACCTGCAGAAACATCAACCAGACTAGGCATTTTGCCTCTTCTCCTAGAAATTTTCCCTTTATTTGCACGGAATTCCCCTTCCCTTAAAATGGTAAACACTAGAACTATCTGATCTTTATCACAGATTTTAGTGAAATACAGACATACCATTTAACTATCCTCCCTGCTCTCCATAATATAAAAATAAATGGCATTGATTAGTGATTGACTTCAAAGTGAATAATTGAGCTTTAATGAGTTTATAAAAGGGATTGAAATCAAGGCAATAAATTAAAAGCAAAATAAAAGAGTAAACAAGAAAGGATGTTTTACAACTTGGTTCCATTACAGTCTATGCTAACCAGATTAAAAAGTAATTGCCATGTCAAGAAAAATTATAGTGGCCTCTGCAAAATGGAAGAGCAGTAGGCTCTCTTTGTGTGTGGGTGTAAAATGAAGAAATTAGAAAGTAAATAATTACAGAGAAGGAGGGAGAGGGCAAAATTTTTTCCTGGCAGTCATTACGCTTTTAATATCAGAGATTTCTTCATAGAAATAGACATTATCATCAACACATGCTAATGAGCTGCCTGATTTAAACTAAAATCTTTAATGTCCTCCATTATCTTTGTATAAGTGAAGTTTCATGCTTTGTAAAGATATAAAGATATCTAATATCTTTTGTATAACATATCAGGAGTATATTTATGACTGCATGGTTTAATAATTTTAAATGTCCCTAAATTAATGACATTAAAAAGACATAATAGTCTCAATATTTTAGGGGACCTTTTAAAAATAGGCTTTAAAAAAATAAAAAATTGATGACATTTAGACAAATGATCTAAAATAAGAAGCAATTGTGATTGGAGAACCAAAAGCCACCATAAAATAGGGAGATTACGTAAAATAAATTGGATGTAGCTATCATCTCTATGAGCCCTGATAATATGTCACAGGGCACTTATGGAATTGAATGCAGCCCTCAGAGACCCACAGCTCATTATCACTGAGAATTCATGGGCAGCTGGTGAGAAGCCTAAATAGTGGTAAAGGGCAGATGTAGCAGCAATTTTTAAAATAACTATCTCTAGAATCTTCACAGCCTGAGAATCCGCTCTAAGAAAACAACCAAAAAGATGCAAGCATCAAAATTCAAGATGGTATCTGTTGATAAATCTAATAAGCAAGATAATTGTGACTTAACATGTATACAGGGAACTGTGGTGGGTACAGTGTTGATGGCAGTGAATTGAAATTAACCAAATGTCCCCACAGACACATCTATCTATTGGGACTTCCAAGTTAGACTGGGAGCACTTGTACAGAATGCCTGGGAGAGTCGAGGTAGCCAAATGAGGAACCTGTTTTGAGATAATAGGAATGTTTTCCAGGAGTGTTAAGACCAGCCCTTCAGTAGTTGGAGTATCTTGACCTCTGTGTTAGTCCATTTTCATGCTGCTGATAAAGACATACCCGAGACTGGGCAATTTACAAAAGAAAGAGGTTTAACGGACTTATAGTTCTACGTGTCTGGAGAGGCCTCACAATCATGGCAGAAGGCAAGGAGGAGCAAGTCATGTCTTACGTGGATGGCAGCAGGCAAAGAGAGAGCTTGTGCAGGGAAACTCCCCTTTATCAAACCATTAGATCTTGTGAGGCTTATTCACTATCAAAAGAAAAGCACAGGAAACACCTGCCCCCATGATTCAATTACCTCCCACTGGGTCCCTCCCACAACATGTGGGAATTCAAGATGAGATTTGGGCAGGGACACAGCCAAACCATATCAACCTGTAACAAAGGCTTAGGTATCACAAATAAAGAGAACAGACCTGTTTATACTTTCATCACACCCTAAGTGAGGACTAACACTGACTTTTATTGTGCATTTACTTTAAGAATCTGTAGTCCTGGCTAGATTGAGGTCAAAAACATAAATAAGTAGATGTTCAGATAAATACACAATTGTATGTGAAAGATTATTTGAAAGATAATCACCCCCTTAAAGATTCATCATTCACTTAATACTATTGACAGTTAATATCCTTTGTACAAATTCTTTTTTGAGTTGGTCTGAGATGGAGATCATATGTTGATTAAATTCAGAAATTCAACTGTTACTCTAAGCTATGTGATAGAGATTGAGTAAAAAAAGTTTCTCTCCTTTATTTTCTAGTTTTCCCATTAAAAGAAAATTCTTAAATGCATTTAAGATGTTCCTCTCTTTACAGGACATAAACTCGTTCATAGCAGTGCTTTTAAAAAAAATCCATGACCACAAAAGAAGAAGCACGATTCAAATTGATTTAAAAACTTGGAAAGAATTTTATCTCAAATGGAAGAATTGTTTTTTCATTTCCATAATGTTCTTGGTTTTAGTTGAATTATTTCAAGGAAGTTTGCTCAGGCAAGTTAGGTAATTTGCGTGGAGCTATCACAGGCTACAAAAATACAAAAACATACAGACTTCTTAATTTCACAAATATTACAAAACAAAACATTGATCAGAAAAACCTGAAAATTTAATTTAAAATGGGATGTGATACCACCAGGCAGAAAAAAAATTGCAAATGGTCTTTAGACATACTAAGATGCCCAAATTAATTAACGATAAAATAAAAGCAAAATAAAAATGCACTAGATATCATTTTTTCACATATCATGAAAATGAAAATCCAAACAGTTAATAGCATACTTAGTTGGAAAGTTGTGGGGAAACAGGAATACAGAGATATTTGACAATATCTTTTTTTTTTTTTTTTTTTTGAGACGGAGTCTCGCTCAAAGTGCATATACCTTATAGAGTGGATACTATAGCTAATGCTTAGACATGAGCAATAGAGATTTTCAAAGTAATTCATTGCATCATGGTTGTAAGGGCCAAAAAACTGAAACAATGTTAATGTCTACAAAGAGAGTACTGATAAAATAAATTATGGCAGGCTAGGCACAGTAGCTCACACCTTCAATCCCAGCACTCTGGGAGGCCAACGCAAGAGGATCACTTGAGCATAGGAGTTCAAGATCAGCCTGGGTAACATAGTTAGACCCCGTCTCTACAAAAAATAAAAAATAAAAATCATCTGGGCATGAGGGCACACGCCTGTGGTCCCAACTACTTAGGATGCTGAGGCGGGAGGATAGCTTGAGACTAGGAGGTCAAGGCTACAGTGAGCTGTGATTGCACCACTGTACTCCACTTTGGGTGATAGAGTTAAACCTTGTCTCAAAAAAAAATATGGCAGATCCGTATGATGACTACTATATAGCTGTGGAAAAGAGTGAAAAGAGTCAAAGATTATAATTGCTCTCCAAGATAAAGCAAAAAAACAAGGTGCAGAACAGTTTGTATAGTAAGATATATTTTGTGTACCAAAAAAACCAAGAATAAAACTATGTATTTATATTTGCTTGAATATACCCAGAAACTCTGAAAAACTGCACATACATTAATAGCAGTAATTGGCTGGGTGCAGTAGCTCACTCCTATAGTCCCAGCACTTTGGGAGGCCAAGGCGTGTGGATGGCATGAGATAAGGAATTCAAGACCAGCCTGGCCAACATGATGAAACCCAGTCTTTACTAAAAATACAGAAATTAGCTGGGCATGGTGGTGTGTGCCTGTATTCCCAATTACTCGGGAGGTTGAGGCAAGAGAATAACTTGAACCCAGGAGGGCGAGGTTGCAGTGAACTGAGATGGCCCCACTGTACTCCAGCTTGGGTGACAAAGTGAGACTCTGTCTCAAAATAATAATAATAATAATAATAGTAATTATCAGGACAGGCAGAAGATACAGGGTAGGTGAGCATACTTGACAGTTCTAGAAGCATATTTTAAATGACAGCCATAAATCACTTTGCTATTTTTCTATGATAATTGAAAGACAGTGACTCTAGGGAGTTTTGAATGAATATTGACTTCTTCTTAATTCTAAAGCTCTTGGGATTTGGTACATAGCTAAATTCAAACTTAATTTGTTTCAAAGTATTTTTACATCGACTTTCTATTACAGATTCTAAGATGCTCTAAAGAGCTAAATTTCAGTCCTTTATTAGTCTTTCATGAAGTAAATGGGATGTTCTTTATAGACCCATTTACTATAGTATTATATATGATAGATATGCACCATTTTTGTAAGGGTGTGAAGAAGAGGCCATATTGAATTCCTGCAAATATAGAGTGTCTGCATCAGTTTGGGACTTTCTCCTGAGTCACATTTCCATTAGATGTCGCCTATATGTTACACATATCCTTACACTACAAAATAATCACCTTTTCAACTTCTGATAAAGCTTGATCTATCTCATGATGATCGTGTCTCAGTTTAAATTAGTTCCTACAATATATCTCCTCATAGCGCTATCTACTTTCCTAACACTTGCACTTTTAAAGTTATTTCTATAATGATTTGCTTAATGCAAATCTCTGACACCCAAATGTAAATACAATGGGGGCAGAGAATGTGTCTGTTTTTGTCTGTGCTGTGCTCTCTAGGCCTAACACAGTGTAAGTCAATCAATATGTGTAAAATTAGTGAAATTCTGTTCTAAATAAGCCCTATTTTAATTTTATTATTAATTTTAAATAAATCTATTATTTTAATCATTAGCTAGTATATAGTGCAGAGAGGACAGTAAAACACAGAATAAGCTTCTGTTTCAGACATACCTGAGTTAGTCTTATTAGCATTGACACTATCTAGTGTGTGCCCTTAGACAATGTCTTGGTTCATTCAAGCAGCCATAACAATAACAACAACAACAACAACAAACAAACAACAACAACAACAAAAACCCATAAACTAAGTGGTATATTAACAACAGAAATCTATTTCTCACAGTTCTGGAGGCTGGGAAGTCCAAAATCAAGGCACCAGATGATTTGATTTCTGGCAAGGACCTGTTTTCTGATTCACAAACAGCACCTTCTCACTATGTTGTCACAGAATGAAAGGGTTTAGCTAACTCTCTAGGGGCTCACTATGTCATCACTGTGTGGGAGGGTCTAGCTAACTCTCTGGGGACTCTTTTATAAGGGTGCTAATACAAATCATGGAGGCCTCACCCTCATGACTTATTCATCTCCCAGAGGTCCCACCTTTTAACACCATCATCTTGGAGTTAGGATTTCGACATATGAATTTTGAGGAGATACAAACATTCAAGCCATAGCAAACACTTTATTTGACTTTTCTAATCCTTGGCTGTTTTATCTATAAAATAGAAGAAAATATATTGTTTCTAATCCATAGGGTTATATTTTGTGGATTAAGTGAAATCAAGAATGCAAAGGACTTAACACAATATCTGGCTCAGGACGAGAACTCAGTAACAGCCAATTAGGCTTATTGTCATTGCCCCTGGGCTGCAGAGTTAGGCAGTTAGCTATGCCAACTTAGTAGCTATATCCTCTCTCCCAAACGTTGTCACTAAGTTCATGCTATTTATGACACAGCAAAATGACAAATTCCTTTTGCCTTTAACCCCTCACCCAAATTATTAAAACCAAGAGTATTGAGTCTGTATGTACAAAGGGTTGACTGCCACTCTCCTAGCTTCACAGGGTTACCTAGTACTTGATTGGTGATTGTATGTTAAGATCTGTGATTCCAAATAAATATTTTGAACATCTGGATGAGAATTTTTTGTTGGGGACAGGGGGAATCATTTCTCTACAAGGGATAGATTGCATGTATTTCCTTTAATAAAGTTTAATTCTAGTATTTCAGAAATAAATATTTGATATAATTTTCCATTAAAGTAAATAAAATTGACTTATTTTACTATTAATATTTGCATTGGCTTTTTACAGAAAATCATAAGAAATGTCTCAATAGAACCCAGTCTTATGTTTTTGTGAGTCTGTGACTTTTGCACACATCTTCTTTTTATGATTTTTCAGAAAATCATAAAAAAGTGTCAATAAACACAGTCCTATGTTTTTGTGCATCTGTGAGTTTTCTTTTGCACACATTCTTGCTTACAAAGCAAGACTTAACCATAGCTGCTAATGCATTAAAGTTTAAAGTAGTGGTTAAAATCAGAGACTGTGGATTCAGACTATTTAATCCCAGCTCTGCTACTCCCCACTTTCTAGCTGCATGGCCTTGAGCAAGTGTTTTTTAAAACCTCTCTGTGCCTCAGTTCCTTTATCTGTAAAGTTGAGCTAATAGGGAGCTCATCAGATTGTTGATGAAATGATGCAAAGCATTTAGAAGATGCTTGATGTAGAAATGCTATATGCAGGCTCCTACTATTTCATATGAGGAAAGTATTATTATCCTTCTTTCTCTAGACCAGATAATGAAGCTAGGTTTACACATACCACAGTTGCAATCAAGACCTAAACCCAGTTCTTTCAACTTCAAAGCTCACATTTATTTTTTTTTTTTTTTTGGTTATCAATTGTTCCTCAGTTTAAGGCCTGCATTCTCAATAGGGCAAAAATTGAGGTTTTGGTAGAACCAAAAATTCTTATTTATTATTACAATGGCTTGTGGTCTTCCAGTGTGTCATTGTACCTAAACAAATACACAGCATATATGTGGTATTAAAATTTCATGGACAGGAGGTGATTAGGGGAAAAACATCTAAAAAGTCTGTTGAAGGGGACAGTCATGAACACAGGTTGAGAAACACTGCTCTAAGTATAGAATGAGGTCATCTATATCAGAGTCTTCTCCCATGCCAACTGAAAACACAAATTTAAGTCCCACTCCTTGCAGGTCTACCACTCTTCCCCTCACCTCTGTTAGAATTTCTAGGGCTGGTGCCTGGGAGCCTGCATGAACACCAAACTCCTCAGATGACACTTACTCAGGTTTAACTTTGAGATCCCCTGGTCTGTCGGTGAGCTTCTGAACTCCATCAGCTCCCAACGACACACAGAACTGGGCTGTCCTTCTCACTGCCCCTGTTAGTTGCTCTTGCTCTTCCTCCAGCTGATGTCAGAATGAGGGCCACACACATGGGAACATGATGAAACGACAATGGACTTTAACATTACCATTCAGTAAATGTGGAGGATTTCATCATCTTCAAAAGGGTAAAAGATGAGATACTGAGGAATGTGTAGCACCCCTGGAATAGCAGAGGAGAGAGGTAAACAATAAAAATTGCTACTCTCATCTCCCCATTTGTTCTGCACCCAGCTTGAGCTAATTTTTTTTTTTTTTTTTGTGACAGAGTCTCACTCTGTTGCCCAGGCTGGAGTGTGGTGAGCGATCTCACTCTGTTGCTCGGCTCACTGCAACCTCCACCTCCCAAGTAGTATCTGGGATTACAGTCGTGTGCCACTGTGCCCGGCAAATTTTTGTATTTTTTTCATAGAGATAGGGTTCTGCCATGTTGCTCGTGGATCTCGAACTTCTGACCTCAACTGATCTGCTTGTCTCGGCCTCCCAACGTGCTGGGATTACAGGCGTGAGCCACTGCGCTCAGCCCTAAAACTGTTTTTATATCCACATTTCAAACTGTTTATTTGAAACTGTTTACGAAAGTTAAGTTCCGTGAGAAAGAATATGGCCTATTTAAAAGAGGAGCATGCATGTTGCAGTGCCAGGGAGTAAAACCTGGAGGAAACCAGCAAGCAGTGACAAGGAACTGGCTGTTTTCTCCCAGGGACAAGGTGGTTTGGTGCAACTAGCCCAAGCTTGGGACCTGGGAGACTGGGTCTAAGTCATGGCTGTGCCATAACTAGCTGGGGCTAGTTATGCTGGACCTCAGCTTCCTTATCTGTGAAGGGAAGGAATTGCACTAGAGAGTTTCTAAAGTCCCAAATCGATCTAAATTCTGTGTCCTTTCAAATTAATCATTAAAGGCTATGAGGCAAGTAAATTTCTGATGGAGAAAGGAAGATCAGAGCAATTAATCAAAGAGAGAGAAGTTATTCCTTTTAGCAAGCTACCAAATTATTTTGACTATTTTTCTTCTTTTGAGTTTTCCCAGATTCAGAGAACAGACGAATAGAGGATTGCAGAGGCCACTGGGGCAACAGAAAGAAAAAGCTATCCCTCTTAATCACTGAAAGCCAGGCGGGGCCCCAAGTGGGTAGCAAGGAGGTGGGACACAGTGTTGGCCAGAGGGCTGGAAGGGGTCCAGGTCCAATCATATTTCATGGCTGTGCATGTGCTGTAAACGTTTGGGTTTAGTTTTTCTCCATCCACTCTTGCTGAAGGGTTCAGAATGTTTATCTAGTGACTAAACCCGTTCTCAGCATCCCTGAGGCAATTGCCTATGCTTAAAATTTATACATATATATGCATTTTCAGTCCTATGTGTTAGGAAAATCTTTGCTTCCCCTAGAGACCAGAAGTATTTTTCCCCTTATATACAATGCAAAATTATATAACTGATTATTTTTTCTTCTAGGCCTTATCCACCAGGAAGATAGGAGCCATTATTACATCTGATATGGTTTGGCTGTGTCCCCACCCAAATCTCATCTTGAACTGTAGCTCCCATAATGCCCATATGTCATGGGAGGGACCTGATGAAAGATAATTGAATCATGACAGCAGTTACCTCCAAGCTGTTCTCGTGATAGTGAGTGAGTTCTTATAAGATCTAATGGCTGTATAAGGAGCTTTCCCCTACCCCTTCACTTTACACTTCTCCTTGCTGCTGCCATGTGCAGAAGGATGTGTTTGCTTTCCCTTCCATCATGATTGTAAGTTTCCTGAGGTCTCCCCAGCCATGGTGAACTGTGAATCAATTAAATCTCTTTCCTTTATAAATTACCCAGTCTCAGGTATGTCTTTATTAACAGCATGAGGATAGACTAATACAATTCCTAACTTCAATAATGTAGGACACTAGGCCCTGCACATCTGCATTCTGATTCTACCCTCACAGTCCTCCCACCCTCCCCCGCCCCACCCTTCCTCTGTGGCTCTGTCCTGAGTCACACAGCACAGCCATCCTTCTATTTGCCAGCTGTAAAGAGCACATACAAGCTATTCACCTGTAACCACTTTCAGGTATTTGTTTGTCCTCTTGATTTTTCACATAACCCATTTTCCATAGCTGCATCTTCCTGCCACTTATAGCCACAATTGTCTACCCAATTCCGTTTCTTGACCTTCTCTTTGGTTTTAGTGATCCTTAGTTTTCTCAGTGAAGGTTCACCACCCTCACTGGCCAGGTGGCAGTCAGCCCATGACCCCTTCCCAGAAGAGGTAGATGTGAAAATGTTTTAACTATATTGTCCCCAATAATGATTTTTATCTGCCTGAGCTTTCCCATTTTATAATAACTATTCTTATGTGCCACCAAAAATGTTTGGTGAAATAAGATGAAAATTAAATAAACAGGATTTTAAAATATATGTTAATTTTTTCATGAAGGAAAATTTTAAACATATATAAAAGTAAAATCCTCATGTACCTAAATCCAGATTCAACAATTAGGAACTCACAGCCAATTTGTTTTACCTATACCCTGACCACTAAATGGCATTTCCCTACTCCATGTTATTTTTAAGTAAATCCCATTTATCATACAACTTAATTTGTAAATATTTCAGTACATAACTCTTTAGAAAAACTCTCTAGAAACAATTTCATACACAGGCAGTTGTAGAAAAACTCTCTAAAAACAATTTCTTACACAGGCAGCTGAAAATTACTGGTTTGAAGGAAAATTATAAGTGAAGTTTTGGTTCAAGACTAACTAGTAATCCCAGAAGCATGAACAAGAACACTGATCTCTTCCAGAGAAAAAGAAAGTTTCAGGGTGAATTCCTTGCTCACAAAACTGGAGAATAATGGGATTATACTAAGCAGTGATTAATAACATTTGATTTTGTAACAAAGTAGAGAAAATGTATCTTACTCATCAGCATTGAAATTTTTCCTCAAGGCACAATGAGACACCATGACGCACCCACTAGAATGATTAACATTAAAGAAATTGACAATGCCAAGTGCTGACAAGGATATGTAACAATTAGACATCTCTTAGATTTCTGATATGGATGTAAAATGGTACAAACTACTTTGCAAATCTATTTGGCAGTTTCTTATAAAGTTAAACATGGATCTACACTTCCAGATCAGCTTTTCCTCTCTAACCCAAACTTACAAACAACTTAAATGCCCATCAACTAGAAACTATCCATTCCTGGAATGTTACTCAGTAATTAAAGATCAGGAGCAAACCTCTGAGACATGTTGAGTAACCATGTGATTCTTACACCTAAATTTGCAAAATCATCAACTATATGCTGAAGATATATGCAATCTACAGATGGTAAAATATCCCTCAATAAAAAATTATCTTCAAGAGAAAACTGGCTTTTCTGGAGAGACGCCCTGATGAAGTCTTAATGTAGAAAGTGAAGCCTTGCCCTTCGCTCTCAGTCCACTCCCTGCCCCATGTGAGACATTGGTGCCAGTGTGCCAAGGCTTAAGAAAGGAGAGCAAAATTGCTCCACTTAAAAAGTGAGCATCCTTGGGGGAGGCAGGGAGAGAGGGAAACAGAAGAGAAAAGAAGAGATGGAGCAAGAAGAGGGGGAGGTTTCATGGGCTGAAAATATCCCTTCCCAGTACCTCTTAGAATGTTTAGTAAAATTAGATAAACAGAAAAAATATTGCTGTGGTTCTGTTACTGTTGGTGTAGAAACCATAGATGAGGCTAGGTTTCACTTAGAGGAAAATATAATGAGGAAGAAAAACAGCTCAAGAGGAAAGCGGAATCCTAGGGGCAGAGAAGAGCATGTGCAGAATTAATGCACGATTTTTTTTGTTTGTTTTTTGAAACAAGGTCTTGCTCTGTCGCCCAGGCTGGAGTGCAGTGGCATGATCATGGCTCACTACAGCCTCGACCTCTCAGCTTCAAGCAACTCTCCTGCCTCAGCCTCCTACGTAGTTGGGACAACAGGTGCACATCACCATGTTTGGCTAATTTTTGTATTTTTTGTGAAGATGGGGTTTTGCCATGGTGCCCAGGCTATTCTCAAACTTCTGACCTAAAGTGATTTGCCCGCCTCAGCCTCCCAAAGTGCTGGGACCACAGGTATGAGTCACCATGCTCAGCCTAGTTTGGGGTTTTGGACTTTTATGGGCAGTGCAATTGCTGGGTCTAAGCAATTTGAGGTGGAACTCGAATAGCATGGAGGTTTCCCAGAAGGGACGTGGGTTAATGTAGAATGCTTAATTGCACCTCATGTTTCTCATTCCTTTGAATCACACTTTTCTGTGGTCTTAAACTAAGATCTTCAAGGGTTTTGCTCAATTATTTTAATAAAGAGGTTTTTTTTTGTGGGAGCGAAGAATCATGATTGCTGAGGATTGTGCATACATTGTATTCTCTAAATTAATTCTCTGTTATAGCATCAAATATCTTAACCAAAGCTGAACTTCTCATAAGCAGGAAGCTTACACTAATTAAAAACTAAGTGCCTAGAAAAACCGGACATTTTCTATTAGCAACATAAATCAAAATCAATAAAGTAATACTATATAAACTGTGAAACACCCCATCTTTAGACTCTATGACCCGAATAAGCTTGAATGAAGAGGTAGATATTCAATAGAGTAAGTACCTAAGCAATAGTGAGGGAAGGGGCCTCCATAATTCATGGGGCCAAACCAACGTGGCTTTAACATGTGTCTTAACTTCATGTGAAGAGGATAGAATTTGAATTCCTTGTGATGTCTTTAAAATCACCTCCCTTTTATTTCTCCTGATCTCCTTTTATTTCTGGTTTCTTATAGTCTGATCTCATGAGACTGCCTGGCTTGGTTCTGAATCTCCCACTTGAAGGCATTTGCACTCGTTTAATTAATTGACCCAGTGAGTGCTGCTCAAAAAACAGAGCGACTCTCTCTTTCCTATTAGATAATTGCATGGTGCCACAATGACACTGCGGAGTTCATCATTTGCAAGATTATATATTAAGGGATGGAAACTCACAGTGAATGGTAACATATACTCTTATAACCCACTTATCTTTATATCACTCAATCACTGGAAAACACAAAGAACTGCAAAAAAGAAAAAAAAAAGTCTTTTCATGACCGTTGTTGCCATTCTCTGACCCGTTGGTTAGTTCCTCCTATAAAGGAGTCATTTATGGCAGTGAGTCCAGGAACTGACTGGAGTTTTATGTCTGAGAGAGCCTCCTAAGCCTTTCATACTTGGATTTAGCATTACTAAAGGGCATATTAACATCAGTAAATCTTGGCCCCAGTGACTTCATGGCATCTCAATAAAACAGTGTAAAGGACTTTTTCAGAATGCAAGTAAAAACTTATCAGAAGCCATTAAAAGGAAATTCCACAGCCACCACTTTTTTTTATTATGTCTTAAGCTTTTTTCTTGGCATGTTAACCATGAACTCATTGAATGCATTTCAAATATTAGACAATTCTGTTCACACCAAAGAGTCTATTTTTACATAAAACTTAAATTGAAATCATCTTATGTTTAATAGAAACAGACGTGTATTTAAAACGAGAAGTGGTGGGAGCAGAAAACCTATAAAAATGGATTTTATTTTTATAGGACGTAGAAGTAGTAGAAAGTCATTTTTGAAGAAATTGCCTAATTGATGGGATTCTGGGTGATTTTATTCACTTCTTTACACTTATCTGAATTGTCCAATTTTCCTTCAATGAATATTTTACTTTCATAATAAGAAACATGTCTAATAGTGGACAAATCATTAAAGTTTGTTTAATGAGCACAGAGTTGAAGCAATGGAGGTTTACTGTATCAGTCAGATCTCTTGTCCTCTGGTTAGGGGGAAGCCTAATACAAAACTTTTTTTTTTTTTTTTTTTTTTTTTTTTTTTTGAGACAGAGTCTCACTCTGTCGCCCAGGCTGGAGTGGAGTGGCGCGATCTCAGCTCACTGCAACCTCTGCCTCCCAGGTTCAAGGTTCAAGTGATTCTCCTTCTTCAGCATCCCGAGTAATACAAAACATTTCTAAAATACTCAGATACCGGTCAGCTATGCAATCTCTTTAAGCCTCAGTTGTCTCATATGTAAAATGAGGAAAGTGAGAGTACCCACCTGATAGGTTTGTAAGGATTAAGTGATGCTGTATGAAAAGTATTTAGTACATGGCCTGGCACGTAATCAACATCCACTATAGCTCAGTTACTATTAGTCATTCCACCAAATAGGCTAAGCTAAAGTCTGTTTACTCTTCCCGCTTTTGGCTGAGAAAACTTTCTATCTTAGAGTCAGTTGAGAAATAGCTAATCTCCTTGCTACTTAGGTCACAATATCCTTTGCTTAGAGTTGTATAAATCTGCTCTATATAAATACACACACACACACACATACACATATGCACACATACCAGATACTTCTGAGTAGAAGCTCAGTGATTTCACGGTGGAAGTCCGAGCCTGGAAGGGGACTGTTGGAGAGATGAAACACAAGTGACTAACCAACAACCACCAAAGGAGGCTGGCTAAGCCATGTATGAACGGCAGCTGCCTCTGCACTGGGGATGGTCCTGAGGCCACTGCAAGTCAGCAGGGCAGGCAATAAGGAGGAAAAGCCGATTTGAGGTGGATGAGAATTAGGACAAACTAGGACCCTCATCTTTAACCTCAGTGATGTGCATGACCTACAGAAGAGGCTGGAGCCCTTCGCCGGGGAGCTGCACACACATCTGGCCCCATACTCGAAGAAGCTGCATAACTAGGAAGACAGGGCAGCTGTAAGCTCAGCTGCTGGCCTCAGCCAGCAAGCAGGACCACAAAGCAGCCACGTAGGCAAGCTCTCCAACAGCACCTGACACCTACATCCACCTTCAGAGAGTGACAGCTGCCGCCTTATTTCCATCTTCCGAATTTTAGGCACATTTCTCTAATGGCCTGCCCTAACCCAGAACCATCCCGGAAAGGGAGATCTTGGATACGTGCCTCTCTTCTTGGATATGTGGTTCTAGATTTTAGCTAAGCTGACACTGTACAAAACCACTTGAGGTGGCCTTCTATTTAGGTCCAGGTCCTTGTGGGTACTGTGCTAATTCTGATCCAAGCTCAGCTGATTTCCAAACCTTTTGGCTCTGAATTTAATGGGAAGATAGAAGAGCGGCTTTTCTTCTTTTCAGGAGAATAACTTCAGACATACTGCAATCTACTTGAAATTTATCATGTCTATCTGAAGTCTCTTAAAGTCTCAGCAGAGAAGTTAAATGTATAGAGGGCCTACTGAAGGGCAGCCAATTTTACTCATTCTCCTATATCAGTGCTTCTCAAACAGAATCACTTGGAAATGATTGCTGTCCTCCCCTGCCCCCTCAGCAGAGTTTCCGAGCTCTAGATCTGGAGCAAGGACCAATAATTTGCATTCCTAACAAGTCTTATGTGATGCAGATGCTGCTAGAAGAGCTACTGCTCTGAATAATAGTTAAGAACCATGTCAGAATCACCTGGGGAACTTTCTAAAATTCAGGGAATGGTGCCCATGGCACATCATGGACTCAGTATCTTCATTTGGGGTGGAAGATGAATATTTTCTTTTTGAAAAAGTGTTACAAGTGATCGTGATTTGCACATCAATCTAAAACCTACAGTTTTATAAATTTCACGTACCTTATTTCCAGCATGTTAATAGATGTTATTGAAAAAAAGTGGTAGGGGCTGGAGTTGGGGGGCTTCTGTGATCAAATATGGTGTGAAAAACAGAATTCAATAATGTTAAGCTGGTTTCTATGCAGGACATATCTGTAAGTGATAGCAGATGCTGGTGTCAGGTATTGTACATGATGAATTAACCTAAACAGCAACCCTATAAAGAAAATACTATTCTTCTTCTTCTTCTCGTTTTGCAGATGAGGACACTGAGGTATGGAGAGGTTAGTAACATGTCCCAGATGTAAGTGCAACTAAGGCCTAACAACAAGAGCCAAGTGATATGGTTTGGCTGTGTCTCCACCTGAATTTCATCTTGAATTGCAGCTCCCATAATGCCCACGTGTTGGGGGAAGGACCCGGTGGGAGGTAATTGAATCATAGGGCAGTTACCGCCATGCTGTTCTTGTGATAGTGAGTTCTCACGAGATCTGATGGTTTTATAAGGGGTTTCCCCTGCTTTTGCTAATTCTTCTCCTTCCTGCTGCCGTTTGAAGAAGCACATGTTTGCTTCCCTTTCTGCCCTGATTGTATGTTTTCTGAGGTCTGGCCATGCTGAACTGTAAGTCAATTAAACCTCTTTCCTTTATAAATTACCCAGTCTTGGGTATGTCTTTATTAGCAGCATGAGTACTAACTAATACACCAAGATAAAGCCCAGACACTTGGGCTCCAGAGTCTGAGCTCTTGACCACAATGCTGTAGTGATTTACCCAAGTTCTTAGCAACATAATGGGTACACAGGACATCTCCAAGAATAATATGCAGCCTTTCCCAAACTTATTTGCTTATAGACAGCCATTAGGTTATAGTATGAACTGCAATGAAAACGTAACCCCATGGAAATAATCATTGTGCTTTTTGTAAGAACATGTGATGTTTTACATCTCACAGTGTCTTGATTGTATGGCTCCCATTTGGTATCAGAAATAAATGTGATTTTTTAATACTGAGCAACTAACTTTTTTTTTTTAATCTCAGGGACACCATGAATCATGTAATTAATCCTGTTTTACTCCTGGAGTTTGCTACTGGCAAACAAGCATGTTATTATTGGCATCATTTAGTACTAAAAAACCTTGTCATATTAAAGACCAAAATTTTCTAGTAAATGATCACAGTGACTGGGTAGGAGGTGAGGGTGGGGATAGAGAAGGTTGATAGAAATTTTATCGCAAAAGCAAAGTTTAAAAGAAGTTTATTTTCTTTTATAACATACGTAGAAGCTATGCACTGACTTATCAAACAAAACTCAAATTATGTTGATTATTTGAGTTTTTTTCCCCGATAAAATTATATGATAGCTTAGTAAGACATCTTTCACATTTGACTTTCATAGTAAGATATAGAAGGTCATTTCTGCAGAAATACTCAAGAGCTTCATTGATTTTCCCAAGGGCCTTTCTGATCCTTTGATATTCAAATCCTTTGCTTTTGAAGCACACACCAGTGATGTTCTCCTCATCCATTTTCCCTTATTTAGTTGTTAACCACCCTAACTCTGCCAGATCCTCATTTGCCACTGGCTTGTAATTCAAGCAGTTATCCAATCTGACTTTCATCTCCTTCATGAAGCCTTGCATCTTTTTCAGGGTTAGCAATTTCACCATGCAATGTACTATGTTTGCATTGTACAATTGCAATGACCAGGAAGAGATTGATAGAGGACTCAACTGGTGAAGACAGATGTTAGAGTTAAGCAAGGAGACCATTTTCAAAGTTGACATTCATTAGCAAAAATTTCGTGATGACTTTGCTTTCTTACAACCCTTGCAACTTCTCAGGCTCTGTTAATAAATTCAGATTATAACAACACTCTCTATGTAAAATTTCATGCTATGCATGTTTGTGAATGGACTTCATCCATGTCTTTATGACCCTACTCATATTCCCTTTGTTTTGTCTTTTCAATTCATTCTAATTTGTCATTTTTCTTTTCTTTCTTTCTTTCTTTTCTTTCTTTCTTTCTTTCCTTTTTGCATTTCTGTAAGCAAAAGCTTGGCACTGTTTGGAATGCATAAAAGTAGAATAAAAGGACTAAATACATAAATATTAATTATATTCTATAATCTTTCTTGACACTGCTGTTTAGTGCCACAGTGTCCGAGGACTTTGACTGACAGCCTTCACATTGCACTGCTTTTGAACCATGACGTATGAATCAGGCACTATTCAAGTTTTATGTCTCCAGTTAAGCCTCATGACACTTGGTTTAAAAGCATTTCTGAACTCCTATTTTTCAACTTCTGTTTTCCAAATATTTACATGGATCTTTATATTATTTAAATGCAAGATAGGTCCAGCTGTCAGCAATTGGGACATCCATATCGAGAGGAAATGAAGTATAAAATGATTTTCTCTAGCTCTTTGTCCAAAAGGCAAGTGAGAAACATTTTCACAAATATATGTAATCCTCACAGCTAATTATGATTTTTCTCATTTCAATTTTAATTATTTTTTTTAAATCCACACTTTCTTTTATCCCTCATGGCAGTTTCATTGTCATTAAAAGTACTGCTCTATTGTGTACATCCTCTATTCATATTCATGAGGTCAAGACCATTCAACCATGGTAATTGAGTGGTCTGATTGGCTGAATGTCCCACAGTGGTTTAAAGTGATACTGATGAACAAAAGGCACCAAAGCCTCTGCCATGATAGGAAGGATAATTATGTAGGATCTTAAATGGGGGCTCTAATCATTTGACAATGCCCATTGGACTTGCATAATATTAATACATTATCTATCATCTCACTATGATTAAGTAGTATTTAATTATTCTTTTTTATGGGGATTATCCCCACTAAGTATGTCTCATATCTACCAGCTTAGCACACCTGCTTTTCTGGATTTTCTAGGAAGGAATTTATTTTTGTGTAGTATGAAAGTCAGACATGAACATATGTAAAATTATTATCACCAAATTGGTAAGACATTTTCAAGAATATCCTGGAATATCATGATAGTGCTAAATTGGATATAGATTGTTTTGCTCCAGGATGGGTAAAGTAGGGCTACATTTTGTCTTGTGATTCCTTTCTTTGAGTTCCAAGGAAGTTTCTTGCTTGCACTTCTTCCACTGCTCTGGAGCCATGTAACCTCTGGCATGACATTTACACTCTCTGGGTTTCTGATTCCTAATCTATAAAATGAGGGATGTTAAGGAAAATGGCTTGGAAGCCATCATTCAGCTTGAGAATTCTGTAATCTCACATAAATGTCTATTTTGCTTCATTAGTGGGATTTTTGTCCTGCATGACAGTTTATACAGTGGTCTTTAAAGTCAAGTCTAAACACCATAGAAGGTGTACAAAGCCATTTCCTATAGTGTAGAAAGAACTCACTGGAACTTTGTTTATATTTATTTTAAAGTATCTTTAAAGACTTCCTATTATATATTTGTGTTTCATATTCACTATGATTTATGAGTATTTAATATGTGCTAGGCACTATTCTAAGTGCTTTAAAGTTAGTAATATTATTTAATCTTTACTGCAACTCTATGAAGTAGATACGCTTACCATACTCGTTTTTACTGCTGAGAAAACTTGAGATGTCAAAGTTATGGAAATTGCCCAAAATAACACAAAGTTAAAATGTTTTAATGGTGACAACCCAGGTATGAGTTCCACCTCTTAACTACTCACTATGCAATGCTTGTACAGTTATAGAATCTAAAATAAATAAGCACAAAGTAAATAGATAATGACAATATAGGATGTGTATTAGACATACTCGAAAGTGACCCCCCCATTCCCATGATCCCTGCCTCCTGATATTCATAGTTTTGTGCCATCATCTCTGCTTGAGTATGAACAGGACTTGTGAATTCTTTTTAATGAATAGAATATGGTCAAGGTGATAGATTATCACTCTCATGATTACCTTTGCTAACAGATTTTCTCTGACACAGTCTTACCTCTGATGGCTTTGAAGAAGCAATCTGTGAACTGCCTATGGAGAAGTCCACATGGCAAAGAGCTGTGGGCAGCACCTGGGAGCTGAGAGTGACTGCCAGCCAACAGCCAGTGAGAAACTGACACTGTCAGTCATTCCTACAACCACAGAAACCTAAATCCTGCCAATAGTTATGTGAGTGAGGAAGTGCATTCTTTCCCAGTCCAGCCTCTAACGAGACACCAGTCCCAGTCTACACCTCAATTACTGCCTTGCAGTGAACCCACCTAAACTGCACCCCAACTTCTGACCCACAGACACTGTGAGATAGGAAATAAGTGCTCTTTTCAGCCTTAAAGTTTGTGATAATTTGTTACACAGCAATAAAAATACAGGAGACAGCTACCTATTGTTTTAGCCCCAAAAGGTGAGCCATTTAAAAATATACCCCTTTAGTTTCTCTCTGTAACCAATCAAATGGAAATGAAGATTTCAGTTTTGATCTATTATGTTTTCGCCAATGACAGTGAAACTTTTTCATTAAAAAAAACTTTTACATAGGCATCAATTTATGCAATTAGGAAAATAACATAACATTTAAATCTGGGATTTTTCTTTTCCCCATACTTCACACATTTTTAAAGCATGTTATCCTATAAGAAAAAGTGGCGTAAGTGTCCTATTAGTTATTATATAATTTTTAACATTTACAAAGCTTTGTTACCTGAATTTCAGAAAGAACAGTCACAGATCATGAGAATCTCTTTTCTTCTCCTTCTCCCTTCCCTGCCACTGAAATCAAACATACAAACCAACAAACAAACAGTTGCCTTGGTAAATTTTCTCTAAAACACAGTGTATTAGTCCATTTTCATGCTGCTGATGAAAACATACCCAAGACTGGGTAATTTATAAAGAAAAAAAGTTTAATGGACTCACGTGTTTGGGGAGGCCTCACAATCATGGCAGAAGGTGAAAGGCACGTCTTACATGGTGACAGACAAGAGAGAATGAGAGCCAAGTGAAACTGGTTTATAAAACCACTGGATCTCGTAAGACTTATTCACTATCATGAGAACAGGATGGGGGAACCGCTCCCATGATTCAAGTATCCCCCACTGGGTCCCTCACACAAGACATGGGAATTATGGGAGCTATAATTGAGAATGAGATTTGGGTGGGGACACAGCCATATTGTATCACAGAGGTTCAATCGACTTTCAATCATATTTTATTTGCTTCCTCTGTGTTCATAATGCTGATAATACTTTTAATTATCACCACCATTGTACAAGATAACTGTCCCCAGACCAACATTTTTTATGTGAATATTAATTGATTGAATTACTGATTCCAGAGAAGGGAAATTACTTATCATCAAACTTAATGCATGAAGAGGCAGGGGATTCTAGGAAGATGGACGTTTCTGCATTCTTGCTACTCTCAACTCCATTCCAACTCATCTGTCTCTCCTCAGCCAGTGACTCCTGAGGGCAGTGTCAGGTAAGCTTGGAGAACATTAGTGAAGGAGCTATAGTTGTCCTTTGTGCTCTGGTCCTGAGGACCAGCCGGAGAGCACTTCAGAAGCAGATGACTGTAGAGATTTCCAGTCCTCAGCGAAGCTTACCTTCTGTACATGGGAATGTGGTGGGCCATCCTAGCCCACAAGGGCTTAGAAGTGAACAGGTGGGGAAGAGTCCTCTTCACCCATGAGGCTTAGAGATACAAGAAACAGAGATCACATCAGGGATTCTGAACACCTGTCTGCTGCTGCACCAATAGCCTGCAGGGACCACTGCCACTTAAAGTCCCCTTGCAACTGGAGTGCTGACACCTTAGGGACACAATGGAGAGGAAAGAAAAAAAAGCTATATATCTAGGCAGGGATCAAGGGACAGAAAAGGGTAAATAGAAGTCTCCTAAGAAAAGTAGTTGTTTAAGGAGACAGGTGTCAACTTGCACAATTAGATTGGATTTAAGATCAACACACAAAAAAGACTCTGGAATAGAAAACATTATTTTGAACTGAAAAATACATAATAAATGAGTTTAAAAACATGATGGTCGCAATTGACCTAAAAAATCACTAGAAGAAATCTTCTAAATCCTAAATCCTAGAACTAAAGTACAAAGAGATCCAAATTGTGAAAGAAAAGATGAAACTTTAGAGATGGACAGATGAGACCTCATGTATATATAATGATTACTATTGAAGGATAGAAACAAGAAACAGATGGGGGAGACGCCAAACATAAACTAGCAATAGAACATTTCCAGCCAGATTCAGTGGCTCATGCCTGCAATCCCAGTGCTTTGGGAGGCCAAGGTGGGAGGATTGCTTGAGCCCAGGTATTTGAGGCTGCAGTGAGCTATGATCACACCACTGCACTCCAGCCTGGGCAACAGAGTGTGACCCTGTCTCTTTTTTAAAAAGTAAAGAAAGAAAATTTCCTTGAACTAAAGAACCAAGTCTGTATTTTTAAAGGGTTTACTGCACAGGCTTCATAAGACATTTTCATAGGTATATGTTTATAAAATTACTGAACCTCAAAGATAAAGTGATAATCTTACCCTTATTTTGGAGAAAGGACAAGCTATTTAAAAAGATAAAAACTTAGACTGGCATCACAGTTTGTGAAGACCACGTTGGAGTCTGTAAGACTGACCAAAATTGCCACACCCAAGTACATGAGAGTCAGGCAATAAATGAGTATTGAGTGCCAACAATATCCACATATAAAATAAGTAACTAGGGCTGGGCATGGTGGCTCATGCCTGTAATTCCAGCACTTTGGGAGGCCAAGGCAGGCGGATCAAGGTCAGGAGTTCGAGACCAGCCTGGCCAACATGGCGAAACCCCGTCTCTACTAAAAGTGCAAAAATTAGCCGGGTGTGTGGTGGGTGCCTGTAATCCCAGCTACTCAGGAGGCTGAAGCAGAAGAATTGCTTGAACCTGGGAGGCGGAGGTTGCAGTGAGCCAAGATCACGCCACTACACTCCAGCCTGGGTGACAAGATCGAGACTCTGTCTCAAAAAACTAAAAAAAATAAATAAATAAATAATAAATAAAATAAGCAACTAGTACAATATCTTCAGAGAGACATGTTAAAGATTTCCTACCCTATGGCTGGGCTGGTCATTAGGGAAAAGGTTCAGGCATTGATTTATTTAAAAGTGTATTTATTTATTTATTGAGACAAGGTCTGACTCTATTGTCCAGGCTGGAATACAGTGGCACGATCTTGGCTCACTGCAACCTCTGCCTCCCAGATTCAAGCCATTGTCCCACCTCAGCCTCCTGAGTGTCTGAGACTTCAGGTGTGTACCACCATGCCTAGCTAATTTTTGTATTTTTTGTAGAGATGGGGTTTCAGCATGTTGCCCAGGCTGGTCTCGAACTCCTGGGCTCAAGGGATCTGCCTGCCTCGGCCTCACAAAGTGCTGGAATTACACGTGTGAGCCACTGCAACTGGCTTAAAAATATAATTAGAGAAGAATTAATTAATAAATGGTGCTAACCCAATTTATCATTTATATAGAAAAAAATGAATCGAAACCCTATCAAACACTGTAAAACAAGAAATTCCAGATATTTGTAAGACAGGAAAAATATATTGGGTTACACACCGTGCTTTTATAATTTGTAACTCCAAGGAGGCAGAAGTAAAGGAGGTGAGGTAAAGGAGATTGCCTCTGTATGTCTTTGTATAGCATGAAATAACTCATGAAAATAACTCATGGTGGATATAAGTCTATTGCAAATTTTAGTTTGAAATACATTTAATAAAAAATTAAAACTAAAAAATAGAACAAGGTTTATTTTACTTTCTGCGTGTAAATAATTGCTGAAAAGATATATACATGTTTCTATTCTTATTCTGTGTGAACAGTCTTTTATAAAAACATTTATATTAGGCTTAGAGGTACATGAGCAGGTTTGTTATATAGGTAAATTGCAAGTCAGGAGGTTTGGTGTAACAGATTATTTCATCACCTAGGTAATATGCGTAGTATCTGATAATATTTACTTCATTCAAATTTTCAAATTACGAAAACAGTGGTTGGTCATTGTAACAAGTGAATCTACGTAAAGGTGTTCTCTCCCTTTTTTCTTTTTAGTCTGCTTGCTGTCCAACTTTTCCATTCCATTATCATTGCAAACTCTTTGGTGGATAATTTTCCAACTTTCTCTATATCTGTGCAAACACAGACTATAGTGGGAGAAAAGGCATTTTGAAAACAAAGTCTAGGCATTCAATGTGCTCACAACTGAGGGGTGTCATTACTTCTCTGGCCCTTTTAGTGGACAGAGCTAGGACCTATCAGTTATAAATCATGGATTCATACTATGCCTTCACATCCTGCATTATAGGGCTCTTAACTTCTTGATTTTACATTTTATCTCCTCCCACAGTTAGGATGCCAATTTCTAACATTAATATATTTACTCATTTGTTGTGCAAAACATGCAAAATTATTTTATAGTGACTGCGCTACACCAATACCACTATAAAAAACAAATCTTCTAACTAAAGTTCAAGGTTTCTTTACAGTACCTTTTGACCATGGACTCTAACCCATTAATGATATACAGTTAGATTACTGTGTACAAAAAGTATTCAAATTAATTACTTTATTTGTTTAATTATGTTATCAATTTGATATACAGTTAGGTTCATTTGTTTCTGTATGTAAATATTAGAGTTGACTCGTCTTTTTCTATGTACTATGGTTTTTGAACATGTAAAACATTTGCATATTTCAAAGGTCAAAACTACATAAAATCATATACTCAAGATGTCTCCCTCTAATCTCTATACTCTACCTTCCTCTGATGACTCACCTCCTTAATTAAACAATTTTTAATTAGAATCTAAATTATCCTCCCCATGTTCTTCCTTGCAAAAATAAGTGCCTACATGCACACATACACATTTATTTACATATTTTAGTTTTTATTTTCTCTTCTTTCTGTCATAAAACATAGCATATACTTGTTTTTGCACTCTATTCTTTTATTTAACAACCTATTCTGAAAATCATTCCATATGAATTCATAATGACTTTGTCTGTGTTCTTTTCAGGGCTCAGACTACCATGTGGATACACCATAGATAATAAACATTCTTTTGTATGAATAGTTCAATTCACAATAAGTAAAGAGAAATATTAAAGTACCAGAAAGGAGGAGAAAAAGGAACACCAGGATGGTTAGCAAGTGTGGATCCACTACAGCTACATTGGGAACAGGCATGCTAGTGGGAATCACGGGATTGTGGCCTGGGCCATAAATTTTTATTTCCACAGTTCTCAGGTCTGTTTGAGGCAGAGAGTTAGAACTGAAATACCCCCATGTAAAGCCAAGATCCTAAAAGAACTGTATCATTCCTGAAAGGATAAACGAAAAGAAAAAAAGCTTCCCATTGGCTTAGGTAGACAACAAGCAAATTTGTTTATGTTTGCCTAGATATTATACACCCTCATGGTCTGGGAAGCCTTAAATTAAAGATTTAATTTAAATATTGTTTCTAAAACAATGATCCAGAATGAAGCAATATAAAACTCATTTCAAGATATAATCCCACAACCAGGTCACAAAGACTGTCTCTGGGGGATGAGGAAGGGCTCTGCTATACTAAAAATAATTACAAAACCAATTCAACAAATAGCAGAACTAGAATTTCATAAACCCAAGCTAATAGAACAATAATCAGAAAGGAGTATCAATAAGTATGTTCAAAATAATTAAAGCCATTAAAGAATAATTACACACCTAAAAATGGATGGAACACCATTAACAAAGAAACAGTAGAAAGGGAAGCAAATGGTATTTCTTGAAATTAAAAAAATGTTTTTAAAATTAGAAACTTAGTAAATAGCTTAAACACAAGGTTAAATACAACCAGTGAAAGTCTGGTAAATGAGAAAATAAGTTTGACAATTACACATAATGAAGTTTATAGAGATAAAGGAATGAAAATTATAAAGACATTAAGATATATGTGGGACCTAATAAAAAAAAGTTCAGTATCCATTAATAGAATTTCTCAAAGAAGAGAGTAGAGAGAATAAAAAAAGTAATTTTCAAACATAAGAATAAAATATTTCCAGAATTGACCAAAGAAATGAATTCTCAGATTACGAAAGCATGACAATTTACTTGACAAATAAATAGTAACCCATACCCAGACTTCACAGCAAAATTCCAAAATAACAAAGGTAACGTTAATCTTTAAAGTAATCTCAAAGAAGATAACTTGCCTTCAAATGAACAAGCTCATCGAAGCCAAGTTCAAATGAAAATGGCTTTAAAGAAAAAGTTGTATCATTTTAAAAAGCATTATCGAAAAATATAGAGGAGCAAAACACAATGCTAAAAAAAATTATCATAAGAAGATTTCCAACTTATAGATACTAACAACACAGATGGAAAAGCTATGGCAAAAACTAGGAAAACTACAAGGAGAAATTGATAGATCCACACTTACAGTGGGAGATTTTAACATACTTCTTTTAGTAATTGATCAACCTAACCCATACATTGGTATCATTTAATAACATAATTAATAAGCCTGTTAATAGACCTTTATAAATACTGCACCTAACAGAGAATACATATTTTTAAGCATACTTAAAACATATCTAAAAATGTAATACATATTACACCACAAAGGAAATCTCAAAAATATTGAGGAATTACTGCCTACACACCGTGTTCTCAATAAAATAAAGTCAAAGCAAATAACTAAGAAACAGAACCCAATAGGAGTTCTGTTTAAATAGTAGTTAACCAGAACAAAGAAGATGAGGTGAGGTTAGGGGGGTCAAGGAGACACTATCCTAGACCTAGAGAAGAGCATTAGTGGGTCTCCTTAAAGTGGGTGGGGGGCTTGTACATTTTACTGAAAGGGCAACGTGGCTGGAGTTCCCTAGTGAAGGAAGTTATGAAGTGGAGGAAGACAGAGTGATACAAAGCCGAAAACATAAGCAGAAGGTAGACGAGGTAGCTGTTTCTGAATTATGATTTTTTGTTTGTTATATTTTATTTTTTTTTTGTTTTTTTTATCGACCAAGATTTTGTTTTTTGTCTGAAAACAATGAGAAATCATTGAAAGGTTTAAGAAAAGAAGCAGACATGTCTAGACGTGGAAGAGGAAAACTTGCCCCTGAGTGCTGCCTATAGACTGGATCTAATCAGACAAGGGTGGAAGTCAGAGACGAGTTAGGGAGCAAATTTGTAATTCAGGGGTGACGTGATGGGACTTTGGACAGGACGGGAGCAGGAAGTGGGTGGAGATGATCATGAATGGACTAATGTGAGAAATGTTTAGCACGTAAAATTTACAGGATTCAGTAATGACTTAGCTGTGGGAGTAGAGAAAGAGGGGGAGAATGGGCTAATTTGCTGAAATTAATAGATGATAACACCAGTAGGAAGAGAATCGGGCATCATGTTTCACAAACAGGGCTGAATTCTTTCTTTCCTCTGGGTTCTGTTGTTTGGAAGGCTGAACTTCTTGCTTAAACAACAACAACAACAACAGACTGCATATATCCTGCAAGACCCAGAGGATGTCTATTTTTTTCTATTCTTGGTAGTTTATATTCATACAGCACTCTCTGCCCTTTACAATTTCACTTAATTATTACAAGAATAGACCCAGGTGGGCCTGAAGGCCTACTAGTGGGGCAGGATGCCCAGCAATGTGAACCTGGGAAATTGAATTTTGATTCACCTTCAACACTCAGGAATATACCAAAAGTACCAGGGATGTTTCCAGTTAGAGTCTAGCGAGAAGACATACATATACCCAGAGATTCTAGGAACACTGAGAAAGGACTGAAGACTACAAAAATCCCATTAAAATGGCAAAGAGCTGCTCAAAAAACCTCTAAGTTTCTTTTCCCAAGAGGCAGTAACAGCAGCTTCTGGCTGCCTTCAATTGGAAGCTGCCCTATCTCCAACTCCATGTAGCAGCCATCTGTGCATACTGAATTAACTTGTTTGCCCATATTAAAGGGGCTCATATCTTTTCCGTGTCTTTTGACATTTTAGAGCTTCAGCTGGTGTTACACACACACACACACACACACTCACACACACCCCTGAGGGATTTATTCATATGAAATCAAAACTTTGGAACTGCCTGCATCTTGAAACTATTTGGATCACTTTCTATTTACCTGATTAATAATTCTTTTTGTCCTTACATATCTATTCACTTTGATAGCCTATCATTTTTGTTTATCATAGCTACATTTATGTTGTTGTATTTTTGTGATAACAGGAGTGATTCACAAATTGTAACATCATCCCCAGTCTCAAGTCTCTGCCAGTGATTTCCCATCATACTTAGAATAATAATGATGGGCTATGAGATCCCACATAATCTGATCCTTGGCTTCTTCTACACCCCCTTCCCTTCTCCTCTTTCTATACTCTAGCCACATTGCCTTTCTTCATAGAATACAACAAGCTCATACACACCTCAGGGCCTTTGCAAATTCTGTCCCCTTTATTTGAAAACTCCCTCCAGATATTGATATGACTTATCCTTTATAGTAGACATCACAATGTTCACTAATATCTGCTTCTCTTTTACTTGCGGGTACACAGAGGATTACATTGATGATAGGCTGATGCCATGTGAAGAGAAGGGCATGTCACTTCCAAGTGAAAGGTTTAGCTGTGCTTAGTTGTGCTGTCTGACTCTCCAGCCTTCTCCTCCCTTGTTGTATCAGAAAGATCACAAGTTCCAGATGGCTGCCGCAAGATGGCAGAGCCAAAGTAGGCAGGGGTTACTGCATGAAGGCTGCAGAGCCCTCATCAACCTAAGCTGGACATTGATGTGGACAAGAAACAAATTATCTTTGTTGTTTTAAGCCACTGAGGTTTTGTGGTTGTTGATTACCCCAGCATAGCCAAGACTCTCCTGATGGAACACCTCATTTAGTCTCGGCTCAAACATCACCTCACCAAAAAAAGTCTTCCCTGACCACCCTATCCAAAATAGCAGCCCTCTCCCTGTCACTCTTCGTGCCCCAATTTGGCTTTATTTTGTTTCATTTGATCTATTTTCCTCATAGAACTTAGAATGGAAGCTCTGTGAAAGTATAATCTTTGATTTGTCCATTAACATACTAGTTAGCATCAAGAATAGTCCTTGGATATAGTAAATAATCAATAGCTATTAGTTGAAAAAATGAATATTCATCAAAAACTGAAATATAGATATATCAGTATAATTAAGAAGGTAAAGTTCCATGTAATTTCTTCTTCCAGAAATAATTACTAATGTTTACGTTAAAAAAATTGTATTCTATTGATATACTAGCTCATGTGTAAATACATTACTTTTTTTCTAAAATGGAATGTACTCTCCTAAATGAATTATTCTGCAACTTGTTATTTTATGTAACAATTACTCATGGATGGTTTTCATGTCAGTGTTTAAAGAATTCTCCCTCTTTTTAAACTGATTAGTATTTGCCTTCTTAATAATTGAAAGTATAAGTTTCCCAAGGTTTCTGAAATTTAGTATACATTGATTGCATCTAGTACTTATTGCATGCTTGCCATTCTAGGGTCTGGAGACTTGCCAATAAGCAAGAAGACAAGGTTCCTACACTTAATGAGTTTATGTTCAAGTTCTGACATATTATAAACCAAAATATTTTATATGGTGATAAGTATAGCAAAGAAAATAAAAATAAACATGGTAATGTGATGGAGAGTGGCTGGGGCTGGAAGTGATCAGAGCAGACTTCTCTTGGAGGGACTTTTGACATCATCTCAAAGATGAACAGGAAACAGATCTACATATATTTGGGAAAGCAGAGTTCTAGAGAGAAAGTGCTCATGGGCAACTTCGCCATAGCTGATGAGTAGAAAGGCCAGTGCAGCCAAAGTGTGATTTTGAAGAGAAGTGTGATATAGAATGCTATAAACAAGGAAGACTCTGATAATGTGGAATGGTAGGTGCTCAAAAAATGTAACTAATTAATTCCTTGTTTTACAGCAACAAGCAGAATTTCAGTGGTAAAATCTCAATAAATACAATGTGAAAAATTTATCATCTTAGTCTCTGCTTATAGCATTTCATAGGACATACTAAATCCGTAGGCTGGGAAGAATCCTGGTATGTTTCAGCTCTATTATAAGGCACCATTAGGATGGCCATAAAATGTTTAGCCCTTAAAAATACTTTCTCAGCAATATATCTGAGATAACCTTAAATGTTATTTCAATGAAATGTTTCCTAAGTCCACTGTTTTTAAGGGTGTTTATAGTTCAAGAAACTTCTCAAATGCCATCTCATAAAAAAGATCTAACTTTAAGATTAACTTAGACAGAAAAAAACATGTCACAGAAGACCTGGTATATTACTTAAATTCTATCATTATTGTCTTCTGAGAAGGAAGCAGGATTGATTCTGTAGTGGCCTCAAGTAAGTTCTTAAAGGACCTGTTTCTTTACAAATGAATATATATCATTGGAAATAAAATTCTTTATGGCCTATAATTCAGAAGTGAACTTTTATGAAACACTTTGGCATTATGGATATGTGTCCAATGGAATGACATATAACTTAAAGACCTAGATTGTTTAGTTCCTGGGGACTCATTAAGATAAATTTTGGGGCAGTAGAAACCATATTTCTTGACACATCCTGTTTACTTAATTTGAGACAGGTGAAGGGAATTAGAGCACTGTGTTCTTACAGGCACAATTTCTGTTTCTGTTAATTATTTTTTTAATGCGCTCTTTAATTCCCAGTGGTGACAACCTTCTGAAATCTAAAGAAACAGCTAGGGAAGAAGTTGCAGAAGTTGAGCCCAGGACATTAAAGCAAAGGGGCGTAGTAGCTATGGGGCGGTAAAATACACATACCTTAAATTTCTAAGAATCTTTCATTCATCGATGAGAAGTTCATGTAGATTTGAGGAGTTTCATGTGGATTTGCCCTGTTTAATTAACTTTCTTTGGTACGCTTTACATGTTTCACACTGGGAGATATGTGTGAGTTGAATCAGAGCAGCATGACAGTATTTTTGTCAGTGCTGGAAAAGCAAATTGCTCCTTTCAATTACCCAATTCCTTTCTCACTGAAGCAATACACAATCGAGTTATAAATGTCATTCCTCTTTCCCCAAAGGATATTCTGGCCAAGAACTTCTATGTCCTCTTTTGGTTTGGTTTGGTTTGGTTTTGCTACTACCACTGAAGTAATGAAGGCAACATTCATTGTCCCTTGCCATTTAATGGACATAATAATTTCCAGCCAGCACAGGTTGTGATGCTGAAACCAAGAAAAAGCCTTTTCAGTCATAGCCCCTGCATTTCAATCCAAGCCCCTGCTGTAGAACACTGGAGAACAAGGTGTGAATCAGTTTAAGAACACAGTTCTGCATTCACGGCATTGTGGTTTACAGCTCCCAAATGACCTCTATCTATCTTCCTTAGCTGTAGAGGTGTATAATTGAACCTAAAGAGAGTCTTGAGTAATGAGGTTGAGAGTGGCAGCTCCATTGCTGTGGCTTAATAGTGTAACTGCCGCATGCTTTTTTATCCCCTAAGATGTAACAAAATAGTCTAGTAGGCTCAATTCTTCAGGGTGACACTTGCTGAGAGTCTATATTTCAAAATAGAAATAGGATTTTATAAGCAAAAAACTATAAATCTCTCTCTACAAGACAGTTCCCAAAGTATAATTACGTAAGCCATTCTCTGCTGGAGCAGAAACTAATATGAATACATGCAATAACCCGTACTTCTTTTTGTTGGGAAATTATTTTTAAACTTTATTTTTCTTATGCAAGGAGCAGCTGCTTTTTCGGGCTGTCAAGGGGCTAGGGAGTCACAATATTCTCACGTTGTGCTCTGCTGGGAGCTATAGTCAGAGGACTCACATTATTGCCAGTTTTTTTATTTTTTATTTTTTTTTGGTTTGGTTTGGTTAGTGAAACTTGTGAAAATGTTGTTTTTAGAAAATTTATTTTTCCAAGGAGCAGTTCACTTACAAATAATTTTTTTTCTTTTAAGAATATATAGTTTATGTGCATTTATCAGCCCTTGACCACATGCCTATTGCTATGTGAGGACATTAGTAGAATATAAAAACTGAACAAAGATATAACCACCTGCTCATGGAACTCTCCGTCATTATAGTATTAGCTGACCATTAAGAATAAGCCTATTAAAGACAGTCACTTAATATGAGTAGTTTGATCCCATGGAGGGTTTCGGGGGCTCTGAATCTCCATTTTCCCCACAAACTAGACCCTAAAAATCAAAAACAAATATCCTGACTGCTGACTGTGCTTGAAATTCCATCGCTGAACATTCAATCCTATTGTACAAGATACTCCTTGTTAAAAGCTAAATCTCGCTACACGAAGAAACGTATTAAATAATAGTAATAACAAGAGCTAATGCTTAATGGGAGCTTACAACACTCAGAAGAGTTCTAAGCACTCTATATTATTTAACTCATTTCATTCTCGAAACAACATATTAGTTGTCCTCAGTTTACAGATGCAAAAACTGAAGCAAGGACAGAGGCTCCGATTCACGTACGTGGGAGCCAAGACGGTCTGATTTTGAGGCCCTTAGTCTCAACCGTTCTTTTAGTATGGATGAGTTGATCAAATCCATTAGGGGGAACAGAGGAGGAGGGCTGGAAAGGTTGAGAGAGAGGAAGTTTGCAGGATCAGGATCTTCTTTTCAGAACTCACATCTCAGCCTGGGACCAGCAGTGGGGGTTGTCTGTTTCGCAGATCTGGTGATATCACTGAATTCTCTTGAAAACCAATGTATCACTTACACTATGAGTGAGTCACAGAGGGTCATCGAGGTCAAACCTATCTTCATAATAATATATGCTATCTGCCATTTTCACTTTTTTGACATTTGCAACGATGATACAAAAGCAAACTCTGGGTAAAATGGCTGGCGACTCAGGATGAATTAAAGCAATGGCACCAAATGTTAAATTCTTCTCTGCCATACACTTGCAGTAAAAATGTGCCAGTTTTACTTAGGAATAACCTTGATGAAGTGGTAAAAATTTAAAATTATTAATTTTATTAAATTTTAACCCTGTGCACATGTGCTTTTTAATGTTCTGTGTAATGAAATAGGAAGAGTGCATAAAATACTTCTTCTGAGCACAAAAGAGTGATGGTTGCCTCAAGGAAAAGCACTCTTGAGATTGAGTTACTAGTTGAACTAGCCGCGCTTTTTGTGGAATACCATTTTTTTTATAGACAAACTTGGGTTTTGGGTAAATATGTTATCTAAAATGAGCCTTCCATTCCAAGGAAAACAACTGACAAGATTTGGTGCTAATGATAAAACTTGAGCTTCTAACCAAAAATTAGAATATTGGAAAACTTGGCCACCGTGAGCTTCAAAGCTTCCTAAAACTTTAAGACTTTCCTGATGGGGTTAGTGATGCTATTGAAAAATGTGACTTTAAAAATATTATATAATCAAACATGTCAACAATTAAAAGATCTGCACAACTCAGTGAACCAATATTTTCCAAGTGTAACATCAATGTATGATGTTACAAAATCATGCATGAGTAAAAGATCCATTGAATGTGCTAGGTAGGTAAATCAATGGATTTCAGTGTAAAAAGAGTATGAAAAGTTAATTGATATAATTTCAGATTCTACATTGCAACTAACCTTTAGAAAACTACCACCTGTTTAGTTTGACTAATGTATCAAAAAAGAAACGCAAAATTATATGAAAAAGACATTAAAATATTTCTCTCATTTCCAACTACACAGTAGCATGAAGCTAAATTTTCTTCATATACTTCTACCAAAATTACATATTACAACATATCACAGAAGCAGATATAAGAATTTAGCTATCTTCTATTGAGCCAGTATTAAATAATTTTTTTAAATGCAAAAAGTGTTCCTTTTTAGTTTGGGGAGAAAAACACAGTCTTTTTAATCTATATATAAATGCTTATGCTAACATGGAATGTGTTTATTATTGTTATTTTAAATGGATTAATAAGCAATTTTTGAAGGTTTTCTATTTAAATTTTGAACACAGTGACTATCAATAGATGTGACCTACATAAAAGTTCCTTGAAGTCTTTAATGTTTTTCAAAAATGTAAAGGATTCTGGTCTATGGACTGCACTTTGAGAACCACTGTATATCCTTTAGGGTAGACAAGGCATCTGACAATACAATGTCCTATGGAGGGCGGTTTAATGAATAGAATAAGTTACGCTGTGAGGAGTTTTCACCAACTGTGAGCATTAGAGGAAATAGTCCTCCACATAAGACTAACTTCACTTCTGCAATCAGTTGCAAGCTTAGGGGTCCCCAGAACCACTCTTAGATAATTCACTAGAAACATCCAAAGAACTTACTGTAAACAGTTACAGTTTATTACAGGGAAAAAATACAGATTAAAATCAAGGACAGAGTCCAGGTGGAATCTAACTGTTCAGTTTACAGTCATCCTCTCCCCATGGAGTCATGGACAGTGTTAACTCTTTAACTCCTTCTGGCCACAATGTGTGACACACACAGAGTATTGCAAGTGAAGCTGACCAAAGCCTCAGTGTCCAGAGATTTTATACAGCCTACATGGCTGACCTGTAGTCTCCAGACTTTTCAGAGGTCAGGCTGATACTTCTAGACTCCAGTTCATTCAAAGGCAAAACTGAAATGACTACTTCCACCAAAAGCCCCCATTGTAAATCACACTGTTAGACTATGTGGTGACTGAGGTCATCAAAGACATGCCTATCAGGTGTAATGTTTCAAGGATTCAGACATTACCTTCCAGTAGTTGAAGGCAAAGACCAGACCTCACTTTGGGTAAGGCTAGTTCTTTATTACACATTCTCTTAATGAGAACACTTGATGTGGGCACTATCGGGGCTGGATCAGCACCTCAACAATATCCTCAAAGACTCAGGCCCTAACCTTATACTCTGCCATCTCCATAGTGTTGGCGTTTTCTTCACTGTGTTGGCCTTTCCTCATTGTTGTTATGTGAATGCTAAATAGCAACCCAATTCCAGGGATTTTATGCTCTCTCAGGATTCAAGGGGAAGAAGCAAGGTGTATGGGAGGGCAGAGGGAGAGAAAAATGTTTCTGGAAGCCTCCCAAGTAACTTACCCTACATCCTTGGTCAGAATGATGTCACAGGACCACACTCCAGCTTCAGAATGTAGCTAGGAAAGTGAACTTCTGATGTCTACTTTCCCAGGGAAGCAGAAGGATAATGATTGGCTTAGCACAATTATGATTCACTGCGGCTCACAGGAATACCAGTAGTTAAAAGGGGAGGAGGATGACTATTGGGTAAAAGAACCCTTCTCAAACATTAATGTGCACACAAATCCCTTAGGGCCTGTGCTAAAAATGCAGCTTCTGATTAGGTAGTTTGGGGATAGGGCCTGTGTCTGCATTTCTTAAAAACTCTTCTGTGATTCTGATGCTGGTCTATGGATTGCATTTTGAGTGACAGGGAGTTAGGAAACAGTGTCGCGGTGAACTGGGTACAGATACAAATAGTGTGTATCCCATAAGACCAAATTTGCTCTCAGTACAACTGCTATGTGAAGTAAGCATGCCACAGGATTACAGATGGTAGAATTTCAGATCAGACAATATTAATTGTTACAGATGGAATTTATTGAGAGGTTATTATATACCAAGAACTTTACTTCATTTAACTTTCACGACAACTTTATAAAGTAGGTATTGTTTTCATCTCTATATGAGGAAACAAAGACTGGAAAAGGATAAGTAAATAGTCCTTATTCAGTAGTATTTGTTGGCAAAGCTTGAAAGCAAACCTGTTGGCCCCTAGAGCCTAAACTCTAAGACACTAGAATATTGACAAACGCCCTTATTACACAGAATGAACTTACTTGAGATTTCACAGTTGATGCCAAATCAGGAAGTTCCTTGGCCGGTCCCCAATCCCCACTGTACTTCCCTGTTCCTCCCTGTAACGAATGAGGTGTATAATGGGCAGTTGTCTCTCCCTCCTTCCCTCTCTGATACGCTGCCTCCAATTCATTAGCCTAATTCCTGCTACTACACACAAAAGGGTTCTAGTGGATTTTTCTTCTCTTTGAAATGAAACATTTATTTTCTAAATTGAGTGTCCTGTTATTTTCTAAATATGATATGACTTCTTTCTAAACCTTCCCATTATGTTTCTGATCCTGGTGGAAACGGTGCATTCTAGAAAACTGAACATGAATAAATACACATGTAATAGACTTTGGAGTTTTAAGTTGATTTGTTTGTATTTGTTCCCTTTTGTTTCTTCATTTATTTGTTCATTTTTGAAACAAAGATAAATTGAGCAACCTCTGAGTGTCAAGCATTGTTCTAGTTGTTGACAATATGGACACAGACTTAAAATTTTTTTTTTAAATAAAAATATTTTGTTGGAAAATGTGCTACTGTTCCTGGGATGCTTCCCAGGCCATTTAGACACAACCACATCTTTCACAGCCTTCCACTAAGGAATAACCTATATGTTTATACCAATTATAGGTCAACAATCTTTTCCCAGATGCCAATCCCAACAAATATGAGACTAAATGAGCAATAAAGAAGAAGAGGTAGTGATCTTACTCAAGGACACAACTATGTTGAAGCTGTTCATTGCAGAGTTTTTCTCTCAGAGCAAGATATGTCAAAAACGACTAGTAGCTTGTATATCTAACAATAGAGAAATGCTTAGGTAAATTATGGTACATCACTTTGATCAACTTGTATATCACAGAGCTATTACAAATAATAATTGTACATTTTGACAACATGAAAATTATTTAAAACATGATATGAATATGACAAGTAGTTAAGATGTATTAATCCTGAGTAGTAAGTGTTATATTATTTCCAATACTGCTAAATGTTTAATGTAGTTCAGAATTTTAAAAAGAAAAAGAGAAAAGGATAGCTAATGAGTTGAAAGGCAAATGCAGTCTTCTCCAGTTCTACTGTCTAGAGAATTCATCTGACAACTCCCATGCCCACTGTGACTGCCTTAATTCAGACCTTCCTATTTCTTGCCTAAATTTCTGCAGCAGTCCTTTTATTCAGTCATGTGTTCAACAAAAATTGGTTAGGCTCTGGAAACACAGAAATGAAAGATTTGTACCTGTCCTCAAATTGCTTAGTTTACATTTGAGACATTGCTTCTTAATTAGTCTCCCAGCCTCTGGACTCTGCACCGCCTCCAGGAGTGTTTTCTCTAAAATATGACTTTGATGATGTTTAAAATCATTCAGACGTTATCTGTTGCCTCTGATGATGTCCAAAGTCAGTGTAGTGTATAACATCCTTTTCTTGGGATGCTATTGGCTTTTCTAGTTGCTTCTGTTGCCATTGTTTTTTATCCCAACTGCCTTTTCTAAACCTTGTGCCATTCAATAAATGTACACCATCACCTTCTTGTCACTCATGGTGTTTGCCCTGTTGTTTTTTCCACTTGGCAGCCTTTGCAGCCCTTACAAACCTGGCCAACTATAGCTCAGTTTCAGGATTCACCTTGGGTTGGATTCTCTGGGAAGACTCCCTTCCATGCTGGGTCAGGTGCCTCCCCTAGAAATTCTCCTCATTAGTAAGCCAGTACTTACCAATGTTACAGTGCTTATCACTCCGTACTGCCCCATCTACTAGTCAATGATCTTTGGGACAAAGACAGTATCCTTTATTTCAGACAGTGTAGTGACTAATGCACAAGATTTTGGAGTCAGCCCAGGTTTGTATCCCAGCCACACCCTTTTGTTATTTAATTTATTATTAGCTCATTGAGCTACTGTGTGCAATTAAATGAGATAATTCAGGCTTTGCATATGGTGATCTTGCAACACATTTAAGCTGTTCTTATTTCTATTGATTTTCAATCTCTTCATCCCCACAGTGTTCAGTGAGCATTTGACAAATGAAAATAGAGATGAAAGAAATAGTGGCTTCTAAATTTAGGAATGATTGCTTTTGATCTAGACATTTCAGCTAGTGCCTCTGTACTCTGAAAAATACCTGGAAAGGACACACCAGAAAGAAGAAGCCACTGAACAGGAAAAGGCCATGAGAGATGAGAAGATGATCAACGGAAGAGGATATAGGATGAAGATACACAAGTTCGGGTGGGGAGGAGATGAAGAAAAAGAAGAGGATAATTGGAAGGTAAATTAGACTCTTGTAACTTGCTAATTATAGTGTGGCCATTTCCTATTTGCAGTAGAAATCTGTAGAACTACCTCTCAGGAGGTTCCCTTTCTTCTTCTAGGAAATATCTTTCTCTACCCCTGACCAAATTGACTGGTTTGAGTTTGTTGCCTGACGTAAGCAGCATCAATGGGCCCAAGGCTGTGGTACATAAAGCCCACAAACTATGTGGATCACGGTATTCATCCAGATTGGAGAAGAATAAGGCTGCCATTTTAGGCCAAAAGGGAGGAGAATAAGGTGACTATGATGTTCAAGAAACTATTTCTTATTGTTTCTGAGGCTCAGATGACTCCATGATCTCTGTTATTTGGGCAGTCCATGAAATAATCTAGTGTCCTTTCATTGATTTCCTTCTGCTTATACTAATTTAAGTTGGGTTTCTATTATGTGCATTCAAAAGTGTAACTAAACTTTATCTACGTGGCTCCATTTCCTACTGTATGCCTCTATGCACCTTCTGTTCTACTCACTCTGAACTATTTAACTGATATGGTTTGGCTGTGTCCCCACCCAAATCTCATCTTGAATTGTAGCTTCCATAATCCCCAGTTGTTGTAGGGGGGGAATGTTCATAATCATTATGTCCAAAGACAGAAACCACAACAAAACATGATGATATATTTGACTACATAAAATGTTAAATTTAAATATCAAAAACCCATCAATGAATAAATAAGGAATATTTAAAGTTTTGCACATAATAACACATTTAGAGAAATAACATATTTTATTTTCAATTGCATATATATAATATGTTATTTTATTATTATTATTATTATTGAGATGGAATCTCACTCTGTCGCCCAGGCTGGAATGCAGTGGAGCGATCTCGGCTCACTGCAACCTCTGCCTCCCAGGTTCAAGTGATTCTCCTTCCTCAGCCTCCTGAGTAGCCAGGATTACAGGTGCCCGCCACCATGCCTGGCTAAGTTTTTGGTGTTTTTTAAGTAGAGATGGGGTTTCACCATATTGGCCAGGCTGGTTTCAAACTTCTGACCTCAAGTGATCTGCCCGCCTTGGCCTCCCAAAGTGCTAGGATTAAAGGTGTGAGTCACCCACGTGGCTAATATGTTATTTTAGTTGCATAAATGTAATATATTTTAGTAGTCTTTTTAGTATTAAAATGACTAATTATGCAAGTTGATAATAGAAAGATGAATATCTGAATAGAGAAATAGGCAAATAACACAAGTAAAAAATTTTTTAAATTAAATATAAAAATAACAAACATTTGTACATTTTTAAATTGTACTAGAAATGGAGGAACAACTACTTAACTGTTTAGTCCCTGGTTTGCCCACCCACTCACACATCTCATAGCATATCCACAACATGTTGTGTATTTCTCTATTGCTTTTCTCATTCATCTCTGTATTGTGGTTATTTTACCACCTGTCTCTCTCACTAGACTTTAATTCCTTTTGGAAAACCCAATGTTCTGTTTCTCTTTCATGCATTAACTCGCAGCATTTAGTTGGGCTCCATGAAGGTTTATGGAATGAATGATTTGGGTGAGAGAGTGTCTTAAAATGGGCATGCTCCACTAAATAATTTGTCATTGTCTCTCTAAAGCTGCAAGGTAAATGTCTTTACTTCCTGTGATATTTGTTCCTGTAATTGAAAAATCTCTATTCTTTGTATTAATGCCTTATTTTTCTGATTTGTCTTCACTCTTATACAGTTATGGGCAAATTTTCTTCATTATAAAAATATTTTATCTCAGAACCAAATGCTCCGTTTACTAAAATGACACTTTATCTGGTTATTGTGATTTTTCCCCATCTCCTCTTTCTTTTGTTATTATTGGAACTTCCATTTACACCATGCAAGGTGAATTTTTTTAAAGAAGTGATCCATCCTGCAGAGTGTATTAATTTCAGCATAAATGTATGTAAAGTCAACATGTCAGCTATTTTGATTTGCATTAAACTCTATTCTTACTTTGTATTTTATGCCGCAAAAGCTGAGGATGGGGGCGGGGGTGTTGAGTGAAAAGGATAGACCAGCACAGTATTCATATCTTAGCTTGATAGAGCAGTTTACAATAAATAAATATATAATAATCTCACTATAATAAAGTTTCACTAAAGTGCAATCATAAATCTTAGGTCAAGGGAATCAAAAACATAATTCAGAAAGGCTTTTGGGGACTTTGAGAGTGGAAGGCACTTAGATATCAGTCAGAACTGAGTTCCAATCTCAGTTACCTCACTTACTAGTTGCATAGCCTCCTACAACTCAAAATAAATTTTTATAAATAAATTCAGTCCTGAAGCAAGATCGTAAAGGATATTCTAGGTAGCACCTGCATAAAAATGCAAATCAGTCTCAATCAGTCAAATAACCAGAAAGCTTTCATTGAAGCTTTGCTTTATGCTGAGCAAGGTGTAGTGCATCCAAAAACACACGCACAAAAAACAACAACAAAAGCAACAATGCAATAGCTTTAAAAAAACAATCCAGGTCCCCTTGTTTGCTCTGAGTTCTCTGTGTCAAGACTTGCTCTGTCATCCCTCATTTACCTCATGGCATATATGACTGTTGTTGATCCTTTTTAGAAACCTTCCAAAAACAAAAGCAGAAATATAAAAACAGTGGCAATCAAGTATATTTTATATGATATAATGTTAGCATTTTAAGTTAGTGGGAAAAGCTATATTTTTAATGTTAACTTTTTCTTTTTTTCCTTTTTCCTTTATTTTTTTAGATAGAGTATTTTTCGGTAGCCAGGCTGGAGTACAGTGGCGCGATCTCGGCTCACTGCAACCTCCGCCTCCTGGGTTTAAGCGATTCCCCTGCCTCAGCCTCCCAAGTACCTGGGACTACAGGTGCGTGCCACCACACCCAGCTAGTTTTTTGTATTTTAGTAGAGATGGGATTTCCCCATGTTAGCCAGGATGGTCTCGATCTCCTGAACTCGTGATCCACCCACCTTGGCCTTCAAAAGTGCTGGGATTACAGGCATGAGCCACTGTGCCTGGCCCTTTAATGTTAAATTTTTTAGGTAAATCATCAGCTATTTGGAGAAAAATAATAAAGTTTAATCTTGACCTTATGCCATATTGTAACATAAATTCCAGGTGTAGAACAAATATAGAAAATTAAACCACAAAGGACTATTAAAGTGTAGGTGAATTTTTATACTTTTGGGGAGAGGAAAATCTTCATAAGCATTATCTCCAAAGACAGAAATCACAAAACATAGTGATATCTTTGACTACATAAAATGTTAAATTTAAATATCAAAAAGCCCATTAATGAATAAATAAGGAAAATTTAAGGTTTGCATATGATAAAGTATTTAGAGATATATTTTATCTTCAATTGCATATGTATTATAAATTATTATAATTGCATAATTATAATATATTTTAGAAGTCTTTTTTAATATTAAAATGACTAATTACAAGTTAATACTAGAAACATGAAGACCTAAACAGAAAAATAGGCAAATAACACAAATAAAAAATTTATAAAATTAAATATACAAATTGTCAATAAACTTTTGAAAATTTTAAAAAGTTCACTAGAAATGGAGGAAGAAAAGTGAAAAATTAAGACAATACAAAAATTAATAATTATAAAATATAACTACATATTAAATTGCTAGAAGTTAGAAACAATAGTATCAAATGGAGACAGCATAATCATAATAATATCAAATAAAGACAGTTTTACACAATGATGGGAGATAGTTATAACTTTTCTGGAGGGCAATTAGGCACTAAAAGCCTTAGAAATGTGCATAACTTTGACATAGGAATCTCACTTCTAGGAGTTAATGTTAAAGGAATAATTGAACAAGTATACAACAAGTTAGTCTTCATTATTTTTAAATGATAGAAAATTAGGAACAATCTAAATGACCAACCACAAGAGATGAGAGATACTAGCACCTCTGTATAATGAAATACTGTTCAATCATTTAAAAGTTTCACAGAGGTGTATTTATTAACATGGAAATATATTGAAGATACAAAAATGGTTAATTATAAAAAAAGCTGTGAAATATGAAATTAAAAAATAAAATGCCTAGATAGAATGATGTTAGAACATTGGCCGGTAGTTCTCTGGATGGTATGATAATGGGCAATTTCTACTTAAAGCCAAACCTTTTTTTTTTTTTTTTTTTATTTTCCAAGTTTTTCTACGTTAGGTATTCATTCAGCCACCTCTTGCAACTCATCTCAAATTCTTTAACTTAAGCCCGTCCTGTGGCACTCGGCTTCCGGCACGGAGACCCCACCACACCTTGCTCCCTCTCCATAGATTTTCTGCTCTTTGACTGCAGGCGATTTACAGCATTCACACCCCACAAGGCAATCTTTAACCCACAGGGATAGAGTCATCAGATAAATACTCTATTGTAATGTAAAATGCATTTTTAGGCCCCTCAACAGGTCCCAGCAATTTATCCTTGGTTGTCCACAGCAGTGACCAGATCATTGTTGTGCCCAGAATACCAGCGCCATAACAAAGTTTTGCAATGGTCTTTCTCCCGTTTCACTCTTCCCAGTCTCTCCCTCCTCCTCCCAAATACACTTTCTACATGCACATAAACCTTATCTCAGGCTTTTCTTTGAGGGCACCCAGACTAAGACATGCATATATTAATTTCATCATAATGAAATTCAAGAATACTCAAAGCATTTGATATAATTTTAATGCAAATAAAGGCTCAGAGTTCTAAAGCACGTGAATAACAAAACAGATTTTTTTTTAATGTAGTAGTACTTCTGGAACCACAGGAGAACTCTGCTGCCCATTAGGCAAGCTTAATACTACAATACTACACAGTACATTGCCCTTAACTGTTTTCAGGCTATTACTTAGATTTTATAGGAAATAGATCTGCACCGCAGCTAGAAATGGTAAGAAATGGTTGAGCAAAGGACAGCTGTTTCCGGTTCCACTGGAGGAATCCCACTGCATGGATGATGGCAAAGATCCTAACATTGTTTACTACTAGAAGCAGCAGTCCCAAGATGTCAACGCTCTGCATGGTTTGCAGTTGCCAGGGTCACCAAGAAAGACACCATCCACACAGGCACTGAATGGACCAACACTTTATGCATATAGAGCAGAGACAAAGCAAGATCAGCGTCAACAATGAATGTTGGTGCCCACAGCCAGCAGGACTTGCCCTGCATCAGGGAGATGGTCTGCTCACACTCATAAGCCACTCTCTCCCCTCAAGGACCAGATACAGCGGTGGGATTGGCCAGGTGCCATGTGATACACACGCTGAAGCAAAGAAGTACACTTCAAGTCTGAAATAGGGAAAAAGACTCTCAAGAGTTCCGGTAAAGAACCTTTATAGCACAGGCTATAAAGTTTCTTTATTTCTCTGTAATGAAATGTTCTAGGACCATGGCACATTGCCACTAAGCAGGAGTCAAAAGACTACACACAGGAGACTGCCTTTCCCAACAGGGATTCAGTGGTTTAAGACATGACATTCATAGGAAGCAATCCCACAGCAGCTATAAGAATAAAAGTGGATTCTAGGCTCTATATTCTGTCTAGGTGAAACTTTTAGTATGGGTCAGAGGAGTTATTATTATTATTATTATTGTTGTTATTTTTACAGGACCACCTACCTTTATGGAATTAGAAAGGTCTTTTCTTTTTCTAATTACTTCCCACTTCCTGGCAAGCCTTGATAACCTAATTCAATGGTGCTCAGAAGAGCCACAGAAATCTACCATTAAAATTGATGGATGGCAGTCATTTCTCACATTGCAGGGAAAATTAAGTTTATAGATATCATCTTTTTCATTTTAAGTATTTCTTCTATAACTTTGGCCTAAACCTTTGGCATCCGGTCTCCATGGTCTCTGTTAGAAAGCAGTCTACAATGATATCTAATTTAGTACAGTGACATATTTATTTTGCAATATAAATTTGATTACCTCATAGTGTTTTTCAAAAATACCATTCCTTTGGGTGGCTGTGCCACCTGAATTGTTTGAAACATTATCCTAGTGGAGCATAGTTTAGCTGTTGTACTTTATTAGCTGCCTAAATAGTTGTGTGAGTACTTCACAGGAATTGCCCCAATGTTAAATGAGAATCAAAGAGGTGGAAAACTAGAATCTGGCCAAGATTTCCTTGAACATCGTCTGATTTTGAATCTATTCTGTTTCCTCTGATTGCCTCTCGCAGGAGCCCTTGAGGAAGCTTTAGAGAGCAACTGGCATTCTTCTCCTTCCAATGCAGCCCTTTGAACCTCCCACAACTGATACAGTTGCAATGGTCTTATTCATTACCAAGTAATCATTAGAAGTGATAATGTCACAATACAGTGCTAATTGAAAGGTTAATTCAGCCACAGAAATTTGCCTTAATTGATGAACTGATACCTCATGGGTGAGAAGCTGGGTGTCTTGTAAAGCATCAAACCATGCAGGCACAATGCATTACAGGACCCAAGAAATCCAAAGGAATTTTCAAGACAGAAACACCCCAGCTGAATGGGCTGCATGGAGTAGGGATTCTACAAGACAGCAAGATCAACATTGGTGTGTCTAGGGGGTTATTGAAACAAGCAAGGGCAAAAAATACTGTATGCCCTCTCCATGACTTGAGTTCTTGAAGTGTCCTGCAAACTTTTCAGTATAGCTGGAGCCCTTTCTTCAAGTCAAATCCCAGAGGAAGATCCAACCACAGCTGTCCTATTTGAAATGAGACGGTGAAGGTCTGTAGCCCCCCTAATCTCCCTACCAATTTCCTCCCCACCCAGCCCTTCCAGGAGCTGATATGGGAGTATTTAAGCAGATTTCAGAGTGGAGTCTTCAGCTGAAGAAATGTGATAAATTCCTAGAATATACACCAGTCCTTCATGTCAGAGCAGCCTCTGGCATGAAGATTACACTGAGATTTACTGAACTTGGCTCATCTATCTTCTTGGTTTTCACTGCCTGTCAACCCTGGAAATTATTTACCTTCCCAGAGTTTAGACTAATCCCTAGTTTTCTTCTTTTCATTGCCACCCTGCTTATTCACCTGTCAGATGGCAACTATATTTCTTTTCGCTCTGGAGAGTCTACTTGCTTTGAACTTACTTGGTAGATTATAGGGTCTGAGTACCTTAACTTTTGGGAATTCCACAGACTGCTTTGAACCATTAGAGAATCTGATTATAGCTTTTCAATTGTGTCTCTTTCTCCTATATTTTTTATTTATTTATTTTTGAAACGGAGTTTTGCTATTGTCGCCCAGGTTAGAATGCAATGGCACCATCTCAGCTCAGTGTAACCTCTGCCTCTGAGGTTCAAGTGATTGTCCTGCCTCAGTCTCCTGAGTAGCTGGGATTACAGGTGCCCACTACCATGCCTGGTTAATTTTTGTATTTTTAGTAGAGATGGGGTTTCACCATGTTGGCCAGTCTGGTCTCAAACTCCTGACCTCAGGTGATCCACCCGCCTTGGCCTCCCAAAGTACCGGGGTTACAGATGTGAGCCACCACGACTGGCCATGTTTTTCCCATTTCTTTAAATTGGAACCTATCACTGTATGAAGAGAAGGGGAGGAACATGAGTTTGCAGCATGACTTTCCCAACATCTCTCTCCAAGGATGAGCCCAGGTTGTCCCTATAAAATCCAGAACCCAAGGTGTAAAGGAGTAATCTCCCCCACTTTTTTGATGATGTTGGGGGAACTGGAAGGTAAAGCCTGGAAAATTCTGTCAAGTTAGAATCCTAGTTATCAATCTTGATGCCTCCTTACCTCTTACATCCCACATGCAAGCCCTCACCAGGTGATGTCAATTCTGCCTATTCAATCTCTCCAATCCCCTCCACTTTCCTATTCCCAGTGTCACTGCAGGAAAGTCATACCTTACTTCAAGATCAGGCTGTAAACCGTTGAGGCTAGGTGAAAGTCATGTATTGTTACAATTATCCGGAATGCCTCGGGAAGGTGCCCCAGTGCAGGCAGACTTACTCCTTCTCAGTAAATCCAACAGTTTTCTCTCTAGGGTTGGAACAAATTGCTGTTTCTTCAACTGAGCACTAGTTGAAGACATTAATATGTATTTAGGGACCATATTGGATGAAAATATATACATATTTAAACCCTGTTTTGACATTTAGCATGGTGAGATATCTATACGGTGGGATGCACAGAAATTGAAGAAACAAGAGTTTCGTATCTCACATTTTGGGCTTTCTCTGGAGCATACACTCCTTTCACCCAGTGAGGAAGTGTTGGCATTATCTAAAGTGTTATTTCTCTATGTCTGTTTTCTTTCTCCAATTCTCTCCCCTCTCTTTGTTGTTTAGAATGTATAATTGAATGCCAGTAATATGATGGGACTCTATTCTGTTTATTTTTAGGTACCAACATCTCTTGTCTGAATTACAATGAAAGTTCTCTAAAAAGACTCTTATCCCCCAATACTAATCTTCTTCAGTCCATTTACCATCTGAACGCAGGATGATAGCTCAAAAACAAATTTGATCATGCCTCTCCCTCCCTTTTCTTTTTAAAATCTTTCAACCGCTTCTCATTGTGACAAGTCCAAAGCCTTTGGCATGACATAGGAGCCCTTCGTAATCATCTCCCTGTTCTTTGCAAGTCTCTGCTCTCACCACACTTACACCCATCCCACTGCCATTTCCAGTGAAATCAAACTGCTTGCACTCTCTAAAAGGGCAATACTTCCCATATCTCAAGGCCTTTGCACACATCCTCCGTCATCATCCTTGTGTGACTAACTTCTCCTTGTCCTTAAGATTTCAATTTAAACATTAAGTCCTCTGGGACCTTCTTTGCATATCTGTAGCACTACCACTTCTCCTGCTGGCTAAACCTTTGCATTTCTATAACTGTAGAGTATTCAAGTCCCCAGTGAAGTCTTGAGCAATCACTCCATATTCTTAACACTCTAAGGAAAGTGAGAGACTTAGACACAATTTTGTTTCATAAGCCATGTTATTGATTTCTTTTCCTGTAACACCAGCTCATTTACAACTCAACAGCAATAATAATTATTATAATTACAACAATTTAAGAAGAAGAACTAACACATTTGCAGTGTATATGCCAGGTATTCTTCCAAGATATATAATCTATATATGATAAATATATTCATGTTTACTTACTTATACACACATATATTTGCTCTTTTTATCTACAGAATTGCTATTACACTCATATCACAGGTGAAGAACCTGAGTCATAGAGAGACACTAACTAACTTGCAAGGTGGACACAGAGAATACACACATACAGCTTTTCAGTAAGTTCAATCCAGCCAGTCTTTCCTTCAGTATAGGAACAAACTGGAAAAATCAGGATCCAAGCCCAGGAAGTCTGATCTAAGAACCTGCCTAGCCAGTGTGTCCTCAGCTTCTCTCATGTGTCTGGACTAACTTCTAGTATAGACTTTAGTTTGCCATTCTTTCCAGTTGACAGTTACCTACTTTTCATGCTAGCTGCTCAATGGGTGTTCATGCTGCATTGAACAGAAAAAAGTATTCTTCAAGAAGAGCCCACCCTTAGAAGGCTTACTATGCATGCATGAATAAATTTTTCCATATGCCCTCCCCATCACTGTTGTTTGCCATAACCAGAAGTCCTCTTACCTCAACAATATCTTTTTTTAGACAAATGGTTGAATTCCACTCACAGAACCACACTAAACATTTCCCTGGACTGCCCTGATCCAAGCATTATGCTATTTGTATTCATTAAAACTGATTAAGGTTTTCTTTATATTTATCACCAGTTTGACTTTCATAGCTGAGGCTTACTCTGCTATCAGCAGGATTCCTGGTCTCCCTTGGATGTTTTCAAAGTGAAAGTCCAAGAACACAAATGAATTCTGGCAGCCACAAGTCCCAATTTAGTGTATGAGTTCCAGTGAGATGAGAGGAGCTGTATTTTAGGATAAAACAATTAAATAACTCTGAATTAAACCTATGGTGTACTCATCACATTCTTTTCTTAGATTCATGTGCAATGATAATGTACTTGACATGATTCAATTATATCTTAAATTCCTGATAGCTAAAGCTAATCAAACAATAAAAGTAAAATATACCAGTCATATTTACAAGAGTTGTACAGAGCCATTGACCCTGCAAAGGGCATCTTACCTCTAATTGTGCATTATGGACAGTGTGGCCCCTATAAGCCATAAAAAATAATCATTAAAATGCTAAAATAAGATTATGAGTTCAACCAAAGGTAGGAGCTCTACATTAAGTTTTATTAATATTGAAAGAGGACGAGAAGCTCAAATGAGGACAAACTATAGCATCTTTTTCTAGTCTGCTATGTGGCTCCAAACCCAGGTCCCTTACTGTGACCACCAAATGCTTATAATCCCTTGCACACCTAGACAATCTCATTAGAGAAATAGATACTATAGATCCCTCTGGGGATTTTTCTGTTGAAGTAAGTAGAAGAGTTTAGCTTAAGGAGAATACTATATTCAATTTCACACCTCTGCAACCTGCTCACATTGATTGGCAACAATGCGGGTCATCTGGAGTTTGAGATGTGTCTCCTATTTGCAAGGACACACAGCTTCTGCAAGGATGTGTTGCTGGCTATTGCTTTTCAGCACTGCACCACCAAACATGCCGCAAGGAAAAGTGAAATCTGGCAGCAAACTCTCACCTTCTGGAGTCTGTCTAATGTTCTGCTTGGATTTGTGTATAAAGACACAGGCACTGTATTGCTTTTCTCAGATGTGCTGTCTGCCTTTGACTTGTACTTCTTCGATAGAAGGAACTTTCCTTTTCTCCCTGTTATTCTTCCTATGACCTTAGATTCAAGGAGAATAAAGGAATATAATTTGGAACAATAAATCCTTCTCATCTTTCAGGTTTGGTTGAAAAGCTTACCTCGCTATTCCCTAAACACCTAGCTATTATAAACTCTTATTGACCTGCTATTGTCTGTACCCTGTTAGATCCTTATTCACTTTTATGTGTTTGTATCTCATCTTTCCAACTAGACCATGAGCTCCTTGAAGGCAAAGACTGCCTCACACTGTTATGCACCTCCACCGTCCCTAATCTCAGCACCTTACACATAGTAGGCAGCTGGTATTTACCCTTTGATGGATTAATTTATCAGGAGGAGACACTGCTGATTACAAATATAATCTCCAAATGAGAGCCACTGTGTCTTAGATTGTGCTTGTCACACTTGAATGTGCATATCACTTATCTGGGGATTCTGGCAAAATGCGGCTTCTGCTTGCTAAAACTGCGGTGGTGCCTGGATTCTGCATGCCCAAATCCCAGGCGATGCCAATGATTCTGGTTTAGGGACCCCATTTTAAGAATCAAGACCTTAGACATGAAGAAAATTAGATGTGAATAAATCATTTAGAAGTCATTTCTTTGCTTTTTACATTTTACAGAGCCATACCTAGATCACACTTCTGGTTGATGTGAATCTAACCAGTTTAGAGACTTTCAGAAATATTCAATAACCAATTAAGGGTCTTCTACACAATAATAATAGCTAGTGTGGCAGGGTAATTCACTGAGGTGCTAATTTGCATGTATTCCCTCTTATTTCTCATGCATTTGTTCTGAGCAAGTAGTCAAGCCCATTCAAATGCTTTGCATCAGAAACTTCGAGACACGGGGTGGGAGGGCAAGAGCTGCTGGAAGACTCCCTTCTTGTCTCTTTTGAAATTTGAGTGATTGAAAAGATAAGATTAGGCATTCTTTAGTAAAGGGAGGAGAGAAAAAAAAGATACATAGGAAAAAAAATTGTCCCCAGGGCTGAGAAAAAGAGGAAAATCAGTGTATCTCCTAAATTTAAGCACCAGGCAGTCTGGGCACCAGGTATTAAGCTCTCATTCTGTTAATGTGCCTGTGCCATGGATGGCATGGAAGCCACAGATTTCTGGGAACATTTGAGCTCAGCAAATGGGTATAGTAATAGGAAGCAAGGTGGACTGATATATGGAAGTTTTTCCAATGCTTTAGCACTGCATGGCTACCCTCCTCCCACTACAACCATGCAAACACCCAATTAATTAATTTAAAATTTAGAAATGGAAAAAAGAAGGAAGAGGAATCATGATAATGTTTAGGAAGAAATGTCAACCTAGCAAGCAAGGTTTGGAACTGGGTTTAATCTGATTTTAAAGAAGTAAATCAAGGTGCTATTTCTTGTTTAACCACGCGTGTGAAGTATGATTCATACTTGATGAAACATCTATTGAGTGACGATTTAAAGATGAAATCAAATCATGTCATCCTCATCCTCCCCCCACCCACACACATACACCTTTCCCAACTCAAAACTTTCTAATGGCTTCCAAATCCTCTTAGAATAAAATGCAAATTCCTTTCCACGAGCTACAACACTCTGTACTCTACATTTGCACCATCCAGGATGGAAGCCGCTGACCACATGTGGCAACTAAGCACATGAAATGTGGCTGGTCTGAATTGAGATGTGCTGTAAGTGGAAAATGTACACCAAGTTTCAAAGATTTAGTGTCCCCCACCTCAATGCCCCCCAAAAAAAGAATATACATGTCAGGTAACATTTTTATAGTGATTGTGTGCTGAAATGATCTTTTGAATATATTGAGTTAAATTAAGCTCACTGCTTATTTCTTTTTTCTTTTAATGTAGCCACTAGAAAATTTAACATCACATGTATAGCTTGCATTTTACTGCATATAACTTTGCATTTTACATTTTCCAGCAGTACTGTTCCCCAGAACTGCCCTAACCAGACCTCACCTCACACCTCTCCCTTCTCACTCAGTGTCCCAACCTCACAGCACTCTGAGGTCCTCCAGGCAACAGAGTTCATGTTGACTTGAGAAGGCATGGTGCATCCGTAGTTGTCTCTCTCTGGAAGCTCTTCCCATTAGATAACTGCTTGGCTTCCTTCCTCATTTCATTCAGCTAAAACTACACTCAAATATCACCTTGCCAGAGAGGCATTCCCTTACCACCCTATCTAAGTCCACTTCCCTTCTTCTTTCTTCCCTTGACCTGCTTTACGTTGTTCACGTGGCATCAGATTACCCATTTGTTCATTGCCTGTCCAGCCCCACTTGGTCTCAAGTGGCACATCTGTTTCCTTCACTGACACGCCCTCAATAACTAGGAAAGTATCTGGCATATAGCAGGTACATGATAAATATTTATTGAGTGATTGGATTCGTTATTTAAAGTGACACTGGCATTAAACCAGTGATTTTGCGGAGAGCTTTGAATTTTTTTATATTTAATTCTGTTTGTCCTTAAGTAAATTTTTATAGTCTGTCCATAAGTAAAACCTAATTCTATACAAGAGAAAATAAAAATTTAGAAAAGTTAATAAAAATAACATAGTATGTCCCAAACCCTTTATATAGATGTGTTTACTTGATCCTAAGTGGTGAGCACTGTTATTGTCCTTTATTTTTTACAGGAGAGGAAACTGAGGCACGGGTAGTCAAGTAACTTGCCTAAGGTCATACAGTCAGTTAGTGGTAGAGCTGGAAGGTAGAGCTAGGAGAGTCTGACCCCAAAAATCAAGTTTTCTTGTTTCTGGGCCAGGTCCACACATTAGTGAGTGCAAAGAAGGTTTGGACCAGGTTTGACTTTTGTGACTCTTCTCAACTCCCCCAATAATGCCTTTACCAAGTCATCTATTCTCAATCAGAAAGGATCACCTCCTGGCACTTCTGATAATACTTACCTCCCTCCTGTACTCTATTTCCACCATACAAATTCACTTTCTAAAGAAACTGAAGACCCTGTTAGGATCTTCAAAATATGCTTGGTTTCCAGTACTTCCTCTTCCTCTTCAAAGAACACCACTAATGTGCTCAGTTCTCCAGAACTAAAGTCTCACTGGCATTTCTGTCTTGTTCCTCTCACTTGTTGCTCCTACCCAGACAATTCTCCCTCCCCAGTGTTTTGCTTTTCTTCTTTTCTTTCAAGTCCTATTGCTGGCGACCTGGTTCAAGACTTTATCAATGCAGGCCTGGACAGTGGGAATAAACTGTTAATAGTTTTGCTTGTTGTCATTGTCTATTCTTCCAACTCATGCTGATGAATGATGGCAATTTATTTTTAATATAAAATTTCAATCCATTACTGTCTTTCTTGAAAGTTTGGAACCTGCTCCCCATTGCCTGAAGGATATAGTTCTTTGAAGTTCTTTCAGTGTCATTCAATGCCATCCCTAATTAGGGCTAACCTATTTTTCAAGCCTTATCTCCCACCACCACATCTGACCTTCTGCTGCAATCAGGTTGTTTTACTGGTTGTCAGAAAAACATCCTTTGTATGTTCCCACCTTTGCACTATTACACTTTGCATCCTCAGCTGGATGTCCCTTTTACATCTCTTACTACATCCTAACTCATATCAAATTCTTCTGTAAAGCCTTTTCTGGGCATCATAGTCTGAAATGTTATTGTTCCCCAAGACTCCTATATCAAGTAATGTTTGTGTAATTAACTCATGAAATAGCTCCTTATATTACACTGAGATTCCTTGCAATATAGTATTAATTCCTGCTCAATTGCCAAATATCTTCTCTGGTGCTACACATCTACTAAAGGCTCCAATAAAAAATAATTTAGAAATTATGTATGTTAATAGAGATAATCTAATACTAGAAGAATTTTGGAATCAAAGACTGCATTTTAAGTCAGAGAAATGAGCTACAAAATTTGGTAGACTTCCCATAGACTATTCTTCAACCAGCAGTCTTTTATGCAAATGAAATGACTGAAAGCTGAATCTTACAACATTTTATTTACTTGCAGAAGCAGAGGAGAATTTAGAAATCAACGTAGCCAACTGCCTAATTTCACAGGAGAAAATAAGTAAAGCTCAGACTACTAAAAGCCATTGGCAAATTCTGAATTTGTATGAAGATCTGAATTTAAGAGTATCCCATATTCTACCTTAAGCCTCTAATCTGGAGGGAAGAAATACTACCGCATCTAACTGATATTTGATGAGTAATCTTAATTTAACTTTAATATTTTTATATACATATTCTGTTTTAAACTTTTGAATGTAATCCTACAGCATTAATCATTTGCAGTCAGTTTGCAGTTTACAATGAATTTACACGTATATTATCTAACGTGATGCTCACAACTACCCTGGGATGTTGGTGTCAACAAGTCTCAAGGCAAAAGTGAGACAGGCTGGGGGAACGTAGACACATCAGATGTAGCTGTCTAGGAATTCCTTGTCTTGACAAATTTGTCTCCTTACAATCCCTTGGTCAATAAATAAATCAAGTGTCTATTTTTCTGGAGATATATAAATATCTTCCCTCAGGGGTTGGAAAGAAAATAGCCATGCCTCGTGACAATTTATGCATGTGAAATGTCAAATCATGGTACTAAGGGCAGGAGAAGAGAGATTGGAGAGTGAGTGCTGGGACTCACTGTAAGCTTCTTAGCAGAGAGGAGAGTTGAACGGGACTGTGGAGTCCCAGCAGGATTTACATAACAATGATGCCAAAATCACACAAGTGCGTTCATTCTTATTTTTATATACAACCTACAGTTTTATGAAGTACAACTATGCATCATCCCACTTAATCTTTTCGAGTTCCTTAACCTTTTAAATGGACAGTTGTCTTGTGGTTTAGAGAACCAGTGTAATCTTTGAGTAAGTATTACCCATTCCCTGGAAATTTTTCTTGGATGCTAGCTCCCTCTATTAAGGTGAAAATTAAATTCTTGAGAAGTAGGGCGTGGGTTGGGGGAGGGAAAAAAAGGGATTCCATTGTGCAATGTAGTTCAGAGTCCCTTGTCTCTACTTTGTCATTCTAATGAGGCAACTGGCTTCTACAGGCAGTAGGTTTAAGCGATGTGGAGTTGAACTGTGCTAATTGTATATTAAACCAGTGTTAAATTACCAAAGTGCTGAGTCAACAATCAGAAATAGGTTCCTCCATTTTTTATCAGCATGAAACTTCTCTTGTCACTGGATAGAAATATCAGTATAAGGTGGCATTCCATGGGTCAATTCCATGACTTGGGTGTTTGTAAAAACTTCAAAAAGTTTATTGCAGAAGTAAGTATCCCTTCTCAAGCTGGAGGAGCTTCAGACTAGTCTGAAAATAGTTATATCCCATTTTTCACATTTGCTAGCTACAGGTTTTAGAACCTCACAATGTCAATGGAGTGTTAAAGAAAAAAAGTAGCAGGCTCTTTTTATTATATCTTAATTTTCCATGCTGAGCTTTTCGTAGAAATTCTATATTATCTTCGACCTTTATACTTCAATCTGACCCACAGGCTCTATGCACTTTCCTCCCCCACATTTCTGGAGCTGCTCCTGTTGACACAGCTATTAAATGACTAACTGGAACCAGTTAGTCATAAAAACTAGGGCTGGTTTCTATGGTTGCAGAATGAAAGATACGTTTTCTATTGTATTTTCAAGCACAATGTGGACAGCCAAGACTATTGGGGAAATGCTAAATCTAGATATAGAGCCAGAAATTGAGAATCAGTTAGGAATCAGAACCAGAAACCTAGACCTGAACAGATATGAGAATGGATTAGGTATCTGGTGGGCAGGCAGCCTGAGCTGGCGTGGATGTTTTGGAACTAACGGTTAGCACAGGGTCCAGCATGGAGAATAAGCTCAGGTACTTGCACTGGTGATGGACACATTAGCCAGGTTTGCAAGTGAGGCCTTGAATGCAAAATGAACACATCTCTGTCAGTTGATCCTTGGAAAATTCTCATGAAAAAGTTGGTTCGTGGTCACAGGAGGAATGAGTGGAAAAGAGAGGACAGACAATGAGCGAGATTACATCACTCACTCAATTTGTGCACGAGAAAAGCATTCTTTACCCTCACTGTAAAGTGGTTTCACTTCCAGCCTAAATTCCACCACATAGGTGTAGATTAATAGTGGTGACCCATCATGTTCAGAGAAACATCAGCTGTCTGGCCAGTCTTCGGTCACTCCATGTCAGGATGTCCCAACCAGTTAGTGGTATTTCCAGAATGCGGTGCCAATGGGAACTTTAAGGATCATACCACTTAGCATGTAGGAACAGTCATTTACCAAACAGGATATCAGTGCTTTGTAAGAGCTAGTGGAACTTCCCAAGTGCCTCACCTAGTTACACTGAAGTGATAGAGTGTCCTGTCCTTCCTTATAATTGATATGTTTAGATTATGATGTGCCCAGGACACCAAAACCCTACCGCCATCACTCCAATCATAGTTCGACTTCATTATTAGCATGGCTTTAAGACAAATGGAAGGAGATGGAATAATTAAGAAACGTTGTTGGACATGTTTAGGATTACTGTAAAATAACTAACAGATTTATATAATCTCAACAGTGTTAGGATTTTTATTACAAAAAAAGAGCAAATCATTTGGAAACAATACTATATAAATATAGAGAATTTTTTTATTATTCCATTTCTCATGCCTCAAATGCACGAAAAATACCCTTTAAGGTCAAACTATTGATTTAAGTTATAATTTAGTTCTAAAACCTCAGGGAGTTGTTTTTCGAGCAAGAAAAATCACAATGTTTCTCATTGCCCTTCTTGGTACACGAGCCAAATGAACTGAACACACACTGTGCACAAAGACTTGTGCTCAGAAGGCCCTTTCCCTCGTCTGGAAGCAAAGAAATAACCATAAATGAGAAAAGTATGACATTCATGGTAAGAAGCAGTACACAGGGCATGACTAAACCATGGTAGTTTCAGGGGATGGAGGCATAGGAAGATAGTTATGGAATGTCTATGCCATGTTGCTGCCATCTATGTGGCACCTAAAACTGATATATACACACTCTGCTTTGGACCACAGAAATGTCAGAGATAAAAAGGTCACAAGCTGTCCTTAACTATGAACAGCTGACCACAGATATGTCTGTTTCTCAGAATGTTGGTGTCCTCCACCAAAGCCTCTTTGTGTTTGTATTTTATGTCTGTCCTCCTGAAGGACCCAAGCACTTATTCTGTTCTCAAAGTGCCGCTGATTCTGTTCTTCACCCCTGCTATTGCAGTATATATGCAGCTATATGCAGTAGCCTGGGTGGCTACTGTCATACTTGGACTTTGTAAGAAAAGGAACTGTTATTTGCTGAGGGCCATCTAGGGAGACTATAGTGCACAGATTAGAGTAAATGGGTTAAAATCAAATGTTTATAGTCAAACTGATTTACTCAAAATCCCTGTTCCTCCATTTCTAACCTAGGGGACTTTGGGCAAGTTGCTTAATGCCTGTGTGTCTCTGCATTCTCATATGTAAAATGAAAACACGAATAGCATCTACCTCACAGGATCACTGTGAATATTGAATGAGGGGCTGCATTTATCAGGCTTAGTCTGGAATACATTGGATGATCATTCAAAAATAGCTATTATTCATTTTCTCTTTGTGAAAAAATGTGCTTGGAAGCCCCAGTCTTCAACCTAGAAATGAACTCACAGAAAATAGACTGTTTGCTGCTCCCATTAACTCATCATTTACATTAGGTATTTCTCCTAATGCTATCCCTCCCCCATCCCCCCACTCCATGATAGGCCCCAGTGTGTGATGTTCCCCACCCTGTGTTCAAGTGTTCTTGTTCAATTCCCATGGCACTGCACACGTATGCATATGTAACAAATCTGCATGTTTTGCACATGTACTGTAGAACTTAAAGTATAATTTAAAAAAGAAAATAGACCATTTTTGGTTGAAGAACAGAAAACCCTGAAAGCTGTATCTGAGAACCTGCATATACAAGCAGACAATGGCCAGATAACATATAAAAATAAAACTCTGACCTACAACCAGCAGCGATACAGCCCAGGAAGGCAACCTATCTACAGAAATGAATCTAAAAAAACAAACTACTATCTGCATCAACCAGCCCGGGAAACTGAACAATAACCCCTGTAGCAATCAGCTCCAAACAGCCAAAACTTAAATAATAATTGACAGCTTCTTTAATTTTTGCCCCAGCTTCCAATTTAGGACCAACTGGAAAAAATTGAATCCATATTCCCACCCAATCACATAAGATGCCCCACTTCTAGTTAGACCATCTACCGCTTCCCCATGCCAACAACCTCCAATCAGGGCACACCTGAAGCCCTCCCTTTTCTCCACTGCAATGCTTTCTCATTCTTCTGCCTGCCTGTGAGTCTCTACCAAATGCAAGTCTTGATGGTTTTCTCTTTGTGACAGCAAGCTCTGAATGATAGTCTTTGCTTGTTCTCATTTGGACAGGCTTCATTTATTTCCACACACCTCTCAAACCACAAAGCTAGGCTGTTACAGCAATGGGAGCAAGGACTCAATCTGCTCTTGGCTAACCATTATAACACCAGCACCTAACACAATGTCTGGTTCATAGAGACAGAATGAATAAATAAAAATTTCCCTTTTCTGTCAGACCAGCTTTAGCACACTAGTGAAGGAAATGGAAACTGTGACAAAAGAGAGATTTTTCTTGAGAGAAGAGGTCAGGTAGGTAAGAGATCTTGGGTAAGGTTCAGCTCTTCCACTGTTTGTGCAATCTTGCTTGGATCACCATTCTGGAAGCCATGCAGGCCTCTTCTCCACAATATTCACAATATTAGGACAACCGTAATGCTCACTTACAAGGTGTTTTTGAGGATTTAATAGGATCCTGTGAGTGAAAATAGGGAATGAAGGCGAACTATTTTCTTTGTATGTCCTACTGCTCTGTTTATATTCTTTACTACTATACACAACTTTTAAAATATGGAACATTAAAAAAAAAACAAGAAAAAACTTTGTTACAGTTTTATACACACATTGAGTATTACATTTTAAAAGAAATATGAAATAATTATACTTTTTCACATTTTTAAAATATTCTGTTGGACATATTTTATTGTTTCAACAATAAACAACAGTAAAATTACTGAAATGGACTTTTGACACATAAAGGGTAGAATCCTCTAAGTTGGATTTTAACATGATTTTTAACTTAGTACACACATATGTTGAACTTTTATTTGCAAGGTGTTATGTTAGGTATGCGGAAGTTTATAAAGATGTGCAAGAGATTGTCCCCTGCTTTCAGAGACTGGTCCATAGAGGGAAATTTTAAAAATCCTTCTCAACTAAAATTTAATGTTGAATAAGGAAAATGACAACTGATGTGTCCATGGATGCAAAGTGAAGAAAGGGTGCTTCTTATTGAACTAAGTAAGAAAGACAACATGCAGGAGGGACATCTGCCTTCGTGTGAGAAGCTGCTTGAGGATTTTAATAAAAATAAGAGAAAGATATTCTAGGCAGAGGGCAGGAGCAAGGGGTCAGAAAGAAATGTGCCACAAATTTTTCTGCTATATACCCAAATACCACTGTAAATTTCTCCTTCACAGTACTCATTACAACTGTAATTAATTAATCAGTTAAACAACTTTTTAAAAATATCTCCCATGTGAACTCTTGAGTGAGTTGTGACTTTTTTTTAGTTTTATTTTAATTGACACATACTAATTGGTTAATCATAAAATAAGGATATTTAGCATATCCATCACCTCAAATATTTATCATTTCTTTCTGGTGAGAACATTCCAAATCCTCTCTTCTAGCTATTTTGAAATATGCAATATAATACCGTTAACTATAGTCACCCAACTGTGTAATAGAAGATCAAAAGTTTTTCCTCCCTTTCACCTAACTGTAACTTTGTACCTGTTGACCAGTCTTGTCCCATCCCCTCTCCCTGCTCTCTTCTGATAATCACTATCTTACTCTCTACTTCTAAGAGATAAACTTTTTCTTTTTTAGAGCTGATGTCTCACCCTGTTGCCCAGGTTGGAGTGCAGTGGAGAGATCATAACTCACTGCAGCCTCAAACTCCTGGGCTCAAGCAATCCTCCCACCTCAGCCTCCCAAGTAGCTGAGACTATAGGCATATGCCAGTATACCCAGCTAATTTTAAAAGTTTTTTTGTAGAGACAGGGTCTTGCTATGTTGCTAGTCCGGTCACAAACTCTTGGCCTCAAATAACTCTTCCTCCTTGGCCTGCTAAAGTAATAGAATTACAGATATGAGCCACAGCACCCAGCCAGGATCTCACTCACATGGAGAATAATTTTAGATTCTATGTATGAGTGTGATCATGTGGTATTTGTTTTTCTGTGTGTCACTTATTTCATACTAATGTCCTACAGGTCCATCCATGTTGCAAATAACAATATATCATCCCCTTTTATGGCAGAATGATATGCCATTGTGTATACAACCACATATTTTAACCACATATTGATGGGCACAAGTTGATTCCATATCTTGGCTATTGTGAATAGCCCTGCAATAAACATGGGAGTGAAGATATCCCTTTAATACACTCATTATTTCCCTTGGGTAAATACCCAGTAGAGACATTTTTCATAATGGTTGTACTACTTTACATTCCCGCCAGTAGTATATGAGCATTCCAGTTTCTCTGCATTCTTACGAGCAATTGTTATTTTTGTGTCTTTTTTACAATAGCCATCTACTGGGATAAGATGATATTTCATTGTGGTTTTGATTTGCGTTTCCCTGATGATTAGTGATGTTGACTATTTTTTCATATACCTATTGGCCATTTGTATGCTTTCCTTTGAGAAATGTCTATTCAGATCCTTTGACCAATTATAATTGGATTATTATTATTATTATTTTGCTGTTGAGATGTTTGAGTTTTTGTATAGACAGAATATTCATCCTTTGTCAGATTAATATTTTGCAATTATTTTCCTCATTCTACAGGTTGTTTTTCACTCTGTTGATTGTTTCCTTTGCTGTCCAGAAGCTTTTTAGTTTGATATAGCCCTATTTGCCTGTTTTTGTTTATGTTACCTGTGCTTTTGAAGTCCTAGCCGTAAAATCTTTTCCTAGACCAATGTCATAAAGCATTTCCCCTGTTTTCTTTTAGTAGTTTTGTAGTTTTAGTTCTTACATTTAAGTATTTAATCCATATTAAGTTGGTTTCTGTAAATGGTGAGAGTTAGAGACATAGTTCCATTCTTCTGCAAATAGATATCTAGTCTTCCTAGAACCACTTGTTGAAGGGACTATCCTTCTCCCAATGAAAAGGGGCTTTTGTCAAAAATCTGACAGCCATAAATATGTGGTTTTATTTCTTGATTTTCTATTTGGTTTTATTGGTCTATGTGTCTGTTTTTATGCCAGTAGCATGTTGTTTTGATTACTATAGCTTTGTAGTATATTTTGAAATCTGGTAATGTAATGCCTGCAGGTTTGTTGTTTTTACTCAGGATTGCTTTTAGGTCTTTATGGTTTCATACGAATTTTAGGAAATTCACATGAACAATAATAGAAGATTTAGAAATTTTCTATTTCTGTGAAGAATGTCATTGGTGTTTTGACAGGGACTGCATTGACTCTGTAGATTGCTTTGGGTAGTATGATCATATTGAAAATATTATTTTTTTCCAATTCAAGAGCATGAGATGTCTTTTCATTTGTTTGTGTAATCTTCAGTTTCTTTTATTAATGTTTTGTAGTTTTCATTATCAAGGTCTTTCATCTTTTTTATTAAATTCATTCCTAGGTATTTCTTTGTAGCTATTATAAATGGAATTGCTATCTTGATTTCTTTTTCAGCTAGTTCATTATTGATATATAAAATTGTTACTGATTTTTGTTGTTGATGTTGTATCCTGCAACTTTATTGGATTCAGTTATCAATTATAAGGTTTTTTTGGTGGAATATTTAACTTTTTCTATATATAAGATTACATGATCTTAAATAAAGAAAAGACTATAGATGTAGTCTGCAAAGAGGCATAATTTGACTTTCTCTTTTCCAATTTGGATGTTTTTTATTTCTTTTTCTTGCCTAACTTTTTCTGGCTAAAACTGCCTGTACTGTGTTGAATAAAAGTAGTGAAAGTGGGCATGTCTATCTTGTTCCAATTCTTAAAGGAAAGGGCTCCCCCTCCCTGCAATTCAATATAATACTATCTCTGGGTTTGTTATGCATGGCCTTTTTTGTTGCTGTATATTCATTTGATGCATAATGATATGGTTTGGCTGCTTTCCCACCCAAATTTCATTGAGAATTGTAGTTTCCATAATTTCCACGTGTTGTGGGAGGGAACTGGTGGGAGATAATTCAATCATGGGGGTGGTTTTCCCCATACTGTTCTCATAGTAGTAAATAAGTCCCACAAGATCTGATGGTTTTATAAGGGGAGACCCATTTCACTTGGTTCTCATTTTCTTTTTGCCTGCCTCCATGTAAGATGTTCCTTTGCTCTTCCTTCATCTTCTGCCATGATTGTGAATACTCTCCAACCATGTGGAACTGGTAGTCAATTAAAACTCTTTTCTTTATAAATTACCCAGTCTTGGGTACATCTTTGTTAGTAACATAAGAACAGACTAATACAGTAAATTGGTACCTGTAGAGTGTGGCACTGCTGTAAAGATATCCAAAATTGGAAGTGACTTTGAAACTGGGTATCAGGCAGAGGTTGAAACAGTTTGGAAAGCTCAGAAGAAGACTGAAAAATGTGAGAAAGGTTGGAACTTCCTAGAGACTTGTTGAATGGCTTTGACCAAAATGCTGATAAAGATATGGACAATAAAATCCCGGCTGAGGTGGTCTCAGATGGAGATGAAGAACTTGTTTGGAACTGGTGTAAGGTGACTCTTGCTATGTTTTAGCAAAAAGATTGGTGGCATTTTGCCTCTGCCTTAGAGATTTGTGGAAATTTGAAATTGAGGGAGATGATTTAGGATATCTGGCAGAAGAAATTTCTAAGCAGCACAGCATTCAAGAGGTGACTTAGGTGCTGTTAAAAACATTCAGTTTTAAAAGAGAAGAAGAGCATAAAAGTTCAGAAAATTTCCAGCCTGATGATGTGATAGAAAAGAAAAACCCATTTTCCGAGAAGAAATTCAAGCTGGCTGCAGAAATTTGCATAAGTAATGAGGATCCACATGTTAATTGCCAAGACAATGGGGAAAATGACTTCAGGGCATGTCAGAGAACTTTGCAGCAGCTCCTCCCACCACAAGACTGGAGGCCTAGGAGGAAAAAATGGTTTCATGGGCCAGGCCCAGGGCCCCCCTGGTATGTGCAGCCTAGGAACTTGGTGTCCTGCATCCCAGCTGCTCTAGCCATGGCTAAAAATGGCCAAGGTGTACCTCAGGCTGTGGCTTCAGAGGGTGCAAGCCCCAAGCCTTGGCAGCTTCCATGTGGTTTTGAGCCTGCAGGTGCACAGAAGTCAAGAATTGAAGTTTGAGAAGCTTCTCCTAGATTTCAGAGAATGTATGGAAGTGCCTGCATGTCCAGACAGCAGTTTGCTGCAGGGGCGAGGCTCTTATCCTCTGCTAGGGCAGTGTGGAAGGGAAATGTGGGGTTGAAGCCCCCACATATAGTCCCCACTGGGGCACTGCCTAGTGGAGCTGTGAGAAGATGGCCACTATCCTCCAGACCCCAGCATGGCAGATCCACCAACAGCTTGCACTGTGTGCCTGGAAAAGCCACAGACACTCAACACCAGTCAGTGAAAGCAGTTGGGAGGGAGGCTGTACCTTACAAAGCGACAGAGGTGGAGCTCCCCAAGACCATGGGAACCCACCTCTTGCATCAGCAAACCTTGGATATGAGACATGGAGTCATTTCCTCCAGAAATAAAGAAGAAATAGTCTTTCCCAGACAAGCAAAAATTCATCACCAGTAGACAGACCTTATAAAAAATGCTAAAGAGAGTGTTTCACCTGTAAGTGAAAGGATGACAAATACTACCATGAAAACATATGAAAGTATAATTCTCACTGGTAGAGGTAAATTACTATCAAATTTCAAATACTCCATTACTGCAATGGTGGCATATAACCTTTCAAATCTCTAGTATGAAGACTGTAAGTCAAAATGGTCAAAGATAACTATAACAAGTTTCTAAGGGACACACAATATAAAAAGATGTACATTAAGGTAATAAAATTATAAACTGAGGGGGAGGGCAAAAATTTTTGATCACATATATGTGATCAAAGTTAGATTGTTATTAGCTTAAAACAGCTTAAGTTTTCTTTTTAATGTAAGCTCCATAATAATCACATGGAAAAAAATTGTAGCAGATACACACATGAGAAAGAGAAAGGAATAAAAACTTATCACTGCAGAAAACTGACAATACACAAAGGTAAACAATAAGAGAGGAAGAAAGGTAAAGGGTTTTATATATATATATAAAATATATATAAAATATATATTAATATATTATAAAATAATATATAAAAATAAAATAATATATAATTATATATCATTTTTATATAATAAAATTATATATTATTTTTATATAATAAAATTATGTAATAATAATTTATTTATTTATAATTTATTTATATATTTATTATTTAATAATAAATATAATTATTTATTTTAATAATAATTTTATAAAAATATAATTTATTTATATATAAATAAATATATAAATAAATTAATATAATTAATATAATTAATTTATTAATATAATATAATTAATTTTTAATTATAATTAAATATTTAATTAATTAAATAATTAAATTAATTTAATTGTTTTAAATAAATTTAAAAGAATGCATTATTTTAATATTATATATTATATATTAATATATATTTATTAATAATTAATAATTAAATTAATCTAATTATTTAAATTATTGATTAATTTAATTTATTAAATTAATTAATATAATTAATTTATTAATAAATTATTATATAAAATAGTAATAAATATATTTATATATACTTATATATAAATATATAAATTTATAATTTATATATTTGTAATAAATAAATATAATTTATTTTACAATAATTTTATAATAATAAATATAATTTATACATTTATTAATTATAATAAATATAATTTATACATTTATTAATTATAATAAATATTTATTTATTATATAATAAATTTTATAATAAAATAATATTATATAATAATAATATATATAAAAATAAAATAATATATATAAAAATAAAATTATATATTATATATATATAAATAAAACCCAGAAAACAACGAAATGGGAGGAGTAAGTCCTTACCTACCAAAAATAACCTTAAATATAACTTGCTTACATTTTCCAATTAAAAGATAGAGAGGGGCTGAAAAGATTATAAAAAAAAAGACCTAAGTATATGCTTCCTACAAGAAACTCAATTCACCTGTAAAGACACACATAGACTGAAAATGAAGGAAGGGAAAATGATATTCCATGCAAATGGAAACCAAAAGAGAACAAGAGTAGTTATACTTATGTCAGATAAAATAGAGTTTAAGTCAAAAATGTAAGAAGAGACAAAGAAAATCACTATATGATGATTAGAGGTAAATTCAGAAAGAAGATTAGCAATTGTAAACATATATGCATCCAACACCAAACAACAAGGTACTAATATATAAAGTAAATATAATTAGAACTAATGAGAGTGATAGACTGCAATAAAATAATAGGAGGGATTATCAGTTGAGGACAGATCATCAAGGGTGCTTTCAAGGTTATTTGATGGAGTACGACCCAAGGTCACTCCAGCTTCTGAATGAAGGAATATGATGTGCTTATACTTAGAATTATTCTTCCCTATGATGACTGCAGATGACTAAGTGCTGACTTTCTTAATCTTCAGGATGAGTTCTTTTTCACATTCTTAGGATGAGTTCATATATATATATATGTATGTATAAACAAACTTCAATAAGGATGAGTTCCCCATGTGTCTCCCAGGAATTCTCGGACACATCAGAATCCCAACAAGGATTACAACTTAGACCCAAACTGGCTTGCACAATACAGAGGTCCTCCATGTCCCATGGATAAGGCTAATTAGAGAAAGTGAAGACCTAGACTGGTTGGGAATACAAGAAGAGACAAGGCTAGATAACAGCGACAGAATAAGTAGGATATTGAGAGGTTAGTTGAAAGCATATGTTAATGGTCAGAAGCATAAAAATGCTGAATGGCCAGAGTTTAGTATCTGGAAAGGGATCAAGCATTGAGATGAAAGCCCCAATGTTCTTGCTGGAATGTTAGAGTGGTAGATGGTTCACATGGTGGATGCTGGCAGATAGTACAGACCACTGAATTTTACTTTCCTGGAGTAAAATTCTTATGGCTTGGCTGAGTTACATCACCTCCATTTCCAATTCAGTAAGTGGTAGCTTTTATTACTGAAAGTGCTCTATCTTGCAATGTTTAAGAGGTAAAACAGTATACATAATGCAAATAGATGGGTATAATTAATCTCATATGGTGTATGAAGAGAAAAAGATGCCAACACAAATCACTGCCCAGAAGTCTTGATGTTTCACTGCCCTTGGAATCAGTGACACAGATTTAGTTATAGGTGAAGCTGCATTATAATGAGATCCTTCTGGTGGATTTGTAACTAAGTCCTCTTGGATGAGGTCCATTCAGACCACATGATACTGAATTCTGCCATTTCACATGATAAGTAATCATCTGTGAATATAGTATATTTTAATGGTGTCTGTCAGTTTTTAAAAAGTCAATTTAAATGGATAAATATATAGTTATGCATTTGACTCTATTTTTCCAGTATATGCCAAAAATTTGACATATTAAAACTTTAAACAACATTGGTGTTCTTCCAATTTTTAGAGTAAAGTTTATGTAGTTGAGACAAGCTATTGACTATAGGTTAGTGCTAAAATGTGTTTAGTTATTCAGGTTGTAGTAATAATAAAAAGCATAATAATAGCTTACATTGTCGAGTGCTTACAATATGCAAGAAATGTAAGACAGCTTTCTAAATGCTCTATGTGCAGTACCTTTACTCCATCCTTTTAAAAACATGAGGTAGGTACTGTTTCTTCTTTCATTTTAAGAAAAGAAACTACATCTTCATTCTCCCAAGAATGTACAATTATAGAGTGTTGGAATAGGAATTGGAGTCCAAACCTATTAAATTCTAAATCCATGTTCTTGACCGCTACTCAATACTGCTACTTTTTCTTAACAACAAAATCAGAATAAATATATCTAATATATTTATTAGCATTGTGTCCTGACACTGAGAAAAGGAAACAGAGAAATTAAAAATCTGCTAGGTTTATGTATGACAAACCCACAATCAGCATAATACTGAATGGGGAAAAGTTGAAAGCATTCCCCCTGAGAACTGGAACAAGACAAGGATGCCCACTTTCTCCATTTCTATTCAACGTAGTGTCAGAAGTCCTAGCCAAAACAATCAGGCAAGAGAGAAGGAAATAAATGACATTTAAAGTGGAAAAGAGGAAGTTTTCCAATGATATGATCATATACCTAGAAAACCCTAAAGACGCCTCCAAAACACTCCTAGAATTGATAAACAAAATCCACAAAGTCTCAGGTTTTAAAATCAATATACACAAATTAGTAGCAATGCTATACACCAACAATGATCAAGCTGAGAATCAAACTGAGGACTTAATCTCATTTACAATAACTGCAAAAAATTAAAATACCTAGGAATATACTTAACCAAGGAGGGGAAAGATCTCTGTAAGTAGAACTACAAAACACTGCTGAAGGAAATCACAAATGACACAAACAAATGGAAATACATCCCATGCTCACGAATTCAAAGAATCAATATTGTGAAAATGACTATAATGCTCAAAGCAATCTATAGAGACAGTGTAATTCCCATCAAAATGCCAGCATCGTTTTTCACAGAATTACGAAAACAAATTTTAAGATTCATATGGAACCAAAAAAGATCCTGTATAGCAAAGCAATCCTAAGCAAACAAAACAAAACTGTAGGCATCACATTACTGGACTTCAAATTATACTACAAGGCTACAGTTACCAAAACAGCATGGTACTGATATAAAAGTAGACATATAGACTAATGGAACAGAATAGAGACCCTATAAATAAAGCCAAATACTTACAACCAACTAATCTTTGACAAAGCATACAAAATATAAATTGGGGAAAGTATACCTTATTTAATAAATGGTGCTGGGAAAAGTAGATAACCACATGCAGAAGAATGATATTGGATGCCTATCTCTCACCTTATACAAAAATCATCTCAAAATGGATCAAAGACTTAAATCTAAAACCTGAAACCATAACAATTCTAGAAGATAACCTAGGAAAACTGCTTCTTGACATTGTCTTAGGCAAAGAATTTATGACTAAAATCCCAAAAGCAAATGCAACTATAATAAAAATAAATAAATAGGGTCTAATTATTTAAAAAGCACAAGAATTAATCATCAGAGTAAACAGACAACCCACAGAATGAGAAAAAATATTTGCAAACTATGAATCTGACAAAAGACTAATAGCCAGAATCTACAAGAAACTCAAACAAATCAATAAGAGAAAACAAATGATCCTATAAAAAAATGGGCAAATGACAGGAATAGACATTTTTCAAAAGAAAATATACAAATGAACAACAAATATATTTTAAAAAACACTCAACATCACTAATCATCAGGGAAATGCAAATTAAAACCACAATGAGATACCAACTTACTCTTGCAAAAATAGCTGCTATTAAAAAGAAACAATAGATGCTGGCATAGATGTGGTGAGAAGGGAATGTTTATACACTGCTGGTGGGAATGTAAATTAGTGCAACCTCTATGGAAAACAGTATGGAGATTTGTTAAAGAACTAGTTCTGCCATTCAATCTAACAATTCCACTACTGGATATCTACCCAAAGGAAAAAAAGGTATTATATCAAAAAGACACCTACACACCTATGCTTACTACAGCACAATTCACAATTGCAAAGATATGGAATCAACCTAAGTGCCCATCAACCAATGAGTGGATAAAGAAAATTTGGTGTATATACACTAAAGAATACCACACAGCCACAACAAAGAATGAAATAATGTATTTTGGCAGGGCGTGGTGGCTCATGCCTGTAATCCCAGGACTTAGGCAGGCAGAGGCGGGTGGATCACCTGAGGTCAGGGGTTCGAGACCAGCCTGCTCAACATGGTGAGACCTCATCTCTACTAAAAATATAAAAAGTTAGCCAGGCGTGGTGGCAGGCACCTATAATCCCAGCTACTTGGGAGGCTGTGGCAGGAGAATCACTTGAACCCAGAAGGTGGAGTTTGCAGTGAGCCGAGATAGCACCATTGCACTCCAACCTGGGTAACAATAGCGAAACCCTGTCTCAAAATAATAACAACAATAATAATAATAATAATAATAATAATAATGTGTTTTTAGCAACTTGGATAGAGCTGGAGGCCATTATTCTAAGTGAAGTAACTCAGGAATGGAAAACCAAATACTGTATGTTCTTACTTATAAGTGGGAGCTAAGCTATGGGTACACAAAGGCATACAGAATGATATAATGAACTTTGGAGACCCAACTGTGGGGGATGGGAAGGGAGTGAGGGGTACAAACCTACCTACTGGGTACAATGTACACCACTCGGGTAACAGGTGCACTGAAATATCAGACTTCACTATACCACTATTCAATTCATCCATGTAACCAAACACCACGTATACCTCTAAAGATATTGAAACAAAAAAAAATTAAAAAAAATTAAAAATCTGCTAGGTTTAATCAAGAAGTATTTCTTGAATATCTAGAATGTGTTCAGCAAAGATGAAAAGCAGAAGGGATATGATCTCTGCTTTATAATTTATAATCTGTAATTGGGAAAAAAAAGAACCCTCAGAAAATAATAGCAAGCAGAAGAAGAATAAATAGAATTAATGGGGAAAGAAAAAGTAATAGAATTAACGGGGAAAGAAAAAGTATGTGGACAGACCTTTAATACCTGAGATGATGGGATCATTGGGGAATGAAGTGACCAGCAGATTTAGAACAAATGAGACTTGATAAGTCAGAAGGAAAAGGTAACATCTTTGTTACATCCTCTTTGTCTTAAAAGAAAGGTATTATACATTTACACACATACGTGAACCACACTTTTTTAAAACATGGAATAAACATATACACCTGAAGTATATAAAACATATATGTAGGTTCCAATGATTAATTATAAAGCAAATACAATATAACTCCCTCTCAGGTTAAGAAATTGAAAATAACTGATTTCCAAAATCTCCCCATGTGTCCTTCCCAATCCAAACTCCCTTGAAGCACATTTGATGAACTTGTATGACACAAAGAAAGAACTGTAAATAGAGCCCAACAATTGTATTCCTGGCAGCTTGTTGTTCTGAGTTAAAAATGGCATAGACAGAGTGAAATTTTAGTCATGTCCTGAAAAGCAGAAACCCTCACCAATAATTAAGCCAGTCTCTGCTTAACCAAACCTGTGTGTGTCTCACAATGAGTAACTGATCAACAAGAAGTTTCTCAAGTAACTTTCCAGATGTTGCTGATTGAGACATCCTTCAGCTACCATGACAAATAGGGCAGAATTAAGTGAATGGCAGGCATGCGACACGAAGGTAGCCAGGCCTATCTTGACGGGACTCTACCATTCAGCAGCAGGCCCTTGATGCTGAGTAATCTGGATAAACACAACTGAACAAAGGTTAAACCTACTCTTGTTTGAATTAACTCTAATCCTGCTCATCAGCCTTAAGGAATGGAGCAGTCATATTTTTTGGAACACACAGTAACAAGAAAAGCCTAATTAGAGAGCAAAGGGTAGATGTTTAGCAGCTCTAATAAATGTAATGTGCTGAATGCATTATCTATTTGGCAGAAAACAAATTATGGTGTAATCTGCAGCATTCAGGCAGTCTAATTTATGGCATCTCATTTAAGGAAATTCTTTAACCCAGCATTTTGAGATCATAAAGCACATTTTAACAAATGCAAGCATGATTTTCTGGAATTCAGAGAGACCTTTAAGAGATGGGAATTTTCTGGAATATACCAGGACCATTTGAATGTGTTTTTTTTAAAATAAATTAGTTCATAAATACTATCCTAGCAGCTTGATATTACCAAATGATGGGAAAAATTTTTTTAAATATTTTTTTCTGAAATAAATGGAAAATTTTTCACTGCACAATTGTTTTGTAGGACTCACTCAATATTTGATCATTGTTGCTTGTAACCTTTCAATTGCCTTTGGTTGTGCTTAGAAACCCAGTTTCCAGCCTTCCTACTCCACACCTCCCCCAGCTCTCCTAGCCAACTAAGCTTCAGCCATGGTGGCCTACTTTCTGCTACTCTATAAGGCTACTTCTGGCCTCAGGATCTTAGCACTGGCTCCTTGCCTCTGCCTGAAAAGCTCTTCTGCAGATTCTTGTGTGGCTGGTATCTTCTTATGATTTTTTTACAGTGCCTCTTCTACAGAGATATCTTCTCAGATCACTTTCTATTCAAGGTTCTCCAAACACTCTCCTGTTACTCTGATTTTCTTCACAGTACCTACAACTACCTGAAGTTAACTCAGTTGTTTATTTACTGCCTGTCTCACCTATTAGAATATACATTCCACTGAGCAGTGACTTCATCCTGTTCAATCACCTTTGATCTTCACTGCCAAGAATAAAACTGAAGGTATGGTAGGTGCCCACCATATTAATGCCAATATGAATAAATGAGTGAATATAATGGAGAGAAACTTAGGTAAATCTCAGTGCCAGAATTCCTACCAGTCTGGAAAATTTAATATCACAAGTTGTATTTTAAATGTTCTTCATTAACCTAGAAAAAAAATACCTAATAGCACCAATATCAGAAGTACTTTGTGTTTGTGTGTATAACTGTAACAACCTTCCTATGATTGGCTAAAAAATATATTGCGTATACAAAATGTCTTTTTCTTGCCAGTGGGAAAACTAATGTTCAGAATGGCTCATCTACTTATTCAAGTTAGAAAGTATCAGAGACAAAATCAAAGTTAATATTCAATGATTTCATTTATAAACTGTGAATTGATCTTCCCACAATTTTCTTCTGGCTGGAAATATACAAAATAGGTGATAAATGAAGAACTAGTCATACAATATGTCAATGGCTTTGTAATAAGAATAATTGGTAAATTTGCCTTGAATTATTCATTTTTTTCTTACTTTTCTCTTTCTTATAGGCAAAGTGAACACTCTTTTTCCTTTTATTATAATATATGCAAATTTTAAAAATGAGTTCTATTTTAACATTTTTTTGTCAATCTACATTATCAAAATGACGTTCCATGCCTGAAAGGTAGTCACCTGTCTACATTGAACTATAGTTACTGTGCAGTTCATTATTTACACAAATGCTATAAATCGAGGTATTGCACTAATAGTGGGCTTGATATGCAGATATCACTTGTCTAAGTCATATGAAATATAGTATTTCTCATTATTATATTATGCCATCCTAGTGGTCTTGAGGAGAGTCAAATGAAGACCTATTTCTCAAACGACTAAAACCAACTCAAGGTGCCTATTCCAAATGGTAGGTTGTTACTTTCCCTCAGATTTCTCACAATGTTACAGTTATGTAGGTGCTGAGAAGGAAGCACTCTACCAATAAACCCAAGAAGGCTCTGGAATATTTATCCCAAATTATGGCCAACCCAATAAACTAAAATAAGAATGGACATTTTCATTGCTTTCACAAGAGTCAAATAAAAATCATTGCTTAAAAGTTTTAATACCTTTGGAAGACCAATAATACACTCTGGATCCATTTTTGTGTGTGTGTGTGTGTGTATGTTTTGTTTTGTTTTGTTCGGTTTGGTTTGGTTTGAGACAGGGTCTTGCTCTATCACCCAAGCTGAAGTGCAGTGGCACGATCACGACTCACTGCAGACTTGACTTCCCGGGCTCAATAAATACAGCCACCTCAGCATCCTGAGTAGCTGGGATTACAGGCATTTACCACCTCACCTGACTAATTTTCATAATTTTTTTAAGAGATGGTCTCACTCTGTTGCCCAGTCTGGTCTCAAACTCATGGGTTTCAGTGAATCTGCCTGCCTTGCCTCCCAAAGTGCTGGAATTACAGGCATGAGCCACAGCTCCTGGCCTGGATCCATTTTTAAAGTCTGCCCTTTTTGCCTCCCTGGTTGAACTTAATGCTAGAAAATGCTTTTCCACCATGGATACTCCTTTGCCTATATGCTTCTAGTTCTAGTCAAAGTCCATATCCCATCTTGCCTTAAGGGGAACATGTTTTTGGAGGAAGTCAAGGTTTTAATCATTTTAACATAACTCATTGTGTGATGCTACGGCTACAGGCAAGTGATTTGACTATTTTAGCTGCGTGGAGCTTCTAACAAGTTAGCACAAGCATTTATCAACTGAGCAATTTGTTATCATTTTTAGGAATAATAATTTAAGCAAATCAATTATGCACTTGTAGATATAGCTATTGGCTTTGTCTACATCAGTGATTCTTAGATTCTATCGCCTATCTCCTGAAACAGTGTATCAGACACTTAGGTTTCATGAAGCTACTCTTGGTTCAAAAATGTATTGTAAACAAAGTAGAAAGAATAATCCAAGGCAAAACTATAGAGACAGTAAAAACATCAGTGGTTGCCAGGTGCTAGTGTGGAGGGACGGATAAATAGACAAAGCAGAGAGCATTTGTAGGGCAATGAAACTATGCTATTCGATACTATAATGATAGATACATGTCATTATGCATTTGCCCAAATTCATATAATTTAAAACACCAAGAGTGCACCTTAATGTAAACTATGCACTTTGGGTGGTAATAATGCATGAAGGTAGGTTCAGCAATTGTAACACAGGTACTACTGTTTTGTTTTTTTTTTTTTTTTGAGACGGAGTCTCGCTCTGTTGCCCAGCCTGGAGTGCAGTGGCGCATCTCTGCTCACTGCAAGCTCCGCCTCCTGGGTTCACACCATTCTCCTGCCTCAGCCTCCCAAGTAGCTGGGACTACAGGCGCCCGTCACCAAGCCCAGCTAATTTTTTGTAATTTTTTTTGTTTTTTTAGTTAAGACGGGGTTTCACCATGTTAGCCAGGATGGTCTCGATCTCCTGACCTCGTGATCCGCCCACCTCGGCCTCCCAAAGTGCTGAGATTACAGGCGTGAGCCACCGCACCTGGCCACAAATGTACTACTCTTATATGTGATGTTGATAATGCATGTATGGGGCACAGAGTATATAGGAAAGCTCTGTACCTTCTGCTCAATATTGCTGTGAACCTAAAACTGCTCTAAAAATAAATTCTATGAAAAAGGATAATCTTGTCACTAAAGGAAAATTATTGTTAACATTTATGTGTATCTCCATGAATCCAAGCATTCATACAAAATAAAGTTATATTACAAAGTAAAGTTGTAGTATACAACATCAAATATTCTTCCCTAACTTTATTATCCATAAATGCATGGCATTCTTGTCAGTATATACCAAAACTTATTTAAGCATTCTGTTGTTTTTGGAAATATAGATTATACCCAAGTTTTCTGTTTATTCATTTGTATTTTGCTTCTGTAAACAAAGCTACAAAAATATTCTGACAGCTATATCTTTCAGTATGTTCACAATTAGTTTACTTGCATTGTTTGGAAATAAGATTTGGCATATATAATCAAATAATTCATTTAATCTAAAGGTAAAGTTAGAGGTGTTATCATATTGTGACTATGATCTCTTCAGAGCACAGAACTTTGGCTAATAGTAACAGTAAGAGTAGCAGCAATTATTATTGTTGTTGTTTTTATTTTTATTTATTGGGTATTTAGGTATCAAGCACTATGCAAAGCACTTTACAAACAAAGCCTCGTTTAATATTTATAAAGCTTTCTTGAAGAAGGTATTATTATCCCATCAATTATTTATGAAAAAAATAGCAAAAATTGAATGCATCACAGTCTTTAGGTAAACTGTTTTAGTATCAAAATATTGTTATATCTATTCAGTTGTTGGTATTGCCTACATTGTACATAGCTATTTATGTAAACTTTTATTTTATTCTTTTTTTAGGTTTTTTAAATTTTTTTATTTTTTATTTTATTATTATTATACTTTAAGTTTTAGGGTACATGTGCACAATGTGCAGGTTAGTTACATATGTATACATGTGCCATGCAGGTGTGCTGCACCCATTAACTCGTCATTTGGCATTAGGTATATCTCCTAATGCTATCCCTCCCCCCTCCCCCAACCCCACAACAGTCCCCAGAGTGTGATGTTCCCCTTCCTGTGTCCATGTGGTTCTCATTGTTCAATTCCCACCTATGAGTGAGAACATGCGGTGTTTGGTTTTTTGTCCCTGTGATAGTTTACTGAGAATGATGATTTCCAATTTCATCCATGAGTTTTAATCATGAAAAATTTCAAACATATATTGGCCTAAATTTCTCACCTGCATCCATACCTTTGGCCACAGAACTTTGTTGCACTCTAACCTTCTGCCATGTGACTTGTTGAGGTCAATAGAATGAAGCTACTTTGAAGCCAAGGCCTGCAGAGGCTTTCTGTATTTCACTTGTCTTCTTGCACCTGTCACAGAAGTAAACATGTGCCTGTCTGGGCCGTTGAAGAATGAGAGGTTTGTGAAGCAAAGCTGAGATGCTTCAGTCTTCCAACCATGGACATCGTCAGTCAGCTGACAGCCAGCTAACCCCAGACATGAGAATGAGCCCAGCCAAGATCAGTAGCACCACCGAAGCCACTAACAGTCAACCACAGAGGTGTGAGTAATAAATATTCATTGTGGCATGCCACTGAAGCTTTGTGAGTGTTTGTTATGAAGCACTACCCTAATAGCTAGTTGATACACATAAAAGAATAGAGATAATATTGTACCACACCCTCATGCATCTATTATCCACTTTCAACATCATTCAACACATGGCTCATCTTGTTTCCTATATACTCACTACTTCCATCCGTATTATGTTGAATCAAATCCCACACTCTGGATTTTGTTTTTCACAGACTTGTGGTGTCATTTGCCATGTTCTTCTGCCCTTTAATTTCCCATAAACTTGTGGTTTGATCTAAAGACTCAGATAAGCTCAGGTTTCATTTTTAGGCAGCGATACTTCAGAGCTAGTTATAAATTCATTTTGTATCACCTGGGGAGCTTGCCATGTCTAGTTAGTATCTTTCTCTCTTTGTGATGTTAATATTAAACAGGCATTCAGGCATTGCAAATTTGATTCATCTATTAGAGGCTTCTCACAGTGTTTCATCTAACCGTTTTTGCAGATTATAAGGGTTTTCACCTAGATCGGTTATTTTATTCTGGGCTGCCAAATAGTGATATTTTAATTCTATAATTCCTTATGCATTTATTCCTTGGAATTTATCTGTAAAGAGGGACTTTCTCTTCATGATTATTTGGCTATCTTAATGTACAGATGGCTCAGAAGTAATTCTCCCCCTTTATTGATTAGTTTTCAGAAGAGTAAATTGGCTTCTAAAAATCCTCCAAATATGACTAATGAGTTTGAGTATTTTTGAGAGTCATTAATGAACTCAATGATGTCAGCTTAGTTTGTGTATTTAAGCCCATTGTAGTAATTACACAAGCATTTTTCAAAAGAAAAAGTTATAAAAATCATGTTTTGCTTCTTTTATATCACTACTATATATAGTACATTTTTATTTCAACTGAGCCTATCTTTAATATTGTAATCAGGTGTACTTATTCTATTCTCCTGACTGTTTTTAGCTATAAAATATATTTATTCCGTTTATAATGAAAATTATTTTGCTATCAGTCAGTCTTCTGGATATTCATTGTGAGTAAAAATGTCTTCTCTTGGGGATATTTTTAAAAAATGGTCTATTCATGGAATTTGTTAAGTTAATTGACTTAATATATTTATTAAGCTCTATGTAATTCAGACATCAATGCCATGGCATTATCTGACACCCACACACACACAGACACACACACACACAAATTTCTCCTATTTAGAAACCTATTTGGACGTTATTATTTCAAAGAAAGTTCTAGGAGAGGATTAGAAAATATCGTGTGCGTGTGTGCAAGATTCCAGCGACTAGAGATGCTTGACTTGCAAAAGAGCTTTAGACACTTATGAAATATACGAGCTCAAGGTCAAAGAACTCTGAAATTTCCTGGGTGTGGTTCTTGCCAATGTGACGAAAGTTGATGTACTGCTACTAGGAAAGTCCTGGCAAAATGGAGTGTATAAGGAACTTTCTGTACCGTTTATTTACTTATCAGGAAAAACATATGGTAAACAGAAATTGGCTCTTCAAAATGCAACTGACCACCCTCCTCTACCCCAATTCTACCCCGTTAATACTTTCTGCCCCTATACAGGATACTCTTCTCATGCATCTAGCTTCATTTCTAATTATTTACATTTCTTATTTCATAGGAACATTTGGCTAATAAGATTATACCAGATCATCCACCAATGTGCCATCCTAACTATGTAAATGACAGAGATCTGAAGATCATTTTGTTTTCTATATGACAAAGTGAAAGTTATTTACCTCTATACTAAACATGTACTGGAATTGATATCATTAAATTTTGCCTTATAGTATGATAGGGAGACATTTCCATAAGCAATGTGTATCTATTGTAGAAAGATTGGAAAATTCTGAAGAGCACACAGAATAAAATAGAAATTGTGTAATCACACAATTCCAATATTGCTACTCTTATCATGTTGGGTTTTTGTTCTGCATCTTTTTGTAATATGATACCAGTTTTTGATGATCCACTGTGTTAGCTTGTTCTCGCACTGCTATAAAGAAAGACCCAAGACTGCGTAATGGATAAAGAAAAAAGGTTTAATTGGGTCATGATTCTGTAGGCTGTACAGGAAGCATAGTGGCTTCTGCTTCTGGGGTGGCTTCAGGAAACCTACGATCACGGCGGAAGATGAAGGGGGAGTGAACACCTCATATTGTTGGAACAGGAGCAAGAGAGAGAGGGGAGACTTGCTGAACGCTTTTAAACAACCAGATCTTGTGAAAACTCTTATCAGGAGAACAGCACCGAGGGGATGGTGCTAAACCATTCATGAGAAACTGCACCCATCATCCAAGCATCTACCACCAGGCTCTGGAGATTACAACAATGGAGATTACAGTTTAACATGAGATTTGGGCAGGGACACAGATCCAAACTCTATCATCCGCCTTAATTAATTTCTGAAACTAGGTGAGAAAAAGACACATTTTGAAACTTTGATAGTACTCTCTGGTACTTTCTCCTTTAAAAGCAAAAAAAAAAAAAAAAGGTCCAACATGAAACTAAAATGTTTCTGCGCATGAAAGGAAACAACAGAATGAAAAGACAACCTACAGATTGGGGAAAAAAGGTGTAAAGCATCTATTGAATAAGAGGTGGATATTCAAAATTTATAAAGAACTCATACAACTCAATAGCAAGAAAACATATAACATAATTTTAAAAATGGACAAAGGACCTGAATAGACATTTCTCTAAGAAAGATGTAAAGATGGCCAACAGGTATATAAAAGGATGCTCAACACCATTATAAGGGAAATGCAAATCAAAACCAGTATAAGAGGCTGGGCCTGGTGGCTCACGCCTGTAATCCCAGCACTTTGGGAGGCTGAGGCGGGCTGATCACTTGAGGTTAGGAGTTCAAGACCAGCCTGGCCAACATGGTGAAACCCTGTCTCTACTAAATACACAAAAATTAGCCAGGCATTGTGGTAGGTGCCTGTAATCCCAGCTACTGGGGAGGTTGAGGCAGGAGAATCGCTTGAACCCAGGAAGCGGAGGTTGCAGTGATCCGAAATCGTGCCATTGCACTCCAGCCTGGGCAACAAGAGTGAAACTCCATCTCAACAAAATAAAAAAAAGAAAACCACTATAAGATATCACTTCGTACCCATTAGGATAGCCATTATCAAAAAGACAAGAGGTAAGTGTTAGTAAGTGTGTGGAGAAAAGAGAACTCTTGTACACTGTTAGTGGGAGTATATATTGGTGCAGTCATTATGGAAAACTATATGTGGGTTCCTAAACAAATTAAAAATAGAATTACCATACGATCCAGCTACTCTGCTTAAGGGTATATACCCAAAGGGAATAAAATCACCACCTTGAAAAAAAAATCTGCACTCCCAAGTTCATTGTAGCATTATTCACAATAGCCAAGATATAGAAACAACTAAAGTGTCTGTCGACAGATGAATGAATAAAGAAGCTGTGGTGTGTATATATACAATGGAGTATCATTCAGCCTTAATAAAGCAGACCCTGCAGTTACCACAAAATGGATGAAGCTGGAGGACATTATGCTAAGTGAAATAAGCTGGACACAGTAAGAAAAATATTACAGAATCTCACTTTTATGTGGAATCTAAAAAAAAAAAGAGTCAAAGATACAAAGATAAAAAATAAAACAGTGGTTACCAAGGGCTGAGTGGTGGGGAGAAATTGGGAGATGCAGGTCAAAAGCTACAAAGTAGCAGATATGCAGGTGAACAAATTTGAAGACCAAATGTTCAACATGAGGACTATAGCTAATAATAGTGTATTGTATTCAGGATTTTTGTTAAATGAATAGATTATAGCTGTTCTTGCCACAGGTAAGAAAAATGGCAAAAATTACGTGAGATAATGGATATGTTTGTTTCACTATAGTAACAATTTTACTATATATGTGTCTCATAACATTATGTTGTATACCTTACATACCCACAACAAAAATTATTTTATTAATAATTGCAAGGCTATGAAACAAACCCAAAGAGTTTTCTGAATTGATAAAGAGGGTTGATCTAGGAATATATGTGAGAAGTACAGGAAGTGAAGTTTTGGTTCAACTTAAATGAAATTGATTTTCTAATATTTTAAGATCACAAATAATAATAGTATGCTGAAACCAGCTTGTACTTCTTCATGAGAGAGGACTGTTAAATTTTAAGAAATCTAGCAAACTGACTGACATCAGGTTGGTAGACTGAAATTGACCATAGTGGGAGAATTTACATCATGGAAATTAGCAAATGCTACAAACCAAGGCTTCCCACCTCACTCACATGCAGCACACTACAGCCACAGGGTATAGAAAGGTAATGTACATGACTGAACAGACCAGGTATCTAAAGTTAGGGAGTGGTCTAGACTATGACAAACTCAAGAGCCCTGTGTAAGGAAATCTCCTCAGTTCTAGACAGTTTGATATGGGAAAGGTGATTCAGCGTTTTCATTCTCTGTTTTATGAAATAAACCGAGAAATCTAGATATTTAAATGTGAAATTCTTTGAATTTTAAAACACCATTAAAGAAGTGGGGAAAAGGTGCTCTTCGGCTGAATACAAGCTATGGGCCAACCATTTTCAACTTTTGTTTAAAAAATGTGAGTTCCTTTTTCTCACTATGTCAAGCAGAGGGTAAGTGTTGTGGAGAATGGCAAAAGAGAATTCTTGCTTTGATAATTCTTAATGGAGGAAGTGTAAGGCCCTTCCAATGCAAAAACCTTCATGACTTTAGGAGGCTTTTCTTCTCCAAATGCCTTTTATTATTTGGGGGCATCACTCATGTACAGTCACGTGATATCTCTGTGGTCATGTTGAACTCCGCTTTATCTCTTGCACCAAGGGATACTGAAATCTGTGTTCTGGAAAGTTTGGAGACTAATGATTTCATAGCATCTTAGAATATTAGGGCTGGTAGATGATTGGTAAATCAACCAGCCTAAGGGTTTTTAACCCAGAATCCATAACTGAGCCTGGATGGTGGTTACAAATCCACTGAAAGTGTTCCATAGATTTCATCCATTATTCAAGTGTTCATGATCCAAAACTGGGTAAGAACCACCAATACATTAAGTTTCTTCAGTTACTCAACAGAGGTGGATAGAGTACTGGCTCCGTGCCAAATTACATGGGTAAACACTGGAGAACAAGCAAAATAGACACCTGAGTCTCTCTCCTCAAGGTGCATAAAATCTTGAAGAGGAGGCATACAATTAAACAAGCAACTATAATAAAGCACAGTTATCCTGTGACAAAAGAAGCACAAAGGATTGGGAAACTCATAAACGAGTATCTATCTTAGCCTAAGATGGATGGGTCAAGTGTTTTTAGGAAGAAGTATTGAAAGAAGTGACATTTAAATTAAAATCTGGAGGAAGAGTAGTAACTGGCCATTTGAAAAGATGGTTATCCCTCCAAATAGTTCAGAACCAGACTATAAACAGCAATTTCATTTAACATAGAAAGAAACTGAGACCTAAAAACCTGGAAAATCTTCCTCAAGTGACTTGAATACAGCATATACTGAAGAAAAGTTTGACATATGAATATGAATGAGTAAACAAACAATAAAAACAAAGACTCCTCTGTTGCAGAACACTGAGAAAGCTCGTTTACCTCTCCTCTGGGATTTATCCACCCATGTTGGAAACTGAGAATGCAATAACCCAACATCATGAGGAGAATCAATTAATCAACCCAATGAGGCTAGTTTTTCCATAGATTGTGGCTTTGGCTGACTTGGCCTTATTCTTTGCCTGTTGGAATTGTTCCTGCCTCTACATGCAGCCCTGCTTCTTAACCCATCATAAGTTTGAGCAGGAAGAATAAAAGAATGAAACTTAGTGGACCCCACTTTTAAGATGCCAAATACACTTTCCTTTCTTTGTAGGATTGGATATAGGAAAACATTATTTGTATACCCCTAAATTTTAAAGAACTTCTTGGGTGAGAAGCCTTGCTCATGCCTTATATTTTCAGATCAGATCTTTTCAGACTTTCTTTTAAAAAATGCAGTCATTAAAATGTTCACTTTTGGTCCCTGTTTTCTTCCTTATGACACCTGCTACATGATTATAAAACCCCACACCTCTGAGGAATTCACTTTTAAGGAAATAAGTATTAATAAAAATTGTAACTGTATGTCAGAGAAAACATTTTCTGTCATCTCTGAGACATTTGGGTACCAAGGATCCCAAGATTCTAAAGAAAAGTTATAAATATCTACCTGTAAGACTTGCTAAAAGTTGGCCAAAACCTTAATTGGGACTCTTATGTTACTTATCCTAACTACAACACTTTGAGAGCAAAAGAGGGCACTATTAGTAATTACACAGGGTCAAGAGGTATAAACCAGAATACATGATAACTTTAAGGCAATATTTCTCTCCAGCCCAAACAAAAGACAAAGAATGATTTTTAGCCCCTGTCAAGGTTAATGAAGGGGGATCCAAGAGTAATTAGGTTATTTTTTCCTTACCACCTGGGTGACTGTTGAAATAAAGTAACTCACAGGTTATAGTTGAATGGTGGCCTCCAAAAATAATATCTACGTCCTAACTCCCAAAACTGTTGAATGTGACCTTATTTGGAAAAAGGATCTTCACAGATGTAATTAGGAATCTTAAGGAGTGATCATCCTGGATTACTCAAATTGGCCCTAAATCCAATGACAATTGTCCTCATAAGAGACAAAAGAAGAGAAGGTAAAGACACAGAAGAAAAGTCCACATGAAGATAGAGGCAAAGATTGAGGACCAAGGAGTGTCTGGAGCTACCAGAAGCTGGAAGAAAAAGGAAGGATTCTCCCCTCAAGACATTGGAGGGGACATTGTCTCACTGACACTTGATTTTAAACTTCTGCCTCCAGAACTGTAAAAGAATAACATTCTGCCATTTTAAGCTACCAAGTTTGGCATAACTTGTTACAGCAGCCCTGGAAAATTAATATAAAAACCCATAAAAAAATGGAGCACAAGAGAATTTTGGGGAAGATTATTATTTTGAGTTTAAAGTTATAGAGCCTCATGTCTGACCCCTGCAATGTCAAGGAGAGGAGAGAAGGCCACAGGCAGAGCAAGTTGCACTTCCACAGAGAGCAGAGCAAAGATTCATGTTTTCTTTGGACTAAGTAAACACCTCTGTGATTTGTAATGGAAAGACCATTAGATTTGTAATGGAAAGACCATTCCCAAGAGGTCTGCTTTCAGAGATAAAGCGACCCCAGCAATGGACTGCTAGGGCCAGAGCTGAGGAAGTGTATTAGTTATCTACTGCTATATGACAAATAATCCCCAAATTTATCAGCATTAAACAACACATATTTAATGTATCACACCATTTCTAAGGATCAGCAATCTGGGAGCAGCTCAGCTGGTGATTCTAGCTCAGAGTCTCTTATGAGATTGCACACAAGCTGTCATGTGGGCTACCATCATCTGAAGGCTTGACTGGGGCTGTAGGATCCATATTCAAGTTCACTCACATGGCTGTTAGAAGGTGGCTTCAGTAGTCTTCATAGGGTTACTTGCAACATAGTTGCTGGGTTTTTCAGGAGCAAGCAATGTGGTAGAGAGGGGTGGGGAGAGGCCAAGAGGGAAGCTACAGTATGTTTTTTTTTATTATTTATGTATTTATTTTATAGAGATTGAGTCTCACTGTGTTGTTCAGGCTGGTCTTGAACTGCTGGCCTCAAGCAATTCTCCTGCCTCAGCCTCCCAAAGTGTTGGGATTAGAGGTGTGAGTCACCATGCCCAGCTGCTACAGAATGTTTTATAACCTAACCTTGGAAGGATATACCATAATTTCTCCTGTATTAAATATCAAGGGTGGTATAATGTGGGACTACACAAGGGTGAATACCACGAGAGAGGTAATTATTGGGATCCATCTGGTGGCTTCCACAGGCAGAGTTGTAAAGAGAAAGTGTATAGTAGCCATCAGGGATTTGTGTCATCAGGAGGTAACCTGTGATTATAGTAGTCATGGAGTGGCCTTCCAAAACACCATGAAGCCATCACAAAGAGAAAGAGCCATTGGATGCCTAATATGACAAAGGGCTTCAATAACCAAGAGAGAACTACAAGAACTATAGATGACACCTTCTAAGTTCAAAGAACTTTACCCCCTTCTCCTTTATTTTCTTTCCCCACAATTCTACCTTCATAACAGAGTCAGAAACAGCAGGGGTGGTTGGAGAGAAAGCAAATCAAAGAAAAGAGAAAAAAGATGGATAATGATACTTGCTTCACAGCCTGTCAAAGGAAATTCAGAGGAAGTATGAGTTGGTAAAAAAGTAGAGACTCTGAATTTGATGAAAATTTGAAGTTTTTATTTTGCTTACTTTTTATTATGAAAAATTTCATTCATTTGCAAGAGTAGAGAGAATAGCATAATGACCCCAGCTTCAGCAATTGTTAACATTTTGTCACCTGCTCGTTTATTCATGGCTGTGTTCCTCTTCCTCTGTTTTCATTTTTTTCTCATCTTCTATGATTTCTTAGACTTCTCTGACCAACATTGCCCAGAGAGCTTCTGTTTTTCTGAAGTTCTGGTTAAGTTTCAGTAGAGCCTAGAGCCCAGAGCCCAGATTTTAGAGTATCAACATCCTTCACTCTGTTCTCATCTCGAGGGCTCCAACAGATGCCAGTATTAACTAACAAAGATTTAAGAAAGAGAAAGAAAGCAGGGAACAGAAGGGACAGGACAAAAGATGGACATCAACAACTAGATTCAGAAACAGACTTCCTGGACTAGAGCAGGAGGGTTATGGATAGCTTGTGCTCAGGACTGGCCAATGTGCAGAAGCTGCTGAAAGGCCTGGGAGTGATTTCATATTATAGGTGCCAGGAGAGATCAGGATAGGCAGTACAGTGAAAAGAATCTAAAACTAAAAGTCAAGAGTGGGTGTTCATCCCAGATCTGCTTCTAATTTTCAATGCAACCTAGGTCAAATCACATCTCTCTGGTCTCCAGGGTCTTCTTTTGCAAAAATCAGTGGTAGGAATTGACAAGCTAACTTTAAAATTCATCTAAAACAATCTCTTTCAACTTATTATTATTATTAATATTATCACCACCCAAAAGAGCCCTTTTAATTTTTTTCTAATCATCCCCCTATAAAATATTAATACCACCAATATGTATCTGTTTATCTACTGCATTTATATCTTATGCATAAAACAGTAAGATTTTTTTTGCTCACTAAAAACTAATTTTCACCCTCTTGGGGGTGATATCACACAAGTCATTGAGAATGTATGGTCTAGAATTTAAAAGGTAGAAAATAATTTCAAAAAAATACAGAACAAGAAGAAATATGAAAGACCACTTTCCTAACCTAACATCAAAACATGCTAAAAATTAAATTAATAAAAAAAGTGTTGGTATAGCAATAAAAAATGAAGCAGAATAGCATCTTGAAATATATTCACATATATATAAAATATTTAGGAATTCATTTTGATTAGCTTGGCATTTCAAAATCAGTGAACAAAAAATATTTAAAAAGTGATTTTGGGGAAATAGACAACCACTTGGAAAAACTAACTAGATTCCTGCACCATCTACACAAATAAATTGTAGGTAGATTAAAGAGTTAAATCTAGGCCAGGCATGGTGGCTCACACCTGTAATCCCAGCACTTTGGGAGGCCGAGGCGGATGGAGCTCCTGAGGTCAGGAGTTTGAGACCAGCCTGGCCAACATGGTGAAACCCCATCTCTACTAAAAATACAAAAATTAGCCTGGTGTGGTGATGGGTACCTGTAGTCCCAGCTACTTGGGAGGCTGAGGCAGGAGAATCACTTGAATCTGGGAGGTGGAGGTTGTGGTGAGCTGAGATCACGCCATTGCACTCCAGCCTAGGTGACACTGTGAGACTATGTCTCAAGAAAAAAAAAAAAAAAGATTAAATCTATAAAAATTTTATAAAAGATTTGGAAAGTACAGAAAATATGTTTTATATTTTAATTTTTTCTATTATTTCATAGGGGCTTTTTTCATTTAAACTTTATCTTATCGTCTCTTTATATTGTTCTAGTATTTTTAGTTCTCTGGGGACTTTTTCTCGTGTGTTGTACGTACAGACATCCTCTTTCTCTCTCATGGTGATTTCTCTCTTCTTGTGGTTTGTAATTTTTTAGTGTGAGCTCATCTTTGGTAGAATTGGGCCCCAGTTTATGAAAGCAGACCCATAGAGTGCTTTTGCATCCGTCTCATCTGAACTTCCTGGGATTCTGCATTCATATGTATATTAATTAATTCTTGTTTGGGAATCTCATACCACATGGGGAGTGTAAATTAATATCTCATAAAGTAGCATAGCAGAGGGGTTTCAGTTTCTCCTGGTAGATCTTTTCCTCTCCACTGAAAGTCTGTAGAAGACAGTGAAGTTCTTCCACTTTCATACTGGAAGGTCTTTTAAGGATTCTAGCTCTATGTAAAGCTCTGCCTGTCTCTCATGGAAGTCCCAGGGGCACAGAACTCACATGTCTCATAAATGATCCAGCATTTGGACACCTGTCACACAGGAGGTTTCAACCACCACTTTTGTGCAGGCCATGGAGACAGCCTGATAGCCACCCTTCCAGGCAAGGGAAGTGACGTTTGCCCCTTTGACTCATCACTGCCACCACCACACCCACACCCCAAGTTTGAGTTCTGTAATGAGGCCTGCAATGAGGAACAAAGAGGAGGGGAGAAAATAGGAGTTTTAAGTTGGACTATGGTGAGTTTGCTGTTGTTCAAATTACTGAGAGACCAGGCCTAGATGTCCTGAAGTGGTTTGAAATGAGGATTAGATGGAGTAATGTGGTTTGAATGTTTGTGTCTTCTCTAAATTCATATATTGAAATCTTAACTTTCACAGTGATATTAGGAGGTGAGGCCTTTGGGAGATGATTACGTCATGAGGGTAGAGCCCTTATGATTGTATTTAGTGCCCTCGTAAAAGAGATCCCAGAGAGCTAGCTAGCCCCTTCTGCCATGTGAGGACACAGCAAAAAGATCCCATCTATAAGCCAGAAAACAAGTCCTCACCAGACACCAGATCTGCCTTGATCTTGGACTTCCCAGCTCCAGAACTGTGAGAGATAATTTTATATTGCTTATAAGCTACCCCATTTATGGTATTCTGTTTAGTCTCTCAAATGGACTGAGACCTGGGATATGGTTGGAGAAAAATAAAACACTGTCGTATTTGTATCACAGGAGTCCAGAATGTTTATTAAACTAATAATACGCCTATGTAAAAAGATTGTGGAGTTCTTAAATCAAATAAAGTAAGAGTCCATTTCACTGATAAGTGAAAAAAGCAAGTCATACAGCAACATGTATCATACAATCCCATTCACATAATTTTTAAAAAATATTCTTTCTAAATACCTTTCTATCTATGTTTCTGTCGACCTGCTTATTTATCTACATAAAGCGTAGCATGTCATTTACTAGCTCTGTTAGCTTGGGTAATTTGCTTAGCCTCTCTGTGACCTAGTACACCTCTCTCCCTCAGTGGTAGAAAAGGAACAATACTCTTTTACCATTGTAAAAGAGTAAATTCCATAATGGTAAATACATTATGGAATTTTGTAAAGATTATATGAGTTGATCTAGGTCAATATTTTAGAATAGGGTCTGGTATTTGGTAAGTGCTATAAATTTTGTTACTATTACTCTATTTGATGCATATCAAAAGGCCTGAAAAGATATTTACCAACCTCTTCATGACAATTACTTCAGGATCGAGGAGCACGATTGGATAGAGAGCCAAAAGTCCAATTTTCACTTTTTTTCCATCCCCAACCACCCTTAGGATTGCTAGAATATTTATGCAGAAAATGTTTAATTTTAAAACATAAAAATAAAACAAAATGATTGTTCTAAAAAATAACCACATATCCCTTCAATAATAATTTTTAAAATAAATCTTACAAGACTTAGTGGCTTTATTTGCCACTTCTCATCCACCTGCTAAAGCTAGCACTTGTTTTGTAATCCTATATCATCAGTTATCTTTCTACATGAAAGTTTTGGCTTTCCAAGTAGACTATCAGCTATGTCAATGCCAGCACCATCTCACACACTACTTGTAATCCCATCATGATAAATGCATTGCAAACACAATGCAATACAATGTGACTAATGTCTAGGCCAACTTATTAATCCCCTCTTAAAGCCAGAGATGCAGAGTGTATCAGCCCTTTTAAAAGTCAGTTTAGACATTAAGTCCTCCAAGTTTCCATTAACCACACTTGCTCCCCTGAGTCATCAGCAGTTTCCACTACAAACAATCTAGATTTTAGGTCTCATAATAGCAATAATAGTAACAGCTAACATTTAGATATTTCCTATATGTATCAACAATGTTCTCTTTAGCTGTTCTCAAATGTTCTGGTCTTTAGTCCCTTCTATATCCTTCCATGAGGACACTGAAGAGCTTTGGTTTATGTTGGTTATGTCTATCTGTATTTACAATATAATTAAGACTGAGAAAATTTCAAAATATTTATTAATTTATTTAAAAATAATGGTTCAGACAAATCAGATTTAAAATTTTAAATAAAATAATTATAAATGTGCTAAAATAAATGTTTTTAATGAAATTAATGTATTTTTCAAAACTAATTGTGAGAAGAGTGATTTTTTTTACATTTTTGTAAATCTCTTTAATGCCTGGCTTAATGAAAGACATCTGGATTCTCCCATGCATTCATTCTGTTTAGATATCACATGTCAGGTGATCTCTGGAAAACTCCACTCTACACTCATGAGATAATAAGAGGGAAAGGCATATAACATGTTAGCATTAGTATGAAGATAAAAAGGGAGGGAGAAAGGTAAGCCATTTCTTCACATTATTAGGGAAATAGTTTTGATCTTCCATAGCCCCTTTAAGGACCTTAGAATCCCAAAAGTCCCCAAACCACACTTTGAGAAGATCACAATTTGAGGATAGCTGTTTTACTTATCCTTACAAAACACTATAAATACTATTATTCTCCTTTCAAAGATAAGGAAATTAATGTCCAGAGGGGTTAGGGAAACTTCCTAAAGTTACACAGCTAGTAAGTGGAAGAGCCAGGATTTGAACCAAAATACAGATCCTTAATCTTTATGCTATACTGCCTTTATAGCAGCCTGTACATAGCTACATAGCTCCTTGTCCTGCTATACCGACCATTTAGAGGTTAATGATTGTCTTTTTCTATCTCATCTACTTGATTATTTAATTGATGTATCATCTATCTATTTGTCCATCTACTTATCTGCCCATCGTCTATCTACTGGAGATAATAGATCTATCATCTATCGCTGGAGTGATCATTTGTAATTTATCTTTGTATCACTTTTCCTGACAGTGTCTGGTGATGTAATTTGAATAAATGAACGAATAAAAGCATGGGTAGTTTTTTTTTCCTGATGTTGATACAAGTAACATTATGAATGAAAAAATAATTTCTTCAATGATTGCTTCAATCCCTACTATAGCCCTCACTGTATGATGTATAATTTCTTGTCTTAAGGCTAGGAACAGGTAGAGATAGGGCAGCCTTTGCAATAGATTCTGTAGTAAGTGGTGCTGGAAATGCGCTGAGAGAAAGCAGAGATCTAAAGCTATTTCAACACTGTGCTTATGAGTCAGAAGTACACCAGTAAATCTGAAGTTCACATCCTTAGCAAAACTTCACTTGCCTTTCCAGTATTAAGTTAACATTGGATGGCTCCAAATTATACATTGTCATAAGCTTGGAAGGTCTGTTCCCAGCCTTTCAGTTCAACCACATAAACATCCATGGGTCCTTTGTGCCTTCAGTTGTGAACATCAATAATTTAATAGACCTGGAATATGAGAAGTAGGAAAGAAAACCCTTGAGCTCATATATCCAACAATATTTCATTATGGTCAATCTCATTCGAATGCTGGTGTTAGGCAACAAACACTTGGTTTATAGTTTTATGTTGAGTTGATTGTTGAAAGTAGTACTTTGTACATCACCACAAATATGGGGGTCTGTTGTGACCCACAGAATGATACGTGGGGCTTTACAGGCTGCCATTTTAATCAGAAGAACAATGGCATAACTAGACTATTGTTTCACTTTGCCTTTCTAATGTAAAGTTCTGAAAAAGAAACATGTAACTGGCTGTGAGTAGGTAAAACAGAAAACTAGGAGGAGGAAGTGAAGAAGGAGAAAAGGGAACATTTCTGTGCTTACCTTAAGTTAAATAAACCTTACTAAATACTTTTCCTGATTATTCTCAAAGCATACCCTGCTTTCTCTGCAATCAGGGTCTTACCCTCATTGCCAGCAACCTGAGTCATTGTCTCATTTTCAATTTTGACCTGCAGGTACTCGAGAGTTGTGAAAGTTTTGTTGTTCTTAAACTCTTTCTGACCAGGAAAGAGCCAAAAGGGACCAGGGCTCAAGGTAAATAAACCTTAGGTAGACAGAGCAGTGTCAGGAAGCCTCAGAGAAAATCACACATCCAAAAAATGCCGTATCTCACTCATGACAATCTTTCCAGCCCATATACTCTTGTTCAATCCCACGACAGAATAGAAGTCATTAAGGCAAATTGCCACTCTTTCTCCAAAAGAAAATGCCTCTGTGGGTGACAATTATTAAAAAGTCAGAAAACAATAAATGCTGGTGAGGCTGTGGAGAAATAGAAACACTTTTACACTGTTAGTGGGAATGTGAATTAGTTCAACCATTGTGGAAGACAGTGTGCCAATTCCTCAAAGATCTAGAACCAGAGATACTATTTGACTCAGCAACCCCATTACTGGGTATATACCCAAAGGAATATAAATAATTCTGCTATAAAGTCACATGCACACATATGTTTGTTGCAGTACTATTTACAATAGCAAAGACATGGAACCAACCCAAATGCCCATGAATAATAGACTGGGTAAAGACAATGTGGTACATGTACACCATGGAATACTATGCAGCCATGAAAAGAAATGAGATCATGTTCTTTGCAGGGACATGATGAAGCTGGAAGCCCTCATCCTCAGCAAACTAACACAGGAACAGAAAACCAAACACCACATGTTCTCACTCATATGTGGGAGTCGTGGGAGTTGAACATTGAGAACACATGTACACAGAAAGGGGAACAGCACACACTGGGGCCTATTGAGGGGTGCATGGTGAGGGGAGGGAACTTAGAGGACAGGTCAATAGGTGCAGCAAAGCACAATGGCACACATATACCTATGTAACAAACCTGCACGTTCTGCACATGTATCCTGTTTTCTGTGGGGTTTTTTTTTTGTTTGCTTCTTTTGTTTTGTTTTAGAAGAAATAAAGAAAAAAAAGGAATCTAAAAAAAGAGAAAATGCCTCTGTTGGAGCATGTTGCCTCCCGTGGCACCTGAGGCTGGGTGACTCAGTTCCATTCACATCACCTCATCACCTCCTGCTTTACGAAACACAAAAAGATTACCGTAATCCATTAACAGTAATAGAAAATCTTCTAACCAGGGATGAAAAGAGTGACATCTCTGGATGATCAATTAGGAAAAATACAATTCATAGTGACAAAGATGGAAAATAACCTGTTACAAGTGTATGGTAAGCTGAAACAATTAATTAAAATTAAATGGCTGGAAAGCATTATTTGATAAATGCTAAATGTTAAAAAGAAAAATAAGCTAAATGATTTCTAACTATTTTATGATGGTAATTCACTCAAAGGTAGATAATCCAAAGAGAGATGATAATGAGTAGATGTTTTCCAAGGAAATGTTTATTTAACAAGAATACACATTATTTATGTTTTTACCTTCTTCTAAGATAGGAGCCATACAGTAATATCTTCTAGAACAGTTTTGCTCCAAGCAGTGACTTCTGGAACAGTGATTGTATATGATGAATAATGTGACCTTTTATACGCTATTATCTGCCTCATTTGAAGTTCAACAGATGTATTACCACAATTAAATATTTCCAGCTAAAATACCAATTCTGGGAACAATTACCATATTCATTGTGAAACCTTCCCACTCACTAATCTCTATTGTCTGTGAAGGTCTGGGCCTCCTGTGCTTCTAGTATGGTTCAAAGTATTGAGTCACTGGACTAACTTCCTGAAGCAGGTATGATTTTAGAGACTGCTCATGGCCTCGGCTTGTGCTACGTACCTAGACACAGTCTACACACACACATCCCACCATGAATTCTGATTATTTACCTGCACTTTCATTTTGAACCTCCTCTCTTATTTGGGACTTGATGCTTACCACTGCTTTTCTAATCATGATCTTGGTGTTGTGTTGCCTTTGCGAGTTGATCAAGATGCTGAAGTATACGCAGCAGAAATTACCCTGGCTAATTTCAGCAGAAAAAATTATTAAAGGCATATTGACTAGTTCACAGAATCTCTGGGAAGCCTGAAGCTTTTGAGGTCATATAGTAAACAGAGATTGTGTATGATGAATATATGTATAATGTATATGTAGTAAAGTCTAACATCTAAAATGATCGTGCAGAAGTAGTCTTGTGAAGACCCTCCTACCGCTCCCACTAAGCTGTAGGTGCCACTGCTTGCACTAGCAACCCCTCTGGGATTGGGCACAGGATGCCCTGTTAGAGGTCTATGAGGTTGAGCCTGTGCATATTTTTCATCATTGCCACCAAAGCCATGCCACATCACTTATTCAGGAAGCGTGAGGGTGGCAGGGGAAAGAGGCTTCTGACAAGCATGAGATGAGTCATCTTGACCACTTAATTATTGGATTTCACCAAGCCTAACCTAACTACTTTCACTACTAAGTGCCCAATATACCAACAGAAGAAGCCACCACTGTTTCCCAGTATGGCACTATTCCTTGAAGAGGGATAGTTGGCCTTACATGGGTAGTTTGATTATATTGAACCCCTTCTATCATTGAAGGTGGCAGCTAATATATATTCCAGGTGTCATGTCTTTTCTACTTATTGAACTTCTAGTATTGTAACCATTCATGAACTTTCAGAATGCCTTTTCTATCACCAGAGTATTCCATAGAAGTACTGGAGGACATATGTTATCATGAAATAAGCATAAAAAATAAGCGAATGCCTAGAAATTCACTAGTCTTGCCATTTTCCCCAACACTTGGAAATGGCTGGCTTGATAGAACAAATGAATGTCTATTGTTTAAGGCTCATTTACGGCCCATACCAGGATGCCCCACTCTGTGAGACTGGTTGTTATCTTACAGGATCTAATCATGCCTTAAATCATCAGCCAGTATATTAAACAGACTTTCACATAGGAAACACAAGTCCAAGAACGAAGAGGGTGCTGGTAGAAGTGACCTTTCATTATTACTCCTACTGCTCCATTTGAAAGAATTTTGTCTTCCATTTCCAAGCCTTTCCATTTTATGGGTTTAGAGATCTTACTGCTCAGAAAAAGAGTGATTCCATTAGGAAGTACATTTCTTGTACTGGAGGCCTGGAACTTGAGATTCTCCCTGGCCATTTTTTATTTCTTGTGCTGCTAAACCAATGGGTAAGAAAGAGATCATTATTTTGGGCTAAGGTGACTGATCCCATTTCCAAAGAGGAAAATAGCCTGCTGAAATATAATGGGGAAAAAGGAGGGCTATGTCTGAAATCCAGAGGATTCTCTACAGCAACTCCAAATACTCCCTCACTTAGTAGTCCTGGTCAATAAAAACCTACAACCAACCAATAAAGACATGAGTATCAAGAACTCAAATATTATAGGAATGAAAGTTTTCATCACCCCAATGAGTAAAGAACTTTGTTCACTCCATGTCCTGGGAGAGGGTAAGGGGATCACAGAATGGAAAGTGAAAGAAAGAGATGGTGATTTCTAACCTTGGTGACCAGCCATAGCACGAGAACTTTAGGAGCTATGTTTTGTGACTTATGTCTTTATATGAAGAACACCAGTGGTAGATGACATCCTAGCTTAGGGTGAGACTATGGCCAATTTGAAATCAACCTGTGATGATATGGTAGCTTACTGAATATTTTCTGTTCTCTGTATTGAGAATATGATTGTTTTATTCAGATGAAGGGCAAGAATGGATGTTGAGGAATCAACTGTTCACTGCATTCATCTACTCTTCACCCTTTCCATTCTGCTCTGTGCCCTGGCAGAGGCTGACCTGCATGGGCTACATTAGCAGACTCCTATTCTGACTTCAGGTTGACTTTGGCCAGTAGGTAGCTCTAGCAGTAGAACAAAGGAAAATAAAATCAGAGTATTTATTCTCCCATCTCCTTACCTACAAGTTTGCCTCAAGTTGGCTCTGAATCCTCATTTAAAGCCATGGCTACTGTCAGGCAACCATCTCATCATAATTTTCTCCTTCTAGGTTCTGGTAGCTGCTCCTAGTTCGGTTCCAGGAATTCAAACTCCTTCCCACTCTTTTGTTAGCTTCAGAATGCTTCATTATCCATTGAGGATTTCCCTACTCTTAAATAGTTCTTTTATTAAGCTCTCTTGTATTAAACTACTTGAGAGTGCCATTTGCTTCCCTCCAGAACACTGACAGAAAAAGGAGCTAAAACTTATATGGTTCCAAATATAAGCTAGGATCTGTTTAAGTGCTTTATAAATGTTAACCTTTATAATAACTCTACAGGATACTATTATAACCCCCATTATATAGGTGAGAAAACTGAGGCACAGGGAGTTAAAAAACTAGTTTCTGATCTTTTTTGAATTTTTCTTTTCTCTCAGTTTCTTTTTTAATTTGATTTCTGTTATTCTTATAACAATCACAGTTCTGCTGATAAGTGATTTAGTAGACTTCAGTTTCTATAACTTAATCAAGATAGCAAGTCAACTGATACTTTCATTAGGATTTAATTTTGAGAGGTATTCCCATCATTATACTACTCTTCTGCTGGAGTGACACTAATCAGTCATAGCGTTGGAATCCTGTTTCTTCCTGGCAGAGTTTAGGTTTTAAAATGATAAACCTCTACATTTTATGACCCTCAATTCCCATGGTGGCAGCAAAACCATGGAAGTCCTGGTTAAGAGAGATTAATGGACTTCCTAAATGTCTGCATCTGGTTTTCCAGAATGACTTTTTTCTCTAGATCAATTTTAAGGTCACAGCATGAAAATCACACATGTATACATGTAATCCATGAACCAAGAAAACAAGGGACAAGAGAGAAGATATGGGTCATCCCAAATCAACTGTATTAGTTAGGAATCTTCATTGCAAGTGACAGAAACTCAACTCCAAACAGCTTAAGTTAGAGTTTATTGACTTATACAGCTGAAAAAGAATGGATGAACAAGCATGTCTGCACCCAGGGACCCAAATGATAGTACCAGGTTGTCCTCTGTTTCGTGTCTTTGCTACTTGCTATGGCAGCCTCAGGTTCTCTAATGGGGACTGGCTTCTTATGTGCAATGTGGATATTGGGGGAAGAGTGGCCACAGCCACAGTCTTGCATCATCTCAGCTTAGCAATCCCAGAGGGAAAAGAGAAGCTTTAATTAGGCTGGGTGCAGTGGCTCACACCTGTAATCCCAGCACTTTGGAAGGCCGAGGCAGGCGGATCACGAGGTCAGGAGATCGAGACCATCCTGGCTAACACGGTGAAACCCCATCTCTACTAAAAATACAAAAAATTAGCCGGGCGTGGTGGCGGATGCCTGTAGTCCCAGCTACTCGAGAGTCTGAGGCAGGAGAATGGCGTGAACCCCAGAGGCGGAGCTTGCAGTGAACTGAGATTGCGCCACTGCATTCCAGCCTGGGCAACAGAGCAAGGCTCCGTCTGAAAAAAAAAAAGAAAAAAAGAAGCTTTAACTTTCTCAACATTGATCTAGAAAACATCAGGAAAGGACTCTGGTTTGGCCTAAGTCACATGCTCCTCCCTGGGTTACCCTTCCAACTGTGGTCAGAAGGAAGGGTAATTTTGATTGGCCAAACCTAGATTATGTTCCTGTATCTGTGACCAAGGAATGGAGTAGAATAGTTGAAAGCCTCGCAAAAACTACCTAAAGGAGGGGAGGAGTGATTATTTAAAAGATGCAGGACATAGTTCCAGAAGATAGAGAGTAATAGATACTGATGCAGTGAAAAACATGATGTTTACTTTGTGAGGTGCTGGAAAATGTTTAGCCACCATCCCCTTCCCCTCAACCCCCGAAAAAGCCCGGATTTGTAGCATTTGTCAATTTCTGTAAAGTGAATACTCTTACTATGGCCAATTTCAGGCAACCAATGTGCTATCACTGAATGCGGAGTTCAGAAGATAGGTACATTAGTGTACCATTTTATAGTTTTCCCCACATTCGAATACAAAAGGAATAAATAATCTCAAGGGCATAGATCATAGTAAAATGCAGTAAAGTCACTGGAGGTAATGCATTTGAATATTTATTACCTTAGAGTTTAATACAATTATTTAACTCTAAGTTTAAATCATTTAATATTTAGGAACAGCTGTGTTTAACAACTGGCTCACAAATAAATTTTCTAAAAATAGTAAGTGGCCATACAAGAGGGCTTTAGCATACCACATAGGATTAAAACAAAACTAGTCAACATATGATGTAAAATTAATCACTATTAGCACACTAGGGCAGCCACAATAGGAAGAAATCATCGGCACCTCTTTTCTAACAAGTTCAGGTGACTGAAATCTTACAGTGCATGACAGCTCCTGATTCCTGCCCATGCCCAACCTGGAAAGATCTGGATCTTCGATCTAATCTCTGCCATGGTACTGACAGTGCAGGTAAATATCGTATAGTCATTCAAAAGAGGGAAGACGGAGAGGGCCTGACTACAAAAAAAAAAACAAAAACAAAAAAACAAAAACCGCCTACCTTTTTTCCTCCTACAATTGCACTTAGTCTCAATGTTGCTAAATTACATGGTCCATTATAACTAATTTCAGTTAATACACACAGCAGATACTTCAAGATAACCGTAAAGCCCTTCTTCCCTTCTCTGTTTCTAGACTTACTGAAAGCCTACTATGTGTCCAACACTGTGGCAGAGATGGAGTCTGACTGTGGTGTATCAATATAAAGTACTACCCTAACAGACCCCATGGTCACACATACATATATTTCTTATACAATACATCTACAAGTGATACTATTATTAACAGTATTATGGATCCTATAATTCTCACCATCTGTAGGATGTGTATTTCTTATTGCACAGATGGTTTATCTTGAATTTTCCATAAATTTCCTTTTAAAGCAAGAAGAGTTGGTTTCCTATTTTGGGTGGTATGACCTGAATTTTTAAATCCCTTTTCCAGAAATTACCATACATTGGCAAAGACATCTGGTCACTTACCTGGTAAATATAGGACTCCCCACGAAGTCTACCCTGACGCATGATTACATATGCCAGATATGCTGAAATAGGCCCTACAAAGCCACGAAACAGCTGCTGGGCTGCTCTAATCCTCCCACTTCCTTTATGTTCTAACTTCCTCAACTTCTTCCTATTTATACAAAAGTTACTTTTTTCTCTGGCTTCACAAAAGCTTAAACGTGTGTATGCTTGCCTGCTTGCTTTATTTATTTATAAATAAGCATAGTGATTCTTTTTTTTTTGCTTTTTTACGTGATGTTCTCAAATGGTTTTACAACTTCTAGTTTATTTTCTTATTTGTATAAATGTATGGAGTACACGTGTAATTTTGTTACATGTATATATTACATAATGGTGAAGAAAGGGCTTTTATTACTATATCCATCCCAACCCCGAGCCTTTTGAGTCTCCATTGTCTGTCATTCTGCACTCTATGTACATGTGCACACATTGTCTAGCTCCCACATATAAGTGAGAACAAGCAATATTTGTCTTTCTGTGTCTGAGTTGTTTCACCTAAGATAATGGCCCCTAGTTTCATACACATTGCTGCAAAAGATATGATTTCATCCTTTTTTATGGCTGAATAGTATTCCACAGTGCATATATACCATAATTTCATTGTCCAGTCATCCATTGATGGGAACTGATATGGTTTGGATGTTTGTCCCCTCCAACTCTCATGTGGAAATATAATCTCCACTGTTGGAGGTGTGGCCTGGTAGCAGGTGTTTGGATCATGGGAATGGAATCCTCATGAATGGCTAAGTGCCATTTCCTTGGGGATAAGTGAGTTCATGTGAGATCTGGTTGTTTAAAAGTGCATGGCATCTCCTCCCTCTCTCTGTCTTGCTCCCCCTCTCACTGTGTAATACACAGGCTTCCCCCTTCCCCTTCTGCCATGATTGCAAGTTTCTTGAGGCCTTCAACAGAAACTGAGCAAATGACTTGCTTTCTTTACAGCCATGTTTCCTATACAGCATATAGAATCATGAGTCAATGAAACCTCTTTGCTTTATAAATTATCCAGCCCTATGCATTTATAGCAATGCAAAAACAGACTAATACAGACACTTAGGTTGATTCCATATCTGTGCTATTGTGAACAGTGCTATAATAAACATATGAGTGCAGGTATCTTTTTACATAATTATTTTTTTCCTTTGGGTAGATACCCAGCAGTGGGATTGCTGAATCAAATGGCAGTTCTGTTTTTAGTTCTTTGAGAAATATCCATATTGTTTTCCACAGACGTTGTACTAATTTACATTCCCATCAACAGTGTATAAGCATTCCCTTATCTGCACATCATCACCAACATGTTATTTTTTCACTTTTTTCAGTAGCCATTTTGACTGGTGTAAGATGATGTTTCATTGTAGTTTTGATTTGCATTTCTTTGTTGATTGGTGATGATGAGCTTTTTTAAAAATATGCTTGTTGGCCCTTGGTATGTCTTCTTTTAAAAATGTTCATTTATGTCATTTGCTCACTTTTTAATGGAATTATTTGTTTTTGCTGTTGTTGCTGCTGAGTTGTGTTGTAGTTTCTTATAAATTCTGGATATTAGTCACCTGTCAGATGAATAGTTTGCAAATTTTTTTTTCCATTTTGCAAGCTGTCTGATCATTCTGTTGATCATTTCTTTTGCTGTGCAGAAGCTTTTTAGTTTAATATAGTCCCACTTGTTTATTTTTTGTTTTGTTGCCTACTTCTGATGTCTTGGTTATGAATTCTTTGCCTAGACCAATATCCAGAAGAGTTTTCTCTAGGGTTTCTTCCGGTATTTTTATTGTTTCCAGTCTTACATGTAAGTCTTTAATCCATCTTGAGTTGATTTTGTATATGGTGAGAATTGGGGTCCAATTCCATCCTTTTGCATATGGCAATCCAGTTTTACTGGCAACATTTATTGGAAAGGGTGTCCTTTCCCCACAGTACGTTCTTGTCCACTTTGTCAAAGATCAGTTGGCTGTATGTGGTTTTATTTCTGGCCAACCTCAAGTTTATTCCGATTTTGGTAGTCATTTTCCTGCCATGTATTCTCATTCCTGATTTCTGAATGGGACACTAGAGAAGCAGTTTATTCTCAGTTCTGGATTAAGTTGTTGAGCCCAACACACACTAATAATAATTTTAGCCTAAAAGAAAATCTATTAAAAGCAGGTTTTGATTTTCTGTGTGTTTGTTTTAGCTTTAGATTCTTGGAAAAGAAAGGAATTGCAAAGCTATCTCAAAAATTTGTCCCTAAAGAGAAGCATTTCTAGATCTAGAATAGCTAAACAATTTGTTATCTCAAAATCTAGTTGAGAATTCCCAACTTTTGTAGGTGTCTTAGCCAGTTTATCCTGCTATAACAAAATACCATAAACTAGGTGGCTTATCAACAATAGAAATTTATTTATCAGAGTTCTGGAGGCTGGGAAGTCCAAGATCAAGGCACCAGCAGATTCAATGTCTGGTGAGGGCCCGTCTGGCAGAGCCCTCATGGCATAATCACTTCCCAAAGGCCCTACTTCCCAATGCCATTGACTTGGGGGTTAGGATTTCAACATATAAATATAGGAGGAACACAAATATTCAGACCACAGCAGTAGGGAAATCAGGACAGCAAAATATCGGAACCTCTCAAGATCCAGATTCCAAACTCTCAATGTTCCAGTCTCCATGATGAGAGAGGTCTGGGGCCTAACGACTGTGCCAAAGCAAAACATCATATCTTTCTAAGTGGATACGATTTTTTTCCATGAAATCTTTTATTTTATGCCAATTTTCACAAAAGTTTGGAAATAATGGAAAACAAATTTAGTTGGGTAAAACCAAAAGGCATATTCGTTATCAAGGAATAAATCCCATGGATATCAAACTGAACCTCCAAGGCCCATCATGTGATCACTATATCTCCACTTTTTCTGTCTTTTATATTTTCAGTTTATAGTAGCTATAAATATAGTAGTGCATGAAATTTACTGGAGTATAATAACGAGCTGGCATTTCTGACCAGAAGCTGAACCATGCAACCTCATCTCTTCTCCACTGTCATCAACTCAGATAACATTGTAAGCCTTGGTTATTAGTCCCCAAATGACTTTTAATTATAGTTCTAATTGGAGGTCTTATGGTTATTCTTCTAAATTGAAGTATGCTCAGTGAAGTCTTTGTAGAATGATTCAGGGTAAGGCATAATTCACCAAGCAATTGAAGAATAGCATATCTATGCTTTTGGTATATCTCTGTTGGTAACAAAAATTGCTTAGCTTGTATTTCTTTTCCTAATCCTTTTTCTCAAAATTAGGAAATAACAGAATTTGGTTTAGCAACTGTAGAACCTAAATTGTGTCAGAAAAACATCACCTGCAAAAAGGTGTTTTCTACAGAGAAAGTCAAATGTATACCCTGCATATGTACAAGATGCTGCTGTTCATTCCAAGCACTGTTTCGGATTCTATCGAGCAGCAAGAGTGAAGGGGATAACAAATTCTTGTGAAGAATGTCAAAAGAATTGTTCGATGTCACTTATTTATTATTGCATATCATATTATGCTTACTTTCTTTTCTATTTTTATTTTCTCATTAATTCTTTTTAATTAAATAATTTAACGTCTTTTCAAGATTCATGGTAAACACTCATTTTATTCCCAAATGAAATTGTTCCTATGCAATTATTTTGTGTAATTCACATTTTGATTTTTTAAATAAAGTTTGTAATACAAAAACTGAGCATTAGGGTTTTGTGCTTCATTTCATATTTGAACTTCAGAAACACCACATTATTTATAAATAGTGATATATTTTCTTATCATCTTTTCTCCATAAGCGCTATGAAAAAAAGAGAAACAATAGGACATCTTTTTACCAAAAAAATTTCTACCATCTAACATGGGTCTGGCACTCAAATATTTGCTCAATAACATTCAAATATATACATACAGATTTCATATTTTACAACTATGTAAACTTACATTTATTTTTTTATGGTTTCATACCAGTCAAGATAATCAATGCCATTTTTAAAATCTTTTTTCATTTATACATTATATTTGTTACGTCGAATATGTAGCAAATGTAGGAAGCCTAATGTAGGCAATAAAATGATTCTACCTAATATTGTGAAGGGGAAAAATGTAGTTTTCTTGATGGGGAGTTGCCAGTTAAAAAAAAAAAAAAATGAGCCTTCACCTTAAACAAGAAAATTGTATGCCTGTATCTTACCTTTTACCTTACTCTTTATAAAACATTCCGCTGATTTTCTCAACACTTACTCTGATAACAAGCAAGTCTCAATTCCCACAATCTGTGAAATGGGGATAATAATTTGACCTATTCCCTGGCGTTGTTGTAAAGATAAAGTGAAACCAGGTACCCAGTGCTTCCTGCCTGTGTTGGACACACTGAGGGCTCCCCACAAAGCAATTATTTCACTTTTCTCTCTCTTACTGCCTGTTCTGCAAGCTCTCACTTTCCTGACACAGAGTAATCAACAATTGTGGCAGATAATCCTGTCCCAGGGGCTGATGAAAGGGCTTCCCTTGGATCTCTGGTTGGAGATAAGAACAGTAGATGGTCTCTTGTAAAACAGGAAGCTAATGATCTCAAATCAAGAGAGAAAAGTTTCATTTTACTGGCAGCAATACCTGGGCTAGTTCATGTCCCTTGAAAGTGGGCAGTTTCTAATGGAATCTCCAAGTAGCTATTTTTTTTTTCACTGTTATAAAAGAATGTGAAGGCCTAATTAGCCCGAGGGATTCAGGAATATTGCAACGACATGGTTTGCTCTGCCCTCCTGTGCCTGCCATCTCTCAGACATCATTTGGGCAGCATCCGCCCATGGAGATTGCAATATCTAGCTTCCCACTCTGACGGCTTTGCTGACAGTTTACAAAGCCAAGCAGCCCAGAGGAGCAAAATGGAAAAAATTATTTCAAAAGTGCTTCTGTGATCAGTGGAGACTTCACAAGAGGAAGGGCATCTTGTCCTTTTCCGATCCCACATAAACATTCAGGCAGGTACATAGGAGAGAGACATGTAATTGCCCTGTGGCCTTGTCAGATCCCTGTTATCTCTTCTTCTGACCGCTTTGGTCTTTTAGCTTAAGAAAAAATGAGGCTTAACACTTTCCCTGTAAATAAGGAAAATGAACCAGTGTTCCTGAGGAACTGAGAAGAGGTGGGATTGAATTGTAGCCAAGGGATTTTATGGAATAAACCAAGTGAGTGATGTCTAATAGCAATATTGTTAGATCCTGGGAGAGCTAGTCTTTCTACACACCCTGTAAGACTGTTCATCATGTTGCCCAAATTAATATATTTTTGATTAAATCAACACAAGCCTCTAAATAGTTGATTTCATGTTATTAATTTGAATTAAATAATCAACCATTTCTCATATAGTTATTTCTCTTCTCTAGATAAACACAATCTTAGAAACTTGGTTAGACATCAGAGGTCAGAAGATGGACCTTGGTCCTCTAGTCTTAGTTTTCATTTTCCTTGAACAGAGGAGGCAGTGGGGGACAGAGCAAAGTTTGGTATACAAGCTCATATACTTGGGCTTAAGAGACACATCCACTTAAAAACACGTAATTTTAGGTATATTACCTAGGGTCACTGGATCGCTGGTTCTTCATTTGTAAAATGAGAATAATGACACTGACCTCAACACCAATAGCCAAGATTGTTGTGAAGGTAAAAGTAATATCTAAAAACTGGATTTGAAAGTAGAAAGCCATTGGCTATTGTTACTAGAAGTGAAAATTATTTTCTTTAAGTAAAATGTAACCTTTCAAATAAGTATTTATTGAGTAACTTTTAATAATAGACAATCTTTGAACTCAAAGAAATATGAATATGAATCTTAATTCTGTCACTTACTGGCTGAATGATGCTGCGTAGGTAATCTAAACTCTCTAAGCCTCAGCTTCCCCATCTGTGAAGTGGAGCAATACTAGTAACCCCACTGGGCTATGGGCATTCAAGGACACTGCATGTATCAAGCATCTGGCCCAAGGTCGGTTCCCTTTGCCTGTTACCTCAGTGACACTGGTGTTGGCACATAGGACAATGCTAATAATACAAAGAACAGTCATTTTGTAAACATGAGAGGAGCAGCAACAGTTCTTCCCATCCATCCCCTAAAATATTTTCTTTTTCCACTTGCCCCTGCCCCAAAATGATATGATATGCTAACTTATCATTCTGGACAATTGCAACTGAACCAATGGTGCTTTTTTTTTTTTTTTTTTTTTTGAGACGGAGTCTTGCTGTGTCACCCAGGCTGGAGTGCAATGGCATGATTTTGACTCGCTGCAACTTCTGCCTCCCTGGATCAAGCGATTCTCCTGCCTCAGCCTCCCAAGTAGCTGGGGTTACAGGCACCTGCCACCACGCCAAGCTATTTTGTGTATTTTTAGTAGTGGTGGGGTTTCACTATGCTGGGCAGGCTGGTCTCAAACTCCTGACCTCAAGTGATCAGCCTGCCCCAGCCTCCCACACTGCTGGCATTACGGGCATGAACCACTGCACCTGGCTGGGAATTTTTAAAATTCAAATTACTTCATAAATACTAATAAGATCTACTGACCAGGCTGAGAAGCTGAACTTCATCAGTATTTACAGGGCGTAAGTAGACACTTAGCCATTGTAAAGACGGGTTTGTCTATTCCAATAGATGTTTTTGACTCCATTGTAAGATACCATGGGAATAAACTCAGTCTGTTTGTATTTGGGCATCCTTCCCCATTTTATTTCATATATTTTCAGACTTCAGAAACAAAAAGAAATTTTACCTAGCTTTGCTCTCTTACATGTTGATACAGAGACTGCCCCAGCACTGGTGCCCAAATTCAATTTCTGAGTTCATTCACATTTACTCCTAATAAATTTAGCAAATTAGATTACTTGTGCTGTTTTTAAATGGCAAGCTAAAGCAATTTACTTAATTCTAAATTTGATTATTTTTCTTTTTATTTAGAAGCAAATTGTAGAAAACTTATCATGTCATTGCTTTTGAGGGTAACCATTAATGAGATTAAATCAATGGACTTTTAGATACTTTTCTTATTAGTATGCAGCAAATTAGGTCTCATTGGCATGGGAAGACTTGGCCTCATCTAAGTGGACTATCATTATTAGCAACCATGTTCTTAAAACTTATTGCCAATCTTGAGTGCTCTCAGTATGTCTTGTTGGTGTTTATGAAGCATTTTAAACTCTCTCTGTTTCTTTCTTTTTATTTTAATTCCCTACATATCTTCTGCTAGTCTACCTTATGCTCATAAAGCTTAGATCTTGGTGCAGTTGTGATTAACAAAGAGAGCAATTAGTTCTGGGAGAGGGGGCAGAAGGAAAAATGAATTTTTTTATCAGAATTCCAGTAACTTGCAAAGGTTCAAAGGAAAGCACTTAGAAACTCCCAGCCCATTGAGTTGGCTCAAGTGAGATGGGAAGACTGAAGCTGCAGTCCCTCAATGCTGATGGGAGTTTCTTTACTTCCTTTGGAGTGCTTGGGAGTTTTCCACACAGCATTTTTTAAGTTACAAGAAACTGCTAGGATAAGAATTAAAGGACAGTCCCTTCCTACAAGAGTTTTGATTGCTCTTCAGTCTTAACACATTTAAAGTGGTGTAGGGCTCAATTAACATTTTTGAAGGTGTGTAAGTATGGGATTCAATTGAATAACCAAAGACTGTGATCCAAATGGCCTATTTTCCAGTGAATGCCAACTTGGATATACATTTCTTTTTCCCTATACTTCCATCTAGAGAAGAAGCTATTTTGTTTACTGTTCCCGGATCTTTCCTATTTTTTTGAGTGGACAGTAAAATGTCACTCAGGATGTAATTTCTCCTTGCAAAAGGAGCCATGGCCAGGCATTGGTAGCTAGGGTAGAAAGACAGCAATGCCACCAGTAGTAGCAGAAGTAGTTGTGATGGTGACCAAACAGAGCCCTGACTATGTGCCAAGCACCCTGCTGAAGTTCAGCTGGTGACAGAGCTGTCTTTGAAACCTCTTACATCATTTATGTGGGCTCAGCTGGACTATATCTGCCACTCAAGGTTTGGAGGGAAGAAGAGGGGATTGGAAGAAGCCACCAGGACAAATGGTGGCAACAGAGAGACAAGCTGAGTCCTGGGGTCACGGTGGAATCTGCATCCCTGGCAAGGGTGGGAAAAAAAGAGACCAAGAGCCTGTTGTAACTGCTTTATCTACGTGGTGGCATTTCATCCTTATAACACCTTTAAGAGACAAACACTGCAGGTCACAAGCCAACAGAGACCAAGAGTCTGTTCCAACTTCTTTATCTACATGGTGGCATTTCATCCTTACAACACCTTTAAGAGGCAAATACTGCAGGTCACAAGCCCATTCCACAATGCTGAAATCCAAAAGTTTCTGAAACACAGGAGGGTTTTATTAGCAATCTTATCCGACAGCAAAATCTGGCCTGAATTAATATAAGGACTATTTATGTCCTCTATTTATCCCAGTTGGTGTGTATATCTAAATGTTTCACTTCAGACACAATGATAGTAAAGGGTATTACACAAACTTTGGTGATGATTTTACATAAAATACGGTATATAAACCCCACAAAATATCTGAAGTCTTAAAATTCTGAAAACTGAAATATTCCTGCCCAAAGATTTCAGAGAAGGGATTGTGCACCCAATTTACAGATGACAAGGCTGAGGCTTTGAGAAGTTTAGAAACCTGGAAAAGTCAAACAGCTTTTAAGTGTATAGCCATTTCCCCAGCACACTTTACCTAGATCCAGTGGTTATTGTGGAATTTAGGGGTAACTGATGGGCACTACCATTGTATGTAGACAAGATTAAGAAATTATTTTTGCTTCTCAACCTCAACCTTTAAACAGTATTCTGACAGTAACCAAACATTATAAATGAAGAAAAACAAACATAAGTAACTCCAGTGGGATGATCGATTATAGCAAGAGACAGATTCTAGAGCCTGTTTGAACACTTTGAATGACGGTTATGCTAGGTCTGGACAGTTTCAATCATGAAAGGAAATACACTTCCCTGTTACTTGTACCCATTTGTCCTGGTTTTGGCATCTGAAGTTCGGGAAGAAGGGAGGAGGAAACTATGAGTCATTGGGTTTCTTTAGGATTTTTTTTTTTTTTTAATTTCAGGAAATAGAGATCCTGTTCAAAATAGCTTAGGAAGAAGGTGGACATGAGCAGGAGGCATTACAAATATAAAAGAGCATCCCCGATAACCTAGTTCTGGACTTTCCAAATCTGGAATGTCATCAGATATTTTTTCTCCATCACTTCTCTGGGCTTTCACAGTCTCTTATCTCCTCTTCTCCCTGAACATCTGCTTCTTTCTTGTTTTTTTGCAGACTGGATTCATCTGACAGGCTCCAGCAACACTGACTTGCCTTTGGGCAAACTCTGATCTTGTAGCCAGCTCCACCTTCCCCAGCCATCTGATGACATTTTATTTTCTTTGTGTTTTTGAGAAAGGGAATCTGAGACATGTGACCCTTGGTATAATTAGTTGGAGCCAAGAGAACAGGGTCACCTAATGCAGACATCGCCTCCAAAGTGGCATCGTTTAGCAGGCGTGTGTCTCTCAGTCTGTGTGCCTCATGGGGAGCGGAGTTGGCGGAGGGAGGAACATTTATAAAGGAGGGGTTAGGCTGTCTTCCTAAAATTACATTTTCACTCTTTGTGCCAAAAATTTTTCTGAGGACTTTACTTTCTTTATCATATTCATTTTTTTTCCCAGAACACCACAGAATAAACTTGCTCCTTCTTTGCATCAAACAAATCTTCCACTATCATATTCCCCCAGGTCCTGTTAGTTCTAAGAACTTCAACTACCTTTCACACAACAAGCTCACTACTAGTTACTCTCCAATTTGTCAGTACTGCAGAAAGAACCAATACCAACTTTAAAAACCTAGTTTTCACCCTAAATGGAGCATCCGCAGTCATGACGAATTATATCTGACTGCTTTCTGATCATGAAAAGCTTCAGATTCTGCAAATGGTTCCTGAGTAGATATTGACTCCATCTGTGGACATTTATAGATGTTCTTTACAAATATTTGCATCTGTCTTTATTCTTTAAAATGATGAAGTTTTCTGATTCATTATGACAAAAATTTGAATGAACACTTTTATAATTTAAAAAACTCTTCAAAGTCTGTTTTATTCTCTCTTGCTTAGACCATACCTGTATTACCACCTAAAGATCTCAAGAGAATAGTTCATGACATGCAGTTTGGTTTAACTTGTTCAATGGGCCACAGGTAGATGCCTTGTATTTCTGAGGCTTTATGACTCCTGGGCCATGTGAGAAGCTTCTAGGAAATAGAAAAAAAAAATGGTTGTTTTGTTGTTATCATACTCTGGCTCAGTCTAGAGGTGAATGAAGTCTTAAGAACAGAAAAAAAGGCCGGGCGCAGTGGCTCATGCCTGTAATTCCAGCGCTTTGGGAGGCCGAGGTGAGCAGATCACAAGGTCAGGAGATCGAGACCATCCTGGCTAACATGGTGAAACACCATCTCTGTTAAAAATACAAAAAAATTAGCCGGGCATGGTGGTGCATGCCTGTAGTCCCAGCTTACTCAGGAGGCTGAGGCAGGAGAATGGCGTGAACCCAGGAGACAGAGCTTGCAGTGAGCCGAGATCATGCCACTGCATTCCAGCCTGGGCAGCAGAGTGAGACTCCGTCAAAAAAAAAAAGAAAAAGAAAAAAGAAAAAAAAATTAAATTGTTTAAATGGCCCTGAAAACCTGTGAAAGAGTTTGCAAGCATTCTCTTAACCCTGTTGATAAAAAGCTTTTCTTTTCTTTTTTTATTTTTATTTTTATTTTATTTTTTGAGATAGAGTTTTGCTCTGTCCCCCAGGCTGGAGTGCAGTGGCATGATCTCAGTTCACTGCAACCTCCATCTCCCAGGTTTAAGCAATTCTCTGGCCTTAGCCTCTGAAGTAGCTGGAACTACAGGTGTGTGCCACCACACTTGGCTAATTTTTGTGTTTTTAGTAGAAATGGGGTTTTATTATGTTGGCCAGGCTGGTCTTGAACTTCTGACCTCAAGTGATCCGCCTGCCTCCAGCCTCGGCCTCCCAAAGTGCTAGGATTACAGGCGTGAGCCACTGCACCCAGCCGGTAAAAGCTTTTCTTTCATTTACTTGTTTATTCCCTCAAAGCTTATTTTGTCATTTAAATCAAAATGATTTAGATGAAGAACTTGATCGGTGAAAATAAATTTACAGATTTTTCTCCTGTACAAAATATCTTATTTTTTTAAGGTGATAAACTTTAAAATATGTTCGGTTCAATACTTCTACTTCTCATTTCTCTTTCTAAATGATAGCGTGATGTTGTGTCACCAGCAGGTAAATCACTGCAGCATTTCATTCCAGAGGTGACAGGATTTTTAATGGTCCAGAAAATGACACCATATATATCAATCTAAAAACATCTCACCTGCACTCAGGTATAAGGCTATGCAACTCTTGCTGATTTTTCACCTTCTTTTTCCTAAAGAGTTTGGAAGGAAAGCCATTGTTTTGGGCTTGTTTGCATAAGACCCCTGTTGGCTTATGTCAAGCAGCAAAGAGAGATGAAAGGTCAAAATTACAATAAGCATATTTGTTTCTGCTTGTGTGAGATTTGGCAGATTAGCTACACTATAAGTTAACAGTACCTGGCAACAATGGCAATGGTATTACACTAACGTTAATTGAAGAAAACATGCAGCATGTAAGACCACTACAAAGGACTTCTCATAAATTTCACATATTCAATAGGCAGCTTTTAATTTCCAAACAGCTTAAGAGTTAACCCAAGTACATGTCAGGGTATCAGGAATGAGGAAGCTGGTGAATTCGTTTGATTCAGCTACACTCCTGTGTTGAACAAGCAAGGCATCCATCAAGTTGAAACTGTGTGGAAAGTACCATTGTGTTTGCATGTTAAATAGCAAGGATTGATCAATAAGTGTCCTGTATGCAGTGAAAACTCTATAAGGAAAAGGATATAATAGAAAATGTCCATGTTCTAGGTGAAAACATGACTAAGGAGATATGAAAAAATTAAAGAGAAAAGACGTGCAGAGATTTCACTTTGAAACGAGTGAAACAAGTGAACAATAATATTAGCATCTTTCTGCCATCAGCAGGTATAAAAAAATTACGCATGTATGTGTCTTTTGCTTGTTATTTTACATCCACAAATTTTATGAGTCTAGAAAAATGCTTTCTTGCATGGATGTTCACTTTCACTAGAAAAAAAGAGAAAACAACAAACATGCTCAACCATAAGGGATGAAACAATAAGTTTGGATACATCCATATAATGTGATAATATGTAGCCACAAAAATCATGATGATGATATAACAATATTAGTGATATGACTTAACATTAAGTGATCAAACTAGTTTTGTAGAGTGTTATATGTCACATTATAGCATTTTGGTAGAAACAAAATATGTACTCTAGGTTGGGCATGGTGGCTCATGCCTGTAATCCCAGCACTTCGGGAGGCCGAGGCAGGAGGATCACCTGAGGTCAGGAGTTTGAGACCAGCCTGACCAATATGGTGGAACCCCATCTCTACTAAAAATACAAAATTTGCCGGGCATGGTGGCATATGCCTGTAATCCCAGCTGTTTGGGAGGCTGAGACAGGAGAATCGCTTGAATCCAGGAGGCAGAGATTGCAGTGAGCCGAGATGGTGCCACTGCACTCCAGCCTGGGCAACAAAAGGGAAACTCTATATCAAATATATATATATTTTATATATATATATATTATATATATTTTATATATAATATATTATATATATATATACATTATATATATAATATATATGAAAAATATCCATGCATGAGTGTATGTATAGGTACAATTGTGAAGGAGTATTTACTGAAATTAACAGTGGCAGTCTCTGGATGATGAGATTATAAATAATCTCCTCTTTCTTTCTTTTTTTTTTTTTTTTTTTGAGATGGGGTCTCACTCTGTCACCCACACTGGAGTGCAATGGCACAATCTTGGCTCACTGCAGCCTCAACCTCCTGGGCTCAAGTAATCTTCCCTCCTTGGCTTCTCAAAGTGCTGGGATTACAGGCATAAGCCACCACTTCTGGCTTATTCTTTTTCATTCTCTGTATTTATATGTTCTAAAAGGAGAATGATTTATCACTTGCATAAATAAACAATTAAAATTTAAAGTCAGGAACAAAGCAATAAATACATTATGATCAGAAACAAATAGGAAAGACAGACTAAAATGCTGACAATGACTATCTTTAGGTAATGGACCGTGAATGCATTTATTTTCTCCTTTCATTTGTTTATGTTGTCACAACTTTTCACAACAAATATACATCAGTTTTGTAATATAAGGGTGGATAGTCTGCATTCCTCTGCTTTATATGGCCTAAGTTAACAACTTATAATAAATATAAAAATAATGAGGACTTACAATGAGATCTTAGAACTGTGCTTAGAGGGGTATCAGTAACCATATGAAGAAATCTTTGACCACTTGCCTTAGAGCTTAGCCTACACCGAAGTCTCAAATTATAAAAGACAGTTTTCTTTTTATGTGACTTTAACTTCTTGAATAATTGCTCATATACCCGTAACTGATTTGGTATTACACTGGGAAAAGGACTGACATGGGGTTAATCAGTGAGATTGCAAAAGAAAAGCAGATATAGCTCTTGCCCTTGAAGGAATCAATTTGGTAAAGGCAAGATTTGACTGTAATAATGATTTGAGTTGTATGTGCGGTTTATGGAGATGAGTTCTATTAGGAAGGCGTAATTAGTGTTTGAAGGTAACAAACAAGTGTATATGAGTATAATATAGATAAAGGTTGGGGCTGGAGAGGGATTATAAAAGCCATGTGTTACCTCGAAAAAGTTTAATGTGCTACTAAATCAGTTGTAAGAAGGTCAATTGTCAATTGACTTTAGCAGACTTAATGCATCACACAGAAGAATAGGAGATGGAACGTGGTTAGGTCAGAATTATAGACATTATGCCAAGATTCTCTCTAATATGAGTATAATTATTTCCTCTATAAAGCAAAATTTTACTGGACACCTGTTTTCGTTGCTTTCAATATGGATATTTGAGGTAATGTGCCAGTCAATACTAACATTACAGACTCACCTCCCTAAAACTTCCATTTTAATTTAAGAAACATAAAACAAATGCAATATTTAATTGAGTGTCTTCTTCATGCTTTCATGGTCCTAAGCTCCGATGGAGTCATGTGCGTACCATCATGGAGTGAGTATTTTGATGATATGTATATAAAAACAATTATGTGTTTATAATCTGTGTTGGCTGTGTTAAAGTGCAATGAAAGAAACAAAGTTGGATGAAGGTGGGAGTTGGGTATATGATGATCTGGAAAGGTGATTTTAAGCAGAAACCTAAAGAAAATGAGAGAAGAGGTTATCAAATATCTTGAGATTATTCCAGGGAGGGGAACAGAAAAAAAGGTGTTCCTGAGATGGGAGTATGCTTCATGGGTATGCTTCCAGGATCAATAATGAGGTCAGTTAGGCAGAAGTTGGGTGACTGTTGGGAAAATTGTAGGAGATGATGTGGGAGGTGAGAGCTACAGAATTTGCCTTCACTCTGCATGGGCTGGGAAGCCACTAGAGGAGAGGAAGCAGAAGAATAACTTGAGTTGATGACTTAGATTATAAGAGACTCACTCTGGCTGTTGTGCTGTGGTTAGAAAGCGAGGATAAAGGGTGGGGACAAGGGTAGAGTTGGGGAACAAGTTAGGAGGCTTCTGTAAAACTCCAGGCAAGAGATGACGGTCGCTTAGACTATGGCAAGGAGTGGTGAGAAGTGGTTTGTGTTTGGATGTGTTTGTCAGGATTTAGCAGGGGATGTGGGGTATTAAGGGCAGAGTCAAGGATGACTTTCAGGGCTCTGACCTAAGCAATTGAAAGACTGGATCTGCCATGTATTAAGATGGGCTGGGGAGAAACAATTTTGCATGGCTTCTTAAACTGAAACTAAAGACTTCAAAGAGATTTCCAGTCTGTGCTGAGACACGTTACATTGCACTCTCAGGCCCTGGGACGTGTATATTCAGAAGTTCTTTTCCTGGACCCCGGCAAGAACAGTGCTTCTCATCACTTACTACGTGAGGTGCTGCTCTGGTCTTCTTTCAGCTATACCTTTTCCTATGAGGTGAGGGGTCCATGAAGCCAAGGGGATGTTCCCCCTCGGAGCCTACCCTCCTTTCCAGAACATGCACCAGGTAACCAGAGCTCCAGTTCTCAGTCCTCTGTACCATTTGCCAGCAAGCCTCCTTCCCTAGGAAACTCCCCGAGCCCATGAATCCCACCATGTGATGATTGCCTGCCCGTTTCTCTGACTCTCTCACCAGCCTGTGAACTTCTGGGGAACAAGAAGAACAATTCAGCCCTCTTTGACTCTGTAGAATGCAACAAAATGGCAAGCTGTTGGGTATACCCTCAGAAATTTTATGGAGGAAAGGAAGAGAAGGTGGGGTAGAAAAGAAGGAAGAATAAAATGATAGATCTGATGCTCAAAGACCTAGTAGCAGAGATTAGGCAGTTGATTAGGCAGAGATTAGCCAGTTATGTTACCCATAACTGGAAGTACAAAGTAATACATGGGGTAGATTAGGCATGAGGAGTGCCATGAGGTTCAGCAGTGATGTGGGTCTTCACTGCTTTCTACTGGGGTGGTTTGGTGGACAGGTTAATATTGCTGACCTTGGCTAAGTCAAGTCACATAACCTACCTGTTTCTGGTCCTCCATCTGTAAAATGGGGCTATCAATACCTCACAGGGGTGTCGAGAGGATACATGAGGTAACATATGCAAGAAATCTTTTACTTTTTCAGAAGAAAGACACTACATAAACCTAAGGTATTATTATCATTCATTTTAACTTTGGAATAGCATCATCCTGTCATTTTTGATCCCATAATTACAATACATCAGGTAAGCACAGATTTTAAAATCAAGGGAGCACTGTACAATGCACGGAGACGTGAAAACTTTGTCACATGAGAACAGCCCTGACAACTTCAAAAGTGCCTTAGGGCTGCATCTATTTCCATATTAATGCAGGCCGCATACATCATGAAAGAGAAATGCAAACGTGTAATGTTTGCTAGCCTGCACCTCTGATTTGACAAATACACACAAATGACCTGCTTGGTCTTTGTGGTAATGGGTAACTGCTGGCAATGGGCACTCTTTTTATTCAGGCAAAGGAGTTAATGTAATTTTTGTTTGAAGCCAACGGCCACCACTACCCATTTGGGACAATCAGAGGTGCATTATTTTAAAGCACAACTTGAAATGTAGCTATATGCAGTCTTTAGCCTCCATTTGAAAATATACATTCCCGCAGCTTGGTCTCACAGAGTTTTCTGAACTTGCTAGTTTTTAGAATCATAGTGCTAAGTATTTCCATTTCAATACCTTTGCCCTGTGAAAATATTTAAGGCAGTTATAGTCAAAAATGTTTCTTTTTGTTTGTCTTTGCCACTACAAGGGCCCACACATTCCTGGTAAATGGGATAAAAGAAACAACAATTACATGACATTAGTTTTATGATAAGACAGTGTGACCATAGCCAAGTCTTTAGGCTTCAGTTTCCTGATTTATAAAGCACAAGGGTAGGGCAGGGCTCTCTGGCTCAATTAACAAAGGGGGACAGTGCCCAGCTTAAGATCTGCAGGTTGACAGTGCAGGGGTGACAAGAAAATGTCTTTTTAGTCCCTCTCTGCACCGTTCTTACCCAACAGTGCTTTTTGAGTGCCCGAGGTTATTTTAGGAATCGCCATCATTTTATGCTGCAGTTGCTTCTCTCCCTGGTGAAAACCCTGGAGTGTTATGCAGCTTTAATTAACAGTGAGATGTTGTGTTTTGGATGGAGACCAAGGTATAGCCCTTCGGGTACCTTTTTGGCACTCATTACAGAGATTGTAAGGTGATTCCATCTCTCTGGTGTTCCTTAGGCAAGACAGAGATGCCGAGCTGAAGTGTACATGGGCAGCAACGTGGGAGCGCTCCTCAGAAAGCCGTGTTTTCACAAAGACTATTGGCTGTGAGAGCCAGGGTACGTGCCCTGCTCTGTGAATCCAGCCCAAGATGCTGCAGTGGGCTCCTTTCCTCTCTCCCTCTCTGCATTCTCAATCCCGTGGGTCAGAGGCCACCTGCTCTCCAGCACAAACGCTCGGTGGATAATGTGCACCTAGCGCCTCGCTGTCAGAGCTCCAGCGGTTCAGGGCACAAATGTTGCCTTTGGCCCGATTAATGGAAAAAAATAAATTATTCTACAGTGAACCTGCTGAAGGTATGTGTGGAGCCGAAATTACAAGGATTTTATCCTTTAGTTTTTCCCCTAACTTTCCTGTTGGTACAAAGTCAGCAACACTTAACTAGTTTTGTATTTTTTTAAAAGGGAGAATAATGGGTCTGTTGATACTAATTTGGATTTTTTTTTTGATGACCCCAGAGGTAGTTCTTGATTAGAAAATTATATTAGTAATAGAAATGCCTCTTTACTTCTACCCCATATGGGCATATCAGGGTAAAAATAGTCTGATGGTGTAATTTAGGTATTCTCCACTGATCCAGATGCAAGATCCATTAAAATCATTATGTGCCAGACACTGTGGAAGGAGACTTTACAGACATTATATCATTTAATTCTCACAGTTTTGTGCTGAAGCCTCATTTATAGGTAAGAAAGTTGAGGTGAGGAGTTAGTGAATGGCACAGTAGGGATTGGAAGCCAGGCCTTTCAATTCCATGCTTGACACTCTTTCCACTATACACATACTGTCCAGGACACATCACAGTTCACTGGGAAATGCCCACTTTAAAGAAACAATTTTCTCAGCAACTGGAGGCCAGGCAAAAAGGAGAGCTTGTGTGGGAAAGAAGGAGAGGCAAATAGTATGGTGGGATGAGAAAGAGAAAGGGAGAGAGACAGGCACACAGAGAGAAATACACACGGGGAGAAATGGAGATAAATACAAAGAAAGTGAGAATGGACAGGATAGAGTGGGAATCACAGCTGTGGTGGAGTCTTCCGGCCCAGGATGCATCCTTAGGAATGTTTGGATGTTTCACTCTGTAACGTGCTACTTATAGTTGAAATTATGAACCTTATTGTTGAATTGTGAAGAGGCTTAAATTATGAGTGTATCCCAAATACATCTTGGCTGGCTTGAGGCCAGTCCTGCCCATTGGTGTATCTCTCAGAACATACATCTGACTTCAGTGGCTAAGTAAATTGTGTAAATCCTTTTTTTTAAAAAAAAAACTGATTATATTCATTAATTTTTTTTAATTTTTTGAGACATGGTCACTCTGTCACCCAGGCTGGAGTGCAGTGGTGTGATCACAGCCCACTGCAGCCTCAATCTCCCAGGCTCAAGCAATCCTCTCACCTCAGCCTCCAGAGTAGCTGGGACTACAGGTGCATGCCACCATGCACCACTGAGTTTTTTATAATAATTTTTAATAAAGACAAGGTCTTGCCATATTACCCAGGCTGCTCTTGAACTCCTGAGATCAAGGAATCCATCAACCTTGCCGTCCCAAAGTGCTTGGATTACATGTGAGAGCCATCATGCCTAACCTATTCATTTATTTTTAATAAACCTATGTAAGTACCTCTTATCTTAAGAATTAGAACATTACTAGTAACTGTGAAGCCCTCACGTTTTCTTCCTGATATCATCTTGTTTCCTCTTCATTGAAGTTAATCATTTTTATGATTACTGGAATAATTACTCCTCATTTTTCTATTGAAAATATTCAATTTTTTAATTGACACATAAGTATACATATTTATGGGACACATAGTGATACATATATGTAAAATGATCAGATCAAAGTAATTATTAGTCTATTTTTCATTATACTTTGACCAACTATGTATACTATGGGCATAGTACACATTGCATTTTAAATTTCTAAAAAATTTTAACCTTTTTTTATGGTAAGAACACATAAAATCTATTTTCTTAGCAAATTTCAAGTAGCTAAACACAGAAAGAAAAATATTGCGTAATCTTACTTCTATTTGGAACCCCAAAAGGAAAAAAAAAAAAAAGATGAGCACCTAGAAACAGTACAATGTGGTTACCAAGGGTGGGAAGGGGCAAAAGTGGGAAGATGAAAGGGTACAAAGTTAGGGTTATGTGGAATGAATAATTCTTAAGTTCTAATGTACAGCATGAGGACTATAGCTAATAACATTGTATTATATTTTGGAAATATTTATATTTAGTTTTTTTTGAAAGAGTGTTGCTATAGGTTTGGATGTTTGTCCCCCCTCAAGCCTCACATATTATCCCCACAGTGGGAGGTAAGGCCTAACAGGAGGTGTTTGGGTCATGGGGGTGGATCTCTCATGAACAGCTTAGTGCTGTGCTTGCCGTAATAATTTCTTCGTCCATTGTTTCTCACGAGAGCTGGTTATGAAAAGGAGCCTGGCACTCCTCCATTTCCCTCTTGCTTCCTCTCTGGCCATGAGATCTCTGCATGTGATCTCATGCCAGCTACCCTTGGTCTTCCACCATGCCTGGAAGCAGCCCGAGGCCTTCACCAGATGCCTGATCTTCCAGCCAACAGAATAATGAACCAAGTAAATATTTTTTTTTAAGAAAAAAAGAAAGAAATGACCCAGCCTTAGGTATTTCTTTACAGCAATACAAAACAGAGTAAGACAAATGTGCACAATTTTAACTACAGACAGCACATTACAGAGCAAAATATCCTAAAATTCCTTAGAATACCTTCTCTCCAGAGATCCTATAGTAGCTGTGCTTCCTACTCTGTCCCACCCACTCTCTTTTTGTGTGTTTCTCTCTGTGTGTATTTCTCTCTGTGTCTTTCTCCCCTTCTTTTCCTGGTGCCATGATGCCACTTGCCTCTCCTTCTTTCCCATACAATTACTCCACTCAAGTACTCCCCTCTCAACTCGTGCCCCTCCTCTTCACACAGGGCCCCCAGGGAAGTCTGTGACTGCTATTAATCTCATAGGGAACAGGCCTTGGAATTTCAGTGAATAAAATTCTCCATCTCATTATATAGGTTAATAAGCTCCTACAGCATGTTCAGATCCTATGAAATATTAACGACGTGACACAGAAGTTGTAGGCGGAGGGTATCTTATGCTTAGAGCATTTAGGAGCCTTTGCCAATGGAACATCAATCAGAAATCAAAACAAAGCATTGTTAAATGCATAATAAAAACTCAGTGGAAAAATATTTGATTTCTAAATGTCTGATATAGGAAGCAAGTTCTGGGGAGACCATTCATTGCTACTTAAAGGGAGATGTATTTAAAATTGAAGATGTATGTGACCTTCCCACTAGGAAATAAACAACATGTTTGGGTTATACAGAACAAAGCAGAAAAATCATTTTGGAAGTCAAGTAGTAAGTTGTAAAGTTAACATTTCATGGCAGCAGTTTTTTATTCTACAGTGTATGATAGGCAGTGGGGGCTAAGATTAGCACTCAGCTTCCAGTTCACAACTTGGTGGAATCAAATATCTTTCTATGAGCACAACTCTATGGCAAGTCCCCCACTGAACCTCTCAGAGCAATGGAGAGGTTTGAACATAAAACCAAAGCTCTTCTAACTGAGGTTCCAATTTTATGTGCTCCTTAAAGATAAATGTAGATTTAACTTTTACACTTTAGTGTCCTGCGTTGACCTGGTATGGTAAAAATAGCAACCCTGAGCAAAGAAACCATAGAAGAGTTTATTTCTTTTCTTGTGTGTGTGTGTTTTTTTTTCCCTTTATTCTTTTTTGGCCATGATAAGACACTTAATTGCTGCAATACTGTCGTTTTAGGAGGGATATCTCAGTGGTTCAAGTAGGACAAGACAGAGCCTGACGCTTCTGGCAAATTCAAAACTGTGCAGCTAGACAGTATTTGCCAGAATCTTAGTCCAAAGCCAGAGGTTCTCCGCTGTTTACGCAGATTCTCCATCAGATTAAAGTTGTTCCCACCTTTAAATTTTAGAAGGATAGTTTGGAGACTGTTATGACTATCCAGACACTTTGTACATTTGAGAAGATCCAGAATTGTCAGATAGCAACATTTTTTTCCTTTCCTTTCTTTTTTTTTTTTTTTTCCTCTATACTTTTGGATGCTTAAATAATTTTTTTCTTCTGCAGACTTCGGAAAGGGACTGCTTGAGTTCCAGAAGGCCAAGAAAGTTTCAAGGAAGGAAGAAAATAAATCACAGGATCAAACTAAAAGTCATCCATCATGGACCAGGTCTGGACCCTAGGTTCCTGGGTCAGGGAATAATAATCATGACACTGTAAACTTCTAGTGGGAGGAATCATAATTCATAGGCTGACTCTACCATTACTCTGAACTCCCTTTTCATTTGCTTCCTGTCCTAGCTTTCCTTGAAGCTAAAGGTAGCCATGTGACACTGTGTTAGGCAATGGAACTTCAGCAGGAGTCTGCTGGGCTGAGTAAGAAAGGCTTTCTTATTTAAAACAAACAATATAACTTGCGTCTGCCTTTTGGCCCTGCCTTGAATGCAGATTCTGTGCCTGGAGACCACAGCAACCATCTAGAGAACATGAGGGAAATGCCAAGACAATGGCAGGAACCTTGGACCCGGCCGGCATCACTGAGTCATGGAACCAAAGCCAGTAGCGGCCTCCTTCCAAGGAATTTGTTAGTTAATAATGAAAGGAATTTATCTATTTGAACCACTCTATGATGGATTTGCTGTTGCTTGAGCCAAACAGATTCCTAACTGATACATTGCCCTGGCTAGTGCCTAGCAAAATGACTTTCAACCAGCAAGAGGGAGAGAAAACACAGGAGCTCAGGCTTTAATAACCATCTCAATAGCCATCATTCTAAAATCTGCTTCTCCAGTCCCAGTCTGCTTTCTAAATTTTAGAACCGTGTGTCCTATGGCCTAAAGGGTATTCCCAACAGGCTAACTCACAGTACCTCAAACTCTTCTTTTACTAAACTAAACCCCCGTTTTCCCCCCTAAATCTGTTCCTCTGATTTGAATTCTTAATTTAAATTAACAGGATCACAGTCCTCTAACTGTTGAAGTCAGGATATAGGCCCCACCCAATGGAATTCTATTGAGCTTGCACCATTTCAAAGTCCTAATGACAGATCCACAACTTTCTCTGTACTAGAGTTTTTTTGTTTTGTTTTGTTTTGTTTTGTTTTAAACCTGGAGATTAGTCACATAATGAACTGAGAAAAAAATGCACAATGACTTCAGGTTTACTCACATCACTGCTCCTCCTCCTGCTCTCATATCTTCAGACTTAAGGACAAAAGGGAAGGGGAGAGGAGAAGGGAAGTATTCTTACCCTGATAACTGGTTCTTCCTGGATCTGCCCAGCTCCCTGGCCTTGGTGAGGGAAGGGGCCCCTGGAGAGGGCAGGGTTCAACAGCCAGGACTTTTCAAACGACAAGAAGATAATAGGAAAATATCGCTCAGAAAGAAGCTACGTGAGGACCAAAATATTAAATCTCTTTATTTTGTTTTGCTTTTTCAAATTATACAGTCTAATCCTACCCACAGGTGCCATTAATATTGGCTCCTCCCTAGAGACTCAACTCCAACCAGCAAAAGAAAATTTTAAAAATGCTTCGGTTCACATAACTCACCATAAAGGTAGCACTGGAGCTGGCCCTAGGGTTGACCGGAACGGGGAATTGACATCCCTTCAGAAATACCTTGCCTGTCAGCTTCATTCTCTCAGTGCAGACAGGCTGCTTCTCACTGCAGTCCACAGGTCACCAGCCTTTCAGCTCAAGCCCAGAGAGAAAAAGTCACCTCTCACCTCACCTCAGTCCAAAAAATCCCAGAAAAATAATCACTAGGCGTTTTCTGAGGTCCTTGAGGACAAGGTTTGTACACATAAAAGACTGTGTGCAGCAACTTGGTTTCTAAGATAAATATTCAATATACTAATGTAATGGAGTTTTTTTTTTCTTCCAGCTTTTAAGTTCAAACTACAAATCTTATTATTCTATCTATAAATCTAATAAAATTTTAAGGGATACTTTACAATTTTGGCAATTAAGTTCAGTTAAACAGTCTAAACCACATTTATAAATGTAATATATATGATTTTCTTTTTAAGTACTTCAAATACTTCACTAACAAGCAAAACTTTTCCAAGAACCTAAGCAATTCTTATAAATCTAATAAATTAAACTTTTAAATATCGTGACCCTTAAGTTCTCTTAAATCTTTCAATACTGTTTACAAACTTAGCCAGCTTCTCCTGGAACTTTCTAGTCTAAAATCAACCACTAAATTAGACATTTAAACTAGAATCACATGGCTAATTACAAGGTTGACTATATGCCAGAATCTTTAAACGTTAAAAACACTTTACAAACATTACAAACACTTTAAGTATCAGACATACTGCAGTTGTCTTAAATTCAACACAAAAACGTTGAAGAGTGTGGGTTTTGTTTACTTCATCCTCCTTGTGGTTAACTCTAAAATCTTCCAAGGTTGGAAAACACCTGATAAGGAAAGAGTTTTATAATTCCCAGAAAACTGGAGCTACCTTCCCACTGATTGGTTTTTCTCATTAACCAGAAATTTAGACACAGACACTAGGGACTAAAGCCCTTCAACTTGATAGTCTTAACTTTCCTGACAGGCAGGATGAAGTCCTTTTATGTATATATGTATGTATGTCTTTATTTATTTATTGTAGAGATCAGGGTTGGGGGTGGGGGGGGGGGTTCTCATTATGTTGCCCAGGCTGGGCTCGAACTCTTGGCCTTAAGCAATCCTCCCACCATGGCCTCTCAAAGTGCTGGAATTTCATGTGTGAGCCACCGTGCCCAGCTGAAAGCCCTTTTTAAAACAATCAACAGTTAGGGAATGCTAACCCCATGTCCTAAAAATGGGGCCCATATAGCTGAACTGAATCTCCTGAGTTAAAGCTAAACTGTTTCCTAATTTATTTGAAACGTCTTTTACCTATCATCACCTGTTTTGAGTTCATGAGTTTAGTAACTTCTCGTCTAGATTTCTCCTTCACTTGATTGGAATCAGTTAATCTATTTAGTGTTTGATTTCTATGCAATCTGCCCCATGGGCTACATCTGCCAAGGCCATTTTAAAAACAGGAGGTAGAAGGACTCTAGGTATTTTGGTCACGTGCCCACCTGCTGGGCCAAGTGAGCTGAATTTCTGGTTACTGTACCTTTTGACCATGGGTCCACAGACAGGGTAGGGAAAGAAGAGAGAAACAATGAAGTCGCTGTTAGGAGAATAACAAGCAGCTACTGGCAATAGTTCCCACTCTGCCCACATCACACACCCCTTCCCAGTTCATCTCCATTCTATGGCCAGTAAGATTTTTCTCATATGTAAATCTGGCCATGCATGTTTGATATGGTTTGGCTGTGTCTCCACCCAAATTTCATCTTGAATTGTAGTTCTCATAATCCCCGTGTGTCATGGGAGGGACCTGGTGGAAGGTAATTGAATCATGGGGCCAGTTACTCCCATGCTGAGATTCTCACGATAGTGAGTGAGTTCTCACGAGATCTGATGGTTTTATGAGGGGCTTTCCCCCTGCTGCTCAGCACTTCTCGTTGCTGCCACCATGCGAGGACGGATGTGTTTGCTTTCCTTTCTACCATGATTGTAAGTTTTCTGAGGTCTTCCCCAGCCCTGCAGAACTGTAAGTCAATTAAATCTCTTTCCTTTATAAATTATCCAGTCTCGAGTATGTCTTTATTAGCAGCATGAGAACAGGTTAATACTATCTTTCTCATTAAAATCCTTGAGAGACCTTCATTGTCTACACTGTGGGATTGTACTACTCCATTCTTGCATTGCTGTAAATACCTGGGACTGGGTAATTGATGTTTTTAAAAAAGGTTTAACTGGCTCATGGTCCTGCAAGCTATACAGGAAGCAAGATGCTGGCATCTGCTTAACTTCTGGGGTGGCCGCAGGAAGTTAAGGTGGAAGGTTAAGGGGGAGCAGACACATTGCATGGCCAGAGCAGGAGCAAAAGAGGGTGAGGGTGAGCTGCCACACTTTTAAACAGCCAGATGTCACCAGAAGTCACTCACTATCACAAGGATAGCACCAAGGGGATAGTGCTAAGCCATTTATAAGGAATCCACCCTCATGATTCAGTCACCTCCCACCAGGCCCCAACTCCGACATTGGGGATCACATTTCAATCTGAGATTTGGGTGAGGACACACATTTAAATTATATTAGGGATCTTTACACCATTCATAAGGTCTCTCATGATGTGACTGCCAGACCCCTTTCAGCCTCATCTCCTCATATTTCTTATCTTTTGATACCTCTGACTGATAGAAGCAATGATTTCTGGAGCCCTACATATGCTATGAGTTTTTCCACCTTCCCTTCTTTATACACACCAGTCCTTCTGCCTTCAATGCCCTTTCCTGTTTTCTTTGTTCACTAAACTCCCATTCACACTTCAGGAACCCCTCCGAGGATCTCCTTCCCTCAACACCTCCCTCGTTTTTTCAGTCGTGCCTTCTTCTGGGGCTCCATAGCACCTTTGTGACTCTATCAAGCACTCATCACAATGTTTGGCAATTATTTATCAACATATCAACTTACTGTTAGACCATCAGTTTTTCAAAGGCAGGGTGTGCCATTTTTCTTTATAGCCCTAACACCATCCATGGTACCTGGCACATAGACAATCTCAGTAGGGACCTCCATGTGAGGCCGCTGTAACAAACATAACTGTGAAATGTAAGAGCAATTAATACATGTTATGGTGCACAGTGAAAATTGACGAGTGTATATGTGTGTGTGTGTGTGCTCAGGGTTGAGGAGAGAGAGAGAGAGAATGAGATTTTAGAAATCACAGTTAAATCAATCAATGACCTAAGAACTAGGAGAAACCTTAAAACACTTAACAGGAACAGGTAAATGTGGGAGCATGGAATACTTAAGGCCTCTTAAGTTTCATCTAAATAAGGATAATAATAATAATAGCAAACATAACTGGACACAGTGGCTCATGCCTATAATCCGGCACTTTGGGAGGCTGAGACAGGAGAATCCATTGAGGCCAGGAGTTTGAGACCAGCCTGTGCAACACAGTGAGACCCTTGTCTCTCTCTACATATATATATTTTTTAATTAGCCAGGCATGGTGACACACACCTGTGATCTCAGTTACTCAGGAAGCTGAAGAGGGAGAATTGCTTGAGCCCAGGATTTCGAGGCTGCAGTGAGCTATGATCACACCACTGCACTCCAGCCTGGGCAACAGAGCAAGACTCTGTCTCTAAAAAAAAAAAAAAAAAAAAAAGCAAACACTTAAATAATGCTTTCCATGTTCCAGTGCCAGAGATTATTCAATATCTGTTAGTTACCTTAGTAACTTAGTTTCTTACAAAAATCCCATTATCTAGGTTCTACTGTTGTTCTCCTTTCAAAGAGGAGGAATCCAGGCCGAGCAGTGTGGCTCATGCCTGTAATCCCAGCACTTTGGGAGGCCAAGGTGAGTGGATCACGAGTTCAAGAAATCAAGACCATCCTGGCCAATATGGTGAAACCCCGTCTCTACTAGAAATATAAAATTAGCTGGGCATGGTGGCGCATGCCTGTAGTCCCAGTTACTTGGGAAGCTGAGGCAGGAGAATTGCTTGAACCCGGGAGGTGGAGGTTGCAGTTGAGCCAAGCTCTTGCACTGTACTCCAGCCTGGGTGACAGAGCGAGACTCCATATCAAAAAAAAAAAAAAAAAAAAAAAAAGAGTAGGAATCTGGCTGGGTACGGTGATTCACTCATGCCTGTAATCCCAGCACTTTGGGAGGCCCAGGTGGGCAGATCACTTGAGGTCAGACATTCGAGACCAGCCTAGCCAACATGACAAAACCTCATCTCCACTAAAAATACAAAAATTATCCAGGGATGGTGGCGTGTGCCTGCAGTCCCAGCTACTCAGGAGGCTGAGACAGGAGAATTGCTTGAACCTAGGACTTGGAGGCTGCTGTGAGCCGAGATCAAGCCACCACACTCCAGCCTGGGAGACAGAGCGAGACTCTGTCTCAAAAAATAAATAAATAAATAAAAAATAAAGAAGAGAAATCCAAAGTACACAAAGATTATGTAACTTACCCATGCCTGTAAATATATGCAGCTTACCTTCTAGAGACAGTGCAGTATTGTTTGATGGGCCCAAGTAGCAACAAAGAAACAGAGAAAATGATAGAGCAGAGAGAAAGACTGGCTGGGGAATCCAGGAAGAAAAGAAGCTTCCAAGGGCTGAGACTCTAGGGTTCTTTATCCATGAGGTGATTGTCACCTTTGTAGGAGGATATTTATTCATATTATTTGCTCTCTGTGATCTTATTTGAATTAACATATAATTACCCCTCAGTGTCAGTGGAGAATTTGTTTCAGGAGCCCCGCAGATACCAAAATCCATGATGCTCACGTCCTTTATATAAAATGGGGTAGTATTTGCATATAAGCTATGCACATCTACCTATATATTTAAATAATCTCTAGATTATCTATAATACCTAGTTTAATGTAAACACTATGAAAGTAGTTGCTATACTGTACTGTTAAGGAAATAATCAAAGAATAAAAGGCTATCCATGTTCACTACAAATGCAACCATGCATTTGCTTTTTCAACTACTTTTGATCTGAAATTTGTTGAACCCATGTATGAGGACCCCATGGATACAGAGAGACAACTATATTCAATCTAGTTAAAGTATTCACCCAAGTACTAATGGATGAGGTCTGGATCTTTGATCAGATCCATCTACAGTAGCCCATGGAAGGATAACTGCCCTCCAATGAGTTTGCCAAAAGTATAATTAGCAATTCCAACTACTCTCACTTAAACAAGAAGATTTATATTATTTTTAACTTAATTAACTAGTTTAAAGTGGAATACTATTACATCAGGAAAGATCAGCTTCCACCCTATGGTGTCCCTGGTTAAGCATCAGGGTCCCCAAACACTCATCTTGTTGTGGCATTTCTGCATTATCAATAATGATTTTGCATCTCTCTCTACCAGGATCAGGCTAAGATGGGATGTCAGAGAGTGAGTGGATCCATGTATCCTGACTCTAGGAACTCCTGCCCATTTCTTTGTCTGCATGACTTTTGTAGTTTCTGCAGAGCTGAAAGGCTGTCACTCCAACCGATCACTCTTTCAGTGGTCAGTCCAAGCTTGTGACACAATTGTTAGCATGTAAGAAGGGAGCAGTAACATTGCATTGGCTGGACTTCTGGCAGCAGGGACGGACTCTGGGTTTCTGCACTTGTGACATCAGTCAGCACCAGGAGCAGATATGTGAAGCAGGAATTAAGATCATAGAAAATAGAGAGCTTGGAGAACAATGCCTTCCTGTTTTAATCATGTGCTGCCACATGCCCCCATGGTCTCTTTAGTTTGAGAAACAAGGCCATTTCCCCATTTACAAATGCAGGGTGGATATGCCTCCATGGGTTGTTAGGGTGATGAATGCCATGTGGTGTGTGCGTGTGGATGCATTGGTGTTGTGTTTGAAGGAGACTGTGCAGATTTCTGTAATTAAGAGATTCTTTAACTTGGTAACTGGGCTATTGTATTTATACGGACTCTCCCTTTTTAATATTAGAAATACTCCATCAAGCTTATTAGTTGTGAGTCTATTTCCGATGCTATATTCCTTGTAAAAATTACAGAGCACAAATATCATATCTTCTTTAGTCCCTCAGCTTCCTCATCTGTGAAATAAATGGCTTGAGGTAAACTGTCTTCATGCTCTCTTATAGCTTTACAGTTCCAGAATTTGAGATGATCAAAAGTACTTGTTGCTATATTATAAATAGCTAGTGTTTGCAATACATTTGACATCTGGGGACTAATTTGCTTTGTAATAATACTCTGTGGGGGAGAAATACAAGGATGTATCACATTGCTTATTGCTTACTTCTCTGTTTATCTGGCTGCGATCTAACACCACATCAATTGGCAGTAAAGCTCGCTGGTCAAGCAGAAGGTATCAAGGTAACTCTTCTGCCAAAGGTGGAGCTAACGGCATGACACAGAGTCTCACATGCTTTCTCCAATCTGTAGCTGTTTGTTCACCTGGAATACCCCACATGTTTGTTGGAGACAGCACTGTTGGATCTCTTCCCAAGGCTTCTGGAGTGGGCTACTGTCCTCTGGGAATTCAATCCTTTCCTTTAGTTCTCCGATTAACTCGGATTCAAAGTTGACCCTCTGATCACTAGGGACCTTTAGAAAAACCTATAATGGTTTATAAAATAGTTCCATAATGTGCTAGCCTCTTTCTTGGTCATTGCGATGTGATTACTTTGTCTTGTTAGGGAAATATTTCTGATTCTCAGCGAGTCTGATTCCAGGGACAGAAACTAAGTGCAAAAGCATTTTTCTAGACCAGGAGCCACTGGCTTCATTAGTTTGGCTGCCCTCTCAGCTCCAGACTTGTGCTTTATACACTTCTCACAGCTCTGACACCTCTGTTCAACATGTCTTGTCATTCTCAGCTAATAAAATTGGTCTTGCGCCAAGTCAACCATTCCCTCAAATCCTGGGTGTCCCATCTCATCATGTTTTCCTTTTATCACTGAATAAAGCACAGTACTGTTTGACTAATTTGTGTGTGTGTGTGTGTGTGCGTGTGTGTGTGTGTGTGTGTGTGTGTTGCCCTGTCCTAAAATTACAAACCTCTTCCAACATAAGACTGGGCCATTTTCTCAACTATGATTTTGTTTCTTTTTACTTTTCTACAGCTAAGGTAGGGTCTAAGGATGTGATTTTTTGAGATGTGTGGCTCTTTGTTCTTTTTGAACATGTTCAATCATTAAGAGAATAATTCATATTCTCTATAAGCCCATCAATTTGCTTAAGAAACTCAGCTTCCACTGGGACATCCTGATTCACATTAGGAGTATTTCAGTCTGTTACAGATCAAGATGTTCAGTATCTCACTCCACTTCCCCCACTACCCTGTGAGCCAGAAAATCTGTATTGTTTAGTGCCTTTATTCATATTGCCCATTGGATTTTTTAGATTAAATTTCCATTAGATATATGTATAAAATGTTAAATGTGATATCATGTTTTTTTGTTGTTGTTTTTGGTTAATTGTGTGCAGATTTCTTGTTCTTTTTCTGTTTTGCTCAGCTCCCCTCTCCCTTGTTCTACATGCCATTGTTTCCACCACATTATTCCCCTTCACCCAGCTTCTGCATAGCTCTTTCAGCAACACAGTATCTATCCTTCTATATTTCCTCATGTTTATGTAATGGTATACAAACATGAATGCACATCTATAAATATACAGAAATGGAGGTTGTGTTAGCCAAGGTTTCAGCGGGAAACAGATGGCAAGTTCCAATGAAGATCATTTAAAGAGAACCTAATAATGGGATTGTTTATGAAAGTGCAGAGACGTTATTGAAAAGTGGAAGGAGTGTAGCTATACCCCAGTGCTTTAATATTTTTAAGGATAAAAGGAAAAGGGATCAGGGGAGTGGTTACCAGAACCTGAAGGAAAGTCATATAGAAAGGGCTATCTAGAGGGAAATGATAATGTTCAGAGACTCAACCAACCATGACCTCATTTTCCAGCCTCTCTCCAATCATCTGCCAGGGCTCTGACTGATTGGCTAAAGCTGATGAGAAGTCAGAGACTTAAGAGTGTCCCATCCAGGTCAGTATCCCAGGGCACAGAGCAGAGTGGAGAGGGTGAAAAGTGGATCTCCAGGGGAGAAATAAAGACATAGGCTATGAATATTTTTGTTGTTACTTATTTTCTAAAAATGAGATTATATTATTCAGCTTTGCTACATCTGCTTTTTCTTTAATTCTTGGTGGCTATCCTTACAAAGTAACTGGCATAGCTCTTATTTATTCTTTTTAATGGCAGCATAAAAATTCATGGTGTGGGAAGTTCCAAAATTTATTCACTTTTTTGCTGTTGAACAATGTTGGAATGTACGTGCATGTCTATGTATGCTTGTATGTATATATGTGTGTGTATGTATATGTGTATACTGGTACTTTTAAGTATATACTTTTTATTCTAATAGGTTTTGCCAAATTGTTTTCCATAAGACTCTAACTTTTCACATTGACAAAGTATAGGAGTATCCTTTTTCCCTCTTTTACTTCATAAATATTTACTATAGACTTTTAAATTCTTTCTAGTTTGAAGGTAAAGTGATGCCTCATTGTTACTCCAACTTGTATATTCCTAATCGTTACTGAACTTGAATGTATTTTCCTATATTTGTTGGCTATCTGGGGAGTTATCTGGGTTTTCTAACCCACTGGCCAATGGCTGCTTGCTGGGAGCCTTTTTGGATTATGATTCTCTTTTTCATATTTTTGATTCTCTTTCTGATATCTCCAGCTGATCATGGCTGTCTACACTTCTCTTTATGCCTACAGTGGACATACTTTCCAAGGGGTAATATTCTTATTTGTCTATGCATTTGCACTTTCTGCCTATCACTGTGGGCCTTTTCTCTGGTGCCCATGAGCAAAGCTGAGGATTTTATCCTCTTTGGCATGAGGACTAGCTGTATGGCTGGAGCCCATCCTAAAACTATTTCTCCTTCTGATCTCAGCATCATTATGGATGTTCCCAAAAGCAGCAGCTGTAAGACATTATTTACTTACAGCCATGTCTCTTACTAGTGTCCTAAAGGCTGTGATATGACTTTAATGGCACATAAGGTATCGGTCATTTGACATGTATCATAAAGAAGAAAACTAATGTTATACGCTCACTGCTGTGCCTCTGTCATCTCTCTTACCTAAAACCTTGAGAGAGATCAAGGTGTAACAAATGCTCCTGTGCATAAGAATCAGCTGAGGAGCTAGTTAAAATGCAGATTCCAATTCAGTAGGCCAGAGTGTGGGCCTGAGATTCGGCATTTCTAATAAGCTCCTGGGGTGCAGATGGTGCTGATCCAGTAATCCCCACGTAAAGTGGAGAAAAGGTAGATAATAGAGGTGTTAGGAGATTAGGCAGCACATATACAGATTAAGGTGCCATATAGCTAGTCAGTAGAAAGTAACTGTTCATCACAGTCTACCTGAATCCAAAGTTCCTAGAATCAAGCTGTTCTGTGTGCTTATTTTCTTTCCTCAGAATTGGAAACCTTTCATTGATGGCATCACAGTCTTTCTGCTAAACAAATCCTAAGATTCTCTAGGACTCAGACTGTGTTATGCATATCTCTATGCCCTAGCCTTGCACGGTGCCTGGCACACAAATGTTTGCCAAATGGCAAGTGGCATAGTTGCATGGTTAAGCGAAAATATGTGGAACCTGGGAAAGATCTGCAATCTTCACTCTTAACTGTGCATAGCAGAGGCAGCAAGAAAGAAGATTCTAGCACCTGAGCTCGGAGTCCAGAATCTCTAAGCTGTAGCTCTTCTAATGTAGAGTACCATTTTGCTATGGGTATATCTCTTAAGTACCAGCCAGCTCAATAAACCACTGAGGATCTAAGCCCATGAGATAATTTATGGCAATCAGCCTGAATCAGAGTCCTTGGGAGAAGGAAAGGCAAGACAGTTGGTAAGTGTTGCCTGGAAAAGCATAGACTGGGCACCTATCTGTGCCTCTGAGCTCCTCTGAGTACACAGATAAATAGATGGGGCCTTGGCCTCATGCAGCTAACAGAGAAGACTCTAACACAAAGGCCAACAGGTATATGAAAAAGATGCTCAACGTTACTAACCATCAGGGAAATGCAAATCAAAACTCAATGAGATATCATCTCACCCCAGTTAGAATGGCTAAGACAGAAATTAACAAATGCTGGCCGGGATGTGAAGAAAAGGAAACTTTTATATGCTGTTGGTGGGAATGTAAATTAGTTCAGTCATTATGAAAAATTGCATAGAGGTTTCTCAAATAACTCAAAACACACCCACCATGCAATCCAGAAATCCCACTACTGGGTATTGGTCAAAAGGAAAAGAAATCAGTGTATCAAAGGGGTACCTGCACCCCCATGTTTATTGCAGCACTATTCACAATAACCATGATACGGAACTAACTTATGTGTCCATCAACAGATGCATGGATAAAGGAAATAAGATATATATACTTAATGAAATACTATTCAGCCATAAAAAAGAATGAAAATCTGTAATTTGCTGCAACATGGATGGAACTAGAGGTCATTATGTTAAGTGAAATAAGCCAGGCACAGAAAGACAAATATGATCTGTTCTCATGCCTAGGTAGGAGCTAAAAAGGTGGAAGTCATGGAGGTAGAGAGTAGGATGATGATTACCAAAGGCTGAGAAACGTGCGGGGTGGTAAAGAGAAGTTGATTAATGAGAATGAGTACAAACATAAAGTTAGAGAGAAGGAATAAGTTCTAATGTTCAATAGCAAAGTAGGGGTGACTATAGTTAATAATAATTTATCATATATGTCAAAATAGCTAGAAGAGAAGATTCCTAATACAAAGAAATGTTTGAAATGATGGATATCCTAAACACTGGATTTGATCATTCCACATGGTGTGCATGAATCAAAATATCACATGTACCCCAAAAATATGTCCAAGTATGTATCAATTTTAAAAAAGGATAACAAAATAATAGCAACCATGTATTGAGTGAGCTTAGTCCTACAAAAGAACCTGACATGTTACATACATTATCTCACTGTATTTAATCTTCATCGCAGTTCTATTATAGTAGATGTCATCCTCACATGAAGATGAGAAAGTGAGGCTCAGGGATGCTAAGAAACTCACACAGGCCACAAAGAAAACAAAGGTCTGAATCAGGATATGCAACAAGGTCCATATGACATATGACTCATTTTTGTTTTCATTCAACAAGAATTAATTCAGTGCCTACTCTAGGCTAGTTTGTGTGCCATGTGTTCAATGCGTGTTTCTTCTACAATACTTGGTGATATGTTTTGGCTCTTTGTCTGCACCCATCATGTTGAATTGTAGTCCCCAGTGTTGTGGGGGGTACCTGATGGGAGGTGATTTTTGCTTTTCTAGTGATAGTGAGTGAGTTATCACAAGATCTGGTGGTTTGAAAGTGTGTGGCACTACCCCCTTCACTCTCTCTCTCTCCTGCTTTGCCATTGTGAAGATGTCTTCCCCTTCCTCTTCCCTTTTGCCTTCCGCCATGATTGTAAGTTTCCTGAGGCTCCCCAGTTATGCTTCCTTTTAAGCTTATGGAACTGGGAGTCAATTAAACCTCTTTTCTTTATAAATTACCCAGTCTCAGGTAGTTCTTTATAGCCATGTGAGAATGGACTAATACACCTGGCCACCTCTTTGCTTTTCTCCCTTTTGAATAAAATTAAATGTCTTATAGTGGTTCCATCTACATATTCAAATGGGGAACAGGGAAAGTACTAACTGGATATCTCATATCCCCAGCCAGTTTCTTTTCTGAAAACACACACACACACACACACACACACACACACACACACACACGATAATATGGGTTTCTACACATAGTGGCCTCATTGGAAACTATTTATGTGGATAAAATGAGATTTACCAGCTCCTTCACAAAGGGGTAGATGTTGTACTTGCCATGTGTGTTTGAAAACTTTTCAGGCACTTTGTAGAAACAGTTTTTGGTGGAAATATAACACTTACTGAATAAGTGAAGGAGTTTTTTGGTTTTTGACATTATTAAAAAAGCGGCAAGTCTGAATCCTCTCAGTGCTCTGTGGAAGCGCACGCTCATGCTCCCCTTGGGTGGTGCCACATTATTCATTAGACACCTTCTCCGGGCTCTCCGTCAGTGTAGGCTGCAGGGAATGGTAAGCTATTAACTTCCAGTGACAAGAAGCTTAAATTACAATGCAAACTCTGCAAGGCGCAAAATTTGCAAGTTGAATTCCTTGAGAGGAACCCCTTTGTCTGGCTGAATGCTGCTGGAGGGATTGGTGGGGAATGGAGCCTGAAGTCTCATACAGCCTTTTGGAATCTTTATAACCTTCTTCTGCTTTGTGAACCTCAGGACCAGCCACTGAAGGAGGGGCTCTCCTTCCTGGAGTTCTTCCCTTATCTTTCCCCAACATGGCTGGGTAGCCATGATGACGGGGAGGACCTGTGGGAAGAACAAAGCCAGCCGGGTGTTTTATTCTGTCACTACCTTCCACTCAGTGGCCAAAAGCTTTAAAATCAAACACTATAGTTGGAGACATCAAGTCAATACTGGCTGCACCGACTGTCTCTGGCTGAAGGCAGCTTAAGGGGAGTGAAGGTAATGCTTGTTGACTCAAGAAGAGGCTGAAAATCTGCCCAGGAATCACCCAGTGGAGAAAACGATCTGATTTTAAAGTCACTGATAAATTCTTTCCACTTAATCTTTATTTAAGGAAACAGTGTTAATTAGCTGTGACTATTTCATGTAATTATCTTAAAACAGGATGAGTATTAAATGCTGATAAAAGCAATCTCAAAAGGCAATCGTGGGTTTTGTTAGTTTCAAGTATATTATTTAAACTAAACATAGTTGAATATGGTGAAATCAGAAATATTTTTAACCAATGATATAATTGTCCATGTTACATACACATTAAAATTGGGAATTAAAATCCATCTTTACAGGAACTTTCTATGCATTCTGCATGCCTGAAAGTTGTTTCTTCTGTTTCCACATTCATATTTTAAAATGTGGAGCATATTTTGTTAATTCTATTCTCCAAGCAATTAATTAGTGAAATATTTTTTGAGCATCTTTAGTGCTCAAGTTGTGGACAATACACAAAAAATATAAAATCTGATCATGTATCTCCTTAGGAAGATTATAATCTACTTGGGATGATGGAGGGGAATATGCAAATTTTAATCAGAGGTACTTAGGAAACTATGGAATTTAACTCTGGCTTTATCCAGAGAATAATTTTTACCTTTGACTCCCACCATGACTTGAACACATGCTCATCATTTGCAAATAACTATAGAGACTAAAACTACCCATATTTGGGAAGGTTTAGTTCTAAATATGACTTGACTTTTCATTTGGAAATGATGGTAGAATTAAGTTGCAGAAAGATACCACAGGTTGTAGTAATGAGCCAAACCTAACAAGGTTAACTTTAACCAGATTAAACAGGAAGGTCTACATTCCAGAGTACTGATAAGATTCCAAGCTGTGTGAGACCAGAGATGGAATGTGTCTAGCTACTCCATCTAGGTTCAGTATCTCCAGTGCTCAGCACAGTGTTTTTTCCATAGTTGACATTAATAAATATTTGTTGCGTGAGTGAACCTGCCCAAGCTACAAACCTATGAGTGAGAAGTGTGCTCAGAATATTTCACTGTGTTTAATCCTGGGAGACATAGCAAAGAAGCATGTAACATCACCAGAAATGCCCTGGAGAAGACACACAAAGGAGGGAGACTTGGTTAAAGAAGGGGCTTTAGGAGGCCGAGGTGGGCGATCACAAGGTCAAGAGATCAAGACCATTCTGGCCAACATGGTGAAACCCCATCTCTACTAAAAATACAAAAATTAGCTGGGCGTGGTAGCGCACACCTGTAGTCTCAGCTACTGGGGGTGGGGGTGTGGGGGGAGGTGGCTGAGGCAGGAGAATTGTTGGAAGCTGGGAGGCAGAGGTTGCAGTGAGCCGAGATTGCGCCACTGCACTCCAGCCTGGTGATGGAGAAAGATTCTGTTAAAAAAAAAAAAGAGAGAAAGAGAGAAAGAAAGAAAGAGAGAGAAAGAAAGAAAGAGAAAAGAAAAGAAAGAAAGAAGAAAAAGAAAGAAAGAAAGAAAGAAAGAAGGAAAGAAAGAAAGAAGGAAAGAAAGAAAGAAAGAGAGACAGAAAGAGGCTTTAGTTCACTCCAAGGTGTTTTCCCATGAAAGGGTTATAACCTATTTTGGATTGAAACCTATTACTAATTAGTAAAATTAATTTATTAGTTCAGAATCTGCATTATTGGTTCAGAATCTGCATTTTTTAAAATGTAAAGGGAGAGAAATGTGAATGCATCCTAGGTAGAAAGGTAAGTCTTTCTTCTCTAAACATCTATATCTGATTATATAAGTATATGTTATATTAAGTATAGACATTATGTATATGTATATGGATACATATACATGCATTAAATACATGTAATGAGTTGCAATGTTAGTGATAACCAAAATATTTTAAACAGTATTTCTCTAGAAGGAAACTTGATGATTGGTCATGAGAAAGAATAAAAGCCTTTTATCTGAAGAATGCAAGCTCCTTTAAATTATCAGTCCCAGAAAGGAATTTAAAATGTAACAATAATCAGATCTCACTCTTCCTTGAGCTAAATAATTATTTCTTGAAGCCACTTGCTACGCAGGCTCTAGACTGACGACACTGGCCATAAAATGCCATGCGCTCTATAGTTTAACAATGTACAGCCAATCACTAAACGATGTTATTTCTGTAAACCAAAGAGAATGTTCAACAAAAACTTTTGTAATCACCCCCTCTTCTGATTTGTCCTCTTTTTATTTAAAAACTTTTGTTCTTTGGAGCACTCCCCAGGACAACTTGGAAGTGTGTCTCGGGCTAGAGTCCTCAGCCTTTGCACTTGAATAAGCTGTCTTTAAACTGGATTCTAACCCGTTTGATTATGTTAGGTTGGCAGTCAGAAAAGAAGGAGCAGTTTAAACATAGGCAGGAAAGATGGAATGGCCCAACCAGGTGATCTGCAAGGAATATGGTGTGGCTACAGGATTGGATGTCTGAGAGAAAGAGATGGGAGATGAGGCACCAGGAGCCATTAGGGGAGCCACAAAGGGTATTCTACTCTGTTATGACACGTGTCCTTTATGCTGGAGGAGTTGTAAACAGGATGGATAAGAGATAATAAAGAGTGACCAGGAGAGTCAGAAAATAGGAAGGAAACAATGCAGAAGTCAAAGAAGGGTTGACTTTCAACACAGAGCTGAAGTTGTAATCAACAGTGTCAGTTACCCCACTTTGGTCAAATATAACAGTAATCAATGTAAAGGTCATATCTGGCAGTGAAGAAGTCTGTGATCTTGGTTCCTTGGGGGCTTTTTGCAGCCTTTTGGGCATCAAGATCCTACAATAAGAAATACATTACACATGGCAACCCAGCACACATATAACATACAAATCAAACAAAATGTTCACAAAATTATATATATAGTTATCATGTACGATACACTCTGTCATTTTTTCTTCTCTATTCTATTCTGTTTGCTTATTTTTTAAATTTGTGAGATCTACTAAATTGATTTCACACCCAGCCACTGGCTGGTGACCAACAATTTGAAAATTATTGCATGAGATTACCACGCAACTATATTAGGATAAATAATATGGCAACCAGTACAGGTTCTCCCATGACTAAGGATAGCATTTTTTTCTCTGTTGTGTGTGTCTATTTTTATAAATTTCATGTGCTTTGCAAAGCCAAAACTGTAACCTTTGTATGTGTATTTAAACATGTTAAAGTAAGAATTCAATTCATTTTAGTCTCCAGGCTCTCAGACGTTTTCTAGAAATGCGTTTTAAAAACCATTCATGGCCGGGCATGGTGGCTCACGCCTGTAATCCCAGCATTTTGAGAGGCCGAGGTGGGAGGATCACAAGGTTAAGAGATCGAGACCATTCTGTCCAACATGGTGAAACCCTGTCTCTACTAAAAATACAAAAATTAGCTGGGCATGGTGGTGGGTGCCTGTAATCCCAGCTACTCAGGAGGCTGAGGCAGGAGAATCGCTTGAACCTGGGAGGCGAAGGTTGCAGTGAGCCAAGGTCGCGCCACTGCACTTCAGCCTGGTGACAGTGCGAGATTCCGTCTCAAACAAACAAACAAAAAACACATTCATACTGGTAATTGTAAAATTGCTTTATGAAACTATCTGTCTTTAAAAGCAAAAAAGCACTATCCAGTCACAAATATTTCGTGGGATTGTGGAGGTGGAGGGAGGAGTGGGTCTAAATTGAAAGACTTCATTTTAAATCATGAAAAACAAGAACAAAAACAATCCTTACTTTTCAAAGAAGGTCATGAGAAATTTTCCTTCTTTTTAGAAAGGAATAGAGTTCAGATAACTTTTCAAAATTGGCTCACCTAGGATAAGAATCAGAACATGTTTAATACATTTTTGTCATGCATATGCATGTTTTCTATCTTAAGGGTTGAAATATTTAAACTAAAAACTACATTTTAAAATAATTACTTTGCTCCCTAATAAGAACTCTGCAAACATAGACAATTAGAGCTTTTTTTAAGCTGTTGCACACCTAGGTCACATGAAAAGCCTTCCAAATGCTCCCTGTGGAGAAAAATATTCTAAGCAAATATCTATGCTTTATTAAGTTTACTTAAGATAAAATTTTGGCAAAGATTGTGTTTAGGGTCAACGTATTCTAGTTTTTAATCCTTGCAAGTGATATTTGTCATTATCTGACCATAGAGTTTGATGGGTACAAACTTTGTGCTAATAGCGTTGTACTCCTTTCATTAACACTTTATTAATTACAAAATATTTGCTTTGTTATAAGGCATCTTGAAAATTCTAAAGTTTTTAGGAAAGTAAGAAGTTTTCAGTTTTGCCTTCGGGAAAGTTGTTTTCCTGATGTTTCTTAGAATTGAGTAACATCCTAAAATCATATCTTGAAACAAATAAGATGAAATGTAAAAAATTACACATTTAATTCCCCTATAAACTTATGGACAGGATGGAGTAGGCCTGGGCTCAGTAGATAATTGAATTCTCTTCACTGATGTCTATCAAACAGAAGGATTAACTGACACTTGCCATTGCTTCTGAAAAGCATGCTGACTGAACACATCCAGCTAGCAGGCTATTCTCCAGCAGAGCCATGCACTGCTATTGCCATGTGTGAGTTGTGTGCTTACCCAGTGCCAGACAGGTGTGCTCCTGAACCTATTAAAGCAAATTTCACTTGGTATTACTGTGAGAGGAAAAGTCCTTTTCCCCACTCCTCGATTCCGTAATGAGGGATTTTCCCCAAGCACCTTCCAAACCTCTTTCTCTCCTTCATTCTTTCTGCCCCTGGGAAGACAGAGTAATTTACCAATGGTAAAGTTGAGACAAATGATGTGGCCGGCTAAGCGTTGCTTTTCTCTCTCAGATAAACATGCCACATTCTGCTCCCAAGGAACTTTGCCCCTGTAGGGGAAGGCCAGCCCAAACCCATTGCTTCTTTAGACTGGGTGATTAAGTCTTGGCCTAATTCCTACTTGCACTATCATCTTGAATAAAAACTAAAGTCAAGTCCTTCAGTTTGGGCTCTGTAATTACAGAAGTGATATTCTGACCTCAATATTTGCTCTGTGTTTTATTTTCAACTTGTTCAGAACCTGGATAGGAAAGAGAATCCTATTTCTCGAGTTCACTTTTGTAGACCCTAACAATATTAATTGCATTATTTAATTCAACATTACTTAAATTGATAACATATAATTAGAGTTGTTGATTCAACTAAGTTGAATATTTTTAAAAAGAGTTGACCAGGCAAATCATTTAATAAATGCAATTAAATTTGAGCATGGAAACTGTAAACATTCATCAAAAAATTATAAAAATCTAGAATTCTGCATTCATGTTACTTCTCCCATGTCCTAAAATTCTCCCTTCATTTGAAACGTACTCCAAATGGAACTCTTCTATGATGCTTTTAATAGTATGCTTTTTTATAAAGCAAACACAAAATTCTAATTAGCTTACCCAAACAGAAAAAAAGGTTTTACTCCTTCAAAAAATGGCAAAATTTGCATATGTATATGTTTTAAGTCAAACAAAATGTTTAAAGCCTTTATGTGTCATTTTAAAATAATTTCCTTCTTTAATTTACCTTTTTAAAAATATTCTTCTGTACTAGATAACTTCTACTGCAGTTCTTATTTAAAAGCTCTTTGGATTTGTTGGGTTTGGAAACCTTTGAGAATCCAGTGAAAGCTGTGGATGCCCTCCTCCCTGAAAGTGTACATACACATGACTCAAACCTCCCAGAAGCCAAGAAGTCCATCTTTGATTCAGTTCATGGAAACCTCCTGATACGGTTTGGCTCTGTGTCCCCACCTAAATCTCACCTAGAATTGTAATCCCCATAATCCCCACAAGTTGAGGGCAGGACCCAGTGGGAGGTGATTGGATCATGGAGGCAGTTTCCCTTATGCTATTTTCATGATAGTGAGTGAATTCTCATGAGATCTAATGGTTTTATAAGGGGCTCTTCCCCCTTCGCTCATTTACTCTCTCTGGGCTGCCACCATGTGAGACGTGCCTTTGTTTCTCTCTCACCTTCCGCCATGATTGTAAGTTTCATGAGGCCTCCCCAGCCATGTGGAACTGTGAGTCAATTAAACCTCTTTCCTTTATAAATTAACCAGTCTTGGATATGTCTTTTTTTTTTTTTTTTGAGACAGAGTCTCACTCTGTCGCCCAGGCTGGAGTGCAGTGGCGCGATTTCGGCTCACTGCAAGCTCTGCCTCTCAGGTTCACGCCATTCTCCTGCCTCAGCCTCCTGAGTAGCTGGGACTACAGCCGCCCGCCACCATGCCCGGCTAATTTTTTTTGTATTTTTAGTAGAGACGGGGTTTCACTGTGTTAGCCAGGATGGTCTCGATTTCCTGACCTCGTGATCCGCCCGTCTCGGCCTCCCAAAGTGCTGGGATTACAGGCGTGAGCCACTGCGCCCAGCCAGGTATGTCTTTTTACCAGTGTGAGAAGAGAAAACAGACTAATACACCGCCTATCTCTAGGTGTTACTTAATGGATAGACTAATATATGCTAGAATTTCAGGTTAGCCATCAGATAAAATAAATGTGATTCAAGGCCATAGAAGTAGAAATGAGTCATCCACTTTATTCTAACCTCATCTGACTATATATCCAGAGGATTGTTTGAATTTCAAGCACCATATTTTAAGAGGCATATTCAAAAACTAGAACCTATTAAGAATGAATGGCTAAGATAATGCAGGATTTAAAGACTATGCCATGTAACCAATGGTGCAGGAGGTGGTTTTTAAATTTTTTTTTCTTGAGACAGAGTCTTTCTCTGTTGCCCAGGCTGGAGTGCAGTGGCGTGATCATAGCTAACTACAGCTTCAACCTCCTGGGCTTAAGCAATCCTTCAACCTCAGCCTCCAAAGTAGCTGGGATGACAGGCATGTGCCACCATACCCAACTAATTTATTTATTTATTTTGTAGAGACAAGGTCTCCCTATGTTGCTCAGGCTGGTCTTGAACTTCTAGGCTCAAGTGATCCTCTTGCCTTGGCTTCCCAAAGTGCTGGGATTACAGGTAGGCAGCACTGGGGAGGTTTAACTGGGGGAAGAATATCTTAGGAATTAAGGACAGCTGTCCTTGACGATAGAGGATTGGCATGAGGGTGTGGACTGTTCTGTGTTGTTGCAGTAGGTAGAACATGAAACAATAGAAAAAAGTTACTCTCTGGCAGGTGTGGGCTCTGTGAGAGAATCCCTTCAGCTGAAGAGAGAAGCAAATAATTACTGGTCAATAAACATCTATAATGAACCTCCTGTTATCTTAAGATTTTAGATTGCCTATCTCTTCCATGAGGTGTGGTTGTACGTTATTCTCCAAAGTTCTGAGCAACTGAATGCACTATGTTATGAAGATTGCTTTTCTGTGTGCTTGGACAAGTTATATATTATTCACCATTTAAGAAAAGATTACACAAGTATTTCAGTCTGAGACTTTTATAGTATTATGTCAGTTTTCTTGGTATTGTGCTTTTGATTTGTCTATTCAAAAGGATTTCTTGATTTTTGCCCCTTTTCTGGGCAATCCTTAAGCATCATGATAAGATAGGCTAAAATTTGATTTGGAAACCCATCCATTTTTGGCCTACATGCTAACCTCTCTTTTTCTCCAACCCTATCCCAATTTTCTCAGAAACATTCCCACAGAAAAAACAAATTTATTTTTTATTTTTAATATTTTAATTTTCTGGGAAAAATTGAATAATACAAATAGAGCTTCCCTTACTCCCCTCTCGCTTCTTTTCTCTTATCTTTCTTTCTCTGCTCCTGCTTCTTTCCCTTTAACTTGCGTCCATATTCCTCCAGGATCACTATATCATCAAAACTGACAACATAATTTGCAGAGCTCAGTGTAAAATGAAAATATGGGGCCCCTTGTTGAAAGAATGTTAAGAATTTCAAGATGGCAGCAACAAGGTACTAAACCAACAGCAGGTCCCTTCCATGTGCACTGGATTCATGCCCATGAAGCCAGCCCTCATTTTATTGTCATTTGTTGAGTGCCTCCTATATGCCAGGAACTGGGCAAACAGCTTCACATGCAGGATCCTATTTAATACTCCCTGCAATATTATCACCCTAACTTTGTCAGAACTTTGAGACATGGCGGAGAGATAATTTTCAAAAGTCACACACATGATATTTAGAGTTACAGGAATAGAATCCATACCTGGCTGGACATGGTGGCTCATGCCTGTAATCCCAGCACTTTGGGAGGCCGAGGTGGCCAGATCACCTGAGGTTGGGAGTTCGAGACCAGCCTGACCAATATGGAGAAACCCCATCTCTACTAAAAATACAAAATTAGCCAGATGTGGTGGCGGGCACCTGTGGTCCCAGCTGCTCGGGAGGCTGAGGCAGGAGAATAGCTTGAACCCGGGAAGTGGAGGTTGCAGTGAGCTGAGATCACGCCACTGCGCTCCAGACTGGGTGACAGAATGAGACTCCCTCTCAAAAAAAAAAAAAAAAAAAAAAAAAAGAATCCATACCTTAGACCAATGCTCCTCCCTATAAGGAATTAGGGAAAAGATAAAAGACATAGAGACAATGTGAGCAGCTGAGACCATCACTCTCCTCAAAGTCTGAGCGAGTAGCTCCACTATACACAGCATATGAGACACTGTGAAGTTCTAGGGAATCAAAGGAAAATAAGAATACTAGCCCCTGCTTTTTGGGCCTATGCAATACAGTGAGAAGAGGATCTAGCAGAATGATGATGTCTCAATCACTCAGAACAATGTAGTTGATCTGTTAAGAATCCTGCTATTCAGGGAAGGTCAAATTCCTTCACATTAATCCCATCACCCAGACTTGCTCTCCCCAGCTGGGCAACAGCAGACTGTTTTCATGCCAGTCCTTCTGCCTGCCTTTCTCCCCTTGGAGAGATTTGGCTAGTTATAAGTGTCACTCCAGCCAGACCTCTAACCCCCCTTTTCTTCCTGGAGATAAAAAAGCAACTCATTGGATTGAGTTGAAATGGATTTGTGTTAAGGATGTGGAAACATCGGTCCACATTTGGGGCTGTGTAGTGAATTTATCAAAATGCTGCAACTAGGCCAGGTGCGGTGGCTCATGCCTGTAATCCTAATACTTTAGGAGGCTGAGGCAGGCAAACCACCTGAGGTCAGGAGTTTGAGACCAGTCTGGCCAACATAGTGAAACCCTGTCTCTATTAAAATACAAAAATTAGCCTGCGTGGTGGTGTGTGCCTGTAATCCCAGCTACTCGGGAGGCTGAGGCAGGAGAATTGCTTAAATCTGGGAGGAAGAGGTTGCAGTGAGCTGAGATGGCACCACTGCACTCCAGCTTGAGCGACAGATCTCTAAAAAAAAAAAAAAAAACTGCAGCCAATGGAGATTTAGTGTCTTTGTTCTATGCCTGCCCTGGATCACTAAAAACAATGATCTTGGATATTTATTTCTGGTCTTCAGGTTAAAACTCTCCTTTGAGTGAAATTTTTCTTGAAGTTCACTCAAAGAAGAGTGAAGAATTGGATGAAGAATAGTGTTAACAAGCTGTGTGGCTGCACATATAAAACTGTTTTCCAATTAGTGCTAATAATGAAGCAATTTCAGCCTGGGCAACATAGCAAGACCCTGTCTCTACAAAACAAATTTTTTAAAAAATTAGCTCAGGTGTGATGGCACATGCTTGTGGTCCCAGCTACTCAGAAGGCTAAGGTGGGGGAATCGCTTGAGGCCAGGAGGTCCAGGCTGTAGTGAGCTATGATCTCGCCACCACATTCCAGGCTGGGCAACAGAGTGAGACCTTGTCATAATAATATTAGGTTGGTGCAAACATAATTGCGGATTTTGCCACTACTTGTAATGCCATTACTTTTAATGGCAAAAACAGCAATTACACAGTTACATTTGCACCAACCTAATAATAATGATAATAAAGCAGTTTTTTAAAATGTTCATCTCTTGGTCATTATAATTTACTTATGAATCGCTTTCAGACTTGAGAGGAAAAAAGGATAATATTTTTTTCCTTCCCAAACCCCAACAATAATTCCCCTTTCTCATATACACATACAGCCTCATACACACATTCTCCCACCCCCAAACCCTTATAATATTGCTTCGTGCAGACACCTCACTCAGTACTGTTGAGTATATTTCTTTTGCTGAAATCTGTCTGTTATGTAGAGTACCAAACTGAAAGGATTTAAGTCCTGTACTAAACTTTTTTCTTAATTGGTCGTCTGGTCTTGAACAAGACAATTTCTTTGAGCGGGCCTCAGTTTTTTCATCTATAAAAAAGAAGAGTTGGCTATTGTAACATTGGTCTTTCGCCTCTGATATTCTCTGAATATTCCTTCAGAGTCAGAGTCTCAGGGTCTTTGGAGGTAATGCCAAAAGAGTTCCATGACAACTTAATTTGAATCAATATGATTATGTAAAAGAAATGGAGCAAAAGCTTCAGGTAACATAAACACTTAGTGGAGATCATTGGGTCATAATGTTTCAGGCTGTGTTATCTAATCAGGGGCAACTTGAAGGGTACAGATTTGAGGCAACAGATGAGGATGTTTGTCTGATGGTTCAGGAGAGAGATGCTTTGAGAAAGACTGGATTTCATTGTGTTTCCAATATCACACAACATAAATGACCTCTTGGGTTTTTAGGTCCAGGTGTACTATCTTTTTTGAACAGATTAATTAATTACTTTAATCATCTACTTTGTAAATATACAATTTTGGGGCATGCCCAGGTGGCAGGCATGTTTGTAGGCACTAGATTAAATCAGTGAACAAGACAGAACAGAATCTTTTCCCAGAAGGAATTCACATTTTAGAAAGGGTAGATACCATTCCAAGTAGGAGAAAGAGCAGGACAGAGATTCAGAGACAAACTTGGCTGTGATTTAATGAATACAGAGAGTGAGAAGGTTAATTTTACATGTCGACCTAGCTGGGCCACAGGGTGCCCAGATTTTTGGCCCAACATTATTCTGGGTTTTTCTCTGAGAGTGTTTTTGGATGAGGTTATAATTTAGATTGGTGGGCTTTGGGTGAAGCAGATTACCCTCCATAAAGTGGGTGGGTCTCATCCAATCTCTTGAAGGCCTGAGTAGAGCAAAGGACTAGCTCCCCTGAGCAAGAGGAAATTCTCCAACAAACTGCCTTTGGACTTCATCTGCAACATTGACTCTTCCTGGTTCTGCAGCAAAGGCCTCTGGACTCGAAGTGCAACATCAGCTCTTCCCTGGGTCTTCAGCCTGATGGCTGCCTTGCAGATTTTGGACTTACCAGCCTCCATAATTGTGTGAGCCAATTTCTTATAATATCTTTATATATGGTATTAGTCAGGGTTCTCCAAAGGGAGAGAATGAATAGGATACAATTCCCAGGCCAAGTCCCATGATAGGCCGTCTGCAAATTGGGGAAATAGATGAAGCTAGTAGCATGGGACAGTACAAGTTGGAAAGCCTCAAAACCAGGGAAGCCAACGGGGAAGCCCTCAGTCTGAGGCCAAAGGCCCAAGAGCCCCTGGGAGGCCGCTGGTGCAAATCTCTGAGTCCAAGGGCTGAAGAATCTCGAGTCTGATGTCCAAGGGCAGGAGGAGAGGAAGCCAACTGTTCACATGGCACAAAAAGAGAGAGCAAGCAAGAAGACTCAGTAAGCAAGCTGCTTATCCCCCTTGTTCTATCTGCTTTGTTCTAGCCATGCTGGCAGTAGATTGGATGTTGCCTACCCACACTGAGGGTGGGTCTTCCCCTCCCAGTCCACTGATTATCAGTCTCCTCTGGCAACGCACTCACAGACACACCCAGAAACAATGCTTCACCAGCCATCTAGGCATCCCTCAACCCAGTCAAGTTGACACCAAATATTAACCATGATTCATAGGTAGATAGAAAGATAGATAGATAGACAGACAGACAGATAGATACACACACACATTCTACTGATTCTGTTTTTCCGAAGAACTCTGACTAGTAACAGAGACAAATAAAGACAAAGGCAGAGAGGTAGGCAGGGGCTGTGGTGGGCGGGAGGTGTTTTTTTTTTTGTTTTTTTTTTTTTTTGACCTGGTGACCTGGTTGGTAGTTTGTACTTTAATATGTAGGTGTTGAAGGGCTTGTCACAGGGTATTGTTAACATCTGGCTTACATTAGGCTCACTCAGGCTGCTGTAGGGAGAATGGATTGAGAGGCAAGTGTGCAAGCATGGAGACCATAGAGGCAGTGCTGCAAACCTCCAGGCAAGAGGTGGTGGCATGTTAAATGAAGGTTTAAGGAAATTCATTGGGCAGAAGTCATCAGATTCAGGAAACATTCGGCAGTGGATGCTGAAGAACCAACCTTAGATTTTGCATTTATTTTCAAATTTGAAAAACAAAGATTTGCTTCTGCACAAGACTACATAAACACAGGAGATTATTAGGTCATCACTCTGGCCCAGAAGGATCTATAGCCATAGTGTGTACATTAAAGAAAACAAAAGTAAAGTTTGTGTTTGTTAATACCAAAGTAATCTAAAGGTAATCAAAAAGCCCATGCTCAAGTGCTTTCGATGATACTTGTGCCTCACCTTCCTCATCTGCAGAATGAGGATAATAATAGGAACTGTCTTTCGTGGTAATGAATTAATACACATACAGGGCTTGGAACGGTGCCAGGCATGTAGTGAGGATCATATATGTCTTAGTTGTTACTAGAATTGATATTCTTCTTATTATCATCATCACTATTATAATGGATAACAATACAAAGCCAGTCAGACTTAGAATCAAAACCCAAATACTATACAAAAGTAAGGGAGTTATGCTCTGGATTGATTTTGAACTCAGATTAAACAGACAGAGGCTTATGGGAACAGTGCAGGCAAACATATTCTGAGTCCTATCATCCCAGAAATAAACAGCTCAGAAGTCAGAAACTCACACACACAAACACATACACACACACACACACACACACAAATATATATATGTATATAATTACATAGGATAATGATAGTAAAATTAAATATCTATAACATACAATGCACATAATGGTCTTTTCATATAGAGTATATCATTTAGTCTAATTTAATACAAATAAAGACCCAACGGGATATATTATTATCCCTATATTAGAGATTAGAAAAAAAGACTCAGAGAAGTTAAGTATGCCCAAGATCTCATGCCGGTAAGTGAAAAAGTTGCACTTCTGTTTTAAAACCCATGCTTGGTGTATTGAGTTGGGAGACAATGAGGATTATGTTAAGATAGAACAATAAACCTCAATACCAGGAAGGAAAAACCCTTCCTCTGTTTGTGTTTTTTCCGTGCATAAGGATTGAGAACATAAAATGCAGCCCCTGACTCTGCACCTCTCTGGTGGGAGCAACTGCCATAAACCTTCGGCAGACGTTTACTTCTCTCCTTCACAACTTGGCTCTTTGCCCTTCCTCTCTCTCCTTCCCAAATAACAATCACAAAGAAAACAAACCATCAGCTCACACCTCCACCCCTCACACACACACACTCAGATGCACACTCAGCCCAATTGGCGGGGTCCAGATGTCACTTTGGGGAGTATGGGAGTATTAATAGTTGCAAGGGAGGAATGTGGTAAGACTCAGGCTTCCCTAAATCACCTGACTCAGTGGTTTGCCACTCCTCAGTTCATACTTCCTACTTCCCTCCACAAAAAGCTCTTACCTGACATGATAGAGATGAGGCCTAACTATGGCCCTAAAGGAGCTGAAGAGACTTTATGTCTAGAGAATGTTTGGTTGAATCTGGAGCTAGAGGACAAGATTAATATCTTCGACTTCTGAAGGTCAGGGAATAAAACTGGGAGAAAGTGATTTTTGCTGGGTGTGGTGGCTCACACCTGTAATCCCAGGACTTTGGGAGGTTGAGGCAGGAGAATCACTTGAACCCAGGAGGTGGAGGTTGCAGTGAGCTGAGATGATGCCATTGCACCCCAGCCAGCCTGGGCGCAAAAGCGAAACTCCGTCTCAAAAAAAAAAAAAAAAAAAAAAGAGAAGAAAAGAAAAGACAAAGAAAATGATTGTTAAGAAGACACAAAAAATGTTTCGTTGCATGGCTTCTTTGGGCATGCAGCTAGAAACATGTCAGTCGGACATGGTGGGTGCGTATCTTCATCAGCAGGTCCACTGGGCACTCCCACTGGGCGATAGAGTATGGACACCATTCAGTCTTCATTTGACCAGCTATGATATTTGGGAAATACCATACATCCTGTCACATTCCCCATCATTCACTCTCTTCTATCAACTGAACCAGAAACCACTGCTTTCGGGGCTAACTCATCCCCCTTCCACAGCACTCTTAGTCCTGCTCTGCAAAGTAGGATCTGCAGACCAGCAACATGAGCACCAACTCTTACATGGGAGCTTGCAGGAAATGCAGAATCTTGGGCTCCATCCCAAACCTACTGAGTCTGAATCTTTATTTGGTGAGATCCCAAGATGATTCACATGTACACACATTGAGGTTTGAGAAGCACTGCCTTAGACCATCAAGGACTAAACTGAGGTCTTTTAGGGTGGGCATAACTTTCAGCAGTCAGATGGAGAGAAGATGTGAAAATTATTTGTCAACTGTAGTTTGTAAAGAGCAGAGAGAAACACTAACATCTATTCACCTATCCAAAACTGTGGTGGCATAAAAGTATTGGTCAGGTATTTGACCCACTAACCATTCAATGACAAGTAGTATAAGTGAACAGAATAGCAGACCTACCCATGCTGGTCCTCTGGAAATGATTGGAACCACTGGTACCAGGGATGCAATGTACCAGTGAAACAGAAAATCATCCCCTTTCTCTTCCCTGAAAACCAGCAAGACAGTTTCATATGATAGCATCAACACCTTTGACCCTCCATTTTTATATGGTGTGTGAAACATTTATCCTTATTGCATCATAAAATGAAGCCCACAAAATAGGAAATGAGGCAGGATTCTTCAGTTTTTCCAGATTGGTGTGTGTTTTAGACGGAGTGGGTAGAGTAGAGAAGGAAAAAGGGTTTATAGATATGGATGGTAAAGGGAAGGGTAAGGAGACAGCAGTGTCTCTCTCTGCAGACACAGGCAGAATGATATTAATACAATCCAGCCTTTTGTGGCTGATAGAATATTTGTACACACTTTATCTCATCTGACTTATACAGAAATCTCATGGCAGATATTTTTATTGATTGCATCATTTTATAGATAAAGAAAATAAGACTCTGGGAAATGAATGGAATTGCCCAAGGACAACATTAGTAAGTAGGGAAGCCAGTCCTCATAACTAGGTCAATGGGCAGTGAACGTGTTTTCTACTGGACAACAAAAAAAAAGGAAGGGAGGGAAAGTGGGAAGGAGAGAACAAAAGAAGGAAGAGAAAGAAAGGAAGGAAGAGAGGGAGGACAAAAGGAAGGATAGAAAGAAAACCGCTAATTTTTAATTGCAATTTTCTAACATTTTGACTAGACATTTATCCTTCTTGCTGTCCTCATTGATCTTTTGCAGTGTGGTCCTACATCTTGTTATTGTTTACTTGACATAAAATATCCCTTAATACTCTAATTACTAATTACGTAAAAATAGAGAATTGAAATGTTAAATATTTCGATTAAGTACGCATATTTTAGCTAAAAGTATGACTCACAAAAAATCAAAGTATATTTTCCAAAATCTCATTTCTACTATGGCTTGTAATTTCAGGCAATGTAAGGCTGCTTATTCCAAAACTTGGTATTTTATCTTAACTGGTTTCCAGCTTAACATCCTCACACTTGTCATTCAGGATTTGGCTTGAAGACGGGAAAAGGACTATGTGAGGAAGTATTTAGATGTCCATTCGCTGTTGCATTGCTGCTGTTGTTATTATTATAATTAAAGCTTCCATTGATAAGGGGAGTCAAAAATCCTAAAACCATAGAATGTTTACAAACCTAGAGAAGACCTGAGAGGTGACTTGTTTTAACCATCACATTTCATGATGAGGAAATAGAAGATGGATATGGTGGCCTGCAGAAGGGAGCAGTGATTCATCCAGGGTTCCACCATTGCTTAGTTAGAACTTGAGTCCAGATGTTCAGTTGATACAACAAGAAAAATAATATTTTAAGCAAGCTAAAGATTTTCTTTTATTGTTGGAACATTAGCATAATCACTCTGGCCTCTCAATAGCAAACCAATCAGTTATTTTTCTTTTTACCTACATGGTCAAAATAGATTATGTTCACATCACTGTGCTTTATTTTTCCCGTTGAGAGATAATAACAATAGGGCCTCATTGGCCTCTGTATCTTTTACTTATTCTCAAATATTTTAATTCCATAAAGCATAAGAAAATCCTTTGCCTGAGATACCTTCACATCCTATTCTACCAGCTTTTGAATAGAGTCTGATGTAATTTTGCATCCTCAGCACCTGGCACAAAGGCTTATCATTGTATTAGCTGCTGAGAGTGAATATTGAATCTTTATAATCTTAGAAACGGTAGAACCCCCTTTCTACTGAGAGGAGGACTGAGGCTCTTCTAGGTTAAGTCACTTGTCCAAAGCAGCCCAGTGAGAATACGGTAGGTCCCTGACAAAAACCCCAAAACCCAATCTGTCTCACTTGAGAGCAAGTGGTTTTCCCCTATTGTGAGTAAACACAAAAACTGCAACTTGATGAAATGAATGAATAAATGATCAATGAAAAAAAGAATACCCATGTGTATCTTAAGGTCTGGAAGTTGCACCAACCATTTTAGCAAGGCAGTCAAAGAAAGAAATCTATAGCAGTTTGATATCTCAATTGTTTGCTAGAATCACCTGGAAGGAGACAAAACTGCCAGAGGGGATCATCATGAGAGATGTTGACAGAGACTGACAAGAGGAGTGTTGCCTTCCTAACTCCTGCTGCATCAAAGTGCCCCCGAAAGAATGCAGGGCCTTCATCTCCCGCCCACGGCCATCCGAGAAAGTGGCCTGCTGCCAAGTTGCTATAAATCTGTTTTTTTAATTTAAACTCTTCTCTGGCCTCACCATTAGCATTGCTGCACAAGCAAGGAAAGGGAGTGGAGCCCCTCTGTGATTATCACCAGAAAAAATTCAGGGGAAGAAATAGAAAAGGCAATAACAGCTGCAGGGGCAGGGGCAGGCTTATTTCAGGATTCTGTGAGGGTCTTTATAAATAATTGAGAGTAAGAAACAGGTTAAACTGAAAATAAATGTGGCATACAAAATTATCAGTGTTACTCTACAAGAGAAATGTTTAAATAAAGCTGGGATCTTTGGAACATAACCAGAGGACTCCTGTTGTCTCTGAAGCTATTCACAATAAATAGCTCCTGAGACTCCAAAGTGCCAATTCAACAGTTTGTCTCTGCCTCAACCTTAATTTGGCAGACAGCTCTGTTGTAAATCTGCATACTGGGATGGAGAAAAGTTGTTTCTTAGCTGCACCTCCCAGAGTTTACTCTGCCTAACACAAAATGTAAATATGCCATTGTGTTGACTGGAAGTCAAATGAAAGATGCCAATTGGAAGGAAATATCCAAGGCCCAGATTCCTGAATAGTTGAAATATTCTAATTTATTGCCTATTATATGCATATCAGAAAAGGCACAGGAACCTGAAGACCTGGTACAGAACTACTTCAGGACTTAAGAAGGAGAGGTCTAGAAAGTCAACACAATTGTCCCTTTGTTCAAGATTAGATGTTTAAAAACTGCCTTGTCTGAAGACTTGGTGATGTCAGTCAAAGGGTAAAATACCATCAGCATCCTGAGCAGCAAATTCAGTTGCCACTTGACACGATTTAATCTTATAAAGGTCAAGAATCATATTTAAACTTCGTTTTGCAAAGTGCTTGTTGTTTCTATTGATGATTTTGGGGTTTGGATCTGAGGAACACAAAAGCCTGTCGGGTAGCTGGAATGATGTGGGCCAATTTTATGGGACACTCATTCACAGTTTCCCTGTAAAAACACTCCTTGAAAACTCTTTAGAACTCTTAGAATTGAGAGATCTTTATTCTACACTGTAGGCAATGATGATTGTCTTATTGAAAAGAACATTGAAGAACTTCCACCAGACCATCTAAATGTGGCAGGTGTAGTGAATGCAGAAAGACAGTAAGCTGAGAGGGTTTCAGCCCAGTCCACTGTCTGCAATTTTGGATTGAATGTCAAGCTTTCAGGAAATCTTGTTCCCATCCATGAAGACCTGATTTGGGACAGAAATGAGAAGGCAGTCCATCCTGGGCCTGCCTTCTAATTCCATTCAGCCTTCTAAAATCATTCTTGAGATAGATTCCAATCTGCTTGGGATATGGATGAGATGTGATAGTTGTAGGTAAACTGCACCAAGCAATACCATATGTACAATCCTCTTTTTAAGAAACTTTTTATTTTTGAAAACCTGCATCTTTACAGAAAAGTTGCCAAACCAGTAGAGATCCTGTATACCCTTCACCTAGTTCATTTTACATTACCATGGTGAATTTGTCAAAAGAAACAACACTGGTATGTTATTATTAACTAGGCTCCAGATTTATTTGGGTTTTCCACTAATGTCATTTTTTTGTTCCAGACTCTCATCTGGGATATTTTATTCCATGTATTGGTCATGTCTCTTTAATGTACTTTGGTCTGTGACACTTCTCAGTTTTCTGATATCTAGTCTTTGGAAAGAAGTCTTTAAATCCAGCACAAATTGGTAAGGGAGGGGGTGGAGCATGAATAAGCTTATACCTCTTGGAGTGGCAAGTATCTATGTATATTATTTCAAATTCTTCTGTGAAGAAGATTGTCTTTCTCTCTTGTTTATTTATTTATTCAATTATTTATGTCTCTGTGGACTCATACATATTTATTTTAGACATTGGTGTATATTTTGACTCCTTTATATTTATTTTGCACTATGAGTTATAATTCAATGCAATATTATAATATTTATTTTGTTACTCAAATTCCAGCTTTGACCACTAAGAGCTCTCCCAGTTGGCTCCTGTGTCCCTTTGACATGACCCCATTCTCTAATTTTCTGATGACTTCATTATTTTCTTGTACTACAAGATGCTTCAGGCTCATCTTATAATTTTCCTTTCCTGGCCCTAGAGCCAGCCATTTCTCCAGGGAGCTTTGGTTCTATTTACTGGAGAATAGTATTTTGAAATCAAAATCTCAGTGCTGGATATGCTCATGGTTACTACGGTGTCATTGTTTCCAGGCCCTCTCAGCTAACAGAGCTAGGTAGTATATATGTGTATATTAAGATACACAATTATAGCCATGCATGTCTTCACGTGTCTACCTACGCACATTTCTGTGATTATTCCCACATCTATCCATCTATGTGGATAATAAGTTAAATGTGAATTCATACTGATGTCTCAGACTCGAATCCAGTACCACATTCTTTCTCACCAACCCTTCTTGCTTATCTCTCACTTTCCACTGCAGCAGTGAGAAACCTGACTCCCATCATCCATCATGCATTTATGTGTTCAGCCCCAGTATACATATAAAGCTGTTTCACAATTGTTTAACCCATACCTCCAGAAGAAACAAATTTACCAGCTATAGTCCAATGTTTATCCTTACAGGTCCCAGACAAAACATAATTTTCCAGAGTTATTTAGGTCAGCTTCTTTACCCCCTACCTCTTCTGTAAAGTTTTTTAATATGTTTGTAACACAATTAGATTCATATGTCATTGTCTGCACAGCATCTTGTTGTTGTTGTTTTAGCTTTCAAACATTAAAGTTCTGTAACATGAATTTGTGTTACACATTTCCGTTGCTTTGAGATATTCTTTTATTTAAAAAAACAAAACCCCCAAAAACAGATCCAGGCTTCTAAAGTGAGCCAGTGCAAAAGGGATGGGTTTTTATGAAAATCCTTCCTTGCTGGAGGTCTTCCTTTACCATTTATCACCAAGGAGTACTTGTAATGACTTAACCTTCAGTCTGGGAGTGCCATGAAAATATACATTCATACTGACCATATCACTCAAGGGGGAGGAGGAAGAGTATTAGTTAAAAATACTAAACAAAAGTAAGGAGCTTAGGTCAAATCCTAAAGGTACATTAAATTACTCATTGTATAAGAATCATATATCAACGGAAGGGGCACAGAGCATAAATAAGGTGATATGGTTTGGCTCTGTATCCCCATACAAATCTCATATCAAATTATAATTTCCAGTTTTGGACAAAGGGGCTGGTGTGAGGTAACTGGAGGATGGGAGTGATTTCTAATGGTTGAGCACCATCCCCCTAGTGCTGTCTTGTGATAGAGTTCTCACAAGATCTGGTTGTTTAAAAGTGTGTAGCACCTCCTGCCTCCTCTTTCTCTCTCTCCTGCCAGCCATGTGAAAACCATGCCTGCTTCCCCTCAGCCTTCCGTCATGATTGTAAGTTTCCTGAGGCCTCCCCAGCCATGCTGCGTGTACAGCCTGTGGAACTGTGACTCAATTAAACCTCTTTTCTTCATATATCACCCAGTCTTGGGTATGTCTTTATAGAGGTTTGAGAATGGACTAATACAGAAAATTGGTACAGAGAGTGGAGTATTGCTATAAAGATACCTAAAAATGTGGAATTGACTTTTGAACTGGGTAACGGACAGAGGTTGGAACAGTTTGGAGGGCTCAGAAAAAGGAAGATGAAGGAAAGTTTGGAACCTCTTAGAGACTTGTTGAATGGTTATGACCCGAGTGCTGATAGTGATATGGACAGTGAAGGCCAGGCTGATGAGGTATCAGATGGAGATGAGAAACTTGTTGGGAACTGGAGCAAAGATCACTCTTGCTGTGCTTTAGCAAAGAGACTGGAAGCCTTGTGACCCTGCTGTAGGGATCTGTTGAACTTTGAATTTGAGATAGACGATTTAGGGCAAGCTTATCCAACTTGTGGCCTGTAGGCAGCATGTGGCCCAGGACAGCTTTGAATACTGCCCAAAACAAATTTGTAAACTTTCATAAACATTATGAGACTTATGCATGGACTCTTTTTTAGCTCATCAGTTGTTGTTAGTGTTGCTGTATTTTGGCCCAAGACAATTCTTCTATTTCCAGTGTGGCCCAGGGAAGCCGAAAGATTGAACACCCCTGATTTAGGGTATCTGGTGGAAGAAATTTCTTATTTATTAATTTATTTATTTTGAGATGGAGTCTTGCTCTGTCACCTAGGCTAGAGTGCAATGGCGCAATCTCAGCTCACTGCAGCCTCTACCTCCCAGGTTCAAGTGATTCTTCTGCCTCAGCCTCCTGAGTAGCTGGGACTGCAGGCACATACCACCACACCCAGCTAATTTTTGTACTTTTTTCTTTTTTTAGTAGAGACAGGGTGTCACCATGTTGGCTGGGCTGGTCTTGAACTCCTGACCTCAAGTGATCTGCCCACCTCAGCCTTCTAAAATGCTGCGATTACAGGCATGAGCTATTGCGCCTGGCTGGTGGAGGAAATTTCTAAGCATCAAAGCTTTCAAGATGTAGCCTGGCTGCTTCCAAAAGCCTATGCTCATCTGTATAAACAAAGAAATGACCTGAAACTACAACTTACACTTAAAAGGGAAGTGGAACATAAAAGTTTGGGAAATTTGTAGACTGGCCATATGGTAAAAAAGAAAATCCCATTTTCTGGTGAGGAATTAAAGTCAGCTGCAGAAATTTGCATAAGTAAAGGGGAGTTGAATGTTAATAGCCCAAACAATGGGGAAAATGCACCCAAGGTATTTCAGACACCTTTGCAGCAGAGGCCTAGAAGGGAAAAATGGCCCACAGGGCCCTGCTGCTCTGTGCAGCCTTGAGACGTAGCACCCTGTGTTCCAGCTGCTCCAGCTCCATCTGTAGTTAAAAGGGGCCAAGGTACAGCTCAGGCCACTGCTCCAGAGTGTGTAAGCCAGAAACCACCAAGGCTTCCATGTGCTGCTGAGGGCAAGAGTTGAGGTTTGGGAGCCTCCATCTAGATTTCAGAGGATGTATGGAAATGCCTGTATGTCCCAGCTGGAGTCTGCTGCAGGGGTGAAGCCCTCCTGGAGAACCTCTACTAGGGCAGTGTGGAATTAAAATGTGGGGTTGGACACCCCACACAGAGTTCCCACTGGGGCACAGTGGAACTGTGAGAAGAGGGCTGCTATCCACCAGAGCCCAGAATGGTAAATCCACCTACGGCTTGCACCATGTGCCTTGAAAAGCTGCAGACACTCAATGCCTGCCTTTGAGAGCAGCCTTGAGAGCTAAGCCCTGCAGAGCTAAAGGGGTAAAGCTGCCCAAGGCCGTAGGAGCCTGCCCCTTGCATCACTGTGGCCTGGATGTACAACATGGAGTCAAAGGATGTTAGTTTGGCACTTTAAGATTAAATGACTCCACAGCCAGGTTTTGGATTTGCATGGGGCTTGTGGCCCCTTTTTTTTGTCAATTTACCCCTTTTTGAATAAGAGCACATACCCAATGCCTGTACCCCCATTGTATCTTGGAAGTAACTAATGTATTTTTCATTTTACAGGCTCATAGGCAAAAGGGACTTGCCTTATCTCAGATGAGGCTTTGGACTGTGGACTTTTGAATTAATGCTGGAATGAGTTAAGACTTTGGGGGATTCTTAAGAAGGAATGATTGTATTTTGAATGTGAGAAGGACATAAGATTTGAGAGGGACTGGGGCAGAATGATATGGTTTGGCTCCATGTCCCCACCCAAATTTCATGTCAAATTTTAATTCCCAGTGTTGGAGAAGAGGCCTGGTGGGAGGTGATTCGATCATGGGAGTGGTTGCTAATGGTTTAGCACCATCACCCTAGTGCTGTCTTGTGAGAGAATTCTCACAAGATCTGGTTGCTTAAAAGTATGTAGCACCTTCCCCCTCCTCTTTTTCTCTCTCCTGCCGGCCATGTGAAGACCATGCCTGCTGCCCCTTTGCTTTCTGCCATGATTGTAAGTTTCTTGAGGCCTCCCCAGTCATGCTGCTTGTACAGCCTGTGGAACTGTGAGTCAGTTAAACCTCTTTTCTTCATAAATTACCCAATCTCTGGTATGTCTTTATAGCAGCATGAGAATGGACTAATACAGAAGGTTATTGGAGCAGATTTCCATTTTCTGTTTATCAACCCGGTATGAAGTCGCTCTCCATAAACTGACACCTCATAAAACATCTCCAGATGCTGTGTATGCTGAGCTCTCTCCTCCAGGTGTGTTTAACTCCTTTACGTTATCTTGCTCTGTGTCTCATCCATTTTTTCACTTATGCTGTTTCATACCTCCCTGTCCCTGAAAGGCTGAGACCTCTGCCTGAAGGGCCCTGAGTCATCTCGTCTCTCCAGGTACTATTCAGACATCACCTCCTCCATGAATCCTTCTCCTTCAGCTTGTATTAGTCAGCAGGTATTTACTGAAAGTTCGTTTTGATTGGGCATGGTGGCTCACGCTTATAATCCCAACACTTTGGGAGTCCAAGGCGGGCAGATCACGAGGTCAGGAGATCGAAACCATCCTGGCCAACATGGTGAAACCCGTCTCTACTTAAAAAAAAGTACAAAAATTAGCTGGGCATGGTGGTGCATGCCTGTAGTCCCAGCTACTTGGGAGGCTGAGGCAGGAGAATTGCTTGAACCCAGGAGGTGGGGGTTGCAGTGAGCCTAGATTGTGACACTGCACTCCAGCCTGGCAACAGAGTGAGACTCCATCTCAATGAAATAAAATAAAATAAACAAGAAAGCTCACTTTGTGTAGGGTACTATGGTATGTTCTCTTGGGGAACACAAAGAGGTATGAGTCATGTTCCTGGCTTTGGAGTGCTGTCATCGAGAGGAGGAGCCCAAGACATATCCCGAGATATCTACCGGTGTAGGATTCATCTAGAAGTAGAGAGGCATGCTGAGCCACAGCATGCTGTGAGCAAGAGTTGGCACATGAATCTGCATAATAATTTGGGAGAATGAGGGCACAGGGAAGGAGTTTACTGACAGCACCGCACAGTTTACTTGGGACATAGGGATTATCAGTGGCTTCAGTCCTGCATATCAGGCTGAAAAGTTTGGATATTTTCTATAGCCAGTGGTAAGATGTTAAATGTTGTTAAGCATAGAAGTAACAAAGTGAAATTCATTTTCTTACTAGAATTAGCAAGGTGGTGTTATGTATTAATACATTGCCAATATAGCAATCTGGTGAAATAGAATATAAACTTCTTGGCCGAGTGCAATGGCTCATGCCTATAATCTCAGCACTTTGGGAGGCTAAGGTAGGAGGATTGTTTGAGGCTAAGAGTTTGAGACAAGCCTGGGCAACATAATGAGACGTTGTCTCTACACACACACACACACACACACACAAATTAGCTGAGTGTGGTGGCACACACCTATAGTCTTAGCTACTCCAAAGGATCATGTTGGAGGATCCCTGGAGCCCAGGAGTTTGAGACTGCAGTTAGCTAAGTTTATGCCACTGCACTGCAGCCCTGGATAACAGTGAGATGATTCCCCAGCTCTAAAAATAAATAAGTAATTAATTAATAATCTAAGCTTCTTGAGGGGTTAGTGGTTTGGGATTTCAATTTTTCACAAAATCCTCCCAAATATACATTGAATTATAGAAAACTGCTGACTTGATGAAGTAACGATAACAATAACTGCTGACATTTGGTGAACATCTATTATGTACCACACACTGTTCTAACAGTACTACTCTTAGGCCTAGGCACCCCTGTGGGGCAAAGCATGTGTGGGGCAAGCGGCCGTGCCCTATCAGAGCCTGCACAAAACCTCCTCAAATCCAGCACCACCCCTGCCTTCTTGCCCATCCTCCAGACCTTGCTACTCTCTCCCCAAATGACCCTAAGCCACTTTCAGTTCCAGCATGGCCCTCTTCCCTAGGGTCCTGCTTCTGAGGCTGACAGTATCCAAGGGGAGGCTGTTTGCTAAGTGGTGATGAGGGGCAGGGAGAAGAAGGGCAACAAGCAGTGGAGAGGGTGGCTCATTCGTAATCTTCCCTTGAGCCCCCAAATATATTAGGAGCAGGTCATGTGCTATGTGCTTGAGTTATCTGATTCAATCCTTTATAAAATCCTGCCAGGTTTCTACATTATACTGAGAAGCAATAGGGCAAAGAGGTTAGGGAGACAGTGTAAGGAGACACAGCATGTAAATAGTGAAAGGCAGGATGCAAGTCTAGATCTATTTCACATTGTATATTTCAGGACCACCGTGTAGCATTTCATTCACATCGTTGTCAGGTGAATGTGCTTTCTAGAGTTGGGGACTGTGCAGAGAGCACGGCTGCACCAGGTAACTACGGCTATTAAAAGAAACAATGACTCATTCACAACATCCGACTCATTCACTGTGCTTAGCCTCATTTCTCACCTGCGATCCTGACCCTTTCCCCCTTTTGGGTCTGTCTAGAACCAGCAGCACAGGCTCCCAAATTTATAGCATCTTTGGTCTGCAGGTCTCCATTGCATATGTATGTGCTTGAGAATCCATGTGTCTTTCAATCATGAGGTTTAAAATGGGTATGCTTATTTCTAGGGAAATGGCAGGAATGCCTCTCCAGGTGGGAGGGCATGACATTTCTGCCACGCGCCACCTCAGCCCCTCCTTACCTCCCCCACAAAGGAGTATTTTAATAGAAGGTTAATGGAGGGCACACAGAACAAAAAGAAAACCCTGTCATCGTTATTCCATGTTTTACTGTAATAGAGGTCAGCTCTCCCACATTCTTTCTAGTATCCATCTTCAAAATGAATTGTTTAGCCTATGAAAACAAAACTAGTCTATTTATGATGACAGAGAAGCTGTAAATGTGCTCCTGATCTGTGCATTGACTAATTAGATTAATTAAGCCTGCATGCATTTCAGAACAGGCAGGCAGGTGGTAAAAAACATTTGAGATGATTTATATGATATATTCCATCAAGCTTACACTTGATAAATAATATCACATTCATTCCATTAAGATATCGAAGTGGAAGAAGAAAACAGTGCATTTTTGGCTCCGTGCTCCTACCAAAAGAGCAACTGTTGAGGTTAAAACACTAGGCATAATTTACTCTCCTCGAAACAGTGAAGGAAAAAAAACCACACAAGCCAAATCTCAAACTCAAGTTTGTCTCAGTAGTTGCTTGTATGCAGAAGTGGTTTTTTGTTGCTGCAGTGGAATTGAATTTTAGGAATAGAGATGAGATTTGAATGTTAATTAAGTCATTGCAGCTTGCTACCAGATTTTGCTAGAAGCTCCCATACCATGGTTCTTTACTCATCAACCTGCTTTCTGTAGCTACTCTGGTAAATGAGGGTAAAACTGGCTGACTACAAGGTCCTTCTTTCTATGATCTTCAAATTTCAACATACCTAAGAATCACCAGAAATGTACAAGTGCAGATTCCTGGGCCTTTTCCCCAGTAGACCTGGATGAAGCCCCATAGTCTATTTTGTTTTGTTTTTTATTTCTGTTTCTCTTTTTTTTTTTTAAAAAAAATCAACATTTAGGATATCAATATTACTCTATACCAATAAGCTCACACACCAAGAACTGAATCCCTGATTTGATCTTTGGTTTTTCAAAATTCTCAAGTTTGTAAATATATTAGATTTGCTTCTTCTGTTAGAGTAATCAGTGTTTTTCAAAGTTTGGTCAAAGGACCACTGCATTAGAATTTCCTATGGGACAGTGTAAAAATTCAGATTCCTGGGTTTCACTTGAAACCTACTGTATCCAAAATTATACAGGAGAATATATATTTTAACAAACTATTAATTCTTATGCATACTAAAATTTAAAGACCACTGCTTTGGAGCAAGTAATATTTGATATAGGTGTAACAGTAAATGGAAGAGTCTCTTTTGTATCCTCCCTGCAGTCATAGTTTTGCCTAGAAGGCAAAGATGTATTATGTCTAACCCTGCCTAGCTCAGTAATCTCTTAAAGAATGAATTTAGGCCAAGATTGAAGATAGGGCTGGAATGGTCTTCCCTCCAGACCACTTTGGCCTCCAACTCCTTTTGGTTTATTTTCTAACGAACTCTGAAAAGTTGCTACCATCTTGTTGAGGGCTGCTCTCAAGTTGCCTCCAGGACATCAGGAAATAAATAATTAAGGGGCAGTCCCCTGAGCTACTGCTGCTGTGGTGTAGCGGTGGGACATGCCGGTGACGTTGCAATGACTGATGGCAGAAATTGATGTGCCAGACAGACCCTAATCAAATCCTGACACCCTCCCAAGCCCAGGAAGAGATGATAACCTTTTCTATTTCAGCAAAAAGGTAGGCCAAGAGGCAGAAGAGAAGTCTTCAGGATAGAGAATGACAGAGCAGTGCAGCAGCCAGGTAACCGAGGAAAAGGGCAGCCTGCATGCTACAGCGCATATCACCCAAAGCAAAGGCTCTACCAGAATCACTGGACAGCATATGTATTTAAGCTTTGCACAATCATGTAGCCAGAGATAGAGAATAATCTGATAATCGTAACGAGAATTCTAATTATAAGATGTTATCATTTCATCCCAGACTGCATCAGGCAAGGGTGAGCTCGATGGGAAAAGAGACCCTTGAAACATGAGGGGAGAGAACTTTGTAAACGACCAGAACAGACGCCTCTCCCTTATCATACTGGATAAATTATCACTCATTTCACCGTGAGAAAGAAGTAGAAATTGATTTGAGAGACTCCTCAATATCCTTCATAATCCCGGCAGTAATTTCTTTTGCTCATTACTATTAATATATATTGTTTTCTCCTTCCCTAGTGGAGATTCAGGTCATTTGCAATAAACCCTGCAGTTATCTTCAACATGTTCCCAAAGAAAGAAACTCCAGGTATCAATGCATATAGGAATCTTAGATGAGTAAACACTCCTTGATATATACAGAAAAGATTCTAGTTCACAGAGTGGGCAAAACCTTGTATACAGCGTTCTGCTGGAGCATCTTTCTGAATGGGTGAGCTACATCTTTGCACAGTGAAAGGGACAATATCATTCAACTCTGTAAAAATATATTGTAGCACATTTGAAATGCCTTACTTCATAAAGCATTGCTGTTAAGATGTTCTTTGTCAAGCTATAATTTCAAGATTATACACAGTTAAGCAGTTTTCCTTTAGAAACAAGTGTCTTGTGGGAACCCAGCTCTTGAGCGGTCTGCCCATCTGTAGCTTCATCCTAACAGTGGCTTGCTGTATCCTGGACCTGTCTGGCAGTAGAGAGAGGAAAACTGAATCAGCAATAAACTTGGACAGGTTGTGTGTGTGTGTGTGTGTGTGTGTGTGTGTGTGTGTGTGAATGGCACATGATTTTGTCCTATCCTTTCAATTGCTAACCTTAATTAGGCTTCTATATCCTTATGACTGTTACATATGTTTTAGGTTTCATTTTATGCTTTGCCAGTTTTTAAAAAGGCTCTTAAATGTCTTACAATAAAAGACACACGAAAGGTTTGTTTATTAAACATAAATAGAGAATGTCAACTGTACCTAAAGAAAGTGCATTGCTAATCCAAAGGGCACTCATTTTTACTGCAATTGAGCATTAAATTTTACTATAAACTTCCTAAAAGCCAGGGCAAACATGGAGATAATAGTATTACAGAATCCCTATTATTAAGAGAAAAAAAATCTACCAATTCTGTAAGGCATAAAAGTATAAATTCACCTATTTAAAGTATGCATTTGACAAAAGTTTATATTATCACCATTATCACAGTCCATAGAATATTCCATCATCCCAAAAAGTCCCCTCAGTCCTCTTTACTATCAATCCCCTCCCCTATTCCTGGGCCCTGGGAACTGCTCTGCTTCCATTCACTACATTTTTCCATTTTCTATAATTTCACGTATAGGAAATCATACAATATGTAGTTTTTCATGTCTGGTTTATTTCACTGAATATGATGCTTCTGAGATTCAGCCATGCTGTTTTATATATCAGCAGTTTGTTCCTTTTTATTGCTGAGTAGTATTTCATTGTAGATGTGAATCAAAATTTATTTATCCATTAATTGTTTTTTTTTTCAAGTTTTGGCTGTTATCAATGAAGCCTTGAAGAATTTCCATGTGCAAATATTTGTGTGGAGACATGTTTTCATTTCTCTTGGGTAAATGTCTAGGAATTGTTCCACATCCTTGTTAGGCTTAATATCGTTGGGTTTTTTGGTTTTAGCTGGTCTAGTGATTGTGTAATGGTATCTCTTTGTGGCTTTAATTCATATTTTCCTAATGACTGATGATACTGAGCATTTTTTCATATGCTTATTTGCCATTCACATATTTTTGGTAAGTGCTCAAATTTTTGCACCCTTTTTATCAAGTCGTTTGCCTTATTTACAGTGATATTGGCTTTCCTTCAATAGAATCTTGTTCATCAATAGAAATGAGTCTGGACTGAAAATTCATTTTCAAACTTAAACATAAGCTAGATGGTATAGGAGTAAGATGTCAAAAAGGGAATAACATATTTTAAAATTCGAACTAAAATAAGAACAAATAACCCAACAAACCATAAATGTTCTTAGCTGTCTCAGGACAAAAAAATAAAAGACAGGGTAGACTATAAACCGCATCTGAGTTCAGAGTCAGGACTGACAATAAGGTTTCCCATTTGGGGCTCCATGGATCCCCAGATTAAAAAAACTAATTCAACGGGCAGACTAAGATCTTATCAGGGACCTGAGGGTATGTGGTTACTTACAGAGCACCTAAAAGCAGACACAGAAGGCTGAAATTGGCATTTCCATGCCAGTTTTCCCAGGTGCCAATCCTTGTGTCCTCTGGTGGCCACCTCTTATCTTTGCATGATTCTTCCTCAATAGGTGAAGGAAGCAACCTCCAGCCAACAATCTCCTGAGAGGGCTGTCAGAAAGTCACCAGCCAAGACAGAGCTGACACCTGGTGTGCAGCGTGTGCTCCACGGATGCTGCCTTTACATTTGTACTGGGTACATTTCTTATATTTTGAGGATTGAGAGGCAGCTTCAGGACCCTGGAATGTCCAAACTGTGTTATCAGAAGGCATTTCTGAGTCACCATCCAGTGGGAAAAAGATCTCAAAAAGGGACCAAGAATAACAAAGGTAAATGTAATCTATATCTGTATTTGTTTTAACATGCTATCCAGGAGTGCAGGAGTCAGAAAAATCATTTTAAAATGGTATTCCTGTTTCTCTTGAGAGATTTGCTTGAATTCACCTTTGAGGACAAATTGTACTTTTGTTTCAGGAAAGCTATCTTGCTGGGCTCCTTGGATTATTTCAAGTTAAAGTTGAGAAAGGAGTAAATTGACCGTTTCAAAATGGAGCAGGGGCAGGGCCCAAGGACAAAACACCACCATCATGGTCCCATGGGAAGTTTTCATCTGTGGATTCCAATCACACAGTAATCAGTTCAACCTTTATGAATTTATTTTCCTATGTCATCCCCTTCTATTATCTCTCCATTTCAGACTATGCCTATGGAATAAAAAAGAACAATGCTAGAACTAAAAAAATCTAAATAAAGTATGGACTTCAATTAGCAATAATGATCAGAATTGATTTTTTTTTTTTTTTTTTTTTTTGAGACAGGGTCTCATTCTGTCACCAAGGCTGGAGTGCAGTGGTGCGATCTTGGTTCACTGCAACCTCCACCTCCCAGATTCGAGCGATTTTCCCATCTCAGCCTCCCAAGTAGCTGGGACTACAGGTGTGCACCACCACGCCTGGCTAATTTTTGTATTTGGTTGAAAGAGAGGGGTTTCACCGTGTTGGCCAGGCTGATCTCAAACTCCTGATCTCAAGTGATCTGCCCACCTCAGCCTTCCAAAGTGCTGGGATTACAGGTATGAGCCACTGTGCCCAGCCAATATTGATTTTGTAATTATGCACACATAACATACCATCTTAGAAATTTTTCTGTAAATCCAAAGCTGTTCTAAAAACATATTTTTTTTCCAAAAAAGGAATAATGCTTTCATGAAGACACATCTGTGAACCCTGGGTTAGACAAACTTCACTGGTTTTTCCATTTTTCTTAGCTCTGGTTATGTTTACCTTCACATGTTTGAGAACAAATAGAAACAGTGGGATGAGGAATTGCTGTTGCATGCTGCCTTGCAGGGATGCAGCTTGGTGAGAAGAAGGTGGGGGAGCGGCGTGATGCCTGCCAAAGGCTGCATATAATTTATGATGATTTCCTTGTTTACTTTTCAAAGCAATTGACTTGCCTATAAAGGAGCCAAAAATTATGTAGTTTCTGTCTCCTATTAGCTTATTAATTCCTTGTAGGTATAAGTCAGGCCTTCTCATTCTTTTGTGTAGCACATAGTACCCTGTATTCAGTAGGTCCTGTGTGAATAGCTGTGATTTGAATGAATGTTATAAACAGAGGCATTGATGGCCATAGAACAGTCCATACATCTAATATGAGAAAATATATAAGAGCCCATTTAGATTCTTATCAGTTAAATATAACAAATGCTTGCTACATCTTTTAAAATTAACTGCCATTAAAATTACTAAGACAATTAACTCTACATTATGAATTCATCTTATTGAAAGAACTTCTCCACCCAGAAAAAATAGAAAGTTTTCAGTTCAACAAGCGAAAACCATATTTTGAAAGATTAATTTCCATCTTTTTGACATCCTTGTCACTCAAAGCTAGAAAACTTGATTTAGGGGTGTCAAACTCTGTCTCTTAGAACAAATTTCAAGCTGTGGATGTCTACGCAAAATTTCAGTGGTAATGTTTTCCTGGCCAAGTTGTTGCGGCCTTCGAAATAGAATTTGCAGCAGAGACTCTGGCAGGTTCTAAATGTAGCAGATTGAATATTGATATAATGTCAAAAGAGTTCCATAATTAAAGGTTTTTCTTTATAGCATTTCCCTTCATCCAATCATTAATTCAACAAATATTTGTGGAGCACCACTTATTTGCCAGGCACTGCATTAGCAAGTCTTTTCTGTCTCCTGAATCAGATAAGTTAGTGAAATGAATGAATGAGCAAATGAATGAATAAATGAATGAATGAATGAATGAATGAATGAGTGACTAAGAAGATGCCTCCCATAACCACATTACTCCATGGCTTCCCAGACCATTCTGGTGCTGAATGTGAAGAGAAACATGGAAACATACAAAAAACTCCTGACAGCCGGGTGCGGTGGCTCACCCATGTAATCCCAGCACTTTGGGAGGCCAAGGTGGGCGGATCACAAGATCAGGAGATCAAGACCATCCTGGCTAACACAGTGAAACTCCTTCTCTACTAAAAATACAAAAACAAAATTAGCCGGGCGTGGTGGTGGGTGCCTGTAGTCCCAGCTACTCGGGAGGCTGAGGCAGGAGAATGGCATGAACCCGGGAAGAGGAGCTTGCAGTGAGCTGAGATCACACCACTGCACTCCAGCCTGGGCGACAGAGCAAGACTCCATCTCAAAACAAAAACAAAACAACAACAACAACAAAACTCGTGACTTAGAAAGGCTTCTTTGGAAGCCCAGGGAAGTGAAGTCCCTATGATTCCACTGGGTTATGTTTTCTCACAACCACCACTTTGGCCTCCACCACTTTCTTACCCCTCTTCACCCCTTCCAGATTCCAAGCCAGTAAGACAGTTGGAAAAGAGAAAGCTCTTTTATACAGGGAGCTAGGTATCTTCAGCTGAGCTCTTGCTTTTCTCTTCTCTCCTTCAGTCTTTACCTCCAAGCCTAAAAGAGCTTTCCCTTTTCCATCTGTCAAGAACTGCTCTTAAGTCATATTCATCTTTATGGGAGACCTGAAGCTCAGTTTCATGGTCAGGTCTCTGTTTTTTATTGTTGTTGCTGTTTGTTGGCTACTTTTAGCTTTACTTTATGAGGAACTTAGAACCCACAAAAACGAAATGAAATAGTATAATAAACCTTCATGTACCCATCACTCACCCCCACACCCATCAACCAAGGGCCAATCCCACCCTATCCATCCACTTTCCCACCATTATATTATTTTGAAGAAAATCCACAGAATCATATATTTTTAGTTATACCCTGAACTTAATAACAGAAAGCTAGGTGAGAGAACCTCAGAAAGGGGGAGAAGAGTGAAAAGCAGTTAAAAATACTTTATTTACTTACAGTAGGATAATTTGAAGAAGTGAAAGGATTAACAAAAGCACTCAGCTTTGAGAGGAAAATGGGTGAAGACAGCCCCAGAAATGCAGGAACGATAATATTCTAAATCCTTTATTGTCATTTATGTCAACAATGTTCACAGCATCCTTACCAGGAGTAGATCCCAAATCAAAAAACCACTTTCTTTGCTCATTCATAAGGAGAAACTCTTTATCCATTAAAGTTTTATCATGAAATTGCAGCAATTCAATCACATATTCAGGCTTCACTACTAATTCTAATTCTCTTGCTTTTCCACCACAGCTTCAGTGACTTTCTCCACTGAAGTCTTGAACCCCTCAAAGTTATCCATGAGAGTTAGAATCAACTTTTTTTCCTGCCAGGCATGATGGCTCACACCTGTAATCCCAGCACTTTGGGAGGCTGAGAAGTATGGATCGCTTGAGTTCAGGACATTGAGACCACTCTGGGCAAAATGGCAAAACCCTGTCTCTACAAAAAATACAAAAATTAGCCGGGCATGGGGGCAGGCACCTGTAGTCCAGATACTTGGGGGTCTGAGGTGGGTGGATCACTTGAGCCTGGGAAGTAGAGGCCACAGTGAGTGGAGATTGTGCCACTGTACTCCAGCTTGCACAATGGGAGTAGACCCTGTTTCAAAAAAAAAAAAAAAAAAACACAAACAAAATAAGGAGAATCAACTATTTCAAAACTTCTGTCATTGTTGATCTCCTCCCATGAATCATGAATGTTCTTAGTATCATCTAGAATGGTGAATCCTTTCTATGAGGTTTTTGATTTACTTTGTCCAGATCCGTCAAAGGAATCCCCACCTATGGCAGCTATAGCCTCACAAGATGTGTTTTTAAATAAGATGTTAAACTCGAAATGACTTCTTGACCCATGGGCTATGGAATGGATGTTGTGTTAGCAGGCTTGAAAACAGCATTAATCTCCTTGTACATCTTCATCAAACCTCTTGGGTAACCAGGTACATTGTCCATCAGCAGTAATATTTTGAAAGGAATCTTTTTTTCTTAGAAGTAGGTCTCAAAAATCAGCTTAAAATATTCAGAAAGCCATACTGTAAATAGATGTGCTGTTATCTAGGCTTTGTTGTCCCATTTATAGAGCACAGACAGAATATGTTAAGTGTAATTTTTAGGAGCCTAGGATTTTCAGAATGCTAAATAAGCATTACCCCCAACTTAAAGTCACCAGCTGCATTAGCCCCTAATGCTCATGGACAATGCGCCTGGTTACCTAAGAGCTCTGATGGAGATATACAAAGAGATTAATGTTGTTTTCACATCTGCTAATATAACATCCATTCCACAGGCTAAGGGTCAAGAAAGTCAGCCTGTCCTTTGAATTTCAAAGCCAGGCATTGACTTCTCTCTAGCTATGAAAGTTCTAGATGACATCTTCTTATGATATAAAGCTGTTTTGTCTCCATTGAAAATCTATTGTTTGGTGTAACCATCTTCATTGATGATCTTAGCTAGATCTTCTGAATAACTTACTGCAGGTTCTACATCTGTGCTTTCAGCTTTACCTTGCACCTTTACGTTATGGAGATGGCATCCTTACTTAAACCACATGAGCCAACTTCTGCTACCTTCCAACATTTTTTTGTGGCTTCTTCACCTCTCTTACTTTTGATAGATTTGAAGAGACTTAAGGGATTGCTCTGGATTAGGCTTTACCTTAAGGAAATGTTTTGCCTGGTTTGATCTTCTAACCAGGCCACTAAAACTTTTGCCATGTCAACAATAAGGCTGTTTCACATTCTTACCATTCATGTATTTCCTGGAGTAGCACATTTATTTTCATTCAAGAGCTTTTTCTTTGCATTCCCAACTTAACTAACTGTTTGGCATAAGGGGCCTAGTTTTGGCCTATCTCACATTTTAACATGCCTTCCTCATTAAGCTTAGTTATTTCTAGCTTCTGATTTAAAGTGAGAGATATGTTACTCTTCCTTTCACTTGAACACTTAGAGGACATTGTAGGGTTATTAGCTAACCTAACTTCAATATTGTTGTGTCTCAGGGAGTAGGAAGGCCTGAGGAACCTGAGACAGATGGAGGAACAGCCGGTGGGTGGAGCAGTCAGAACACACAACATACTTATACATTGAGTTTGCTATCTTACGTGGGCATGGCTCATTGTACCCCAAAACAATTAAAATAGGAACATCAAAGATCACTGATCATAGATGGATATGCTTTGGGTGTCCCCACCTGAATCTCATCTTGAATTGTAGTTCCCATAATTTCCATGTTTTGTGGGAAGGACCTGGTGGGAGATAATTGAATCATGGGAGAGGTTTCCCCCATACCATTCTCGTCATAGTGAATAAGTCTCATGAGATCTGATGGTTTTATAAGGGGTTTCTCCTTTCACTTGGCTCTCATTCTCTCTTGTCTGCCACCATGTAAGATGTGACCTTTGCCTTCCACCATGAATGTGAGGCCTCCCCAGCCACTTGGAACTGAGAGCCCATTAAACCTCTTTTTCTTTATAAATTACCCAGTCTCAAGTATGTCTTTATCAGCAGTGTGAAAACAGACTAATACATAGATCTCTATAACAAATAAAATAATAATGAAAAAGTATGAAATATTGTGAGAATTACCAAAACGTGAGACAGAGACACAAAGTGAGCACAGACTGTTACAAAATAGCACTGATAGTCTTGCTCAATAAATTGCCACAAACTTGCAATTTCAATGTCTAAGAAACACGATAAAGTGAAATACAGTAAAACTAGGTATGCCTATAGATGGTGGGCATACATTGAGCAAAGAGGACATTTCAAGAGACAGACCACAAGTGATTTTGATTACCGTGAACCTTAGGCATGCAAGATAATATGAAGCTAAATGACCTTGAACAGTTTTCTTCACTCTTTGCCTCAGTTTCCTGGTAGGTAAAGTCATAGTAATAATATTCACCTTCCCAGGCTGGCTGCAAGGATTAAGAGAAGAAATGTATGTAAAATTCCTTACATGCTGCCGAGCTTATAGTAGGGAATAAGTAAATGGTTATAATTATTATTATTATTACTACAGACCAGGGCTCCAAGTAAATACAAAGAGATTATTATCAAAAGCAAAAAGACATCCAGGGTCACTGACTGTGATAAATTGCTGTGATTGTGAAATGAAAACACCTTGCCTTTACTATTTCTTAAAAGGAAAGAGCCAAAAGATAGAAAGGTTTTTGTTATCTCCAATACCAATTGAATACACTTTCTCTCCAATCCTGAAATTCACTAAGAGCTAAACTGAGGAGGGTAATGGGGTTACTAAAAAGAGAAAAATTGAAAAGCACAAAAAACTCACTGACCTAGAAAGTGAAATGTTTGAGTGGTTTTGTCAAATTAGGGTAGATATCATTCCCATTTCTGGTTCTTGTTTGAAACAGAAGCCAATACAATTGGCTTAAAGAGGAAAATTGTCCCAATGAATGGCTCCAGCCTTCTAAATCTAACATCTAACAATGTGACAGTACAGTGTCTCTATTTGCTGAAGTCTAGGCAAATGCTACTGCTGTTACAGCTGGAAAAGATTGGCAGTGAAAAGAGAATGACAATTCTGGATAAATACTACTGAGAATTTATCTGAGAATTCATTCAGTACTTTAGATAAAATTGTCTCTGCCTCAACTTGCTGCTTGTCGGGCATGTTTTCTTGTGTTGTTATGAAAGATATAACTCACTGTAGAAAAGGGTTGTATAAAGAATGTCTCAGAGACATGTAAGCCAATAAAATGCAGAAATTTCATGCAGCCACATTGTGAGGCTTCTGGAACCAGAAAACATCTGGTTACAGGAAGAGCCATATGATCTAGAGAGGTCTGTGCTGTATTTCTCTCTTTCCTTGCTTCAAATCATTGTGCGATCCCATGCAGATGAGTTTGTATTATCTCTATTCTCAGCCGGATTAAGTTTTGAAAATTTACTCAGCAACCTGAGCCACACACACACACACATAAAAATAGAAAAATTGATAGGGGTAGTCAGGTAAAGCATAATGTTCTGCATTTTTGTGTGTTTCTGACTACCTGCTCCCGTGTCGTTACTTTATGAAGGTAATGGAAAAAGCAAAGGGTGTGCAATGAGGAGACCTGCCATGTATACCACGGGGCAATCTTTTAGCAAAGAGGTATCCACTGTTTTCATCGTGATGAAACTTCCCCCAAAACATCATCAGGACAAATCTCTAAGCGCTTGAAGGCAAGAATTATATTTTATTTAGAGTTTTATTCCTAGGGCCTATTACTCTGTGTAGACTCAAGAAATACTCAGTGAATGTAGACAAATGGACACATGAATGAGAGACATACATGTGATAAAACAGTCAAATTCTAAATAGCCTCCAGCACTGATCAGGAGCAGGCATTTTTAGCACGTGTCATTATGGCCAGACAAAATCTGGAATAAATCTCACTTTCTTACACCAAAGAGGCTAACACTGAGAACTGGAGTGAGACTGATAACAAAAGGTGGGAACTCTTCCTTTTAGCTAACATCTTGAATTTGTGCTGAGCTTTGCGGAGAACTAGGATTCATTCAAAAAATGTACTTTGCCTTTACTCCATCATCTCTTTGAAATCTCTAGTGATGTTCAGAATGGGAGAATTTGAGAGAGTTAAAGTCTATGCAAAATCTATGATTCCAAAGCAGGGAAAAATTCCTTTTAGACTTGGTGTGGTTGGGCAGGTAGCTCTTGATTCCATGCAGGCTTTTCGTGCTTCTCATATAATGAGGAAATTCCATGTGTTAGTCTATTTATGCATTGCTACAAAGGAGTACCTGAGGCTGGGTAATTGATAAAGGAAAGAGGTTATTTTGGCTTATGATTCTGGAGGCTGTGCAGGAAGCATGGTGCCTGTATCTGCTTCTGGTGAGGCCTCAGGAAGCTTCCAATCATAGTGAGAGCTAAATGGGGAGCAAATGTATCACATGGTAAGAGAGGGAGCAAGAGAGAGGAGAGGACCCAGATTCTTTTAAACAAGATTTTTCAACTCTAACTGAGCCAGAACTCACTTATCACAGAAGAGATGGTGTTAAATCATTCATGAGAGATCTGCCTGGTGTTAAATCATTCATGAGAGATCTGCCTGGTGTTAAATCATTCATGAGAGATCTGCCTCATGATCCAATCATCACCCCAGGCCCCACCTCCAACATTGGGAATCACATTTCAACATGAGATTTGGAGGGGACACACATCCAAACCATGTCACTTCAATACAATGTACTAAGCTCCCGCATGGGAGATAGAACCTGGGGATTGGCCTTGTAATCTCTGCTTATTTTGATCTAACCCCTTCCCTCTCTGATTACTCTTAGTCCTTTCTCCCTTGTTTTTCCTTTGATATCAACCAGGCTCCCAATTTCTAACCTGAGTCCTACCAGGGACTTGGCTGTGCCCGTATTAGGCAGCCAGATGACTTCTCTTGCCTCTCAACTTTTTCCTGTTCTTGGCAGTAACCCATTCTAGGCAGCCTGAGCAAACTGCTCTATGCCAAACCTGCTTGGACAACCCATGATAGCCCGAGAAACTGTGATGCCAACTTTTCAAATTTATGTTGACTCTTGGCCCATTGACTGGTTGAGTGCTAAATATGAGTAAATGATAACAGGTTTAGCCACTAATTGGTATGGCCAACATCCACTTTTTATAGTCCCTCTTATTCCATAATGCCATTACTAACAATCACTTTAACATTTTTATTATGGAAAATGTCAAATGTATATAAAAGTAGAATGGAATAATGAACTAGCATCCACTCATCAGACAACTTCACAATTACTTTTTAGGCTTTTGACTATAAAAATAGTTGCATACCCAGCAAATCTCTTCAATATTGCAGAATTACATTTTTGACTAATGCTGTATTTGCAACTTGGCAATTTTGGCAGCCCTGCCTTTTAAGACCATATCTTTCCTGGCTTAGTAATGATGGACCATCCCTCCCATCCAACTTAGTTTAAACTGCTTAAGCAAATCTCCTCAAGATATTATGTGTTTGCTCCCTTTCTTAAAAATAGAAGGTGATTTAAAAGGTCATAAAAAATGTTCATTCATCAGGTCAGTCCTTGCAGTCCCCCTTTTCGTCTGTGATAGCAATTTGGCAGGAGAGCGTGTTTATTGCCTCTGATCTCAACCACAAAAAGACCAGCAAGTTAACACAAACCATGCCAGCCTCCCTCAATAATTAATTACACGGCCCATCCATGAGTTTATCTAAACATTTTTGAAGCTATTTCTATTTCTAGCCTGTACCAGTTCTGAATAAGCCTGGTAGACACCATGGAGATAACAGAGTAGCCTCGCGAGATGGTGGGGCAGATAATGGAACACACGTACAGGCATTTCACTCCTCCAGACACAACTTGGTTTAACTGGACCCCAAAGCCAACAGTAGAGTTAGCGATTAAACCAATCAAACTTTTTCTTCATTATTAAAGAGTTATCACCTAAGCCAATAAATCCGCACACAGTCAAAAGTGAGTTCATTTCTAAAAAGCTACAGTTACTGTAAGGTATGCTGTAACCAGCAGTGCAATCTAGACTTGACTTGTGGCGATAAGGTGCATGAATATAAGAGCTCTTCCCACCCTTATCTCCAATAACCTTAACCTGGATATTTATCTTCATTAAGGTGATGAATATTATGTGTGTATGTGTATATATGTATGTATATATTTCTTTTGCTTTTGCTTCTTGAGGTTAAATATAATTCTGAAGGTGATGCACTTGCATCCTCAAACAGGCTTGTTAGTTTTACAAACAAACTAAACCTTTAACACTACTGCAGAAGCTGATCTATATCCCTTTTCCTGCCCCCTCCTTTTCCTAATGCCTCAAGCACTCATCTTTAATAGGATGGGATGGGAAGAGGGGACTGTCAGGAGATAAAACTGATCGACTATGGGCGTAGTTCAGCAAAATATGCATCCAAGAAAAAAAATTCAAACAGCATACCATATTGACAATGGGTTCTAAGAAACATATATAAAGAACAAACGTTTGTGTATTACGTGTGATCACATTTTGAATTAACTTTAATTAAATCAGAAAAAGTATGATATAAAAATACTAATAGCATCTCACTTTAAGGACAAATCTTATATAATACTAATTCCTCCTTATTAAAAATTCATTCATTTGAAACTATGTTCGTGCTGTTGTCACTTAACAGTACTGTTTTTATGGATACACCAAAATAACTGTCCTTCATCAACAGATTTAGTCTCGAATCATGTGAATTTCAATGAGCCACAAAAGCACCTCTTGAACCAAATGCAAAGTTTTGTATTGCTAACAGATGACACTCAGCTGACTCCATGAATTTCTCTCCCAGAAGCTGTAGGCAATTCCTTAATGGCCACAGGGGTAATGACTGTGTGTCCAGGTGTGAACTGGGGCACAATCAGTCAGGCAGAGGACAAAACTAAATGATTAGGAAGGTCAGTTTTGCAGCTTCATCACAGAGGGAACTGTGACTCTGCAGCTGCCAAGCATATTCTAGGACTGAGACTCTATGCCCCAAGGGAAAGAAGAATGGAGGGCTGCATATTTTGTCCGCCATGGGAGACTTGCTGTGACCTACATAATTATGTGATGGTGGTATGCTGTAAGGCAGTGGCTCTGCCCTGTTATGGGAGCACCTGCTTTGCAGGTGCTGTTCCCTTTGACTGGAATGCTCTCACCTCCAAGGCACATTCCTCATCCTGCAGATTTCAGCTCTTCCCCAGGGAAGTGACTCCCATCTGTGCCATGTTCGTTTAATTTAGGCATGCTCAGAACCCAGGTTATAGACAATTTATGTTGTCTGTAAATACTTGTAAATACTTCAACGTACATAGTGTGTGTGTTTGTCTTGATCTGCATCTTGGAGATATTTAATTCATAGTAGAAGGGCCTTAATCTAAAATACACACTCAAGATATGATTAGTGAGCATTTAAAAACTAATAGAAAATCTACACTCAAGGCGTCTACACAAAGGCTTCAATGATCTCGATCTCTATTCCACCAGAAGGTTTAATAATCAGCATTTTAAAAATATTGTTAAAATATTAATCTTTTTTTATGGTTTTTAAAATAATGTTTCATTAACTTAATGAGTGGCATTTTAAACAGTGTGGACTGGCTAGAAATCTTGTACAAATTATCTTGCCTTCACAGAAACAAAGAATTGAGCAAGGCCAGCAGCATAAACTCTTCAGAAGTCTGCCTTAGGTTTAGAAGTCCATCTGGTTCTGACTGCAGAAGCTTACAAAGGATGCTGATACCCGAATCCTGGTGTCTGAATATTATCACATTAATTTCAAGTGAATATTTTGTGTCATGTGCTTTGTCAGAGCATTTAAAAGCCTTGCTGCCAGGCGCAGTGGCTCACGCCTATAATCCCAGCACTTTGGGAGGCCAAGCCAGGGGGATCACCTGAAGTCAAGAGTTCGACACCAGCCTGGCCAACATGGTGAAACCCTGTCTCTACTAAAAATACAAAAATTAGCCCGGTGTGGTGGTGTGCACCTGTAATTTCAGCTATTTAGGAGGCTGAGGCAAGAGAACCACTGGAACCTGGGAGGTGGAGGTTGTAGTGAGCCGAGATCACGCCACTGCACTCCAGCCTGAGGCATAGAGTGAGACTCTGTCTCAAATAAAAATAAACAAATAAATAAAATTAAAAAGCCTTGCTGCTCAAAATGTGGTGTGGAGACAGTAGCATCAGCAATACCTGGGAGTTGGCCAGAAATGTCAACTCTTAGGCCCCATTCCAGACAGACCACATTTTGACAAGATCCCCAGTGATTCCTGTGGCATTTGAGTCGCACTGCCTACATTTAATAGCTGAAGGCTGGGACTTCATCAAGTTTACAGACCAGGTTATATGGATGCTCTTTTCTTTTTTTTTTCTTTTTGGATGCCAGTCAGCTGATAATCATTTGTGTGGCAGAATTCCATCTGAGACTTACTGTCACTGTAACTGACATCTGGCGGTGAGAAGGTAAGTGCGGAGAACTGCAAACCTCTCCAATCTTAATTATTGAAGGCCACTTTTATCTACCGTAAATCACCTTATCATTGTGAACTACCAAACTGTCTTAGGTGAGTTTGCAACTTTTTTTTGTTTTGCATTGTGTCTCGATTTGTAATTTTACATTGACCCTGTGATTACGTGGTTAATGTGTGTCTCCCTCGGTATACAATAGGTTCTTAGCAGAAACAGGTTTTATTTTGTTTCTCTTCTGCCTCTCTGGTCAAGCATCTAGTCCTGTTACTAGTAGACACACAATACATATTTAAATATTATTGAAGGAAATGAATGTGTGTGATTTTCTGAGCAGACAAAGGAAATGCATTTAAGTTTTTGTGAGCTTTAGAACTTTGAACTGACTCTTGGTTGCTGAATAAATAACTTCCATTGTAATTTATCCCCAAACAGCCAAGCAAACATTTCTCATGATCATAACTTGTACACTCCTTGTGTCACTACTGTGAAGCTTAGCATATGGAGAATTAATTATAAAAGCTTTTTGTTTTGTTTTGTTTTTCTTTCCTTTTTTTTGTATTTGTTTTGTTTTGTTTGCTTATCTTTTTTTGGTTGGAGTTTGCTAATCAGGTATGTACAAGTTTAATAATCATGGAATACATGACTACAGTGTTAAAAGGAACACTGACAAATTATTTCATGACTTCAATACATTGTTCTGGGCTCAAGGTGGCAGACAGCCATTTTACCAGAGGGAGGAACGCCAGCCAGTGGTGACACACAGATGCCTTCTCCCAAACCCAGTCTTGTGAAATAGAAAGTCGTATCAGAAATATGTAATCAATTTAAGCTTATTTTATGCCAATTACACCTTGTTAAGGAAGCCTGTGAACAAAGTCTCTAAAAACAAGATTCTGCAGGGTTTTTGGCACTTCTGTGATAGACGGTATTAAATGCCGGCAGACTTGCATATTTAAAATACTTAATGATGGGGAAAAATAGAAAATTAATTATCTTGGTGAGAAAAACCTGTCAGAGAGATAATTTACTAAAAACTATTTTGGGCAATTGTTACATTAAACATTTCTAAATAAGACAGAATGATCTATCTAATAATAGGCATTGAAACTACACCACAGTGGAGCCAAATTAAAATTTATATTGAGCTCCAATCCAAACAATAGATGAAATAAATTATACCTATAATTCACAATTGATTGCTTATGGCAGTCTCAGGCCGTAAGAATGGCTTGCCAGCCCTTATGTGCAGGCCCTAATATCTTATACGAACTTTATTTAAGGGAAGGGAAGTACCTTAAATCCTCCAACCATGCCTGCAAAAGATATTTTTCAAAAGAATGCACTCTTGTTCATATGGTTTATTTCAAGATAGTTCTTATATAGGACTACCTTCATTATTATTCTATTTTTAGGATTGAAGATTTCTTCCTGTTTTCAAAACCACATGCACAAGCAAAGAAATACTCAGGAAAGAAATTCATACATTGTAATAATATGTGGTTGAAGTGATTGAAATGGTTAAGTAATACTGTATTATTAAAACATAACATTTTTCTTAGACTTTCAACCTCACACCGGGAATTTACCATTTAAAAAGGATGAAATTCAAAGATTTTATTGCTTAGAGATATTTATGCACCTAGATGCCTGAAATGGAAAGGCACACACTTTATTGCTCTGTTCCTATAATTCAAAACTGGTGAATAGATTTAGTATTTTTTAAATGAGTTAAAACCAGACATAAGCAATTTAAGCCCCAAAGCTGGTGGCTTCAATAAGGAATGAGGAGAATAAAATAGCGATGATGGAAAAGCTTTAGCCGGGTGCTAAGTGTGTGCTCTAACTCTGAAAGAGAGAGGATGTATAACATAGACATGTGATTTAAACTAAGGATGGGGAAAACAAGCAAAGGCAAAAGGTGGAGAGCAGAAAAGGAGATTTCAGCTTCCTAGAGCCCAGGTATTTGTTTTCTTCATGTGAAGGTGGTCTACAGCACAGATCTTTTCTTGAGACTCTAAGGTGAAAGAAACTGACTTTGTCCCAATTTCTTAAACTTCCAATTTCCAAGCTTACAAATGCTATAACCAAAGAGAATACACTCTAGCTCCTTCTCCAATCTTAGTTGCCCAAGTAGGAGAATGGACAGTTTAATTATGCTAATGCTATGCCAATTTATATAGAGCTTCACAGCTATATAAAGAATTGGAAAGAAAGCTGATCTCATTCTATTTGCCCCTCACCTATCTCCCAACCTGCTTCCATAATTCCATTATTTACTTCCCAGGAGAGTACCTCTGCTCTTTTGGGATACTGCAAATAAGTGTTTCAAAACCTTCAAATACAATCTCCACTCTTTAATTTGTAAATTCCCTTTATGGCAGCAGAGTGGCCTTAAAGAAAGAAGACTTAACCTTATGAATTCATTTGATAAATATTATATGGTGACTTCTATATGCATACATTGAGATACATGCAGAGCTTACCAAATCATAATAACAAAGATGACAAGGAGATCAAAGAAGAGAAAACACACATAAATGATTACAGCCAATGGGATGTTTGGAAGTACACAGTAGATCACAGGTGATATTAAGAAGAAATAGATTATTTTTGCTTGGGTCAAGAGGAAAGGCTTCATAGAGGAAGCCACAGCTGAGAGAGGATGTTAACAAGTCTCTGGGCCACACACTGTGACGTGAAGCTTATATTTTTCCTGTGGAGCACTGGTTCTTCAAGCCTCCTACATTCACACTCTTCCAAATCTTTCTTTTTCCAGCTTCCTCCAGTCTTCCAGTCCTGATCCTTTCTCCTTTTTTCTTTTTCTCATACTCCTTTCTCTAAACAGCTTTGAGCCCATGTTAATTATTCATACCATATTTAAGATTATAACTGTATGTCTTCCTTTTCTTACCTGTTAACCTATTTTGTTATATAGGCTATATATACACACATATATAATTATACAGAAAAGCAAAATGCAATCAGACTCTGCATGTGTGAGAGTGTGTGTGTGTGTGTGTGTGTGTGTGTGTGTGTGTTTTCATTTGTTTTAAAGCAGTTTTGTTCCTTCCATTTTTTGCTTGGCCTTCCCATGACTTCACATTTGTCCCAATTCCATCGTTAATTTCTATTGACAGCTTTCAGTGTGGTCAGCCATATTTTCTTTATGATTATATAACAACACGCACACACATACACACAAATATGCATAAATACATGTACATAAAATATAAGATTTATCCTATGCCTACTTTTCTGTATCTTGTCTTTTTTATTTACAAGTATTTATAGAAATTTCTCCAAGTCTACCAGTAGAGTTCCAATTCATTCTTTTTATGGCTGTGTAGTACTTCATAGTGTGGACACCCTGTGAATTTGTCAATCATTGCCATAAAATCCTAGAACTTCACCTCCAGGTTTTTGCTGCAATCAATGCTGATGTTCATATATCCTTTGTTTTTATTTCTGTTATACAGTCCCAGGAATGGGATTGTTCCACACACATACACACACACACACACATATACAGGCACATGCACACACACACATACACATACACACACACTACATTCCATTTTAATAGATATTGCCAGGCAGGTTGCTTTAAAAAATGTTTTAATTCACACCACTAATGTGTAAGAAAATATTCTTTCTGTGTCTCTGTCAGTAACAGATGTTTATACTTTTTTTTTAACAATCTTTAAGAATTGCTTTCTTTTTTTTGAATCTATTTAAATTTTTAAGTATGTAAAACATTTACATGATTCTAAAGTCAAAGCTGTATAACCAACCAATATTCAAAGAAGCCACATTTCTGTCACTGTCCTCTCCATCCTCCTGCTTAGGTAACAATTTTATTCATTTTCAGTTTGTTCTTTAATGTTTCTTTTTTTCAAATATACTAATTACATTTACATTTATATGTTTAACCCCTTTTCTTACACAAAAGGTAGGATATCATATATATTTTTCTGTACTTAACTCTTGTCACTTAAGAAGTATATTCTGGTTCTCCTCATGAGTGTATAAAAGTCTTCCTCATTTTTTATAGCTGCACAATATATATTATATGAATGTACTATATGTTATTCAACCAGTCTCAAATTGATGGACATTGAGGTTGATTTCAAACTTTTACAAGTCTAAAAAAATGTCACAGTGAATAATCTAGAGCATAAGTTATTTCATATTTTTCCAGTGTATTTTTAGGCTAGATTCTTAGAAGTGAGATTGCTATAAAAAGGATAAATGCATATATAATTTTCAAAGATATTGCCAAATGCCCTTCAATTGGGTTTGTACAACACTGCATTTCTACCAAAAATATGAATGTGATTATTTCCCCACGGACTTGCCAAAATTCTCTACTTCCAAATCTTTAGATTTTCATTAAACTAACACATGAGAAATGATAATTTCATTTAATTTTTATTAATCTTATGAGTAAGATTGAGGATCTTCTTATGTTTAAATGCCATTTCTCTTCTGTGAGTTACTTGTTTATATGCTTCGTTCATTTTTCTGTTGGGTTATTGGTCGTATTTTCCTCAATTTTAGTAGCTGCTTGTATTTTAGTGGTAACAATCTTTTCTAATCTAAATTTCTAATATTTTAAATCCGTATTTTGATTTTGTATATGGTGATATTTTCAGCAAAGGATTTTTTGTATAATTGAACCTAATTATTTTAAATTGCTTATGAATTTTGAGTCATAGTTAGTAAGGTCTTATTTATAATGTATAAAGGATCTATCCAAGTCTACTCTCAGGATTGAAAGCTTTCAGTTTTTACATACAGATCTTCAATAATTTGGAGTTTATGCTGGTAAATAAAGTGAAGTGCAGATTTAATTGTATCTTTCTCCAAATGTGTCAACACCATTAATTAAGAAGTCCAACTTTTCCTACAGATGTGAGATACCATTTTTATCATATACCAAATGTCCAAGTGCATTGGAATCAATTCTGTGCTATGTTTCACTTGTGCACTAATGGCATACTCACAGAAACAATTTCTAGCATCTGTCTATCTAACTATCTGACAGGACTGGTCATCATCCCCACCACCAATACTCTCCTTTTTCAGAATTCTCTGTTTTTGTGTGTTTATTTTTCTACGTGAAATTTAAAATCAACTTGGGGAGCACCAATTAAAAAAATTTCTTAGTATTTTTATTGGAATTGTGTTACATTTATAAAATCTCTAGAAAGAATTATCTTCATGACATTGAGTCTTCTTAACTATGAACATTATAGATTTTTCCAGTTGTTTAAATCTAATGTGGAGTCTTGCAGGGATATTTCAGTTTCTTTAATTATTATTATTTATTTAGCTTTTTCACATTTCTTGTTAAGTTTGTGAATAGGTGTTTCATTTTGTCTGCTGTAATTTTAATTGGGTCTTTCATTGCATCATTTAACTTTTAGATATACAAATCTGTATTGATTTCTATGTATTAATTTTATACCCTGATATTTTTAATACATTCTTTTGTTTGTAATAGCTTCCCCAGTATTCTGTTGAGTTTTCCAAATATAAAATTTTATTTTATTTTTAAATTATTATTTTGACACAGTCTCACTCTGCCACTCAGGCTGGAGTGCAGTGGCTCAAACTTGGCTCACTGCAACCTCTGACTCCCAGGCTCAAGCGATCATCCCACCTCAGCCTCCTGAGTAGCTGGGATTACAGGCTATTATGTGTATGTTTAGCAGCGATGGAGTTTCGCTATGTTGCCCAGGCTGGTCTTGAACTCCTAGCCTCAAGTAATCTGCCAGCCTCTGCCTCCCAAAGTGCTGGGATTAGAGGTGTGAGCCACTGCACCCAGCCCAGATATAAAATTTTAGAAGTCTTTCTTTCTAATTCTTGTGCAACTAATTTCCTTCTCATCTAATGTCTTTGGCTCATACTTCTAAAACTATGTTAAATAGCATTTGCTTATTAGGCTTTCTTATCTTCTTTCTTGCTTTAGCAAGAATGCTGTTAATGTTTCCCCATTAAGTATTAATAAGAGTCAGATTTAGAAGTTATGCATATGTATATATATTATACTCTAAACGTATCTATGATTCCTGGTCTATTTATTGACTTTATCAGGAATGGGTGTTGAAATTTTTTGAAATGTCTTTTAGGCACCTCTGGAAATGATTCTTATTTTTTTTCCAGGATATGTTAATATGAATTAGTTACATTTTTAACATTTTGTTTATAGAGTGTTTATTGATTTGCTAATATTGAAGCAAGCTCACATTCTTGAAATAAACCCCACTTGGCACTGATGTATGCATTTTTTCATGTATTATTGGAATCTATCTGTTTATGTTTAAAAGATTTTTGCATTAATCTTCATATATAAGATTAGTTTATGGTTTTCTTTTTTTTCATTGTTTATCAAGTGTTAATATATCAGTACATGTCTCTGAAAAACAGTTTGGAAGATTTTCTTTTTTCTGTATATTCAACAAGATTTTTAGTAATACTTGTATTACCTCTCCTATAAAGATTTGGTAGAATTTTTTTCTATGAAACCACTTCGCCTGGTGCTTTTATATGGTTGAGTTCTTTTACAATTTTACATATTTTTTCTCTAAGAAAACTATTTTTCCAGAATTTCTGTCTATACTAGAGTTGTTTGAGGTAGATTATATTTTACTACTAAATTATTCAATTCATCTAGATTTTAAAATGTATTCATATAAAATTATACACACAATTTATCATGATTTTCTGTCTCTTCCCTTCTTTCTACTTGTGATTTCATAGCTTTCATTCCCTCATCATTTTTTATTTTGCACTTTCTGAACTTTCCTTTGTTGTTTTTCCTTTATTTTAGTGCATCTAATAGTTTATAACTTTTTCAGTTTTTTTAAATGAGCCAGGTGATTTATTGCTTTCTACTGATTTTCTCTTTTCCTACTCATTGACATCTACCATTATATTTACTATTAAAACCACTTCCTTCTGCCGCCTTTCACTCTCCTTTGTTGTTCTTTGCTGGTTCATTAAAGTGGACATTAAATTCACTTACTTTTATTTTTCATTTTTTGTTATAATCATTTAGTATTATGAATTTGCCTCTATTTAACTGTGCTCAAAAATTCTTATGTATCATCTTTTCATTAATACTATTTTCTAGAAATTCTGTGATTTAATTTTGTTTTTCTCTTTGATGCAGGAGTTACTTTAATAGAGTTTTTTACATTTCAAGGGAGGAGGGTGATTTTATTATGTTATTTACCTTTGTTTTATTGTGATCAGATAATTATGTTTGTATTGTTTCAGTTTTTGAAATTATTGTTTTTCTTTGTAGCTTCATTATGTAATTTTTTCTTTTAAACATCCAGAATACACACCGGATGATTATGTAGTTTATTTCTTTAGATCCTTACTAATTTTTGACTGCTTGATCTATCTAGGACCGAGAGACACATTTTTAAGTCTCCAGTTTTTGGTGCGTGTCTTATTTCTCCTTTCGGATCCTATAATTTCTGCTTTGTAAAGGTTGCTGCTATATTTTGTATATGGATATTAGTAATCGCTTCATTTTACTGAGCACTAGTGACTTTAGCATTATAAGCATTCTTTTTGTCTCATTTAGTACTTCTGTCCTACTTTTATTTAATTTTACATATAGATTGCAAACCCTTGCTTTTTGTTTGCATTTATTTCACTATTTCCATTCATTTATCTTTACTTAGGGATATTTATCACTTTTGATAATATAGGCCACAATTTTATATTTGATCATGGTCTATTTCAATTTCTCTAAATTGTTTATTTGAAAATTCATGTTTTAAGTTCCAGAAAATCATTTCTTTTGTTGTTCATTGCCATCTTCTAATATGGTATTATTATTATTTTCTTTAAATGGTATTCTTCAGCAGTTCCTTTACATTTACCATATATGTTCATTTTCTATTGTTGCACAACAAATTACCACAAACTTATTGTAAAAGAACACACACATATTAGCTCACAGTTCTGTAAGTCAGAAGTCCAGAAGGGCTCAACAAGACTGAAATCAATGTGTCAGACAGGCTGAGTTCTCATATGGAGGCTCCGGGAAGAAATCCACTTCCAAGCTCATTCAAGCTGACAGAATCCACCTCCTTCGTGAGTTGCAAGGCTGAGATCTTCATCTCTCTGCTGGCTGGAGCCTCTCACAGCTCCTTAAACATCCTTTCACAGGTAGCTCCCTCCACCTTCAAACAAGCACTGACACATGGAATCTTCCTCGTGCATTGGGTATTCTGCCTTTTTTGTTTTATGGGCTTGTGTGATGAAATCAGGCCCACTTGGATAATCCCCTATCCTGAAGTTAACTGTGCTATATATCACAGCATAGTCATGAAAGTAATGTCTCATCGTAGTGACAGTTTCCAGGGATTGGGATGGAACACACTCGTGTTGTGAGGGGGTTCGGGAAATTCTCCCTATCACAGTCCACCCTTCTGCCCCCAAAGATTCACATCACTCTCAAATGCAAAATATATTCGCACCAGCTCAAGGTTTCCAAGGTCTCATCCCATTGTGATATCAATTCAAAGTCCCAAATCTCATCTAAATCTCGTCACTTCAAAAGTCCAAAGTCTCCTTGTCTCAGTCACCTAAACCAATTACAGTGGAGGCCCCTGACCACAATTTCTCCCCATCAGTGGAGCAAAGGAAATAAAAAACAAGTTATCTGCTACCAACATTCAGTGGTATGATAGGCATAAGATAACTGTTTACACACTGAGATTCAGAAATCAGTAAAATTGAAAGTAAAAAGTAGTCAACCATGCAAAGCAGTTTTGAAATCCAACTGTGCAAACTTCTTTTGATGTCAAGTGCTCTTGATTCTGTCCTCAGATTCATTCTTCCTTCTTTGTGAAAATGGTAGCATGTAATTTCAGCTGAGTAGTTTTATCACCCTGTTTCCTGTTCACAGAACGTTGGATCTGAGAGCCTTTGTAATCTCTGTGCCTTTCAGTCCAAACTGGCAGTGTTTCTGCTGCCATAAAATTCTCAAGAACCTCATATGCATGAATTTCATGGGTGTTCACTCTTTTAGACAAAAGGTTCATCCACAGATTTTCTTGGATAATCTTTTTTCTATTTTTGGCTTCTGGTGAGACAGCTGAGACACTGCCCTTACAGTTCCTAGGGCCCTCTGGTTTGATTGAGACCATCTATGATCCTTAACTTGCTGTTACTGAGTATTCTAACATTTTGATCTTTCAGAGTTTCAGTAAAAGGTTTCAGTAGAATGTTTTGCAGTCACATCCTTGGCTTTTTCTCCACGCTATGCTTTCAGAAGCAGTTTCTTCATTTTAGCATCATCTGCCATCTGGAAAGATTGAGAATTTCCCAAATCATCAAGTCCTGGCTTCCTAAAGTCACAAACCATTCTTGTCAGGAAGAGTTCATAAAATTCATAGAAATTTAAAGCTGATTTCACCTTGGAAATATCTAAACCAGTGATTCTCAATTGTGGGTAATTTTGCCCCTGGGGAATATTTGGCAATGCCTAAATATGCTTTTGGTCTTCATGATGTGGGGAGGGAGGGATGGGTGTGACTGGCTAGTGGGTAGAGGCCAGGATGCGGCCAAACATCCTGCAATGCACAAGACAGCCTCCTCCCTGCAAGAAAGAATTTCCTGGCCTTAAATGTCAATATTGCTGAAGCTGAGAAACTGAAGTAAACAAACTCCTACATTTTAAAGATGCAATCAGCGAGTTCCACAGAGGTAAAGGATGAGGCCAAGTCACAGAGCCTACAGTAGAAGAATCAGAACTATAACCCAACATCCAGTCTTCCCATTACATTGGACTTCTCAGCAATTCTGTGTCTATAGATTCCTTCAACTAACATTGGACACGTTGGCAGGCTACATTTAAAAATGTTTTTTACAATTAGACATTTGACTAAAAATGCAATATTTCAAAATTAAGAATAATGATGATAATCATTTCTCGTCAGTGAGTGAACACTCCTGGAATTCTTCTTCCAGTATTTGTGCCTTCCGTGTAGTGACAGAGATCTTCAGCCATTGGCCCACTTTTACATTCTCAGTAAGTTTCCTTCCTTACACTTTATTTTTATTAAGCTGGATAATCTGCATTCACAAATACGGGCTGTTTAAACTCAAATAGTTCCATAAATTCAGATAAAACATGGATCCAGAAATTACAGTTATTTATTTATATATTTATTTTTACCACAGACTGCTTTTTCCCAAAGCATATTACTCTAAAAAACTGAAGGTTGAATATTTCAACTTGGAAATAATATTAAATAATTTTTTTTTTTGAGCTGGAGTCTTGCTCTGTTGCCTAGGCTGGAGTGCAGTGGCCCATTCTCGGCTCACTGCAACCTCTGCCTCCCGGGTTCACGCCATTCTCCTGCCTCAGCCTCCCGAGTAACTGGGACTACAGGCGCCCGCCACCACGCCCAGCTAATTTTTTTGTATTTTTAGTAGAGATGGGGTTTCACTGTATTAGCCAGGATGGTCTCGATATCCTGACCTCGTAATCTGCCCACCTCGGCCTCCCAAAGTGCTGGGGTTACAGGCGTGAGTCACTGCACCCGGCCATCAAATGAATTTCAAATCCCATCTTTGGTTGCATATTTCATGTTCTGTTGTAGTTTATGGATACATACACAGTGTACCCAATCACATCTCACTGGGTGTTCTAGCACTGAGTAAAAACCAAACATTTTTAATTAGAAAAGACACCAATTGTTAGTAATTATATCCTTTCTATTTCAACTATAGCTTTTGAAAAAAAATCTTGATATTTATTATACAGCTAAAATAGATGGTATGTCAGCCCTGAAGATTGCATTATCCTAGGTATTGAATGTAGCCGAGCTGCACAATATACATGACCCATAGAAACTAACTAAACTTTTAACTGGCCCATTAGCATTATAGATTTTCTTAAAAGTTTGTGTACTTTCTCCCCAACAATCAGAACATTATAGACTAGAAAAGCAAAGAACTCAACCCACCACCCTTTTCTGCTTAGAGCACTGTGGATGGTGGTCTAGGGAGATGCCCCTTTGGAGGGAATTATTTTTTCATCCACCTGCTCAGATCACTGTTGGAAGATAAATAACCCTCAGCTGTCAGCTCTCTGCCTTGCTGAAGGTGACACCTCCTTCCAAGGGCCCTCCACATCCAATGCATGATCTCACAGGGTTGTAAAGATGAAGGCTCTTTGCTCAAACATAGGAAAATTTCAAAAACCATTCTTACTCTAGGGATCTCCAAGAAGTCAGTGAGGCCTTCAATGGCACTGCTCAACTTCTCCCTCTGCCCCATGCCAATCTCTTCCCTTCTATGTCATAGGTATCAATCCCAAGAGCGTTCACTAATAGATGGCCTGAATGCTAATTTTCTTCTCAGAGGTTGCTTCCCAGGGAACCCAAGCTGGAAAAGTACACTTTAGTAATTGAGATGCGTTCTATAATTGTATTTTTCTTCAGTACTGATCCCAATGCACCTTTGCGAGCCATTCAGATTAAATACTCTTGCCCCTTTAGCACATTTTTTGGTGATAAATCAAACAAAAAGCCACTGAGTTTTCTCCCCCATAAGCAGTGGAATATGATTGCAAAGTCTCTGGAGTTGGTGCCCTGGTGGTCAAGCATTTCAGTTCTACTTCTAATTTTCTCCTCCAAGCTATGATTTTCTTAGCTGTCAAGTAGAGATAAGAATAGTGCCTACTTCATAGAATTTGGGGGGTGATTAAATGAGATAGAGTACAGAGTACAGTGGAAAGTTTCAGTAAATGTTTGCTCTATTTTCTTATGTATCTTTTGCTTATTACAGAAGAGCTGATTCAAACATTCTGCACATCACTAGTGTCAAGTAATTATAAAGCAAAATATCTGCTACCATGCCGTTGACATCCAACAGTGTCTTTTCATAAAAGGATTTTTCCAGAAGCTCATAATACTTTCTCTCCAAGCATAATATTGTCATTAAATTTTATATGCTTGTCAGTATACTGTGACTGGAACAAGATTTTTGTTTTTTTGTTTTGCTTTTTTTTCTATAAGGAAAGCAATTCTGGATGGTCTTTTCTCAGCCTTCAAAAAGAAAATGTATCCATTGAATGCTGGAAAGCATCATTTTATTGTTGTTCTAAAAAATATTGATAAACTTCCTAGTGTGGTGAGTATACTTTAAAATGATTTGAAAATTGGCGGCTCCGTACTGCTATCTAACAAAGTTTCATATCCAATGAAATACTGAAATCTTAAGAAAAAACAAAAGCTTGGTTCAACAAAATCAGATTTTTAGACATCCATTGTTCTTATTTGCACTTTTCTTTTTTAGCTTGTGAAAATTCATCACATTTAGAAACTCAGTTATCTCAGCACATGCAGAATCACATTCCATATTCACATCCAAGCCCTGTTCACTATTTATATTTACAATGTTGTTCGAAGTTGTGGTATTTGCTTTACTATTTTCATCACTACTTTCATGCTTCAGTTAACAACTTTTGAGCTACTGATTCATTTCTGTGAATCGAGAATATAACACCTTAGAAAAGTAACAATGAAATGTGAAAAGTAACAAATGTAAATAATAATATGCAAATGAGGCAATAATGAGTTAGTCAAGATAAATCTGTTCCCTGAATGAACCTGCAGGGAGAGTCATGGCGGTCCCTGTAGAATAAGTAGATTCTTTCAGAATATAATCGTTAATCATTTCTTTCAAATTCAGTAATGTATGTGAATAAATCGTGTCTTTGCATTTCCTCTGAAACCATCAAACTGCTTGCAGACCATGTGAAGGGTTGCTAGACCCACAGAGACCAACTAACCACACTCAGATACATTTGTTCTACCTACTGTTGCTTCTGTGTGGCTCCCCAGGCAAAGACACAGGTATCCATCTTGCCCAAAACCAGTTTTTCCAGCAGCGGATCCAACCTGTTCTTTTGAGCTGTGGTTAAGACTCAAAGTTCAGTCGAATTTGGTTACTCGCCTTAGAAATATTCAGTTCTACACAAGACAGATTATAAGGCATCCACCACTATTTGCATCAGTTAGTTGGGCTTATTAAGTGGGTCAAGGACTTTTTCTTATATTCTTGGGCTGCTCACAGAATAGATGTCTTGAGAATTAGCATAAAATTTAGCTAACCATGAAGGGAATTGTCTGAAATTAGGGTTGCCTGGGCTAATACCTAGTACACACCAGGGATTCTAAATTCTAACCCCAATTCTGCAAATCACTCATGGGGGGGGGTTTTAACTAATGATTTAGTCTCTTGTAACTGTCACTTCTTTTGAGCAAAGGAATAGATGTAGCTTTCTGGTGAAAAGGCAGACGTCAAAAATGAAAATAGAACAGACACACAGAAAAGGCTTCCCATGAAACTAAGATCCCATGAATGCACAAATAGATTGATTTATTATTACTTTTAATTTTAAAAATAATAGCTCACATTCATGGCTATTGGGATGAAAGTTAATGCCTTCAGTGACATCATGGTTTCTGTCTTCCCCTTCCCCCCTCATTTGCTTCTTATTCCCACGCCTGGAGGGAAGGGGAAGTTTTAACATCCAAGTTGTACGTCATGAGGAGATAGGGCTGGTGAGAGATGGATTGTCATTGTTATGGATGTCCAGGAGCCACTGATGTTGCTCGCTCCACATTAAAATGGGGGTATACAGAAAAATGTTGTCTCTGGATTTAACCCTGTGGGATCTTGGAAGGTTGGATCAAGGATACTGGTTGGGGTGGGGATAGGAGATAAAAGCGGAAGTAGGAGTGAGACCAAGGCAGAGGGGACTTCAAGTTTTCCTTGCATAAAGGCCAACTCTGTTTGGAGCAAAGGGAGACCAAGTTGGGATGGGAGAGGTGCAATATTGGACATCCCTTTGTGTTCTGTGTTCACAATCAGCTGCAAAAGGTGCCAGGTGGTACCCAGTGATTGAGGGCAGGGTTCCATTGATTAAGATGCACCGTATCTTTTAGAAAGTACCACTTGAGGAGAGCTGATCTCCTAGTTTCCTGGCCCGCCTCAGCAGCACCTGTGCTCTGTTCCCAACACAGGAGCAGAGGAAGCTGTGCCTGACTGGGACAGTTCTTCAGTCTCAGGGCTCACAGTTCAGAGCCCATGTTTACCAAAGAAATGTTCACCTAGGCCTTTAAGGCACTTTTTTAAAAAAAATTGAGAGTTTCTTTATAAATACTGGAGACATTAGGAGGGGATATTATTTCTTATTCTATGCATAGAATAAGAAATAATTATTATATTCTATACCTAGAATAGAATAAGAAATAAAGTCTCCTAGCAGAGTAAGCACTTGAAGCACATAATACAACTACACAGTGTTTAAACATCTTTATTTTAGAGGCAGAAAAAATATCATTATTTCTTTGGCATGAGCTTGAAAGGAGAATTTTTTTTCACCTATATAAACTTATCCTTTGAGCCTCGATTTATAAATTTGGAATAGGAATAACTATCTCTCTGTCACATAAACTAGAACATTTTTAAGGTGAGGAATAGACAAAATAAAAGAGAAAATGACTTGTATCTCTATTTGTGTGGGTGTTTTTAAAAAACAGTCATCACTTTGGTATGGAAGTGTCATTATATTTGTGCAGGATGACAAATTTCATATTATCTTTTTTATCTCGTCATATATTCACATGGTGTTAACAAGTCATTGCTACTCTGGCTTGATAAAGACAGCCACAAAACTTCAAAACAATCCTAAAAATCAAGCAACCATGGTGTTGCAATATTTATATCCCTGACAGGCGCCCTGCTGCTTGGAGTGAGATCTCTTACTTCTGTTCTCTATGCCTCTGGCTGCACCTGGTGCAAATAGCACACGTTCTCAGCTACCAGGTCATGCTTTCCAGGGCAGATGCAAATCACACCAGATTGGTAGCAGTGGGACCCCTGCCTACTTCATCCACACATTCTTTTTGTTTCATTGTGCATGGAAGAAATTATCAAATGCCAAATAGTTTCAGAAATGCCAGGGTAGAACGAAGAGCAATGGGGCCAGGGGATGAAAGCTTCAACATGGGAATTCAAAAATATCAGGTTGAGGGCAGGGCATGCTCCTGCTGATGCTGACTGCTCTGTGTGTGGACGCACGCGTGTGTGTGAATGAAAGAGGAAAGAAAGGGTGTTGGTGGAAACTGACAAGCAACAGGAAAACTGTTGTCAGAAACAGAAGTAAGATCTGATCTAATTAGAAAGGGTGCAAGATCAACCAGAAGGAATCTATTAACTGGCCACTAGACTCAACAAGAATCAAGGAGAAAAGGCTTAAATATAGGAAAAAGTTCCAGGCTGACAGAAAATGTCCAAAGACAGCAAGAAATTCAGAGAGATGTTTACACGGAGACTGGGGGAGCATGGTCAGCGGAAAGGCAGAATACTACTTAAAGGATAATACAGGCTGAACCAAGAAAAAATGCTGGAGAACTCAAAAAGAAAGAAATTTATTTTGTTTCTCACCAGAGAATGAAGTGCCCACCCAAGAGAGTTGGGGGAAAACAAGGACTGGAAGAAAGACATGAGGTTCTGGAAACGTCTCTCTACCTGGCTTGGGAGCACAGCTAGGAAAAAAGAAGGCAGGAAGTGAAACATTGAAAATTGAGGTGAATTGAATGAATGAATGTCACTCATACTTAAATACATACTTACCAACATATGGGATATCAAACTCTATGTGGAAAATATGGTTTTTTTTTTTTTTTTTTTACCACTAAGCTCTCTTTAACTATGTGTGTTATTCTGAAAACCTGCTAGGTGTAGGAAGCCAGATGAAAGTAAAAGAGAAGAGACGAAGTCAATTCTCACTCCAAATTTTTGTAATTCTGCAAAAGTGTTTCCAAGATCTGGTTATTGAAGGACTCCTCAAGAGGTGGCTATGGAAAATATCTAGTAGCAGAAAGCCAGAGAGCTTTCTTTGTGAAGTGTGCAGGGCCTGTTTTACCACCGTCCCACCTCTGTGGCTCCATAAGTAGAATGTATTTTTTTTCCACTATGGCAGCTTTGGAAGCCTCAAGCAACTCTAAGCCCAAACCAAGTCTAATGGATGTGGGATATTAAAAGCAGGATAAGAAAAAGAAGTGGTGTATTTTTATCCAAACCACAGATGCCTCACCATCTCCTGCAATTCATTGGTAAATAAAGCCACAGTGCTGTTTAATATTCTGGGGATTATAGGCCTGTTATTTGATACTCATGACCCAGTTGCTCTGGTATGTCATCCATTTAAACACTACAGGTTTATTTTGCACCATCTTGTAGGTGGGCTGGAGCCATTTGGGTCTGAAGTCTTGGCCATCTTTCAAGTCGCAGCCTGCATTTTCAGTGCCCAAAATGTTTCATATTCTATCCTACAGTTAAGTCAATAAAGATGAAAATCATATGACCAGTCATTCTCACTGTCCAATTACTTAACCTAATTTATCTTCTTTAAATTTCATTCAATAACTTGAACCCTAGCTCTTCTCACCCTCTGCCCATCCCAACCCCCACTCAGTGTTTGCACAGTTAATCAGTTAGATAGATGGAGAATTTAAGAACCAGCTCAAAACTGTTTTTTTTTTTTAATTTTGGCAATCAGTTTTATTTGGGATAAACCTATGTATGAAATCTTAAAAATCTTAATGTAGCTGAGTAAAGCTTTCTCAACGTTCCCATAATACAAATTTGGTCCCGGTCTTTTTTTTTTTTTTTTTTTTTTTTTTTTTTTTTTTGAGACACAGTCTTGCTCTGTCATCCAGGGTGGAGTGCAGTGGCGCGATCTCGGCTCACTGCAAGCTCCACCTCCCGGGTTCACGCCATTCTCCTGCCTCAGCCTCCCGAATAGCTGGGACTACAGGCGCCCGCCACCATGCCCGGCTAATTTTTTGTATTTTTAGTAGAGACGGGATTTCACCATGTTAGCCAGGGTGGTCTCGATCTCCTGACCTCGTGATCCACCCACCTTGGCCTCCCAAAGTGCTGGTCTCAGTCTTTAAAAAGGAGATACACCTAATATCCCTTTGTGTAGAAATATTTGATGTAGAAAAGTAAGGGAACATCAATTGAACATTCACTGAAATATTATTTTCATTTGGAGTTTTCTAATATTATTTCTCCATCCACGTTCTTCATGGATCATCTTTATGTCATCTGTCAGAAAAAAAACCAAGGGGTCAGTGCTTGGTGGCTCCTACAGAGTCTAGATGCTGCCAGGACAGAGCTTGTTTCTCAGTTCACCAACTTTCTTTCTCCCCAGCTCTTTCCTGAAAAACCTTACACTTGAGGACTTTTATTTTAAAGGAAAACCATCTAGCTCTGCAAACACTTGAGCATCAGTTTTGATAGCACCGTGGGAGCTCATTGAAGGAATATGTTATAAAGCAGAAGACATATATCCTTTTTTGTGTTGAGTATAATGAGATATGCTGATTAATCTAACTCACTGAGGCAAGTCACTACATAGTTTTAAAAGGTCTACTGTTCAATGCCCTGTAATTAAATTAAAGTTAAAATACTGTAATTATTTAAAACCAGGATGCCATTTTTTTCCTGACTTTGTGAACTTATAGGCTCAAATGAATGCAGAGATAAAATAGCATAACACAAGTTGGCTATATTTAATCTTGTCTATCTTGTGTTTGGAATTAAATTACTTAGGAGTTCAGAGGTTAATAAGAAACACAAGAATTATCCTCTATATAATAGCTTTATATTGCTGAGTTTAAACATAAATGGAGAGGATTATTTTGATTATTTACATGCAAGCACACAAGCTTAACTGCACACACATGTCACACTCCAGTAGTCTCCTCACCTTTGCTGAGGGCCTTTTATGTGACAGGAACTGTATTTTACAGACACTCTCTCCTGTAATCCACAGAGCCACCCTGTCAGACAGTTATCATTAGGTTCACTTTAGAGATGCTATCATCTCAACTTGGGTATTTCAAAAGCAATTCAAACTCTAGCACGAACAAATAGATCTCTTTATGCTCTTGCCCTATCATTACTCCCATTTCCACCCCAGTCTAGGCTTTCCCATTGTTTTCCACTTTGATCAATGGCCTCACTCTTTGTTCAGCCACAGAAGCCAAAACAAAAACAAAACAAAAACCTGAGGGTTATCCTTGACTTTTTCTTCTCCTTTACTTCCATGTGCAATCACTATTCAGTCTTATAAATTTTTGTCTCCTACATATCTGTCAAGCCTGCCCTTCATTGTGTCAGTCACATTACAAAACTAGATCAAACTGCCATTGTACTTTATCTGGATCATGGCGATATTCTACAACTCATCTTCCAGCATTCATTCCTCTCCATTTGAAGTTCTTAAGGCAAATTTCATCATGCTACTTCCCTGCTTAAAACACCTCTATGGCTTTCCATAACTCTATGAAAAAAAAATTTAATACAGCCCACCAACCCAACCTGATTTTGCCTGCTCTGCCTCTTCAAGCTCAAATTGCATCCTCTCTACCTCCTTCCAAGTCTTCTAGCTATGATGACTTCCTTCCTTTCTTTTTTTTTTTTTTTTTTTTGTGAGACTGTCACCCAGGCTGAATGGAGTGGTGCAATTACAGGTCACTGTAGCCACAATCTCCCGGGTTCAAGCTATCCTCCCACCTCAGCCTCCTGAGTAGCTGGGAGTGCAGTTTCACACCACCACGTCTGGTAAATTTTTGATTTGTTGTAGAAACAGAGTCTCACTATGATGCCAGGATGGCCTCAAACTCCTAGACACAAGCAATCCTCCTGCCTTAGCCTCCCAAAGTGCTAAGATCACAGGGATGAGCCACCGTGCCTAGATTACCTTCTGCTTCTTAAACAAATGTTTCATGCTCTGACCTGCCTCAGGACCTTTGAACATGGTGTTACGTGTGGTTGACTACTATTTCCCCATCCTCTTTGCTTAGTTAATGCCTACAAATAATATTTTGCTTTTATTGTCACCTCTTCTGGAAAGTTTTCCTTGATCCCATCCTAGGAAATGTCCTTTGTTATATGTTCTCATAGCACCCTATCTCTTTTCTACGTAGCACTTAGCATAGGACATGAATATACATTTATATGTGTGGTTATGTTTTTATTACTTGTCATTTCCATTTGACTACAATTTTTTTGAGGTTAGGAACCTTGTCTTTTTGCATTCCATGTAACCCCAGTGCTCAGCAAAATTCCATATTTAGCAAACACTTTGGCCACGTGCTTGATTCTGTTCTTAATCTGACTTTAACTTAATAGCTTCTCTAATTACTGAATAAAGAAGGGAACAAATTTCTTTGAAGACAGAATAGAAAAAACCTGTGGAAGCAAATATACAACGTATATTTTTATTTGAAGTATTTCGATAGAAAAAAGTGTCATTGACGTGTCATAATGCCTAGAATTTCCACAATTTCCTCCTTCGAGTAGAGTCATATTTTCTAGAAACTCAAATATGGCAGAAAATGTGTCACCTTGATTAGAACCATCAGTATACATGAATTCAGCAAGTAGGCAGTAGAAAACACATTCTCAAGAGAACTGGTCAAAAGAGAGGTAATTTTGATCAAGAAAAAGCATTATAAACTTATTGAAAGTAACAAAGCTTGAGAGAATTCTTGAGTAAGGTGGCGGCATGGAGCAAAATATGCCTAGAAAGGCAGTCCCTCTTCTCACAAGAGTGTGCTCATAGGTCTATCTGTGGAATGTGTAAAACAATCATCTGTGGTCCCAGCTCTACGATGGGTGCCATTCACAAAGACACAGCAGTTCAGCATCCAAAATCATTAAAAAAAATTTAACCTACTTCAATATCTTTTTAAGGCATCAAAGGAAAAGCTGATTTGTAATATAAAGCAAAACTCCTCTAAAATCCTCATTCCCATCTTCTTCACTCCATTTTACTCACATGCCACAGCTACCCCAATAACTGCAAGCCCCACCTCCACAACTCCAAGCTCCTTGATGTTCTTATAAACCCCGCTCTTGGAGGCTTTCTTATCACTGATCTTTCTTCTCTATGCCTCTGGATTTTTTCTCATATATTTAATTTCAATAGTTTCTGGGCTACTGGTGGTTTTTGATTAAAGTTCTATAGTGGTGAATTCTGAGATTTTCTTGGACCCATCCCCCTTGCAGTGTACACTGTACCCAATATGTAGTCTTCTATCCCTTACCACCCTCCCAATCTTCCCCTTTGAGCCCCCAAAATCCATTATATCATTCTTATCCCTTTGCGTGCTCATAGCTTACCTCCCATTTATAAGTGAGAACATACAACATTTGGTTTTCCATTCCTGAGTCACTTCACTTAGAAAAATGGCTTCCAGCTCCATCCAAGTTGCCACAAAAGACCATTGTCTTTTCATTCCTTTTTATGGCTGAGTAGTATTCTATGGTGTATATGCACCACATTTCCTTTATCCACTCATTGGTTGGTGGTATGCCTCGGTTTTTTTATGAGTTAGGTCAATTATCTGAGCTCTCTGCCTGTTTTTGCCCAATTGCCAGATCCTCCAAACACCAGGAGTGGACCCATCAGGCAGAAATCTTATTTCCTTAGAGTAAGGAAACCAGAGAAAACTGAAAATGTTTTCAGTGATTTTTAAAGACATGAGTGAATGTCTTTTAAAATTACTATTTTTTTCCCTTGTTGAAAATATGCAATTTTTTACTATGGAAAGCAAATAAAACCCTGCTTTGTATTTCAGAATTTATGAGGTAGATTTCACATAGTATCATGTTTTGGAAAGCTAAGACTTTTTTCCCCTTCTTTGGGCATTGTAAGATTAGGCGTAGGGGTAGATAGTGCAGATTTTCTGGTTTCCTTTAAGCATACACTCTTTGGATGAAATGCGTCTGATTAGGGCATTATATTGGAGAGTCAGAAAGGAACAGGAGATATTAGACACCAAGACAAGAAGTCTGAGCAGATGGCAAAAGAGAGGAGAATGTGGATAGAGAGATTAACACTAAGGATAACCCATCCAAGTTGCCATTTTGCTTCAGCTAGGCTCTGGCATGGAGGTATCAGAGAAGTAACTCTATGAGCCATCAATAATACAGCCCAGGGAAAATTGCCTTGAGATAATTAACCCAAAATTGAGTCTCCAAATTGTTTATTGCCATCCACGCACACAAATAAGCCAAAGACCACATATCTTCAGAAATGAGAGATGGCCCCTTGTTGAAATCTCTAATGCTCTGCTTGTTGCAAACTCAAGTTAGCACTGGACTCTGAAGTGAAACACTCCAAGTAATGTAGTTCAAAGTGTGGCATGCTTTCCGCAGTGAAGCACATTTAACGATTTTCTCATTTGATACCTAATGAGATTTTTCAAACTAATTGTGGGCTTACTATAACTTTTTGAAGGAAGACAGGAACAACATTAAGAAAACAAACTATTGCAATGATCCCATGCTGGGGAGAGTTGCATAAGAGACTTTTGGTCCCAGAATTCTGGTCTTAAGTGATATGGTAACCAAAGTATGCTTCATCAAATTAATCAAGAAAGAGTTTTTAATGCAGATATGTTAGATCATAACAGAGTTTGAAATCTCTAAAAGCCTTACAGATAGACCAGGTCATTACAAAGACTAGTCAACTGCAAACCATCATTGGTTACATTTTAATTTAAATTTCCAGCAAAATTTCTATGAAAATGCATACAAGGTGGTTTCCATTAGAGTCATGAAGTTTCATTACCTGGAAAACCTATGAAATATATTCTAGCAATTCTTTAGTTTACTTACAAGCTCTTCTACCATGTACATCACCATAAAGATTTTTGACATGATGCTTTCCTAGTACAATATATTTGGAATAAATAACTTATATATTCTCACTCCCCTCTAAATCCTCACGTTGAAAGATAAAATGATACTATTTAATTTTCAGGCTTATTTTTTGAATTATTTTTCAAAGAAAAAGTAAGAGAAAATAGAAAAATGAAGGGAAGGAAATCTGCTAAAAGCCTGAGATTAAATGTAACAGCCACTGAGAGGCCATTGCCACATACCTATATAACTTAGTTGGGAGACTGCACGTAGATGATTCCACAATCAATTGTTTTTATTCTTTAATAGAATGCATATGCTAAAAGATAAACTGTTTGGGTTCAAAGGACAGTGAATTCATTAAAAGAAGTTCCTAATAAAAGTGATTCAATCTTTGTATTTAGCTTTTAATACAAAAAAATTAATTAACATTTGCATTATGAGACCTGACCTCCCCAGTGAGATATAATCAATTCTCCCAATACAAGATGGATTCTGCAGAGGACATAATTTCTAATTGTAGTGCTAATCAATCATGTCAGTAGTACAGGGGAACTGTAAATGATGCGCACAACTATTAAACTCTAGGCTCTTTTAAAGCCAGTTGTCAACACCACAGTATATAAATATGTGCTTACAGTGGGGACCATTTAATTATAATATTGATTACATTATTGCAGTTCCTGGCATAATACATGATGATGGTGTGCTATCTGGAAGGAATGCAAGACAACTGAAAACGTATCTGTAGTTTTGCAAATGTAATTTCACAAGGAAATTGTGTTAATTATGGTAGCATGATGCATATATCTACTGCAAAGGCTGCGATACTGAGGAAAAATAAAGAGTTTTGGTTGAATACTATCACTCAAAAAGAAAGAGTCGAGGTGATTTTAGGTCATTTTTAAACCACTATTTTATTTTTGTTATTTGAAACATTTCCTTTTAAATGGGTTCCTGATTTTTTTTAATTGAGGTAAAAATTTATATTGCATAAAATTCAGTATTTTAACCATTTAAAGTGTACAATTCAGTGTCTTCCAGTACATTTACAACATTGCACAACCATCACCACTACCTAATTTCAAAATATCTTCATCACCCCAAAAACTCTATACTCATTAAGTTCTCACTCCTCATAAATAGAATCACACAATATGTGGCTCTTTGTGTCTCACTTCTTTCCTTTTGTTTTCAAGATCTGTCTATATTGTAGCATGTATCAGTACTTTATTTTTTGACAGTAATATTCCATTTTATGGATGTAGCTCATTTGTTTATTCTTCATCTGATAATCATTTGGGTGGTTTCCACTTTTTAGGTATTATGAATAATGTTGCTATGAATATGAACATTCTGCACAAGCTTTTGTTTGAACACCTGTTTTCAATTCTCTTTAGTGTATACCTAAGAGCAGAATTACTGTTTAATATTTGAGGAATATTTGAGGAACCACCAAACTGTTTTCCACAGTGGCAGCTTCATTATGCATTCCTACCAACCATGTATGAAGGCTTCAGTTTCACTGCATCCTTATCAAAACTTGCTATTTTTCGTTGTTCAAAATCATTATTACTGTAGCCTTCCTAGTGGCTATGAAGTAGTATCTAATTGTGGTTTTGATTTACATTTCCCTAGTGACTAGTGGTGTTTAGCATAATGTTATGTGATTATTGGCCATTTGTATATCCTCTTGGAAGACATATCTATTAAAGTCCCTTACCTATTTTTAATTGAGATTTTTTGGTATTTTTGTTGTTTAGTTATTCAAGTGCTTTATATGTTCTATATACAAGACTCAATAGATTTATAGTTTGCAAATATTTTCTCCCCGCCCTGTGGTCTGGCTTTTTTTTTACTTTCTTGACAATGTCCTTTGATGCATAAAAGGTTTAAATTTGAATGAAGTCCAATTTATCTATTTTTTATTTTGTTGCTTGTCATATATGTAACAAACCATTGCCAAACTCAAAGTCATAAACATTTACATCTATGCTTTTTTCTAAGAGTTTTATACTTTTACATTTAGATCTTTGATTCATTTTGAAAAAAATTTTGTATGTGGTATGAGGTAAGGGTCTAGTGTCATTCTTTTGCCTGTGGTTATTCAGTCATCCCAGCAAATTTTGTTGAAGAGATTATTCTTTCCACACTGAATGGTCTTGGTACACCCTTGTCAAAAATGATTTTACCATAAATGTACAGGTTTATCCCTGAACTCTAAATTTCATTTCATTGATCTATATGTCTACCCTTATATCAGTTCCACATTGTTTTGATTACTGTACATTTGTAATAAGTTTTGAATTCAATAAGTATAAGTCTTCCAAATTTATTCTTCTTTTTCAAGATTGTTTGGCTACTCAGAGTTCCGTAAAATGTAATATTAATTTTAGAATCAGCTTTTCCATTTATTCAGAAAAGGAAATTGGGGTTTTGGCAGAGATTGCATCAAATTTGTACATAACTTTGGAAATATTGCCATCTTAACAAAATTTCCCAATCCATGGACATGGCATATCTTTTTATATATTTAGATTTCCTTTTATTTCTTTCCATGTTTTTCATTTTCAGAACATAAGTCTTACACTGTCTTGGTTAAATTTAATTCCAAGTATTTTATTCATTTTGATGTTATTGTAAATGAAATTATTTTCCTGATTTTTTTTTGTAGTATAATTCATTGATAGTGCATAGAAATACAACTGATTTTTGTATGTTAGTCTTGTAGTACCCTGCAAATTTAGTGAATTTTTTTATTAGATCAAATAGGGTTTTTTTTCACAGATTCGTAGGATTTTCTATCTATCATATTATGTCATTTGCCAATAGAGATACTTTTATTTCTTTTTCTATTTGGATGTATTTTATTTCTTTTTTTTTTTTGCCTAATGGACCTGGCCGTAACTTTCAATGCAATGTGGAATAGAGTTGGTGAGAGTGAACATCATCATCTTGATTCTGATCTTAAAGGGAAAGATTTCAGTCTTTCACTGTTAAGTATGAGATTAGCTGTGTGTTTTTCAGATATGCCTTTTATCAGATTAAAGAAATTCTCTTCTATTCCAAGTTTGTTGAGTAATCTTATCATAGAAGGTTGTTGGATTTTGTCAAATGCTTTTTCTGCTTGGAATGAAATTTTAATGTGCTTTTTAAAAATCCTTTCTTCTATTACATTAATTAATTTTTCTATGTCAAACCACTCTTAGATTCCTGAGATACATAATCACAGGTGTAGTGTATAATATTTTCAATATGTTGCTAAATTCAATTTGCTAAGATTTTGTTGAAGATTTTTTGCATCTCGTTCATGAGGGATATTAGTCTATAATTTTCTTTCCTTATGAAGTCTTTTTCTGGCTTTGATATCAGGGTAACACTAGCCATAAAGAATTAGTTGGCCGGGCGCGGTGGCTCACGCCTGTAATCCCAGCACTTTGGGAGGCCGAGGCGGGTGGATCATGAGGTCAGGAGATCGAGACCATCCTGGCTAACAAGGTGAAACCCCGTCTCTACTAAAAATACAAAAAATTAGCCGGGCGCGGTGGCGGGCGCCTGTAGTCCCAGCTACTCGGGAGGCTGAGGCAGGAGAATGGCGTGAACCCGGGAAGCGGAGCTTGCAGTGAGCCGAGATTGCGCCACTGCAGTCCGCAGTCCGGCCTGGGCGACAGAGCGAGACTCCGTCTCAAAAAAAAAAAAAAAAAAAAAAAAAAAAAAGAATTAGTTAAGAAGTGTACTCTCTTCCTCTGGTTTGTTTTTTCTGTTTTGTTTTTTGTGTGTGGTTTGTTTGTTTGTTTTTGTTTTTTCTTCAGATGAGGTCTTGCTCTGTCACCCAGGCTAGAGTGCAGTGGTGCAATCTCAGCCCACTGCAAGCTCTGCCTCCCGGGTTCAAGCAATTCTCCTGCCTCAGCCTCCCGAGTAGCTGGGACTACCAACGTGTGCCACCACGCCCAGCTAATTTTTTGTATTTTTAGTAGAGACGGGGTTTCACCATGTTAGCCAGGATGGTCTCCATCTCCTGACCTTGTGATCTGCTCACCTCGGCCTTCCCAAAGTGCTGGGATTATAGGCATGAGCCACCGCGCCCGGCCTCTTCCTCAGTGTTTAAAAAAGAGTTTGAGAAGAATTGCTGATAATTCTTCTTTAAACATTTGATAGACTTTATCAATGAAACCATCTGGTTCCTGGCTTTTCTTTGTTAGAAGTTTTAAAATTAGTGTTTCAATCTCTTTACTTGTTTTAGATCTATGCAGATTTTTAAATTTCTTCTTGAGTCGATTTTGGTAGTTTCCATGTTTCTAAGAATTTGTTCATTTCTCTAGAGTTTCTAATTCATTGTCGTGCAACTGTTCAAAGCATTATCTTATAATCCTTTGTATGTCTGTAAGTTTGGTAATAACACTTCCACATTCATTTTTTATGAATTTATTTGAATCTTCTCTCTCTCTTTTACTTTTTTTGGTCATTCTGTCTAAAGATTTTGTCAATTTTGTTGATCTTTTTACATAACCAATTTTTTATTTTGTTGACTCTACTGTTTATATATTTGATATTTTGTTTATCCTTTTCTCTAATATTTATTATTTCCTTCCCTCTGCTTGCTTTAGATTTAGTTTACTTTTCTTCTTATAGTTCTTTAAGGTAAAAGATAGCTTATTGATTTGAGATCTTTTCTCTTTTCTTAATCTGGGCATTTACAGCTGTAAATTTCTTGCTGAGAACTGCTTGTGCATTTTTCTATGTTATGCTTTTGCTTTTACTTATCTCAGGTTATTTTCTAATTTTCCTGCAGTTTCCTTTTTGACCAATTGGTTGTTAAAGGGTATGTTGTTTAATGCTCAAATATTTGCAAATTTTCCAAATTTCATTATGTTACTCATTTTTTATTTTATCCCATTGTGGTTACAGAAAATACTTAGTATGATTTCAGTCATTTGAAATTTATTTATAATTGTCTTGTGGCATAAATATAGTCTTTCTTGGAGAATATTCCATTTGCAGTTGCAAACAATGTGTATTCTATTACTGGGTAGAGTGCTTTAAATATGTCTGTTAAGGCAGATGGGTTTATAATGTTCAAGTCTTCTATTTCACTATTAATCTTTTGTCTAGTTGTTCTATTTATTCTTAAAAGTGGGGTATTAAAGTCTCCATCTATAATTATTGTACTGTCTATTTGTCCCATGAATCCTGCCAGTTTTTGCTTTAGATATTTTAAGAATTCTGTTATTAGGCACAAATAATTATTATCTCATATAATTATGGATTGCCTTTTTTTTTTTTTTTGAGATGGAGTCTTGCTGTGCCACCAAGGCTGGAGTGCAGTGGCGTGATCTTGGTTCACTGCAACCTCTGCCTCCCAGGTTCAAGTGATTCTCCTACCTCAGCCTCCTGAGTAGCTGGGAATACAGGTGCCTACCACCACACCCAGCTAAATTTTTTTGTATTTTTAGTAGAGATGGGATTTCACCATATTGGCCAGGCTGGTCTTGAACTCCTGACCTTGTGATCCAGTCACTTCAGCCTCCCAAAGTGCTGGGATTACAGGCATGAGCCACCATGCCCAGCCTGATCATTTATTGCTACATAACATTCTTCTTTGTCTCTTGTAACAGATGTTTGTTTTAAAAATCGATTTCATCTGATACTATCATGGCCACTCCAACTCTGTTTGCATAGTATAACTGTTTTTATCCTTTCATTTTCAACCTATTTGTTTCTTTGAGCCTAAAGTAAGTCTCTTGTAAACAGCATATAGTTGGATCATTTTTCACCTCATCTCCCATTATCTGCCTTTTAATTGTAGAATTTAATCTATTTACATGTAACATAATTACTGATAAAAAGGACTTACTTCTGTTTTGCCATGTGTTATTTATATGTCTCATATTTTACTTCCCTGAATTCCTCCAGTACTGCCTTCTTTTGTAATAGATAAATGTTTCATAGCATACCATTTTTTCCATATTTTTTATTGTATATAATTTTTAGCTGTTTTCTTAGTAGTCGCTCTGGGAATTTCAGTTAACATATTTATTTATAATAATTAGTTTGAATTAATATGAACCAAATTTCAATCGTATATGAAACTTTTGCTCCTATATAGTTCTATCTCTCACCTTTTATGTTGCTATTATCACAAATTACATTTTTATAAACATATTCCCAAGAACATAAATTTGTAATTATTACTTTATGTAGTTGTTTTTAAGCAATCATATGGGGGAAAAAGAAGTTACCAACCGGCCGGGCGTGGTGGCTTACACCTGTAATCCCTGCACTTTGGAAGGCGGATCATGAGGTCAGGAGATCGAGACCATCCTGGCTAATGTGGTGAAACACCATCTCTACTAAAAATACAAAAAATTAGCTGGGTGTGGTGGCAGGCGCCTGTGGTCCCAGCTACTCAGGAGGCTAAGCAGGAGAATGGAGTGAACCCGTGAGGCGGAGCTGGCACTCCAGCCTGGGTGACAGAGCAAGACTCTATCTCAAAAAAAAAAGAGAAGTTACTAACCAGAGCGCATGAATACTGATTTTACATTTACTTCTGTAATTACCTTTATTGATGTCCTTTATTTCTTTATGCTTATTAAATCACCCCTATTGCCTTATCATTTCAGCCTAAAAGATTCCCTTTAGAATTTCTTATAAGGCAGCTCTACTAGAAGCAAAGTATCTATTTTTATTCATTATAAAAGATCTTACTTTCTCCTCCATTTTTGAGGGATAATTTTGCTGGATATAGAATTGTTGCTTGACAGTTTTGTTTTGTATTGTTTTGTTTTCAACCCTTTGAATATGTCATTCCAGGTGCCTTCTGGCTTCCATGGTTTCTGATTTAAAAAATTAGCTCTCAATTTTATTGTACAGAAGTAACTTCTCTTTTTCTGATTTCAATAGTCTCTTTTTGCCTCTGACATTTGACTATTTGATTATAATGTGTCTCAGTGTGGATCTCTTTGAGTTTATATTATATGGGATTTATTGAGCTCCTTGATGTGTAGATTTAAATCTTCCAATAAATTGTGAAAATTCTCAGCCATTACTTTTTAAAATATTATTTCCATCCTTTTTTTCCTTCTTATCTTCTTATAGGACTGACATTATGCCTATGTTAGTATACTTGATAGGGTCCCACAGGTCTTCTAGATTCTGTTTTTTTTTGTTGTTTTTATTCTTTTTTCTTTCCTTTCCTCAGATTTGGTAATCTTTGTTAGAGTTTGCTGATTATTTCCTCTGCCTGCTCAAATCTGCTATTGAAACCCTCTACTGGATTTTTAAACTTTGGTTA